>NC_000002.12:122489618-123114618 GCF_000001405.40 Homo sapiens | reverse complement strand
TTCCTTTTATTTTTGTCAGACGATTTTAATTCAAAAGACTAGTCTCCAAGCTCTGAAATTCTTTTTGCTGCTTGGTCTAGTTTAATGATAATGATTTAATTGTACTTTGAAATTCCTTAAGTGAGGTTTTCAATTACAGAAGCTATGATTGATTTTTTAAAGATGTTTATCTCTTTCTTCATTTCCTGGATTGCTTTCAAAGTTTCTTCGTGTTGATTTTCAGTCTTGTCTCGGATCTTGTCGAGCTTCCTTGCAAGCCATGCTTCACATTTTCATTGATCATTTCTAAGTTTCCATTTTGGTTGGGACCATTGCTGGAGAGCTGGTGTGATCCTTTGGTGGTGTCACAGCATTGTTTTTTTTTCATGGTGCCAGAATTCTTCTGCTGATTCCTTCGCATCTGTAGACACTGGCACTTCTAATTTTTGTAATGACTTTTGTGTGAATAGAATTTTTTTCTTTATTTCTCCATAATATTTTTTTTCTTTTCATTTCCCCCCTCCCTAAGAGGTGTGACTGTAGAGAATGCTGGGTGGGGTCTTTGGGATTTGCTTCTGCTCTTCTGTTGGCAGGTTTTATATTGAGCTGTGCAGTACGACCTACAGGACAGTAAATAATGCTTATGGGTAAGAAGTTGGCTGTGACCTATGTGGCTGTATGTATACTTGATCCTCTTTTACCAGAAGAAGTTCTTGCAGCAATGGGGTAATCTGTGAAGTGCATAGTGGGCTGAGCTCCCTGCTCAGTCTGGAGGTGAGGCATGATAGGTGATATGGTTTGGCTGTGTCCCCACCCAAATCTCATCTTGAATTGTAGCTCCCACAATTCCCATGTATCATGGGAGGGACCCAGTGGGAGGTAACTGAATCATGAGGGCAGGTCTTTCCTGTGCTGTTCTCATGATTGTGAATAAGTCTTACAAGATCTGATGGTTTTATAAAGAGGAGTTACCCTGCACAAGTTCTCTCTCTTTGCCTGCTGCCATGCATGTAAGACGTGACTTTTCTCCTCCTTGACTTCAACTGTAGGGAGAGCCCCTTGAAACTATTGCTATAGAATAAAAGATGAAATGCTCCTGATTATTGTAAATACAAAATTGCATGCAGGATTGTGTAAAGACAATGCCAGACTGGGCTGCCAGAATGAGCCAACAGCGCATGATGTGCTTCCTCCTGCAGAGAGCCTATGAATAGATGTGCAGTCAGGGAGGTTTCACATCACCAAGATTCCTATCCCAGAAAAGCCGGTGTTCATAGCTCTGGGACTGGAATGCAACCCTTGTGGAGAGCTTATAAATGGACGCATGAGGGGTGCCTGTTCATATGGATAAGATGATAGGGCTATAAATGCCCTTATCTTGCCACGGCTCTTCTAGGCCTCTTTAGGGTTAATACTCCCTTCTGAGAATTTCTGGTCTAACTGGTTGTCTAGCTTCACATCCTGTTTGTATTGATTGTTTGTAACCGGCTTTTGCTGCAACTGTTACCACTGATTAATATCTTGCTAATCATAGATTATGGAAAGACTGTGTTTCTGTTTTAAGGCTCTGTTAGAAATTACTGATGCACACACTATATTGTAAATTCTTATCTCTGTATACTGTACTTTAGCATACCAATGTTATGTTAAAGAATTACTTCATCCCCATGTGACCATCTCACCTCATAATCAAATGACCCTAAATCCCTCACTAACCTACCCCCGCCCTCACTAAACTTAATAATAAATGCTGGTATATCCAGTGCATTGGTGGTGGCGGTGACCCCCCTGGACCCAGCTTTCACTATCTTGTATGTGTCTTTTATTTCTTGACCAGCCGATCCACCTGGGAACAAAGAAAGAGCTGCAATGCATTGCGGGCTGCTGGTCAGATCCTGCAAGATTCCACAATGATTATGAGGCCTCCCCAGCCCATGTGGAACTGTGAGTCAATTAAATCTCTTTCCTTTCTAAATTACGCAGTCTCAGGTAGTCCTTATCAGCAGCGTGAAAACAGACGAATACAATAGGCATGGCCAGACTAGGAAGGCCCACTTACAAGTCTCCTGACGGCAGGCACAAGCAGCAGCACCAAGAGAAAATACACTGAGCAGCCACCAATAACCTAGAGGTGTGCCTGTTTGTAGAGCTGGCACACCTCCTTGGCCTCACACTCTCTTCATTGAGTGTGGGAGGGGCCTAAACTCCTAATGCAAGTGAGTAGCTATCCAAGTGTCTGAATATCTGTTTGGGTATGGAGCAGAGAAGACTATGCTGTACCACAATCTATGCCCAGGAATGGTGGGGCCTCTCAGGCTGCTGATTCAGGCAAGTGGGAGCTCCAGTGCAGGTTGGCATTATCCAATCTGTTGAGAGTATGGATAGAACATAATACAGTAAACAAAAATGAAATACAGGCAACTGTTTTCAATGGTTTTCAAAAGAAAGTGATTGCTTTAAATTATACCACATTGTGATATACCTTTGGAGAGACAAGGAGACAATAAAAAAAGAATGAGAAATGAAGTTAATTAAAATATGTGTCACATTAAGATGAACTGATTTAAATCATACAACTAATAGAAAAACAATTTCAAAGAAGAAAGAATTTATAGAATATTATATTTATTAACCCAGCCTGAGGAATTCAACAAAAGATGGTCTTTCCAATAAAGGGATAGACAAGGGAAACTTGAATATTATAAACGGTTTTAGTGTATGATTATATATGAGTCTATAAAGTAAGATTTTTCTAAATGTCAAAATAAATACTATTAAACAAAATGCAACAGCAATTAAAAAGGCGGAGAAAGGGTGAATTTTCTATTTAGGGCTGGGACATTTCATGTTTTCCTTATCTCAGATATCAGAACTCCAGATTCATAGCTCTTAGGATTCTCGGACTTACACCAGTGAGTCACGCAGGTTCTCAGGCCTTTGTCCTTGGACTGAATCAAAAAGTAAGAAATTAAAGCATTAGACAGACATTTTTTGATAGTTACCAACAAAGTACTGTATGATATGCCATTGTCTGGATACATCACAGTTTATTTATCTGTTCACCTACTAAAAGACATATTGGTGACTTCCAAGTTTTGGCAATTATCCATAAAGCTGCTATAGACATCTGTGTCCAGGTTTTTTTTTTGTGGACATAAGTTTTCAAATCCTATGTGTAAATACCAACACCACAATTGCTGAATCACATAATAAACACATGTTTGTAAGAAACTGACAAATTGTCTTCCAAAATGGTTGTACCATTTTTCATTCTCAGGAGCAAAGAGTGAGAGTTCCTGTTGCTGCACATTTTCATCAGCATTTGGTGGCATTCTGGATTTTGGCCATCCTAAAAAGTGTATAGTGACAACCTTTTTGGTTTTGAAAGATACAGTCCAGCTATTTTTAAAAATGAGTCTGGGTTTCTCTGAGGTATTGTCAAAATTCAATTGGGATTGAATATTTTAGAGGAGAACTCCATAATGTGAAGTGCCCTCTCATTGAATCAAACAGGGGGTATATGCTATCAATATAAGTTATTGTTGGTGATGCTCACATTGATTAAAGTGGTGTCTCCCTAGTTGATATACAGAGAATTATTCTTCTCTTTGCATAATCTATTGATGAGAAATGAGAAACCAAGTACAACCCACACTCAAGGGGAGAGGAATTAATTTCCACCTTCTAGAGGGAAGATTAACCAACAATTTGTGCACATGTGTTAAAATCACCACATTGATTAATAAATAATTTGGGGGGCTCCCATGATCTGTAATTTATTTGCTTATTTGTTCAATTCTACTATATATACAAACCATTTTTCAAAATTTCTAGCCTATATTCCTGTGAGAAACAAAGGTATTGACGAATTAGAGGATTTATTTTTATCTTTAACGTTACAGAATGTAGTTAAAATACTCTTTCCAAAGTTGTAAGGTCAGCTCCTTTTTATTACTTTCTGTTGCTTATGGTTTTACCTTTACAGAATGACGGATAAAGGAATCACACAGTAAATAGCTTCTGTGGCTTTGTTCTTTCACTTTTCTAAATGCCGTTATGATCCATTCATGTTGACACATAAATCAATAATGAGATCTTTTTTATTTCCTAGTGATGTTTCGTTGTGTGGATGTACCACAACTTATACATTCAGCTATTGAAGGACATTTAGGTTATTTCCAGTTTTTGGTCATTATAATTAAGGCTGCTATAAATACTCTCATATAGTTTTTGGTGTGCATATAGTTTTTAGTTCACTTGGATGAAAATCTGCAGGTGCAAGTCCTCAGTCTTATGATAAACATATGTTTGTGTGTGTGTTGTGTGTCTGTGTGTGTGTATAAGGTTTCCTTTAAAAAGTTGTCAAATTATTTTCTAAATTGACAGTGACATTTTTAACTGAAACAAAACATAAGTGAGAATTTGTGTTGCTCTATACTCTCACCAATATTTTATACTGTCAATATTTTGTTGTTTGTTGTTGTTGTTGTTTTACTTTGTTTTTGCCATTTTAATAAGGTTTACATAGTATCTTAGTGTGATTTGATTTTGTATTTTCTTAATGACTAATGATGCTGAGCATAATTTCCAATATTTATTTTCTACATAAACATCATTGTTGATGAAATGTCTCTTCAGATAGTCTATTCATTTATTATTTGGCTTGTTGTTTTGTTATTGTTGGGGTTTGTTTGAGTTTTGTTTTTCTTAATAGTCTAGATATGTGTTTTATAAGACATATAATTTGCAAATATTTTTCCCAGTGTATAGACTCTTTTTAAATGTAACACTTTCTTTTAAAGAGCATGAGCACTAAAATTTAAGGTTTTAAATTTGATAAAATTATTTTATACAGCAAAAGCTCTTAAACTAGAAAACATTTTTTTTCCTTATGGATAATGTTTTTGAAGTAATAACTTGTCAAATTCAATATCATACAGACCATTTCTTATAACTTGTTATACAATTTTTATAGTTGTATATTTTATACTTATGTTTGTGATCAATTTTGAGTTCAGTATAAACTGTGAGGTATAAGTTAAGGATGTTTGTTTTTTTGTTTTATATTTTCTTATTTATTGCACATAACTGTCTGAATTTGAGTAAAGTTATTCCATTTCTTCTTTGTTAAATTGTCTTTGCATCTTTGTCATAAATATGTTCACTATATGTGCTTGGGTTTGTTTCTGGGGTCTTTATTTTAGTTCCTTTTGATTTATAGATCTATCCATTCACCAGTGCCATAGATTTAACTATAGGAACTTTATATGAAGACCTGCAGAAGGACAGTGAGTGTCCTGAAAATTATTTTTTTGGTAGAATTATTTTTGCTATTTTAGTTTCTTTACCTTCCCAGATATATACTATAGAATTAGTTATTCATACCATCAAAAATATTGCAGCAATTTTGAACAGGATTTCATTAATCCCCTGGATCAAATTGGAGATAATTGACATTTTAATAATCTTATATTTTTCTATCCACAAATATGGTATATTTCTGTATTTATTTAAATCCTCTTAGAGTTCTTTTTAAATATTGTGTAAAGACTTATTATATATTTTTTCTTACAAGATTTGTAGAATGAATAAGTGAAGACATCTGGGTTTGGGAAAATTTTTAGCTAAAAATTCAATTTCATTAATAATTATAGGACAACTCAGGTTATCTATTTTTTTGTTAAGTTTTCTTAGGGAGAGGGAGGAGCAGGATGGTGGAGTAGGAGGCTCCACTGATCATCCTCCCTGCAAGGACACCAATTTATCAACTATCTACACAGAAAAGACATCTTCATAAGAACCAAAGATCAGGTGAGCCCTCATAGTACCTGGTTTTAACTACATATCACTGAAAAAGGAATCAAAAAGATAGAATAAATAGTCTTGAATGGTGGATTCCACCCCTCCCTCACACCCTGGAAGCAGAGGCATGGTGCAGATAGTGTGTCTCTGGATGGCAGGGGAGGAAGAACATGGAAATTGTGAGGCACTTCTGTTGTGAACATAACAATTGTGAGGCAGTGCTATTCTGCTAGAGCAGAAAGGAAAACCAGACCAAACTTAACTAATGCATGTCCACAAATGGAGCATTTAAACCAACCCTAGCCAAAGGAGAATCACCAATCCCAGCAGTCTGAACTTGAGTTCTGAAAAACCTCGCTACCAAAGGCCAAAGTGCTCTGGGTCTCTAAGTAAACTTGAAAGGCAATCTAGGCCACAAGGACTGCAGCTCCGATGTGCTGATGTGAGTCTTAGGGCTGAAATGGGCCCAGAGACAGTGAACTGGGTGTGGGGAGGGGAACATGTGACCTACTGAGACACCAGCTAGAGCAGCTAAGAGAGTATTCATTTCACCCCTACCTTAACCCAAAACTACACAGCTCATGGCTCCAAAAAGAGACCCCTTCTTTCTGCTTGAGAAAAAGAGAGAAAAGAGTGAGGAGGACTTGTCTTACATCTTGAATACCACCTGAGCCACAGTAGTATAGGGCACTAGTCAGAGTCATGAGATATCCCTTTTCAGGCCCTAGTCCCCAGATGACATTTCTAGACACACCCTGGGCCAGAAGGGAACCTGCCACCTTGAAGAGTAGGACATAGCCCTGGCAGGCAGCATTTATCCCCTTCTAATTGAAGAGCCCTTGGGACCTGAACAATCAGCAGCAATAAACAGGTACTATGTCAAGGGCCTTGGCTGAACCTCTGAGACTTGCTCACTTCAGTTGAGTATCAGTACTTTCCCAGCTGTTGCAGCTATGACGAAAAGCTTCTTCTGCTTGATAAAAGCAGAGGAAAAAGTAAAGGAGACTTTGTCTTTCACCTTTGGTACCAGCGTAGCTACAGGAGGGTAGAGCATCAAGTGGGATCTTGGGGTCTTTTATTTCAGGAATTGACTCTTGGACAGTATCTCTAGATCTTCCATGGGCCACAGGAGAGCCCACTGCCCTGAAGAGTGAGTCCCAGGCCAGGCAGCATTTATAACAAGCTGACTGAAGAGCCCTTGGGACTTAAGGGAACATTGACAGTAGTCTGGTAGAATTCCTCATAACCTGGGGTGGCAGTGGCTATGGGGGAGGGAAAAGTGGAAGGGACTGTGTCTTGTGGTTTGAGTGCCAACTCAGCAACAGTACAATAGAACACCAGGTAGACTTCTAAGATTTTAAATCCAGTCCCTGACACCTGGATGGCACCTCCAGAACCACCTGGGCCCTGGGGGTACTTGCCACCCTGAAGAGAAGACAGGCCTGGATGGCTTTGCCACCTGCTGATTGTAGAGCCATAAGGCCTTGAGCAAACATAGGTAGTGGCCAGGGAATGGTTACAGCAGGCCTTGGCCGAGACCCAGTGTTATGCTAGATTTAGGTTTGACCCACCACAGTCATAGTGGTGGTTACCACAAGGGTGCTTCTGTCAGTCCACCTCAAGCTTTAGGTGGCTCAGAAGAGAGAGGGAGAGAGAGAGAGAGAGTGAGAGAGTCCATTTGTTTGTGAGAAAGTAGGGGAATGGAACAAGAGTCTTTACCTGGTAATCCAGAGAATTCTCCTGGATTTTGTCCACGATCATCAAGGCAGTACCTCTACAAAACTGCAAGGACCACAGCATTACTGGGATTAAGGTGTCCTCTAAAGCAGATACAGCTTAGATCACAACACCCAAATCATTTCAAATATCTAGAAAGCCTTCTGAAGAAGGAAAGGTATAAACAAGCCCAGATAGTGAAGACTACAATAAATACCCAGTTCTTCAATGCCCAGACACTGAAAAATATCTACTAGCATCAACACCATCCAGGAAAACATCACCTCACTAAATTAACTAAATAAGAAATGGGAGACCAATCTTGAAGAAACAGAGATACATGACCTTTCAAACAAAGAATTCAAAATAGCTATATTGAGGAAGCTCAAATAAATTCAATATAACACAGAGAACTAATTCAGAATTATATCAGATAAATTTAATAAACAGATTGAAATAAATTTAAAAAATCAAGCAGAAATTTTGGAGCTAATATATGCAACTGCCATACTGACAAATGGATTAGAATATTTTAATGGCAGAATTGATAAATCAGAAAAAAGAATTGGGGAGCTCGAGGAGCAGCTATTTGAAAATATACAGTCAGAGGAGACAAAAGAAAAAAAGAATAAAAAATAATGAGGGACACCTACAGAATCTAGAAAACAGCCTCAAAAGGGCAAATCTAAGGGTTATTGGTCTCAAAGAGGAAGTAGAGAAAAAGATAGGAGTAGAAAGTTTGGGTAAAGTGATAACAGAGAATTGCTAAACCTAGAGAAAGATATTAATATCCAGAAACAAGAAGGTTATAGACACCAAGCAGATTTAACTCAAAAAAGACTACCTTAAGGCATTTAATAATCAAACTCCCAAAGATCAAAGATAAAGAAAAGACCCTAAAAGCAGCAAGAGAACAGACACAAATAACATACAATGGAGCTCCAATACGTCTGGCAGCAGACTTCTCAGTGGAAACCTTACAGGATAGGAGAGAGTAGGATAATGTTCTCCTTTAAAGTGTTGAAGGAAGAAATGTTTACCCTAGAATAATATATCTGGTGAAAATATCCTCAAAACATGAAAGGGAAATATAGACTTTCCAGGACAAACAAAAGCTGAGGGATTTCATTAACACCCGACCTGTCCTACAAGAAATGCTAAAGGTAGTATTTCAGTTAGAAAGAAAAAGACATTAATGAGCAGTAAGTAATCACCTGAAAGTACACTGGTAATAGTAAGTATACAGAAAAACACAGACTATTACAACACTATAGCTGTGGTCTGTAAACTACTCTAATCTTAAGTGGAAAGATTAAATGATGAACCAATCAAAAATAATAAATATGACAACTTTTCAAGACATCGTATAATAAGATATAATTAGAAACAACAAAATGTTAAAAAGTTGGGGGGATAAAGTTAAGGCAAATAATTTTTACTAGTTTCCTTTTTGCTTGCTTAAAGTTTGTTTATGCAAACAGCATTATCAGGTTAAAATAATAGGTTATAAGGTAGTATTTGCAAGCCTCATGATAACCTCAAGCCAAGAAACATACAGTGAATACACAAAAAATAAAAATCAAGAAAAAGTTGATTCCATATTTTTGCAATTGGGATTTTTGCTGCAATAAATAAATGCATGCCAGTGTGTTTTTGATATAATGATTTTTTTTTTTTGCATTGAGACCCAGTGGTAGGATTGCTAGATTGAACGTAGATCTTTCAGTTCTTTGAGAAATCTTCATTCTGTTTTTTATAGAGGCTGTACTAATTTACATTTCCACTAGCAGGGGATAAGCACTCCCTTTTCACCACATCTCCAAGAACATCTATTGTTTTTTTACTTTTTAATAGTGGCCATTCTGGCTGAAGTAAGATGGTATCTCACTGTAGTTTTAATTAGCAATTTCCTGATGATTAGTGATGTTGAGCATATTTTCACGTGTTTGTTTGCCATTTGTATATATTCTTTTGAAAAATATCTATTCATGTAATTTGTCCACTTTTTAATCGGATTATTTATTTTTCCTTGCTGATTTGTTTGAGTTTCTTGAAGATTCTAGATATAAGTTCTTTGTCCAATGCATAGTTTGCAAATATTTTCTCCCATTCCGTAAGTTGTCTGTTTACTCTGCGGATTATTTGTTTTGCTCTGCAGAGCTTTCTAGTTCAATTAGGTTTCACTTATTTATTTTTTATTTTGTTGCATTTGCTTTTGGGGTCTTAATGTAATAATTTACATAATTACTTTTTCCTCTAAGCACTAGTTTATCTTAAGCTCCAGAGGTTTAAAATATTGTATTTTACTTTTATTTGCATCAAACCAATTTTTAATTTTTCTTGACGTGTCCCCTTTGACCTATGAGTTACTTTGGAGTGAATAATTTAATTTCTAACTATTTAAGAATTTTCTAGATATATTTCTATCGTTGATTCCTATTAATTTTTCTTGTTGACTAAAAATTAATTCATATGATTTAATTTCTATTAAATTTGCCAGGATTTGTTCTATTGCTACCAATATGAACTATTTGGATCAATGTTCCTTGTACACTTTAGAAGATTGTGTATTCTTTTGTTGTTTGTGGAGTGTTCTATGAATGTCAGTGTGGTCAAATATGCTAATGATTATGTCTAGATCACTACAAACTTACTGATTTTCTCTCTACTTCTTCTACCAATTACTGATAAAAGAGTATGGAAATCTCCAACTGCTATTATGGATACATCTATATCATTAATCATAACTTTAATATGCATCATATATAAAGCTCTGTTCAAGACCATCCTGTCCAACATGGTGAAACCCCATCTGTACTAAAAATAGAAAAATTAGCTAGGCATGGTGTTGTGTACTTGTAGTCCCAGCTACTCGGGAGACTGAGGCAGCAGAATAGCTTGAACCTGGGAGGCAGAGGTTGCCTACAAGTAGGTCAAAAAGGTCAAATTCCTCTATGTCTAAGGTCACCATGCGAGCCCACAATTGGCCTTTAGCAATTCATTGAATTGCTGGTTTGATCTTCTCACTAGCTTATATGTTGTCTGGCAGCATCTGCTCCAGCAAGCAAGCCCTCAGGTCTTGTAATTCCCAGCAAGTGCCTGTCTTTCCACAGATTGTAGGTTAGCTGTTTGCCTCCAACTTGTTTCTGATGGATCCCAGAAAGTGAACTGATTTTCTTTTGTCCAAATTTCTTTCTTGTTGTAATGGTAAGAATAATGCTCTTGCTCGTTCTTTGCATGTCTGAGGTAAAAAATAATAATAATAAATAATAATAATAATAACTGGTCAACTAAATTCTGAAAGCAGAAAAATGATTTTATATCTCTAGTGGGCTGTACTGTAAGAACAAACATAACTGCAAATAAATACTGAACTTCAATAGTAGGTTTATTTTTAGAAGTAGTATTGGAGTTATTATTTTGAATTTATTCTATGAGCATAATATTAAATAAGTAAATATATTAATGTTAGTAAGAACCAAGATTTCTGTTATAAGATAAAATTAATACAAATAATTTTAAAAACAAAGGAAAAATTTTGCAATGTTAAATCTGAATTGGAAATGTCAATGTGAACTCAGATATTTATATGTATAAATGTAAATATATAGATCTATTTTTCTAATTCTATCTAATGATGCGTTTGAAATACAATTATCTAATCCAGATATTTGTTTCTAAACACAATTATTTTTCTAAGAGTTACTTAACTATTATAAAAGTAGTTTACTTCTAGTCTTGTGCAGGAAAATACATCGACTCAAGAGCATCTTGCTTAGCTAGAAAGCAAGGAGGTGTTCAAAAACTAATGAGGTAATATCTAAAAGTAAAATAAACTGTAATTTGAAAAATCATCATCTTGTGACCACTAAACTAATATTTAGGCAAGAACTATGATGTATTCAAAATTATTTGGTAAGAAGTCACTGGAGAATAGGACAATCACATTGTCTCAAAATACTGTCCCACAGGTTGCTTAAAAATTGTATTTATAAAGCAACAATATACCTTTAAAACAGAAATATCTGTAGTTTACCAACTTAAACAAATGATCAAATTTTTCATCAACGATTTTGGAACAATCTATGTGCCCCCTGACACAACACAATGAAAGAACACTATACCATCTACATTTTATTTTTGCCAGAAAATGTTTAATGTAAAACTGATCACTAGTAAATAATTTTACACATCTAGAATATGATTTGATTAATTATACAAAATAATGGGCTTAGATGCCTCAAATAATCCATATTTTGAGAAGGCTCATGGGCAATGTTCTAACTGTAAAGAGATAAAAGGGGCAATAAATAAATACAACTTGTAACATTACCTGGGTCAGAAATTTTTTTAAAAGATGATAAAAACCACTTTTAGGGTAATTGAGAAGATTTGAGTGTGGATTTAGAAGTGGTAATAGCAGAATTTAACTGAAATGTTAGAGGTGTGATACTGTGATTATATAAGAAGTTTTTCTTATTCTAAGAAGGCACATGCTGAAGTATACAAAATGAAATATAATATCTGCAACTTACTTACAAAAAACCATACACACACATACACACATGGGCATTATATATGCACGAGTGTGGTATTAAAAGCTAAAGTTTACAAATGGTGACTCTAGGTTAAGAGTAAATGCTTGGCCATGGTCCTATTCTTTAGATTTTGTATAAAGATAAAAATTCTCCAAAAAAGTCTGGGAGATAAAAATCTGTAAAATATGCACAATGAAATGAAAATAAGATAATTGTGATAAATGACAGGTATATTGTACAGAATACTCCTTTTTCCACAAAGAGAGTAAATATGGTACCCCTAAAGTCAATGAATATTGGCATAATTATTTATATATGTGCTATGTGTTTGGGCATATTTATTTTTGTTTTTTTAATAATGAAAACAGTTCATGTACATGTTTACAAAACAATGTGTTCTGATGAATAGTCACATTCTCTATCCCCACTTTCACGATCTTAATCTTGTTCTACAGAAGTAAGTTATTTTAACCATTTCTGTTTTAATTTTTCTTCTACTATTTCTACTGTGATACCCCTAGAATGTGAATTCTTATGGTTCTATTTAGCTTTAGCTGAATACATAAGTCAGAAGGCCTAAAAATACCTTGAATTCCTTAAACATGGCAATCATTACATTATCAGCAAGATTTAAAAATATAATTTTTTTTCTGCTTGGGCACATAAGCAGAGGACTCAAAGTTAGAAGATAAGGGGGATTAACATGCAAGATAAATAATACAAAAGCTGTGTGGCTGGTGTGAAATTAGCCCATAAGCTACAGTGTGTACATTGCAAACGACTTCTCAGAGCAGGTCCTCATTAAATTATTTACAGATTCAGTGGTAAAAAACGCAGCACAAGTTTAAGATGTTTATATGATTAATAATAATATTAATACCAAGAAAGCATTTATCAGTGACTTTTTAAATTCCTAGTTTCTCTTTCTCTTTCTGTTCTAGCCAAGCTCTGTCAAATAAATGTTCAAAGTCTCTCTACTAAAGAACTCAGCTGGCCTCAGTTTCTGAGCATAGTAGCTCCAACAAACAAGTTTTATCAGAAATTATCAATCCTCTATGCATTCATTCAGAATTTCATCCCTGCCTTACAAATTGCCATGTACTGTGCTAAGGCAGTAGTTCCCCATTTGTGGCCTCTGGGATCATGTGGGAAACTGTCATAAATGCGAATTTCATGGGCTCATTCCAAACAAACTGAATCAGTAAATTTGGAGATGGGCTCAGCAATCTACACTCTAACAAGCCATTTGTATGATTCTGATGTACAAAAAATAATTAACAGCATATTACTAAAGAAGACTATATGTGTAAGTCCACATATCTATATATATATCTGAAGGAGAGTGTGTGGTGTGTGTGTGTGTGTGTGTGTAGAAAATGGCCAATTCTAACCTGAAGGAAATACGGTTTCTTCACAGAAAATATGATGTTTGTAAGCCAATTCATGACCTGGACTTCGCCACATGAGGAATTTGGTTACCTATGCAATTTTTCAATAAACTTCAGTATAGCCAAACATTGACTCCAGACTTCAGAGCCGGCCCTCATCCTGGGTCACATAATTTAGTGATGAAAATCTATTTCTGATTACCTCTGTTTCAGCAGGGATCAAAGACTTATTCTGACTTCAGTGTGTGCTGTGGCCTTGTACTCTTGTTTCTCTTGTGCTTGCTTCATTCTTTTTGCAGGTTCCCACCTGGGTCCTACTACTTATGGAAATGGTGAGTGATGTTGACTGCCCAAGGCTTTCCTGCTATCTAGTTTCCCAAAGCTGAGTCCCAACAACACCTTGAATTTGTCAAAGCTCCTACTTTGTTACAGAATTGAAGGAAATGACCTGCACACCCTACCCTTAATTCCCACAATATACTCGAGATTTGATTTCTTGTAAATGTTAAACTGGAAATGGAATTCAGATTTTTGAACTTCCAAAATGCATACTCATTCTCTACTTTTCCTTATAACTTTTGATGACTTTTTAGCCTATACCTTTTAATGTGTTTCTTTCTCTGTTGCTCTGTCCTCTATATACTATTATATGTAATTTGATTTAAATATTCATTACAGTGTGCATAACACATTGCAAATATAATAGTGTGTAAATAAATATCTATACTTAGAAACATTTCATTTTTAAGTGAATTTGTGAATATAGTAGGGTTCTCTGGAAAAACAGATCCGATATAATACATATATGTGTGTGTCTGTGTGTGTGTGTGTGTGTATGTATATATGTATGTATATGAATGTATATGAGAGTGGGCAGAGGAAGGAAAGATTTATTATGAGGATTGGCTCACATGATTAAGTAGGCTGAAACATCCCAAGTTCTGCAGTAGGCAAGCTGGAGAACCAGGAGAGACAATGGTGTTATTTCAATCTGAGTTTGAAGGCCTGCAAACTTAGAGAGATAATGGTGCCGATATGTTTTCAAAGCGAACAGATTCAAGATCCAAGAAGAACTGATATTTCAGTTCAAGCCTGAAGACAGGAAAAGACTTATGTCCCAACTCAAGATAGGGAGGAAGAGGTCCATCTTACTCAGACTGTTTGTTCTATTCAGCTCTTCAACTGACTGAATGAGCCCATCCATACTGAAGCAGAGGGGAGGTAATCTGTTGTACTCAGTCTACTGATTCAAACATTAATTGCATCCAGAAGCACCCTCACAGACACACCCAGAATAATATTTGGCCAAATATCTAGTCACCTTTGGCCAAGCCAAACTGACATATAAAATTAACCTTCACAACACATAATCAAATACAATTAATCTCTGTATTTGAAAATTCACCAAGAATATCATTACCTTCATTTAAAGAAAATCTTTATAAGCACATATTACTATTTTAACTGCAAAGCTTGCTATAGTCTAGAGAAGAAAATCCTGCACTTCCTGTTTTGTGTTCTAGGCTAAGATGTTTATTTTATACTATTGTAATTTTAAAAATACATCTGGACGTAGGTCAGTGGAAAATCAGAAGTTCTCTTAAGGATAAATTCATTAAAAGAACAAGCTAATCAATATCGCATTTGTTTCCCACCCCTACTCTCTAAATAACAGGTTGTATGTTCTTTACGAGTTTGTGCATTTTCCTTAACTTCAGTGTTTTATTAGAAAGAAAATATTCAATCTTCAGGTGTTTCTTTGAGGATCAGGTTTTTTTCTACTCTATTTTAATTATCTACTAGTTACATAAATATCTAACAAAAATAAAGTTATATTTTTATAATAAAATTAAAATAAAATAAAGTTCCTTTTAAAACAACATGTGGAACAACTCCAGAAATGATTCACATTTATTCTGAGAATATCCTGCCATATATGGATCTGCCACATGGGATTTTCTTTTTCTCCTGAAACTATCAACTTCATTACTAAACCACTGAGACTGCATTTTTCTCTCTGCCATAGCTCATATTCTTTTTTCTTGTTGCAGAACTCTTACTGACTTTAGAGAAGAGAAGTAAGAAAGGCTTTCTTTAATTCTTGAAAACTGGGGCAGAGGTGCCTTTTCTGCATTTAACAATACAAAGAAGGAGGAAAAAGAAGATCATAGCTAACTTGAAACAGCAACTGATTGCAGGGGAAAAACTTTTTACATCAAATAAGAGCTAGATGCTTTCAGGCTTTGCCTGGTACTGCTCCTCTCTCTCTAGCACAAGCAAAGGAAAAGAGATATATTGCTGTCATTTTATTTTCTGCTGTTATTTAATAGAGACACTCATCCAAGACAAATGGAACTTTATTAGGTAAAAAGTGGTGCAAATGTGACTCATCTACTCTGTTCTTCTGAAAGGCCTCCCTTTATAGTTACTCTGGATTAATGAAACAATCACTTTATTCTGAGTAATGTTAAAATACCATTAGAGTCACAAATTTACTTATGGATCTTATCTTCTGAGAAGATCTAAGTAATGAAACCAAGAACTGGTGAAGAGGGTAAAAGGATGATATAATATTCTCTCCTCTTGCATGTAAGAAATGTTCAATAAATGTTGGCCATATCATTGCTATTATTATTAGTGTTACAATTTACCACCTTTGAGACCTGTAAGCCATACCAATGCTGCCACCAAACATGCCTGTGCACACAATGGCAAAACAATGACAGGAACAACAACAACAAAAACCCTGCTCATTTACATTTATACTCATCTAACGTGAAAAGATTCCTCTTGACCCAGTCATGAGAGGATTGATATACTAACCTTACACCTGAAGTAAATTACAATGTCATTCTCATTCTTCCACCCATAAAATTGCAAGACTATGACAATTAAAAGTGTAAACTTTCACTTTCTTTTTTAATACTTCCAAGAATAAGCAAAGGTTTGAAAGTTAGAGAGTCCAAGGTTTGAATCTCAGCTCCTGGCCTTACCAAATCTGTGATCTGAGTTTAATATACTTATGTGTAAAACAGAGCAAGAGAGAATCTACGTCATATTTTTTTCTTCCCAAAGGCATGTCTCTTTGGGAAGAGTAACCCAAATCAGTAACCATGGATTTGAAATCAGCTAAAGTTTCCATCAATTTTTTCATATGAAAGATCAGGGATAGGGTTAGATAATCTCCTTCACGGCTCCTTCTAACACTGTGAAATTGTTATACAGAGATTCCTAAAGTTTCTAGTAATAAGATAGCCCTCAGTTAGCCCTTAGGAATTCCCATTATCTGGACATCAATTTTGTTTTAAAATTTCTCCAATGATGTGACTTTGCTTTTGTTTAATATCTTGTCAGACTGCCAGAGTTCAGTGGGTGTAAATTTGATCCTTATGAATTTAAATACTTTCATCCCATGAGTTTAAGAGTCAAAGTGAGGATTCTGCCAGATGCTAACATATTTATTCCAACTCTATATTCAGAAATTAAGGAATAACCACAGAATGGGTTTTCAGACCTACTCTGAGACATTCTCAGTTAAAACTCCATAAATCCTGAGAGGTGACCCATCAAGAGTCTTAAAACCCCTAAATGTCTTGGCAGCCACCTTTTTCTCAAAACACCATTTCTGTTTTCTTTCCTCAAGACAAACAAACAAATAAACAAAAACTCTCTGGATCCTTTGAGAAAGGCCACTGGAACTGTTTAAGTTTGCATTTGTGATCCTTTTGCTGTATCTTTTGTGAAGAGAATCAGCCTCCTCTTCTTATCAAGGATTCTAGGACTCTGAATGTACCCAGATAATGCAACTACAAGAGGAGCATCCATTATTCTCTATTATTATGACTCAAGTCAGAATTAGTAGCACTAGACATAAGTATTTGGCTTATATAGAAAAAAACAAGACTTTAATAGGCTACTCCTCCACTTTTATTCTAGAAACCCTACACTTAGCCACTATCAAAGATCCCTTTAAGTCACTCTCTTCTACATCACTTCTTTTCTTCGTACATGTTATAGTAGCAATTCCCAATCTTCCCTTTGTTCTTAAGTGCTGTCATTTGGCTTCAGTCACCATTCTCACTGGACTCACCAGCTCATTTCCAAGGCAGAATCTTCCATCTTATTTCTGGTATATAGAGAATAGTCACTGGAGCAGTTTTCAAAGATGTTGACACTCTTCTCGCTGATGCATTTTTAATGCTTCAGGAAAGAGAGCGTTGAGGTCTCTTCCGTAAGATAAAATTAGAGGATGGATGAATAAATTGTATATGCTATCTTATCTCAATCATTTTTATTTCCTTAAGTTTTTGGCTTCTATTTTCTGTGTTTTAAGATGGATTTTTTTTTCATCAAAATTTTACTTAGTATAGTTCACTTTGAATACAGTTTCATTCAACCAATTATACCAAAAATTAAAACTGTCAGCTTCCAGGTGTATCAATTTTTACAATTTATTTCCTGTATTATATTTCCTTTTGAACTTGTCTAGTGCTCTCAGAATCCATTTCCCCATATATTCCCCTGATGTTTTGTTGAATAGTGTTAGAAATATCTTGCAATTATTTGGTGTGCAGATTTTGCTACCTGGGTTGGACTTTGAAATTGGTTTCTGAAGTGTGGTAGGATATGATTTTGATTATGGAATTGGTGGGAATATTGAAAAGGCATGCAGAAAAAAGGAAGACTGAATCATTGATAGTAATGTTAATTGGGCAAAACATCCTGACAAGGCTGTAAGTCAAATGAAATACATGGGAAATTCACAGGAACAAAGCTTGATTACGGTTTCTAGCTATTTCTGCTAATTATCTAGGCAAAACTTGTAAATAGCCATTGCATTTAAGTCTAGCTCTCAATTTAAGAAATTAAATATTCCAGTTTATCATTAATTTTCTTTAAAAAATATTAAGCTATCTAAATTGACTCAGGCTTCTATAACAAAATACCATAACCTGATTGGTTAAACAATAGAAATGTATTTTCTCACAGTTCTGGAGGGTGAAGCCCAAGATGAGGCTGGCAGCAAAGTCAGGTGAAGGCTCTCTTTCTGACTTACAGATGAGTGCTTTTTTGCTATGTTCTCACACAGCAGAGAGAAAGAGAGAGAGAGAAAGAGAAAGCGCTCTGGTGTCTCCATTATAAGGACACTAACTCATAATGGGGGGCCCTACCCTCATCTAAATCTGATTACCTCCCAAAGGTTTTATCTCCACATACCATTATATTGGGGGGCTAGTGCTTCAACATGTTCATTTGAAGGGGACAAAATTCAGTACATTGTATAAAGCAGCAGTCCCCAACATTTGTGGCACCAAGACCAGTTTCATGGAAGACAACTTTTCACCAGGATCCTGCAGGGGAGGGTGGATGGTTTCAGGATGAAACTGCTCCACCTCAGATCGTCAGACATTAGTTAGATTCTCATAAGGAGCGCTCAATCACCTACATCCCTTGCATGCACAGTTCACAATAGGCTTCTCACTCCTGTGAGATTCTGATAACAATAACCAGCACCTCATTTGAGTGTTTACTCCAGGCTTTCACAATTTACCACAAGAGGAAGAAAAGGAGGATAATCTCTTCAAAAACACACAACAGTGCTGTGCTCAGGCAGTCTCCCTTCCTGCCTCGTGACTACGGCAGGCAGCCCAGAACATTGAGTCTGTCTCAACTACGGCTCCACTTCCCGCTCTCCACTCTCTCAAAGAGCTCCTGGATATCCAGGACAGCTCAATACAGCGTTTGTCTTCCTTTGAATAATGTGGCTGTGGTTGTATTACAGTCACAAGGCCAAGAGGGCCGTCCCGGTACTGCCTGCCTGACTCCACAGGTCCTCATGGGGCATGCCGGGGTGGATTGCCATCCTAGCTTGTCGGGATGAGGCGCTAGAATCCATGGTCTTTAAGTTAAACAATGCTTAAGAGCAGACAGGCAGGAGATGGGAAGGAAAAGAAGGGACGGACAAGTGGAGATGTGAGTGATCAGCCACCGTCAGGAAATGCTGGCAACCTCTAGAATCTGGAAAAGGCAAGAGTTTCTAGAGCCTCCAGGTGGGACATGCCCTGCCAACACTATCCCTTTAACCAGTCAGACCTACATTGCATGTCTGCCTTCCAGAGCTATAAGATAATAGAATTGCGTTGTTTTAAGACACTAAGCCACTGGCAATTTGTTACAGCAGCCACAGGAAACTAATACAACACCTAAGGATATGCAGGTGTGAGAGCTAAAAAAAAGTAAAATAAAAAAAAAAAAATAGAGCTGCTAAAGGAAACAGATATCAACTTGAAAATAGTAATGTAGAGAACAATAAAGTAATAAGATGAGGACCAGGCTGTGATTTTTTTCTTATCTTGCCCAAATTCCTACCTAAGGGGCCTGGGAAATCATGCCCTACAAATGATAAATTCTCACCAGATGGGTTTTATTTAACCTTATATATCATCACTTACTTTCCAATCTGACTCTGATATAATGTTATGTAACAAAGAAGAAAATAAAAATATTTTTCCCCAAAGCATGTTTCTTTGCCGTATTTTGAAATGACCCTGCAAAGCCATCCTCTGTGGGGGAAAAATTTGCACCTGTAGGGAATCTCTATTAACATAGCTAGATGTTTTTCTTCCAGGCCCTTCCAGTCCTGAAGAGATTAACCAAGAGTCTAGCACCTTTTAGAAGTTTGAATAAAAAACATTTGTCATCTATTGTCTCTAAGGGCAGCCACTATTGGACTTCAAAAGAACCTTTGTCTCCACAATCTTTTATTATTCCTTTCTACTGAATCCAGGTCTTTAGACAAACTCCACAGATTGTCAACCAGAAAATATTTAAATTTACCTATAGCCTGGAAGTGCCCCCTACCCTCTGCCCCACTTCTAATTGTCCCGCCTTTCTGGAGCAAACCAATGTATTTCTCAAATGTGTTTGATTGAAGCTTCATGTCTCCCTAAAATGTATAAAACCAAGCTGCACCCTGACCCACCTTGGACACATGTTCTCAGGACCTCCTGAGGGCTGTGTCATGAGCTGTGATCACTCATATTTGGCTCAGAATAAATCTCTTCAAATATTTTACAGAGTTTGACTCTTTTCATAGATAAAGAAAAGAGGGGAAATTCAAATATATCACAAAAGAGGGGAAATTCAGATATATCACAAAGACTGAAGGTTAAAAAGTGTACTTTTAAAAGTTACACTAACTAGAGGAATTGAAAAAAGAATAGTTTCTGCTGAGAGTTGAATTAGAGTTCAGTAAAACAGCCAGTATTTTTCACCAACATTTTCACATTGTGTGTGTGTGTGTGTGTGTGTGTGTAAAATGAAATAAAGAGGTAATAATTTCCCTAACCTCCAAAGAGACATGGACTGTGATTATAAGAATAACACTGAGCTCATTGTAGGATTGATGACAAAAGACATATGCTTAGACATTCCCACATAATAATTCTGATCTCTAAGAAGAAGAGAAAATTTTATAACTTTCCAGACAGAAAGGACTTATTCTTTATAAATAATAATAACAAGAAATTGAACTTGCATGAAAATTCTAATTTTAACATGAAGTTGTTGAAATAATTTGTATGGGTCACAAAGAGCATCAGGTGATAACACTATAATCCTCCAAGATATTATTCGTCAAGATAAAAGAAAATATTTGCAGTCAACAATAGGTATCTCATAGAATATAACACCAAAATAACTCCAATGAGGGAATGATTCAAGAAAGAACTCACACAAAATCACTAAATGATTCAGAGGGGAATGCAGTATCCATGTTTGTAGATCAAAGGGCAAAGCAAAAGCCTTCACCGGGTTTCATGTGTCATGCATGCATAAGAGAAATGGGGAGGTTAAAACCCTTTAAAGTTATCCTCAGCTTGAGAAGAAAGACTGAGAAAAAAGTAAACAGTCTGGTAGGAAAAATAGTTGGTCTATTGATTGCATAAAATTGTTCAGATATATGTTTGATTAGATGCATAAATTAGGTACTTTCCTTTAAGAAAAGATAGCAAAATTCCCAATTTAACAAGAAAAAAATGAGAATACATGCATAGTTACAGATTTAAGCCAATGACAACAAGGATAGTTGTAAAGAAGATACAATGAAATAAATAGAATGGTAATGATAAAATGAAGAACTAAATTAAAACATATCAGGCAGTTGCACTAAATATGAATAGAGTTGAATTTCCAATTAAAATGCAAATACTGTCAAACTTGGCTAATAAGCAAAATTAATTGAGATGCTGTTTATAAGAAACAAGTATAAGAAAAAAATTGTTTAAAAAAGCTAAATATAAAAGGTTATTCAAAGATGTACCAGAGAGATAGATGCACACCAAGCAAAAGCAAAAGTGACAAAATCAACATCAGACAAAATGAAATTTATGATTAAAAACACTGAGCAAGAAAGGGATATGATGCACTGTGACATTAACAATGGGATAGTCAGAAAAGTGTATATCTCAAACAACAAAGCACCCAAATTTATTTTGTCAGGGTTCTTAGATACAAAGAGAATCCACTTAAGATAGCATCAGCAAATGGGAGTTTATTAAAGATTATTTGATCATTTTTACAATCTCTGGAAAGGCCAGCAACCAAATTAGAGGCTACAGAGGAGCATGGCAGCCAAGAGCACCAATCAACCACAAAACCAGACTTTATTAGCAGAAACTTACCTGTTGTCTCTAGCAATCATGTTATCTCTGATAGTAAAAGCTAGACTCTAGAAGCTTCCAAGTTACTGTAGAAAAAACGCACTTGGTATTGTTGCATCTGGAGATCCAAATGTGTAGTGTGGCTACCACTTTTTCTTTTTTGATATACATTGAAAATTTTATATAGAGGTTAACTTCTAAACTAGCAGAGAGTAGAAAGCAATTTTTAAAAAAGTATTCAAAGGGGCAAGAAAAAAGAAATTGAAGAGGTTTGATAAATAGAAAGCATGCAAGCACAAACACAAAATTAACATAGAAAAAGTCCAAATATACCAGTAATTATAATAAATATGTAACTTGCATGCTCCAGCTAAAGGATAAATCTCTAATACAAGATATAGTATCAACCTATATACTATTTAAAACAGACAGTTCTAAATTCTAATGATACAGAATGGATGAAAGCAGGACATAGAAGACTGTATGTCAAAAGTTGTAGCCTAAAGAAATGTTAGCCACCTTGAATACCTCTTAGGCACCACAATGGAACACCTCACCCTCACTTTCCTAATGGCCATGGCCATACCTTCTTCTGTAACTACTGTGGATGATGACCATTGCTAACCAACTGCATGAAGGCACAAATGTCATCTTCTCATCTCGCGCGTGTACCATGGATCTCTCAACTGTTTCCCGCAGAGTGTCCCTGTCAAAGTGTGAGACATTTGCTCAGTAAAGGTCTAAATGTGAAAATAAAAGCCTCATAACACTTCTCTAATAATCAGAAAAACATCAGACACATCAGACATATTGCAATAGAAGGGCATCCTATAACACACCTGAAAATGTGTTTTTCATAAATGTCAAGGTCATCAAAAACAAGTAAAGTCTGAAAAATGGCATATCCAAGAGAAACCTAAGGAGATGCAACAGCTAAGTGTAATGTGATATCTTGAATGGGATCCTAGAAAAGAAAGAGGCATTAAGTAAAAACTAGGAGATCTGCATATAATCAACTTACTTAATATTATATTAATATTGATTTATTGATTGTAAGAAATATACCATACTGATGTAAGGCATTAGTACTAGTAGAAACTGTGTACAGGGTGAGGGGATAGATGAGACCTATCTGCTCAATTGCTCTGTATACATAAAACTGTTCTAAAAGTACAGTACATATATTCATAAAAAAATTAATGTCAATATCCTCAAATTATGTCACTATTCACTAGGAAAAGTATTTAGAAAATATGATAAAAATGTGACATTTACATTAGTTTTCTAATGCATAAAACACCTACCAGTAAATCTATCAAAAGCAATGCAATATCTTTATGCAGAAAATCGAGATTATTTATAAGAAAACATTTATGTGATATCATATACATGAATTGAATGACTTAATATAAGAAAAATGTTGAGTTTTTTCAAATTGATCTATCAGTTTAGTGAAATTCTAGTAAAACAAAAAGTCAACAGAGGTGTGGTTTTTGTTTACATGTGAGTGTGCACATGCACGTGTGCATGAGACTATGGGTTTAATTTCTTCAGATAATTCTCTATGTACATGGAAGTGCAAAAGCCCAAGAGTGAAGAACACAAACTGTGAAGTCATCGCTTAGAAGATATGACACATAATTATTAAGCTACAGTACTTAAGAGTGAGATAATGGCACAAGAATAGACACATAAAACCTATGGAAACGTAACAAGGAGTCCAGAAATACAGTCCAGAATTTTGACATTGTAGGTCATAGGAAAAAGTCGAATGCTTCCATAAATCATGCTGGAAAAACTAGTATCCATATTTATAAATAAAATGAAATTCAACTGCTACCTCACACAAAAATTCGAACACCCCCATTCCCAATCAATCCAGCTGGATTATAGATATTCATAATTTAAGTCAAACAATTATAGAAGAAATACAGAAAGCTAAAGATATGATATCACATGTTATGGTATAATTTGTTAACCAACATACACAATGTAAACTGTAAAGGAAAAGACTCATAAATCAATGTCTTTCAAAATTAAGAATGACTGTTAAACAAATGATCATGGACAGATCCCCGAAACAAGCAGCACAAGGATGGGAGATATTTGCAAGATGGAGGAATGATATACAGGATATACAGCAATGGAGGAATGATATATAGGATATACAGCAATGGAGGAATGATATGAGGATATACGGAAGAATCCATATGAAATGCTCAGAATTACTAAACACAACTTAGCCGAAAAGTAAGCACACAGAACAGAACAGAAAAGTAGGAAGCATCAATGGTCCAGAAACCTGGGAACAATGTTTAACTTTAGTAATGTGAATAAATCCCCAGAATCATCATGCTGAGCAAAAGATTTAAGTTACATAAGCATTCATAAACTAAATAAATAAATAGTTTATATGAACCAGGAATACATTAAATTATATGTATTCTCTAAATATCCATTATATGTATATCCATATATATGTTGAGATATATATATATATATATACCCTTCTATGTATATACACACACACATATATATAATGGTTTTTTTTCTTTTTTAAAAAAGAAAGTGAATGGAACTAAAAATGAATTTTTTTTTTTAAATGGGTGTAATGGGAGTTGAATGAATAGGAAAAAACAAACTGGAGAATTCATTTTATTGGTCAGGTTTTGTGATTAATTATTGTTCTCACATATACCATCTATTAAATAAATATAGTAAAAAAATTACTTGCTTATGTATTCCAAATAATCTACTAAGATCATGAGTGAAAGCGTGGTTTAACATCAGCAAATATACAAATAAATAGAAAGAGAAAAAATATACTTATAGTAATGCATGCTGAGAAAGTAAAAGCTGAAGCCCAGTAGATGCTAAGAAAAACTTGACATAAAATAAAAATATTTTATAATTAATAAAACTGATGAAACTAGTATCTGAAAATCAACACTAATGATTTTGCTATATGTTAAAACACTAAATCTATTTTAATAAAAATTAGAAATAAGAATATATGACAATGAATTCCAAATAAATTAAGCAATAAATGTAAAAGAAAGTTAAAGTAGATGTAAGAGAAGAATATTTTCCTTAAAATAATAGGCTGAGAAATAAATGGCATGTCAATATTTACGAAAATAAAACTTTCTGCAGAAAATTTTTAGAATTGTTTCTAGAAAAAAGATAATATTTTGATAATATATACATTTCCAATACTTGCAAACAGTCACCAATTGTTTTAGAAAATACAATTACGAAACATATTTATAAATCAATGAAACATTTACATAAAATAATTCAAATGGCAAAAACATATGAAAATAAGTTAATACCCACAAATGAATGGCTATTTGTATTAATTTCCATAATGTCTCATCCCTAATATTAATTCTATGGTTTTATCATTTTTTAATTTCATCTTTAAAATTTTAGAAATATCAAGAAAATCTTAAGAGTTTACATCAGTTATCACAAAGTAGAAAGACTAGCAAAACTTTACTTAGTATAAATTTAACTACCTCACCTGTTAACATTATATACACTTTAAAAATAACCAAACATGGTCGAGCTTTGACACAATTTAGCACTACTCTATTTCTCCCATCGTTTATGTCTTGAAGGTGTCACTAGAAGTAAATTTGCTTGTGAAAACAGTGTTTTAAGAGTTTAGAAGACCGTTTTGATAAAGTAAGTTTGCATAAAAAATAATTTCAGTTTTTTTGGGGGTGTGTGTGTGATTACACTGGATGGTTGTGGTGTATAGTCTATGATTCTTGGCTTTGTATTTTTGGTTCATAATAGTTTTTAAATAAAAATGGAAAATGGCATTCTGAAAGAGCACAGAATTTAAGGAGTGATGAGAACTGAAAGCTCTATTTCCAGATCGCAGACAATGAGGAAAGAAAATAAAAACATTTAAGTTTAAGGAAAGTACGTAATCTAATAGAACGATAAATGTCCAGCTAGCTGAAGACACTACACAGTAATGCAGGGCTGGGACATCACAGTGGCACATCTCTGAGGAACCCAGTTGAGATTTGCGGGAGGAGGGGCCAGCTGGGAAGAAGGAAATGCGTGTGCAATAAAATCCAATAGAGATGAGATTTAACTCTCCCTTTTGTCTTCATATAATTAATAGCTTTTAAAAAAAATTCTTCTCAGTGAAACAATGTTATTTAAAAATATATTTTTAAAAGACATCATAGTTTCACTCAACCTATTAATAGCGTAGAGTACAGGTAAGAAAGCCAAACACACAAATCAGACAAACAAAAATATGAGGCAGTACTTTAGCATTTAATAAAGTAACTAAAAGACTGGGAATGAAAATGCAAGACAAATATCTTAACCGGAATGGTTGAAAATGGCAGCTGGAAGGGCAGGGCATCAGAGATAGAAGCAAATAGAATTTGCATGGATATTAAAGCATCTTTGTCAGGAACGAGATGGAGAATGGTGTTGACTTTTTTTTTTTTAGTTCAAAGTGTAACAAATACAATTGTTAGGTAGGTCTTTTGGGTAACCCTAAAGTTTTATTAAATCGTATTATGATATTTTTGTCTATATTGCTATGAAGTCCCTGAAGAAGACAATGTCTAATGAACGGGAGCTGGAAGCTAAACAATCTCCCTCAGTGACCCGAGGGAAAGATCAGCTAGACCCAAAAGAGGCTTTGAGCATATCTAACAAATGCTATATCGATATTTTATATTAAGGCTTATTGTGACATAATTTACATAAATACAATTTACCACTTTTAGTTGGATAGTTCTGGGAGTTTTAACAAATGTCGATATAGTACATGTAAACACCATCACTTATTTTCATATGTTTTTGACATATATACCATAGTTATTTTAATGTGCCTACCTAATAGTTCCAAAATCTGGGGAATGTTTGGGTATGATTTTGTTTATTCTTGACTTTTTTCTTACCATTTTTATTAGATTCTGGACATTCAGAATAATAAAGACTGAGCTTTTTAGTGATGTTAGAGGAGAAGCATGACTGGAATGTTTGTAAGTAAAGGGGTTGAGCAGCTTCAATCGTGCACATCTAGATTACTAATGTGCCAATTTGGTACTAATGTACCAAAAATAATAAGGAATGTTTTCAAGATACCACTTACTATCCTGATTGTCACATAAGATCTTGAGTTTTCTGATGTGAATTTCTATTTTTAACTTTTTTATTGTGATAAAAAACACATATGATGATATCTACTTGTTTAACAAAGCTTTAAATGCACAGTACGGTAGGATTAACTATAAGCACAATATTGTACAGCAGATCTTAGGACTTGTTCATCTTGAACGACTGAAACCCTATACTCACTGAGCACAACTCCCCGTTCCACTCCCCTGCCAGCCCCTGGAAGCCACCATTCTACTTTTGTTTTTTTGTGATGTTGACAACTTCAGATACCTCACATAGTGTAACAGTGCAATATTTATCCTTCTATGACTGGTTGACTTTGCACAATATCTTCAACATCAGTAAACCTTGAGGTCATTATTTTTAACTTTTGCTCCCAATCTCTTATTCTAGTGATACCAAAGTACTCATTGTAATAGGTCATTCTTGCATTGCGATAAAGAAATACCTGAAGCTGAGTAATTTATAGAGAAAAGAGGTTTAATTTCTTCACAGTATTGCAGGCTGTACAGGAAGCTTGGTGCCAGCATCTGCTCAGCTTCTGAGAAGGCTTCAAGGCGTTTTACTCATGGCAGAAGGGGAAGTGGGAGCAAGCACATCACATGGCTCGAGCAGGGGCAAGACAGGAAGGCAAGGTGGCACACACTTTTAAAAAACCAGACCTCCTGAGAATCCCCTCACTATTCTGAGGTAGTACCCAGCCATGAGGGATCCACTCCCATGACCCAAACACCTCCCACCAGGCCCCACTGCCAACACTGGGGATTACCTTTCAGCATCAGATTTGGGCAGGGACAAATAGCCAAACTATATCACCAATCTATCTTACATTAGGGAAATTTGTGTATTAAGGCTAAATATTGTTTGCAGCATCAGAAGTTAAATAAAACCTCAAAGACAAATCCATTCTTCTCTTTGATCACGTCTTTTTAAAAGTAAATCTTTGTATTTTATCTTGTGTCAAATAGTCTTAAAGTGAGCAATGTCACAATAAGAAAATGACAAAACTGAAAATAGTTATTAAGTATCTCTGCAAGGTTAAATCCCAGAACAGAGCTTGCAGAAAATTTCAACCACAGTTAAATTGGTGGCCAAAAACAAAATTAAGTCAATGAGTTGAGGGCAGAACATGGAAAGAGAAAGTAATTGAAAATAAATAATTGAAATTGATAGCATCAAAATGTATCACATGTGGAAATAATTATGGTTAAAATTCATTGATCTGACATTATCACCTGTGTCACATTACTGATTCTTCCAAATAAACAACTATGCCAGATGTTAGTGTGATGTGATAGAACAGGAACAAGATTCAGAGTCATCACCATAATTTATATTCTGTATTCAATTGTCAAGTGACTTTACATCAACTATTTATCCCCAAATCCTGGTTATTCATCTTTAAAATTAGCAATAACATCTAGCTCCTAGAGTTCTGAAATTTAAAGAAATTATTGCATATAGAACACCTAGCACTGTTCAAATCACATAGGAAGTACCAACTTTCGTTTTTTTAATCTTATAAAATTTTCAAAGGTCTTTTGTGGTGCTTTATTCTTTCACATGCTTTTTCAATGGAGAGGCACCTGGCCCAGGTTCACCTCTGGATGACTCTGGGTCATCATATACTCTCTTCCTTCTTTGAAGCCCTCTATCAATTACTGTCAATGTAATTCAAGTAGCAGTTAATCACTGCTTACCTTGTGACATCTCTTCTCTTGTGGTCTTGCACTGCTAATCAGCAGCTTGAGTTTTAAATTAACTCTTGATGACTTTCTCTCTCTATTAGTTTGTGAGCACCTTGAAAGCTGAGGTTTTCTTTAAGGTTTTGTCTTTCCTACAATGTTTTAGCAAACATAGTAAAAGGAAAAGTTGTTGTTACTGCTACTTTTTAAAAAATAAAGCCTGCTTATATAAATATGTATTTTAATAAGATACTTAGGGTCTCCAAGTTCATACAAGGTGTCTTATCCCTTCACCAAATGGTCCCATTAAAATTTTTGTTTGTTTGTTTGTTTGTTTGAAGTCAGGAGATTGAGACCATTCTGGCTAACACAGTGAAACCCCATCTCTACTAAACACACACACACACACACACACACATACACACACACACACACACACACACACACACAGAATTGGCCGGGCGTGCCTGTAGTCCCAGCTACTCAGGAGGCTGAGTCAGGAGAATTGCTTGAACCTGAGAGACAGAGGTTGCAGTGAGCTGAGATCGCGCCACTGCACTCCAGCCTGGGTGACAGAGCGAGATTCGGTCTCAAAAAAAAAAAAAAAAGAAAAAAAATCATTTTGCTTAATAGCACATGTGACCATATGTTGTAGATTTTTTTTTCTAAGTGAGATTTACAATGTTTTTCAAAATGTAGTGCTTTGGTAGTTGTATTGAATCATTTGAGAGAATTGTTAATAATACAGATTTTTGTCATACATAGTTATTCTGATTAATGAAATCACATAGTGGTAATATAGTTGTGATTGCCACTAAGAAATCACAGATGACCTAAACTTCAAAAAATTTTATGAACTTAGCAATTTATTGTGCCAAACAACCTTCCCCTAGTTTAACTTCTTAGATGATACGCTACTTCTTGACTGCAACTTTGATTTCTTTATGATTTTCATTTTTGTTCATTTTTAATTTCTGTTTATTTAATCTACATATATTTTTTTGATTTCTATTTCTGGCCCTGCATAATTATCTTTTCCATATTTTATACTCACTCTTTCTGCCATAAATATGTTACAGGTAAGCACATGTGCATGCACACACACACACACAAGCACACAGAGACTTTCAAATCTTAACCATACACAGGTTTTGAGGCAAGGGCTTCCTACCTTCTCTATAATTCTATTCACATCTCACAAATATCCTGTTTCTGAGGGGAATTCGATACGGAAACAGAGATAAGTAAAATAAAGTAAGTTACCCAATGTCATATAGCTGGAATTTATCAGAGCAAAATTTTAAACTCAAGATCATCTATGTCCAGAGCCATGCTACTCTTAACCTCCCCAGACAGAGATTAAGGACTTTCAGAATTTCTTCTTTAGATATTATGAGCAATGCTTAAATAATCATTTATATTGTTTATGGCATCATTTACTAAAGAGTAAGTTGATGTGTGTTGGCAAGGAACTATAATGTTATCTGGTTTCTAACAGCTTAATTTCTGTAAAGTTGAAATGAATAGCAACTGAAATTCTTAGAAAAAGCTAAGTCAGTTGCTAAAAAATTTCTACATACAAAAACTAAATGGATATTTAGATTTAGTGTATACTTGTTATTGATCTTGTATTTTCCTGTCACTCTTCACTGAAATACTTTATGTTTATGACCATGGTGATGATAATCTAGCAAATTCACTGTGCTGAGTAGATGTAAGTCTTGCCCACTTTATTCATCTTTCTCTCAGAGAAATAATTCCCTTTGAAGTTGATGTATAGGTAAAACAGGTTAAGGAGATGAGACATGAAAGAAACTTAGGGGAATTCTGAGAGTCATTTGCTTTGACAGCCAAATTGAATAGTGGACATTAATATAAATTCTGTTCTAACATGACTGAACAATGAAAGATTTAAACACACACACATAGAGGGAGAGGGAGAGAGGATATTTATATATATTTTCACCCTTCATGCCTAACTATTAAAAGAAAACTCAGATGACATAACATTACTATGTTATATGTATGCTAATGTCTTTACTCTTCCAAATCTGTTTCTTTTGCTTTTGCATCAAATGACCCTCTCCTCATAGTTGCCTAACCAAATCTTTCCCATCCTTCAAGAAATTTCTCAGCAGTTAAATGTCCATCATTTTTTAGTGGATTTTCAAAATCCCCCAGTTTTTTATCCCATGAGCCTGATGTATTTGCAGATATATTTGCAGTCATCATCTAACTACCATTTAAGAAGTGGCTGGTATAGGCCGTCTCAGCATCAGTTATTGTCTATTATACTTGAGCAGCATTAGATTGAATCATCACTGTGATTTTCATCTGCTTGAGTGTAAACTCCCAGAGGATGGGGACTTTTTGATTTTACTAAAGATAATGTACATAATGGACATTGCTAACCAATTGTTTAAAATGTACTAATAAAAGGAGACTAAAGTGTTTGTAGATGTGTTTCCTACATGTATCACATGGGTAATGATGGTTGATTACAAACAGTACCATAAAAACTGCGTGTCCAGCTCTCTGTACAAATTTAAACTATTTTCACACTAGTCCTAATCAAAATATAAACTTATTTTAATAAGCCAGGAGAAAATTCAGTGCTTCTACTTAGCAGTGCTACCGCTGATCAGGTTTTGTTTTATTTTCTTTAAGACAGCAGTTTTTAAATTTTTGTTTTTCTGCACAAAATCTTCAACAGGTGGGGAGGTAAATTCTTCAAATCTTTATGTGAAAGATAAAAACACAAAATCAGTGAAGTTAAATAGTATATCCAAAATAGCAGTTAGTCAATTAAAGCAATAAAAATAGGACCAAATAATGTTTTGCAGCATTTCATCACGTGGTGAAAAGTCTGCTGACTAGATGTTGGTAGCCACAGGTCTCATTTGCTCTCTTTTGGTTCAGTAAAACACAGCTAAAATGAAGTTCAACTATTTCTTCCTTTCTTCTTCTTCATTGTTGTTGTTGTTGTCGGTGGCGGTGGTGGTGGTGGGGTGTGTGTTTGTGTGTGTGTGTGTGTTAAAATGTCCCTATTTTAAATCATTATGGGACTAGATTAGAATTTTGTGGGAAAAAAGTCTCCTCCAGAATCATGGAGAACTGAAACTTTGCATTACTTTTTTCTACTGGCAGATGCCATCACAAATTTTCTGTATGTGTCTGCATGTGTGTGTGCATATTATCATTTTAATTTTTAATTTTTTAGACTCCAACTTTGAGTGTTTTTATTAGGCATGGATATTTTGTGTGCTGGCAAAATAGAAATAAATTCTCCTGTAGCACACCAGTTGTTCCTTTTCCTCATAAGAAATTATCAAATCTTTCTTCCAGCTAAACACAATACTGACATATTTAATGTGAGCCTATTGAAAATAAAGGATGAGTTCTTATTACTACAAGTAAGAATAAAAATGCCTGCCATCTAGAATCTAATATTCTGGAAGAAAACAGAGCAGCATGTCATATCTGGGTGTTTATTTTTTTTTTCCCCGCTATTTTACTTGCAGCTGAGACATTTGGAGAATCCATGAATCATGACACTTTCTGGAATCAATGGACATTTAAAATAACCTAGAATCCACATTTTCCTAACAATTTTGGGTCCAACGTCCTTCTCACTGTAACAGATCCTATTTATAAACATATTTTTTAAAAATAATATTATTGTTCCATGATACAGAAATTATTGGGCAATTTTTTAAAGTCTTTATTTTGTTTTTATTTACTATGAAATGAGAATAAGATAGTAATTATCTCGTGATATTGTTCAGTAGATTCATTTTTATTAAACTATAAAGCATACAAAAATCTCTGGAATGCAGCAAAAGCAGTGATAAGAGGAAATTGTATAGAGCTAAATGCCTATCACAAAAACTTAGAAAAATCTCTCAGGCATGTGCAGACCTGCCACCACCCTGCAGAGAGCACACATGTCGGGTCCACTGCTGCCCTATCACAGCACTCTTGCCAGCTACCCCTTCATGGCGTTGTTGCCAGTGAAGTGGTAACACTTCTGCCCCTGTGGACAGTAGGTGCTTAACTTTGAGGGGCCAGAGTACAAACCTGCAGGCCTAGTCCCAGCCCCTAGGATTAGAGTATGCACCCCAGGAGTGCTGAGCTGAGCCTTGGTCCCTAAAAGCATCCAGAAATAAAGACAATCAACTAAACCAACTTATACCAGAGTCAACTGCTCAAAGGCCAGAGTGTCTTCTTACCTCCAAATGACCCTGCTAGCTCCCCAGCAATTGTTCTTAACCACAGTGAATCACTGTGCTCAATAGCACATGGGGCCAAATAGAATCCAGAATCTGGATAGCATAGAAGTTGATCGAAATATAAGAGAAGGCTGAAACCAAATCCAAGGATAACACTAAGCAGCCAAGAGTTAAAAGATGTCGTAGCCATTTAAGAAAGAAGCAAGCTGAAATTCTAAAAGTGAAAAATTTACTATAGGAATTTCATAATTCAGTTGGAAGCAGTAGTAACACAGTTGACCAAGCTGAGACAAGAATCTCAGCACTCAAAGACTGCTATGTTGAGTCAATTTAGGCAGATGAAAATAAAGAAAAAAGAATTTTTAAAAATAAATAAAACCTCCTAGAAATATGGGATTATGTAAAGAGACAAAACATACAACTCATTGGCATTCCTGAAAGAGATGGAAACAGAGAAAGCAACATGGAAAACACATTTGAAGATGGAAATTCCCCCAACCTTGCAATAGAGGTTCAAGTGCAAATTCGGAGAACTTCTGTGCTATACAGGATGACCACTTCAAGACACAGTCATCAGATTCTTCAAAATCAATGTTGTTAAAATGGCCATATTGCCCAAATAAATTTACAGATTCAATGTTATTTCTATCCAGCTGTTAACATCATTTTTCAAAAAAAAAAAAAACTAAACTAAAAAAAACCATTTTAAAATTATATGGAACCAAAAAACAGCCCTAAAATCCAAAGCAATCCTATGCAAAAGAACAAAGCCAGAGACATCACGCTGCCCAACTTCAAACTATATTTGTAAGGCTACAGTGACCAAAACAGCATGGTGACAGTACAGAAACAGATCTATACATAAATAGAACACAATGGAGAACACAGAAGTAAAGCCTCATACCTACATCCATTCAAACTTTGACGAAGTTCACAAAAATAAGCAAAGGGGAAATGACTCACTATTTAATCAGTGGTGCTTAGATAACTGAAAAGCCATATGCAAAAGAATGAAACTGGGCTCTTACCTTTCCCTTTCGTTACATACAAAAATTACCTCAAGTAGGTTAAAGTTTAAATGAAAGCCCTCAAACTATTACAAACTTAGAAGGAAATGTAGAAAACACAATTCTGGGCATCAAACTTGGGAAATAATTTATGATTAAGTTCTCAAAAGAAGTTGCAACAAAAACAAAAACTATCAAGTAGAATTTAATTAAACTAAAGAGCTTCTGTACATAAAAGAAGTATAAACAGAGTAAACAGACAACCCACATTACGGGTGAAAATATTCACCAACTATGCATAGACAAATGTCTAATATCCAGGATCTATAAAGAACTTAAAGAAATCAACAAGAAAAAAACATATAATCTTATTAAAATGTGGGCAAAATACATCAACAGGCACTTCTCAAAAGAAGACATACAATTGGCCAAAAAAACATGAAAAAATACTCCATATCACCAATCATCAGAGAAATGCAAATCAAAACTACAATGAGATATCATCTCACACCAGTCAAAATGGTTATTATTAGAAGTCAAAAAACAACAGATGCTAATGAGGCTGTGTAGAAAAGAGAACACATACACACAGTGAAAAGCAGTTTGAAGATTTTTCAAAGAATCTAAAACAGATCTACCATTCAACTCAGAAATTCCATTACTAGTTATATATCCAAAAGAAAATAAAACATTCTAACGAAAAGACAGCTGCATTCATATGTTTATTGCAGCAGCACTTATGATAGTGAAAATCATGGGATCAGTGTAGCTACCCATCAACAGTGGATTGGATAAAGGAAATACTGTACATATACATCATGGAATACTACACAGCCATCAAAAAGAGTGAAATCATGTTCTTTTTAGCAACATGAATGCAGCTGGAGGCCATTTTCCTAAGCAAACTAACACAGAAACAGAAGACCAAATACCCATGTTCTCACTTATAAGTGGTAGCTAAACATTGAGTACTAGTGCACATAAAGATGGCAACAATAATTTGGGACCACTAGAAGGGGGAAGTAAGGAGGAAGGCAAAGTTTACAAAACTGTCAGGTACTATGCTACGACTTGGGTGATGGGGTCATTCATATCCCAATCTCAGCATCACACAGCATACCATGTAACAAATATGCATATGTACCCCGAAATTTAAAATAAAAGTTGAAATTTTTTTGAGAAATAGGAAAACACACAAAATAAATTTTAAAGCATTGAAAATAGTCTGTCACTTAGTTATACTATTATGATGTATGTATATACACACACATATATATGTTTGTTCAATAAATAAATTATATATAAGGTAAATAAATTATTAGTAATTATATAAACTTCAAAATAATAAAATATTTATTTTCTTAATGCAAATAATAAATACGTCTTCTCTTATATAAAATATGGCACATGATGTTTAATCGTAAGTACTACTTTAAATTATTTTTCTGTGAGCATGCACTATGAAGACATACATTTAAGATAAAATTCTATTTTGCTTGGCAAAGTCAAGCTCATGTTAAAACATAGATTGAACCTTAATTTGACAGGCAAAAACTGCTTTCATTTTCTGAGTTCTTTAACTATTTTTAAATAAATTATAAAAATATATTTTCTGATTGAGGTTTGTAGCACTTAGAAATAACATATTATGGATGTGGATAATTGTTTTCTCATTAAAAAGATAGATGTAATTATCTCTATATGTCCTTTTTTTAACACAATTTTCCATAGTACTAGGATCATCCTGAGGTAGCCAACAAATCTGATCAAATAAATGAGTCTATTGTACTCATAGAACATCTTGAGGCACATTAAAATAATTATTACCAACTTTATGCTAATCACTAATTTCTTACATTTAATATTACTAATGCTTCCCCATCTTTAACCACTGAACTCTTGTGGATCTTAAACAAAATGTAAAACTGAGGATAAAAACAATTTAAAACTATAGATTAATCAAAATAACTTTAAGTGACAAACTATTACCAGCCACATGTGACACTAAATAGGCATATTTAATAGATGGAATAAAAAGTTCCAAGATCTTGAACAAAAATAAACGAATGGTTGATGCATCTCAGTTTAATTGCCTCAATTCATATATATCCTGTCCTTTCTTTATGGATACATGTCCTTTCTTTATGGATATATTAATGACAGGCCCCATTCTCATCAACAGTTATCTGTTTAACATTTACCGTTGTGCATGTTAGTGATCCCTGAACAGGGCTTCAAAGCAAACAGTGTTTTGGAGCTACAGTATTCCTTTGGTCACCAGACCATTTCTTAATGTTGTTGAACCCCAGGGGTCCTATATGTAATGGTGGTTGATGCAATGTGTTTATAACTTAATTTGAAATTTTGGCATGCAGTAACTTAAAATGTAACTGTGTGATTGAGTTTAGCTATAGGTTTTTAATAGGTTGGTGTATTGTTTTTGGTTGGAGAATGACCCTTCACTCAGCCCTTCTCCTTTGCCTACTCAATGCTAGCAATATGAGTCAGATAAAGATTGGAGAAGAGGGAATTAAGGCCAGCTTGAGAGACATTTAATTATTTGATTAACCAGAGGAAATTGATTCTAAGTGATTTAAAAGATTTTCTACCTTACAAGAAACTAAAGAAGTAAATCATCCTCCATGTGTAGCCAGGGATCCCAAGAAGAGAGGTTAAAAGTGATTTTAGGCAGAACTTCTTAGAACGGCTGAATTAAAGCCCTAGTAGAGACTAAATATGAGACTTGTCTCTTCTGGCAAGTGTAGGGGGCACATTATCTTCCATATCCTGTTGTGAATGGTTGCAGCAGGAGATTAGGAATACTCTCCAGGATATTAACAAACAAATTTGGTGGGGTGCAATGGATCACCTCTATAATCTCAGCACTTTGGGAGAGATCTGAGGAGGATCGCTTGAGCCCAGGAGTTCCAGAACAGCCTGGGCTACACAGCAAAACCTACTAAAAATAATAAAAATTAGCTGGGTGTGGTGGTGTGTGCCTGTAGTCACAGCTCCTTGAGAAGCTGAATGGGGAGGATCGCTTGAGCCCAGAAAGTAGAAACTGCAGTGAGCTGTGATTGTACCTCTGTACTCCAGCCTGGGAAACAGAGCTGGACCCTGTCACACACACATGATGGATTTACTACTTTGCTAATCCCCTGAGCTCAGTTACAGGATAAACTAGTAGCTTGTTTGCTGGCAAAGTCTCACTGATGCTTTGTCAAGATTAGGGTTAGGATTTGGAAGTCAACTTCTTCCAAGGGCAATTATAGATTTATATACTTTTTATTTATTTATTTGTATTCCATGCACCTATTTCTGTAACTGGAAAAAAATACTTGTTGGTAAAAATAAAATTCGTTGGTCTAGTCCAGTGTTCATACCATCTTTATGTTTTGGAAGCCTATAGAGTGCTGTGACTTGAATTTTAAACTGAATCTGCCAAATGATCAAAAATCAAGGCCTTCAGCAGGAAATACAGATAACATAAAATTACAGAGTCTGGACCAAGGTTTTCCCAGAAAACCTTCAAGCAGAACAGTTACCTTGTATTCTAGCATGAAGAGAGCATAGTGCCATGCAGAAATCCAGGCAAATAAACAGCTCAGAAATAATTTGGGAGAAGACTGTTTATAGGGTAATTATTGGAGAAAGTTGTTTATCAGGTGGAACTTAGAGTAATATAGTTAACATAACAAAGATAATCAAACTAGTCATTGCCTTGGCCTTACTGTCTGAGATATGACAAAATTTTTCCCAGAAACAAAAATAAATGTTAATATTGCATATTAACATGTATACTTCAGAACCATTTAGTCTTAAAGCTTTGTTTCTGATCACTTAGGACTTATGCGCACCTAAAGTCCTATCTCTCTCCAGCATCTTAATGTGTGGAAAGAAATATTGTCTCCAATTGTCATCAATCTACAGAGAATTGTTCTTTGAGAAGTTATTGTAGCCGAATCCCCACCTCACATTTTAATCAATTCAGACAAGCTATGGCTAGAACATGATAGAGAATTCTATTGAAAGCAGTCAAAAGAACTACCAAAAGGATAAATTTATTTCTCCAATGTTCAGTGTGCTCAAAAGTGGGTATAAAAAGCAAGGTTGTTGCTGTTGCTAGAGTAGTGGCAAGTAAAAGCCATAAAATAGTCAAGAGGAGTTAGAGAAGAGGCAGAGTTTGTGATAAAGAATTAGTATTGATTTTAATCCATAGAAGTAAGTATTTTGGAATCAATAACTGGACTGCCTGAGGGAACAGGACTTTTGAAAGTCCCGTTGTGACTCTGAAAACTCCAGGTTAGTCCCAAGTAATTGAAATCCAATTAACTGCATAGTCATTACATTGGAGATTTTCCAGTTTTAATGGTCACAAAGATATCAGTTGAAGGCTGGGCTACCAGAAAAATAGAGAAGAGACAGAGGCCATGAGGAAAATCAGCTTTTCATGTGTTAAATCAGTGGTCATAATTAAAGAAGAAAAATCTTTGAAAGTTAATCTATCAAACTGAGTAGAAAGAGAATGTGCCAGACTGAAATACAGCAAACTCAAGCTACTAAACTACAGTGAAATAACTTGAATATCTGAAATAATAGGTGATTGCCCTTTAAAAATAGCAATCAAAATGGAAGAAAACACTGTTTCTATCCCAGGGACTCACTGTCTTTTGTGCCCTCTACCCAGAGCACAAGCTCTCAGGATCGTGGCCAGACATGAGCACCTGTTTTCGTTTAAGCGAACTTTCTTCAACCATGAAAAGTGAATGTAATATGTGCTGTATTCATTCCATACTTTTTAACCATATATCCATTTTGCACATACCCTAGAAAAATAATTACATCTAATTTCTTCCTGAAATGTCTAGGATTAATATAAGTATTGCTTCTAGATATATTATAGATATTTCAGACAAACTAAATTATTTCCAATAAGACAAATATTTAGAAGTCCAGATATCCAGTGCTTTAACTGGACATCTTTCACTTGTGTTGATTTTGTAGGCATCTTTGTATAGCATAACCTAACTCATAGTTCAAGGCCCTGCTCTGATCCTGAGCTTTTTAAAAGCATTTTATTGTTACTAAAACACCCAGGAATCTCTTCTATTTCTTCCGAGATCTTACTGTACTTAAGATAAAATATACATAGTCAAAAATGTGCTGACTTTGAGAATGGCAATGTAAGGAGCTCAGTGGACATTCTCCCCAGTGAAAAACTTTTATTAGTAAAATAATAATAACAATTCAAATGATCTAAAATATTTGCAAAAAGCATGTAGCAAATTTTAAAAAACGTTTATTCAAAAAAATCTACCAGATATTGATAGAACAACAATAATATTTTTTGTAGCATTTGAAACATGGTTTGCTCCCATGGCCACCCCCATACCAAGTTCAATGTGAAGGAAACTTTACTGTGGGTGTTTGCGGCCAAGAAAATCAAGCTCCTTCTCCCAGCACCCAGCCAAGAGCTATGGGACACCAGAGAGGGCAGGCAGCCAAAATCTTTCATCCTCCTTCAACCTTGTGTTGCAGAAGCTCTGTTCCTGGCAAGAGGATCAGAGTTTCCTCCCTCATGAAGTCCTCATTCATAAGGCAGAAGCTACACTCCAGGCCAAAAATACTGGGCATTCCTTGCCTCTGCTCCAACCGGCTTGGAAGTGAGAGGTTCTACAATGAAAGGGGCAAGCCATGAAGATCATGGGCTATTATCCCCATCTAATACCTCATTCATAGAGTATATGTATATAAACATCTTGGAGAAGCAGGCCACTGTCTCCAACCCCAGGCCCAGTGCAATGGCAGAGATATTCTTCCCAGGGGACAAGGAATACTTTAAGAAAGGAGATCTCTGCTCCATAAAGGAACTGACTTTATTTGAAACACACTGTGAAAAGTTTATGCCTGAAGAATACCTAGTGGTAAGTAAATAAGAGAAGGTTATAGCCCCGTGACAGTGATAGCAACAAGCAAAATATTAACGTGGCTAGAGGGTAAGCAGAAAGAACTAGAGAAAGAGACAGCTAAGAAGAGCCTTCCTGGAATTGAAGCAAGCTTCTGAGACAGGCAACACCTTTCTTATGCACAGTTGCCCACTTTAATTGGATTATATTGTGAAGCAATTTATACCCCCAGAGCATTGTCATAAAATAAATAAATAAATAAATAAACAAACAAACAAACAAGCAATCAGCTGGCAAAGAACAGAGGCTGTTAGCTGGATACAATACTAAAAGAGGAAGCCCAGCTAAAAGCTTAAGGGACTCTTCAGTAAGATACACTTAAAAAGAGGCTGGCTAAGACCACAGCCATCTCTGATGGTCAGACAGAATGTGCACAAAATGCCCAAGTGGGGCCCTCTAAGGAGTGACATCAGAAACCACACACTGCCAGAGGAAAATAGCTCATGGAACTAATTCAGCCAGATCACTAACCAAATAATAACAAGCCCTTGACAGAGAGATGGGCTGCTGGTGGGTCAACCTGATTTCCAGATTGGCTACAATCTGTTATCTAATATGTCCAATTTTTAACAGAAAAGAGGCATACAAAGAAACAGGAAAATGTAACTCATACATAGAAAGAAAAAAGCATGCTAGAAACTTTCTTTAGAGTACCCAGATGTAGGATTTAGCAGACAAAGATGTCAAAGAAGCTATGATACCTATATTCAAAGAACAATATGAAGCCATGTTTAATGAATTAAATGAAAGTGATAGCAATGTCTCATAAAATAGAGAACAGCAATAAAGAGATAGAAATAACAGAAGGAGCCAGGCAGAAATTCTAGAGTAGAAAGTGCAAGAACCAAAATGAAACATTCACTGGCGGGGCTGAACAGTAGGTTTTAGCTGGCAGAAGCATGAATCAGTGAATTTGTAGACACAGACATAGAGATTATGCAATCTGAAAAACAGGAAAAAGAACAAATGAGGAAGCATAAACACAGCCTCAGAGAAATTTGAAATACCACTAAGTGCACCAACATATGTATAATGTAAGCATCAAAAGGAGAGGAAAGAGACAAAATCAAAAATATATTTGAATAAATAATGGCTAAAAACATATGCATTTTGAAAAATATCATTAATCTTCACATCCAAAAAGCTCAATAAACTCTAAGGAGGAAATGCAACGAGCTCTTCAGCTGGACATACTGTAGTCAAAATGTTGAAAGAAAAAATCGTGTGAAAGCAGCAAAAGAGGAAAACACTCATCCTGTACCTGAACGCTAAGAACAACAGAACGTAAGACTGACAGTTGACTTATCATAATGATATCCTTCTTTCCCATTGAAAAAATGTAGGTAAGTAACGACAATAATTATTTATTTAAAATTATAAGGCAATTCAACATAAAGGTATACTTCCAAGTGATAGAGACTGCAAAATTGTTTGATAACAGTCCCTTAGTGTCTTTTTATTTTTTACTTTATTTTTTTTTTTATTTTTTTTTTTTGAGATGGAGTCTCGCTCTGTCGCCCAGGCTGGACTGCGGACTGCAGTGGCGCAATCTCGGCTCACTGCAAGCTCCGCTTCCCGGGTTCACGCCATTCTCCTGCCTCAGCCTCCCGAGTAGCTGGGACTACAGGCACCCGCCACCACACCTGGCTAATTTTTTGTATTTTTAGTAGAGACGGGGTTTCACCTTGTTAGCCAGGATGGTCTCGATCTCCTGACCTCATGATCCACCCGCCTCGGCCTCCCAAAGTGCTGGGATTACAGGCGTGAGCCACCGCGCCCGGCCTATTTTTTACTTTTACCAAATGATATACATGTAATCTTAATATATAAATCATAGATCTTGATTTATAAGAGCTTTTATTTTTTAATTCATGTAGGAAATGGAAGATGGCAGTAAAAATATTCATACTGCAAGGTAGCATATGTGAAGTACTAAGTAACATAAGTGTTGGTATAGAAAATATTACTTAATTTACCTTGTAGCAGACTTTGTACGTATGACTGCGTCTCATGGCCACTAAGATCTTATTGAGATAACAAAAAATAATTAAAAACTTTTAAAATCACACAGGAGGTTTAATGGGAAGGTAGTCCTTCAGTAGATGACGCATTTCAACAATATTTTGAAACAAAAGGCCCAGTTGATTAACATGTTGGATTATGGCTGAGGATGTAGCTGAACTATCCTATGTAAATGGAAATATGGGCTATGGGTTTTGGAATCCAGATTAAATACATTCTTCTTCTGACAATTCCAGGATCACTGTACTCATCCACTAGTGCGAAGCTAATCAGCCTATATGCTGGGTTATATCTGCAACTCCTTGGCCTACTTGCTTTTCCCTCATTATAATATAAGTGAACATACAAGGTTCAACATGTATTTGAAAGTCATCACTAAATAGAAAATGCTAAGGTAAAGAAGGTAAGATTTTTACCAGAGGACAGAGAATAATTTGAGAGAACAAGAGTTAGATCAGGCAAAGGATTTTTAGGAAGGCTGAACTATTATGTATAATACTATAATTGTAGATATATGACATTATGCATTTGTCAATACTCATTGAACTGAATAGCACATGGAGGGAAATCTGTGTCAAAACGTTTCAGCTGAACACAAACTAAAAGAATAGACACTTCAGTGAGCACACTGAACAAGGAATAGTCTTTCAGCTGAACACAAACTAAAAGAATGGACACTTCAGTGAGCACACTGAACAAGGAATAGTCTTGCAAATAAAATAGTTTGGAAAATAAAATAAATGTAAAAGAAACAGAATATGAGAGGGAAAAAAAGAGACGCAAAGATCAGGAATGATTCCAGCATAGGAAATTAGAGGACGAAACAACAAAGAAGGCACTGAGGAAAAATCACTATGTAGCTGTAATAATTCCTATGTGGTTATAATAACACACACATAACAAAAATGGCTGTGTGACTATAGGAAGCATTTCCTTAATTGGAAAAAGATATAATCCTTGAGACAGAATGGATAATGAATACGCATGAAGGTAAATGATTTTTTAAAAATTATCACTTAAACATATTGTTAGGAAATACAATTGAGTTTTAAACAAAATGTGTTTGAGCTGTGTGAGTCCACTTATATGTGGATTTCCTTCTTCCTCTGCCACTCCGAGACAGCAAGACCAATCTCTCCTCTTCTTCCTCCTCCTGAGCCTACTCAATTTGAAAAACTTTATGAAGATCTACTTATATTTTGTCAATAGTAAATGTATTTTCTTTTCCTTATGATCCTCCTGAGAACATTTTCTTTTCTCTACCTTACTTTAAGAATACAGTATATAATAGAGATTACATACAAAATATGTGTTAACTGACTATTTTATTGGTGGCAAGGCTTCCAGTCAACAGTAAGCTATTAGTAGATAAGTTTTGGGGGAGTCAAAATTTATATGTAGATTTTAGAATGTGAGGGGTTGGCACCCATAAACCCTATATTACAAGTTTCAACTGTATAACACAATAAAATAATATCTTTAAAGTGTCCAGGATGAGAGAAGAATGAGAATTATTTTGCTATAAGATGTTTTGTCAATAACATTGAAAGCTAAAGTGCACAAAAAATAAAATCCATAGATGATTGTAAAACGCATGAGTACTGACTCATGAATCTATTAGACTATAATATGAACATTATTTATATAATATTAATAATAAATCACTACTAAATGATTTTCATCTGTTAGAAACAAAATATAGAAAAAATACAGAAAACTTTATGGTTACAGAGCAGACTATAGTGACATCCTTATATTATGAAAATGCAGCCCACAAAAGTCAACAGGTAGTAGTAGAGAACGAATGGGCTTTAGATAATTTAAGATATTAATATATGCCAATGTGTAAAAGAAGTTGAGACATAAAATTGATGGAATAAGAAATATAGGCTTAAGTATATATGTGTCCAATCTCCATGAATAGGTGTGTGTTATGTTATGAAGGTAGCTAAAAGAAAAACAAGGTAGAGATATAAGTATACATTTGCAAACTGAGGAAAAGGAGACAACATTTTAGCAAGTTATATTTTCGAATTTCATTTAAAAATCTGTATAATTATTGAAGTTCATGAAGAAAAAAATGAAGGTACAAATTATATTATTTGCAGTTGATGAGAAGTGTCTGCTTCCATTGCCCGTGAATCCCTAACAGAATGGTGCCAGGCTCCACCAGGAGACCTTCCTGAGTCCCATCTGAAAGCCTCCACCTGAATGCGTCCCTCATTTTAATGACCCAGCCAGGCTACCTCTGAAGAGAAGGGCAGTTCTCAGCAGCCTGAGGGGTGCTGGTAGAGACATACCAAAAGGTAAGAGGAATTAGAAGAAAGTGGTCCCCAGCTGTGTTTGTGTCTCATAACCTATACAGATGCTTCTCAAATGTGTTTCCCCTGCTTTTTCAGTCCAGAAATTTCAAGTTACCTGTCTTGATGAGCAAATGGCAACTAAGGTCTTAGAAACTTGCCTAGCAATTTGACAGTGATAGTTTTGTTTGTTGAATATAATAATTAAGTGTTTGGTTTGTAATTTTTATTTTTTATTTCATTTTTTTGGTACTATATTGCACAAAATAGCACCAGTCTGAAATACATTGGAGCAGGGAGAGATCTATCCCTTCACATCGGCTGCTTGAAAACTCATGGTCTGCAGCTTTTAACCGCCATGTCTGTTTTCTGTCTATTTCAAATTCAAATCACTAGTGCCTAGCACAAGGGCTGTCATATTTGTGACTCAAGTAATATTTTTGAGTGAGTGAATGGAGAAGTGCCTCAAACATAATAAAATTAATAACTATTTATTGAGTGTTCAAAAATAAAAATTGGCCTCCTCTAAGGATCCTGACTGGAAGAACAGATGGATGAACAAGGGGACTACCTCTCATTATGGGCCCTTATTATCACTTAATTTTTACCACTTAAATGTGAGCAAGAATAACTATTTTAAATGTAGAAGGTAATTCCTCTGAAGGTAGAGATGAGGAGTTTGACCTGAGACTGCAGGAGGATGACATGGTTCACGATGACATGGTTGTAGCTATAGTTACTTACCCTAACTCCTGGTATTTCAAAATAGGAGGGGAGGTAGAGTTTTTTGACTGCGATGTCCTTTTTAGAAAAGGGTATAATGAATACATAGGAAGGAATGATGATTACAATTCAATTTAGGCATCCCATAAAAATTAACTGAGAAAAGCTGACAATAATAATTTGTATTTTAAACATATGTTTTTTCCCTTCCTTTCATACAATAAAAGTAGCACTCAATAAAGTTCCAGGGTTGTCTATACATATATCTTTCAGCCTAAGAATAGTATCAAATAATATTAGAAACATTGGTAAACTAAAATAATTCTGTTGTATCTATGAGCAACTCAAGGGCAGGCTCTGTGCCTTTTCCCTTTCATTTTACTCTGTCAGTACTAACATTTCAGAAATGGAAACTTTCTTCAAACACCAACTGTGCGCAAATCTAGAAAGAAGAAAATGGCAGCCTCCTTTCCTCTCTGTGTTACCATGAGACACTCCAAAATCGTCCACAGTGGTTTTGTATTTTCAAACAAAGGGAGAATTGCCCTGTTCTCCGAAGAATATGAAGGCAGGTCATTCAAGGAGCCCCTTATTTATTCAGAATCCTTCACAAAAGGATTGAATGAAATAGTATGGAGCTGTGTTTGCTGTCTGCTGTTGCTAGCCTTGCGATTTTGGAAGATAGGTGTCAAATGCTTACCCTGTGCAGAATCGTAAGGGGCTCACTAAAGTGAAAAAGAATAAAGCTATGAAATCGTCTGTTTTGGAACCTGTTTTCAACCATCACTAACAAGATGAGAATCATTAGAAGAAGTAGAAAACTACCTTATAAAAGAAAATACCAATTATTTTGCAGTGAAGGATTCCAAACCATTATAAACAGACCATAGAAATGTAAATTGGAAGATGCTGAACACAGGACTTTTCAGGCTCATTTCAATTTACCATTTTACCTTCTTTCCCTATTTTATGACACCCAGGAAAAAATTGCCTCTACTTTAAAAATTATTGTATTATACAGATATGCAACATGAAAAATGTTAATTCTTCAGGGATACTTTCCCCTAGGCCTTCAATTTGATTTTGAGATTGATGAAGTGAATGACAGTATTTCATTACTGAAACCCCCCTAGGAAAGTACTTCAGCTTGCCTAGTAAATTGTGAATGTCATGTTGATTTTATTACTCCACTAAAGGATGGTATTGACTCCTTGTGAAAATTGGGAATGGGGGTGAAATAAACCACAAAATGTCTGTCCTTAATCTTCTCTCTTCTCAGTGTAAGAAAGCAAGAAAAAACTAATACGTTCACCCTGTGGTTGTAGCTGTAGTTACTTACCCTAACTCCTGGTACTTAAAAATACTCACGCACAAGCATGGCTAAATAATAAAATAAAATTACAGTTACTCCTATAAAATTTCTAAAAGTACCTTTGTATCTTACTATATTTGATAATTTATTTCATTCATAAATTATATCGCAGAGGGAGTTTTTATTTATTACTGAAAGATAGGCGAGATCAAGCAACATGACCAAGGCCAGCAAATTGATAAGGAGAGAAATTATTGCATTTGAAATCCACCTTCTAACTCTACACCCTAGCTTCTTACCAAAAGAAATCAAGATAAACCCCTGAAAGTTAAGCTTCCTTGTAAGGGTCACTCATAGGAAAGTTTGCAATTTGCAGGATGAGTCCACTATAGATGTTTCCCTTGTTGTACTGAGTATTCAGTTTTATGTTCTAGCAGTGTTTCTGTCCTTTGTATATTTAAAAGATTGTGCGCCACACTTATCTCCACTCAGAAGGAGTAGAACATTTCAGACCCCTGGATTTATTTCAAGCATGTCTTCCCTCCCCAATATCTCCCACCTGGACTTCGAGTCGATGCGCTCACCTCATTGTTACACATTCAGTCCAACCCTAGTTCCTTACGTGACACTTACCTGAGATAGAAACTTATCAACAATCTCAACTCTACTTTCTGGATGGGTAAGACTTAGCACTTATATCACATTTTGGATACCCTGTCCAAGTTAAAACCACTACCATATTGACATCTTAAGGTCTCAAGCATATTCAGAAGTGTACACATGTTCTCTGAGGTCATTGTCAGTGGTTCTCCATGTATTTCACTCAGACCAGCAGCATCAGCATCAGTGGTGAACTTAATAGAAACACAGATTCTTGAGCCTTCCCCAGACTTCAGAAACTCTGGAATTGGGGCTCAGTGACTTCTGTGTTAACAAGTCCCCAAGTAATTCTGATTAACAAAATTTGAAATTAAATTTTCTCTTCTATTCTTTATTGGATTAATCTGTGGGACTGGGTTTTAACTTTTCTCCCTACTCATAGTCTTCTCTTGAATCAACTAAGCAGCCTGTGGGATAGATTAAAAGAAAACACAGATGTTAAAATCAGAGGAACATAATTTTAAAGTGCCTCATATATTGCTCTTATTTCTCAGTATGAGTTCTGAAAGGTTGGAGTCACAATATATAGGCATATAGATGCACTTATTAACACATAAACAGCAAGCATTCAATATGCAGTCATTCTATAAATGATGGCCAGCGTTCAGTTCTACTCTGAAAGGTAATCATTTAAAAAGAGCAAAATAAAATAAATCATGCTGCTATAAAGACACATGCACATGTATGTTTATTGCAGCATTATTCACAATAGCAAAGACTTGGAACCAACCCAAATGTCCAACAATGATAGACTGGATTAAGAAAATGTGGCACATATACACCATGGAATACTATGCAGCCATAAAAAAGGATGAGTTCATGTCCTTTGTAGGGACATGGATGAAATTGGAAATCATCATTCTCAGTAAACTATTGCAAGAACAAAAAACCAAACACCACATATTCTCACTCATAGGTGGGAATTGAACAATGAGATCACATGGACACAGGAAGGGGAATATCACACTCCGGGGACTGTGGTGGGGTGGGGGGAGGGGGGAGGGATAGCATTGGGAGATATACCTAATGCTAGATGACGAGTTAGTGGGTGCAGCGCACCAGCATGGCACATGTATACATATGTAACTAACCTGCACAATGTGCACATGTACCCTAAAACTTAAAGTATAATAAAAAATAAAATAAAATTAAATTAAATTAAAAAAGCAAAATAAAAAGTGTCCTTATGACAAATGCTTATGTGTGAATAGAAATATCACTGCGTTTGTATGTAATCTCTGGCCTTTAATATATCTCTTCTTGTTTACCAGTGTTGTTGGTGCCACCTTTTTGCAAGAGATGAAGAGAAAGTTCCCCTGCAGGCACTGTTAGATCATTGTACCATGAACAGCAATCTGAGCGTTTGGCCACTAAGAATGTTCACCAAAGGGATTTATATACTTTTCTCTGATATTTGTGGACATCTATTTCCTTGAGAAAATGGTGACTTATAAAATTGGCCTTGATACTGGGTTAGCAAATACTTAAATCGATACAATTTAGGATATACTTGTTATCTGTACATTGGAATGGAAAGATACAAGCACACATACACATAGGTGAGCCAGACAGGAATCTGATACCTTACATCCATGTGATTGAATATAAGACAAAGGACGGAATGCATTTGTTCTTTAAAATAGAACAAGAACTGAAATTTAAATTGCAGTAAGCATTACTCAAGTTATATTGGAGGAAGAACTGAAATCATCATCCTCATCATTACATTGGGAAATTAGAAAACATGTCAGAGCAACTTCAATATCATCCTAGTTAGTTTCTTCATTTTACAAATGAGGAAACAGACCAAGAAAGGCGGGATAAATATCAAGAGAGTGGCAGCGTATTCTGCTTTTTAATCTTGGCCTGTCTTCTTTTAAATATCTGCCCCATTCTTAGATTCTGTATTAGTTTCCTAGGAATGACATAATAAATTACTACAAATTTGGTGGCTTAATACAATATACATTTATTCTCTCATAGTTCTGAAGGTGAGAAGTCAAACAACCTGTTGGCATCCCTCAGAAGACTCCAGTGGAGAATCTTTCCTTGCCTCTTCCAGCTTCTGATGGCTCCAGATATTCCTTGGCAGCATAACTCCAATCTCTGTCTATGTCTTCACATGGCATTCTCCTTAACATCTGTGCCTTCTCATCTTCTCTCAAAAAAATGGAAAAAAAAAGTAAAGTTGTTGCTACAGCTGCACCAGCAGGCATAAAAAAATGCAGTTTTTGCAAAATGACTTTTATCTTGTATTGAAAATGTAGCTTTTATATGGGTCCCGGGTTACTATAACAAATGCATATATATTAGACTTCAATTTGAGAAAAAGTAAAGTTATTATATGATGAACCAAAAGACAGGTGAAAACCCTATAGCTAGATAATTTAATGCCAGCAAAGGATGGTTTGATAATTTTAGAAAGAGGCTTCGATTAAAAAATGGCAAGATAATAGGAGAAATCATTCTACTAAACAGGAGGCAGCAGACGAGTTCCCAGACAACATTAAGAAAGTCATTGAAAATAGATACACATCTGCCTGAACAGATTTATAGTGCAGACAAAAGTGCTGTATTCTGGGGGGAAAAAATGCCCCAAGAGACATTTATCAGTAAGGAAGAGAAGTGAGCACCAGGATTTAAGTCAGGAAGGGATAAGCTAACTATTGTGCAAATGCTGTTAGGTTTATGATGAGGACTGCCTTTAACTATAAAGCAGTTAATTCCTGAGCCTTAAAGTAAAAAGATAAACACCAGCTGTCAGTCTTTTCATTGTACAACAAGAAGGCTTTGGCAATGAGAATCCTTTTTCTGGATTGATTCCATTGATGCTTTGTCCCTGAAGTCAGAAAGTATCTTACTAGTAAGGCAGTGCCCTTTAAATTTCTTTTGATATTGAACAATGCCCGTGGCCAACCAGAACTCTGATTTCAGCACCAAAGACATTAAAGTGATCTATTTGCCCCAAACACAACATCTATAATTCAGCCTGTAGATCAGGCAGTCCTAAGGACCATTAAGGCTCATTACATGTGGTACCCAATGGAAAGAATTGTCAGTATTATGGAAGAGAACCCTGATGAAGAGAATATCATGAAAGTCTGATAGGATTAATGAATTGAAAATACCATCTTTGTTATATTTTTTTAAAAAGCTGTGAAAGCCATCAAGTCTGAAAAAGCAAATTACTGCTGGAGAAAACCGTCCATGTGTTATGCATGACTTCACAGGATTTATGACTAAGCCAATCAAGGAACTCATGAAAGAGATTGTGGATATGACAAAAAGGTGAAGGGGGAGATGATTAAATGTTTTAAGATAAGGATCGTGGAGAAATTTGAGGATTAATAGACACCACACAAAAGGAATTAACAGAAGACTTGATGACGACTGCTTTCGAATCAGTGCCAGATGATGAGGAAGAAGATGTAGAATAAGCAATGCTAGAAAACAAATTAACATGAGATAATTCGGCACAAGGCTTCTGACTTTTGACTTCTCTTATGACATGGACCCTTGTATGATGTGGGTACTGAAATTAAAGGAAACAGTGAAAGAATTAGTACCATATAGAAATATTTTTAGAGAAATGAAAAAGCAAAAAGGTTAGATAAAAGTTGTGATATATTTTCATAAAGTTACACAGAGTGTACCTGCCTCTCCTGCCTCCCCTTTCACCTTCTCCACCTCCTCCATCTCTTCTGTCTCTTTAGAAGGCAGAGACAGCAAGACCAACCTCTCCTTTTCCTCCTCCTCCTCAGCCTACTCAACGTGAAGACGATGTGGATGAAGACGTTTATGATGATCTGCTTCCACTTAATAATAAATATATTTTATCTTCTTTATGATTTTAAACATTTCCTTTTTTCTGGATTTCTTTAGTGTAAGAATATGGTATATAACATGTATAATACAAAATATGTGTTAACCAACAGTTTGTTAACCATGAGGCTTTTGTTCAACAATAGGCTATTAGTAGTTAAGTTTTAGGGTAGTCAAAAGTTATACTCAGAATTTTTATTTTGCAGGGTGTTGGCTCACCTAACTTCCTCATTGTTCAAGATTCAAATACACATCTTGTCTGCTTCTATTCGCATGATGTTCTAGGAAAGTTGAAACTAATCTGTGACTTTAAGAAATCAGAATAGTTGTTTATCTGTGGAGAGAAGGAGGTCTCTCTGTGTGATTTCTCCTGATCTTTCACTTATAGCACTTTTATAGACACTGGTCTATAATCAGCTACTAACTAGCTCTCCCTGCTCTTGCCTCTTACTTAACTTCCAATTCCCAGGAATTTCATCAAGCCCTGGTGCAGGGTTGCTAACAAATTAGTTTATGGAACCAAATTGAAGATCTGGTCTCATCAGGTTTGGCAGCAGCATTTCCAAAAAATAATTTTTCAGGTTTTCATCACTCTTTTCTTAGCAAAAAGAAGACATGAGAAGTCTTTGTACTTGAGGCATATCTCTGTTTCTCCATTAATATCAGTTATTTATTAAGAACCATCTTAGAGGGCATGTCCTTTTCACAATGTAAACTTTCTAACTAGATGTGAAAATAAAAACCCAGAGAAAACTCACTTAACTACTGCAGTAATGGAAAAAGCATAAAATTCAGGACATAAAAAATCCTGAAATATTTAATGATTTCCTAGCAATTCTCTTGCTTCAAATATAGCCTTTGAAATAAAATTTTAATTTTTCTAAAATAAAAGATATGCTTGTATAAAAGGCTAGAAAAGATAGAAAAAGATGCCAGTCTTAGTAAATGTATAAAACAAAGACTTTGAAAATCATAGAAAGTTATAAACCTCTTTAAAAATACAGAGTACCTCCTGAAAAAAGGATTCCAAAGTTTCCGCTATCTTTTAGGTGTTATCATAATAAAGAAATAAAAGAGCAAAAAAAAAAAAAGATATTGCTTTACATTCTCAGTTAGAATTTATTTAGAGAGAAATGCTGATTTGCCACCTTCTTTCAAGTGATGAAAAAAGATGAATGTTAATTTGCTAAGAAGACATATAGAAAGGCCAGAAATAGCCATGTAGAAAACAATGATGAGAAAATATGACAGGACACTGCACTCGGGAATGGAAATGTAAAACACATCATGTGTTTCATAATTTTAACAGTCTGGCCAAGGCGACGGTTTCTGGGCCATTGGTTAGGCAAATGTTAGCATTTTGTTCCTTTATTTCTTTATACTTTTCTGAAGATTCAGTTCAGGAACACACAACTATTAAATATCAAGACACGGCTAAAAATAATTAAAAAAATAGAGTCCAGAGTGACAAATGAGCAAATCATAAATGTTCACTTGTTTGTGCAGAACCCATCAAAGTCCATTTATTTTCAAATTACCCTTTAAGGTTATTTCTTTTCAGTTCTTTTTTTCTTTCTCTCTAGAAGATATTTCTAAACAATATAAGGGAGAAAACACCAAAATTTGTAGTATACTTGATCTAATCTGTGCTTTTTTTAATAATCACTCTGAATTGACACTTTGAGTCCATTTTTTTCTCCTGTTGGTATCATATGAGTAAATGGAATCATGTGAGTAAATGGAATCTAAACTCTAAATTCAAAAATCATTAGGAATACCAGCTCTGGGGCTTTCTCTGACCCAATCTTCCTTTTGAGGTTGGATCACAGCTGCAAATGATTGACAGGCAGACAACAACAAAGCTGCAGGCACCCTCCTCTCTCTCGCTTGCCTGTGTGTTAGCTTTGGGCTGCACCTTCTCAAATGAATGGGGAAGCTCTTGATCTCACATCTCTTTCAACACTTCGCCTTGGTTGGAATTCAAGAAGCCTGCAGAGTTACTTAGAGGAGAATATAAGTTTTCCTGGGGTCTTTCAAAAGCATCAATTCAAAAGGCCTAAATCAACAGCAACAATAACAACAACAAAAATGCTTCACTTTCTATTGAAGGGAGAAGCTCAGCTAAAAGGCCTGTTCCCATAGAGGGTTCCTTTTCTCTTTACATAGGTAGAAGCCGCTTAAAAGCAAGAAGTCAGAAGGAAACCCCAACTGCCAGGAGAATCTCAGAAACAGCCATAAAAAGCGTTGTCAGAGTTCACTTATAAACTAAATACTTTTATATCTGTGCTTTGTGTCTGATTGTTACAAATATGCCAGTTATTTAAGTAGTGCCATCTAATATAAAATACAATCTTTGTAGGTGATAATATTTTAGTATTATAAGTGTTATAATTTGTTGCAATTTTTAGTGCTTAAAGCTATTGGCAACTCATTAATATAAAAGCTAGTCACACAGGCCTGCATTTAATATTAGACAAAAAGTTATAAAATACATATTTTATCTATCAAAACACTGTGTAAAGTGGACATCCCTAGGCATACGAGATCTATACCCCTGTGTGAGAGCAAGACCTACTGAAAATAACTGAAAATGGTTATAATGGTGTCCCAAAATCCAAGTAGCGTGTTGACACTTCCTTAAGTGCACCCTCCCACACCTCCTATCTTCTGTATGTACCCATTTCTAGCTCCTTTGAATATTTCTAGAGGCCCTCTTCACTTGATATGAAGTGAGCATGCATAAATTTCAGTTACCACAGTTTAGTTTAACACCACCAGTCCCCACCCACATGGTTCAAATTGCAATTACTGTAATATATTGACACTGAGTAATTGCATGAAGTACAAACTTCCCTGCTCACTCTTCGATGCACACATCACTGTGTAAATAACAAATAAACAGCAGGATCAATGGCCAATCAGGTCAGTTTTCTGAAGTATACTCTCATTGATCACTGAGCGTGTTATTCAGCTTGTGCATAGATAAGAAAATGTGTAGTTGTCTTGCTGCCTTGTTTCTCAGTAACAAACCCATGTGACATTTTACAAAAATAGACAATTAAAAAAGACAATGTACCAATAAAAATGAAAGCGTAGCCAAAGGAAATTTAAAAAACAACAAAATGTGATAATACTAGAAGTGAAATTTGATTGATTCAAACATTAAGTTGTATTGGAAGAAATAGCTGACCATGGAAATGACACTGCTGTCGTGTGAGAAACTAAATCTGCAGCCTGAAAAATTTAGTGAAGGTGACTTTATCAACATCAATGAGGAAAGCAGTTGTGACAAAAAGGAGGAAGACGCCTCAAAGGAAGGGATAACAGCAAAAGACTTCATGTTAAAGGAACTCTCAAGAGTTATTAGACATTAAAAGAACAAGCAACAGGCCAGGCATGGCGGCTCACACCTGTAATCCCAGCACTTTGGGAGGCCAAGGTGGGTGGATCATCTGAGGTCAGGAGTTTGAGACCAGCCTGGCCAACATGGTGAAACCCTGTCTCTACTAAAAATCCAAAAAAATTAGCCAGGCGTGGTGGTGGGTGCCTGTAATCCCAGCTACCCAGGAGGCTGAGGCAGGAGAATTGCTTGAACTAGAGAGGCAGAGGTTGCAATGAGCCGAGATAGGGCCGGGCCACTGCACTCCTGCCTGTGCAACAAAGTGACAGTTTGTCTCAAAAAAACAAAACTAAACAAAACAAAGAATAAAATACTGAAAGCTAATCCAAACTCAGAAAGGATAAAACAGTTTCCATAGACATAGAAAAGATATTCACTCCATTTCCTAATCTATGTTATTTACATAACAGAGAGCAAACACTATTTTTAAAGGTTTTAAAAATAAATACAATTATTTAATTCTCAATGTTTCTAATGTTTTAAATTAATGTACTAAATTAATATTAGTTTTGCTATTTAAAAAATCTTATATTTTTGTAACACAGTTCCTATCATTTCATGTGTTCTCTCTTTCCTTCTTGTCTACCTGGCAAATGGTTTCTCATACTTCAAGACCCACCACAAAAATATCTTCAGGAAGCATTCTCTAACTTCAAGATAGTGCTAACTTCTTTTTGTATTATGATATTTTGAAGTATTTTTTCACTTTCCTATAGAATTCCTAATTTTATATTTATATAGTTGTGTTATCTCAGGGCTATGGACTCCAAAATTGATCATTTGTTTATCATTAGCATATAGCAACTTATCTAGAAAAGTGGGCTCTTATGCAATATGTACCAAAAAAATGAATTTGCCAATTTCTTTTTATGTTATTGCAACAAAAACCACAGATCTAATGTGTGCAATTTTACATGTGCATAATTAACCCCAACTCTTCACAGTGTTGTATTATCTTCTTAATTTCTAAATTTGAATACATAGCAAACTTGAAATTTAGGAAGAAGTCTAGCACATTACTGTTTCTAAAGGGCATGAATTAACCCTTAGCGTGGGTAAGATGATGTTTTTCAGCAACCTTGCAGAGAGCAATTGTGGTTGAGTTGTGAGGATGAAGGTCAGTTTGGAGTATGTAAATGAAAACATGGAAAAAATGTGTATTGATTAGAGAGAGCAGATTGGACACATTTATCTACAGTCACAATCTCCCAACACACCACTTATGGCATCAAGAGGATTTTGTGAAAATATATAGCTATACAAAGACACAGAAAACTTGAGGGAAGCAAAAGTTTTTAAACAACAGTTTATTTGAATAGCACATAGAAGAGAACATATACTAAAATGTTTTAACTGATACATAAGAAATGAAATCCCAAACCCTAAGGGAAAGCTGAGAAATAAACTTAGTTAATGATGCACTCTTTTGAAAAGGCAAGCGTTGTCAGTGCCACTTACTGCTGGAAGTAAAGAGATGGGCAAAAAGAAGGGGAAATAGCTAAAAGTTTCTTTAATAACAATCAGATCTATCAGGCAAAAGATACATTCTCCGGAAGGGTGTTCAGACATGCAATTTCATGTATGATTGAAGGTAGGGTAGCATACTGAAATGAGATTGATTAGATATACATGTGGGTAATGCACGGTGAAACCTACAGTATTCTCCTTCACTTAGCACCAAAATTCTGATAATCACACTTTTATTTGTCCGCAAGAAGCTGTAAAAACTTAAACATAGATAACATAGATTATTAAACATAGAAAACAATCTGATGAAAGCACATAATTTAAAAGAAAGAAACGAAAGTAAGTGCAACTTCTACTGTCCCAGAAATAGTTCTTTAAATACTACACCATGAATATTTGTAAATATATTTTTAAAAGATATGACAACTTAAAAAGTGAACTGTGTGCTAAAAATATGTAGTAACTGGAAAAGTTTTTAGAAATTAAAAATATGGTAGAATAAACGAAAAACAGAATTGGATAATTGGAAGCTGAAGTTCCCCGAAAATGAGAGCAACAAAATTTTGAAAGATGGATAATGGGAGGAAAGACGAGATGAGATAAATAAATGTATACAAATAAATAAACACATTTATTAATAATTTATCTATTCAGGAATTAAAATTTTCACATAATAGTAGTTCTAGAAGGAAATACCAGGAATAAAGAGCATAGTGGATTATCAAGATCATCCATCGTATAAAGTTATTTTTTGGACTAAAAAATGTAACAAAGTATTCAGAAAAATTGATTAATAGATTCATATCAGTGAACAACATTCCAAAATGTCATAATATTAGATAACAAAATAAAATCTGTTAAACAATTGGAATGAAAAAATAGAAAAGAAAAGAAAAATATTAAATAACAATTGTAGGAGGCATCCAAACAGAAATAGCAGTGACCTCAGTCATTTCAAATCTCTAAAATCTAGAGACTTTATCTTCAAAAATGAAAGGAGAGGGCTGAGCACAGTGGCTCACACCTGTAATCCCAGCACTTTGGGAGGCCGAGGTGGGCAGATCACCTGAGGTCAGGAGTTCGAGGCCAGCCTGGCCAACATGGCGAAACCCCATCTCTACTAAAAATACAAAAATGGGCATGGTGGCAGGCACCTGTAATCCCAGCTACTCAGGAGGCTGAGGCAGGAGAATCACTTGAACCCAGGAGGCGGAGGTTGCAGTGAGCCAAGACAGTGGCATTGCACTCCAGCCTGGGCAACAAGAGTGAAATTCTGTCTCAAAAAAAAAAAAGAAAAAAAAAAAAGGAGAAAATCAGGTAATGAAGATGCAGATTGACAAGCTTTAAGCTCTCTGCCTTCAAATGGACACATCAATAAACAACTGCAGATTGACTAAGAAATAACTTTATGAGAGGTCTGGAAAACCAGTCAAGTATCTACAATAACCAACAGAATACCCAATTAAGAAAAAGCCACATTAAAGTGGTAGAACATTTTATGGCATTTTGAGTTGCTCTAGCAAAACTCTCTTGAAATCGTGTTGTGCACATTTAAGAGAAAGTGGCCTAATTCCAAGTTTTTTTTCCTCAAGACAAAAGGAGTAGAATTAAACTTATTTGCAACATTCTGGCCAATCTGTGGATTGTCCTAAGAAGTACCATTGTCTTGCCTAATTTGGAGCTCTGCTGGGGAATGGAAACATAGATTTGATTTCAGTCTGGAAGCCCCAGAAGGCAGTGGTGGATGCTGAAATGTTTGAAAACTGTTGGATAAAAACAAAAATATGGATTTGAGATTTTAAGAGGGACTGGGCTGAGACTATTTGAGAAATTAAGATATTTAAAATAAGCTAGGGGATATTAATAATGAGAGAGAGAGTGAGAGAGACAGAGAGAGAATAAACTAACATACACAGGCCCAGATAGAACACTGCAAAGAAAATACCCGAGACTTCCTCAACCTTTGACAATGAGTTAACATCAACTCTCAAGGCCTTGCTAATTAGTAGAGGTATTTCCCACCAGTGTTAAAACAACGGGGAGATGGCTTTTCATTTTTTAATGTCCAGTGTTTAACAAAATAACACAAGGCTTACCAGAAATCAGAGAAAGATAATCTATTTAAATGGCAAAATAAACCCCAAGAAACTGTTTCTTAATAAACAGAGGCATGAGACTTACTGAAAAAATACTTTTAAATAACTGTCTTATACATGTTCAAAGAGCTAAAGGGAAACATGGACAAATAATTAAAGGGAATAAGGAGAACAATATATAAATAAAATGAGAATATCAACAAAGAGATGGAAATTTTTTAAATAAAACAGATTTTTGGAGCTGGAAAGCACAATTACAGAATTGAAAAATGTACTGAAGAGGTTCAATAGCAGATTTGAACAGACAGAAGAAAGAGTTAGCAAGCTTGGTGTATAAATATTTGAAATGATTCAGTCTGAGGAGCAAATATAACAAAATATTAAGTTAACATAACCTATAGGGCTTATAGAACACCACCAAACAGAGCAATATTCACATTATGGAAATCCTAGGAGGAGGAGAAAGAAATGAGCATAATGATTATTTGAAAAAATAATGGATAAAACCTTTCAAAATTTGAGAAAGAACATACATGTAAAAATCCAATGAGCTCAATGATATCCAAGTAGGATAACCTTGAAGAGACTCATGCTGAGACACACTATATTCAAACTCTTTAAAGCCAAAGACTGAAAGAATCTTGAGAGCAGCAAGAGAAAAGTGATTCATTATATACATGAGGTCTCTAATGAGGTTATCAATACATTTTTAATAGAAACTTTGTAGGCCAGAAAATAGTGGGATGATATATTTAAAGTTATTTGAGGGAAAAAAAGTCAACTGAGAATTCTATATTCAACAAAACTATTCTTCAAAAATCCAAAAATTTTATTACTTCAAAATTAAGATATGCCAACACAAACGAAATCTAAGGGGGTTCAACACTAGACTTGACTTAAAAAAGTGCTGAATGGAGTCGTACAAGTTAAAATGAAAAGACTCTAGACAGCAACTCAAAGCTACATCAACATATAAATTTTTCCAATAAAGGTAAATACATGAACAAATATTACAAAGTGTCACTATAATTTTGATTTGCTCACTCCACTTTTTATTTACACAAGATTTAAAGGACAAATAAATAAAAGTGACTATATGTCAATGGGTACACGATAGACAAAGAAGTAATTTGTGATGCCAGTCCCTTAAATGGGAGATTGTAAATAAGCCAAGTTCTGCATGGCACTGAAGTGAAGGTGGTGTCAGTGTAAGATAGATTGCCGTCACTTATATGTAATCTCCATTTAATTAAAAAGAAAATATTTATAGAATATACACAAAAAGAAATGAAAGGGTAATCAAAATGTGTCAAAACAAAAAAGTCAACTAAATGCAAAGGAGGATGGTAAAGGGCAAATAACTGGGCAAAAATAAATCTATAGAGTTTATAGAAACAAATATCAAAATAGGAAAATTGTGTGCTCCTCTATTCCTGTATTAGTAATTTCTTTAAAGGTAAATCATTTAAGTTTCCCAAACAAAAGCCATTGATTGGCAAAATAATTTTTTAAAAAGTTTCAACATATGGTATCTACAAAGAACAAACTTTAGATATAGAAACAGAGTAAAATGAAAAGATGGAAAAAGAAATTTCATACAAATAGTAACCAAAGTAGAACCAAGGATGGCTATACTAATTTCAGACAAAATAGATATTTAGCCAAACACTGTTACAAGAGAGAAATAGGGACATTACATAATGATAAAAAAATTAATTTATCAGAATATTGAAAACTTATATATGTGCCAAACATCAGAACACTAAAATATGTGAACAAACACTGATAGAATTGAAGGAGGAAAATAGACAGCTGTGCAATAATAGTGGTATACCTTATTACCCAATTTTTAGTGATAGAACAAAAAGACAGAAGATCAATAAGAAAATACAGAACTTGAAAAATTCTATGGATCAGTTTTAGTATTACCAATTGGATACTGTACTAAATAACAGCATAATGCACATTTTTCTAAGAGCACATGGAGAATTCTCCAGCAAAGATCTATAGGTTAGGCCATAAAACAAATTTTAATACATTTTAAAAGATTGTATTCATAAGTATATTTTCTAATCACAATTGAATGTTTCCAGAAATCAACACAGAAGAAAAATTGGAAAATATATAGAAATTAAGCTAACAAATGATCAAAGAAGATTATCAGGGAAAACTAGAAAATATTTTGAGGCAAATGAAATTAAAACACCAAAATCCATAAAATACAGTGAAAGCAGCGCCAAAATTGAAATTTATAGCTGTAAATGCTTACATCATAAAAAAGGAAATTATTAAATCAACAACCAAATTTTACACTTTAAGAAATTTTCTAAAAGATTAAACTAAATCAAGGATAGAAGAAAGCAATAAACAATCAATATTAGGGAAGCTATAAATAAGGTGGGTAATAGAAAAACAATGCAAAGGAAAAACAAAACCTGGGCTGGGTTCTTTAAAAAGATGAACAAAATTGAGAAATAATTAACTAGACTAATGAAAACAAAAGACTAAAGGTCACATAATTAAAATTAAAAATGAAAAAGGAAACATTAACTACTGAGTTTACAGAAATAAAATGTTATAAAGAGTTTTGTAAACATTTATATGCCAACAAATTGCACAACCTAGAAAAAATGTATAACTTTCCAGAAACACACAACCTGCTAAGATTGAATCATGAAGAAATAGAAAATCTGATTAGGTCTATAACTAGTAAGGAGATTGAACAGGTAATCTAAAAAAAACTGCTAAAAAAGAAAAGTTCAAGACCAGATGGCTTCAATGGTGAATTCTACCAAACATTTAAAGAATTAACACCAACACATTATCATTCTACTGAGACCAACACATTACTCTGCTATGAAAGCCAAAGACACTAGAATGAAAGAAAACTACGGACTAATAAACCTTATAAATACTGTATTCATCCATTTTCACACTGCTATAAAGAACTTCATGAGACTGGGTAATTTATAAAGGAAAGAGATTTAATTGACTCGCAGTTCTGTATGGCTAGGAAGGCCTCAGGAAACTTACAGTCATGGCAGATGGTAAAGAAGAAGCAAGTACCTTCTTTACAAGGTGGCAGCAGAGAGAATGCAAATGAATGAAGTGGGAAGAGCCCCTTATAAAACCATGAGATCGTGAGAATCCACTCACTATCACGAGAACAGCCTGGGGGAAACCCATGATTCAATCACCACCACCTGGGAACTCCCTTGACACATTGACACTTAGAGATTATGGGGATTATAATTCAAGATCAGATTTTGGTGGGGACACAAAGCCTAACCGTATCAAATATTGATGCAAAAGTTCAGCAAAATATTAGCAAACAAAATTAAATAGCTTATTAAAAGGGTTATACACCATAAGCAATTGAGATTTATTTTTAGCATTCAAGGATGTTTCATCACAAGAAAACCAAACTATATAATACACTACATTAACAGAATGAAGGGAAAGCACACAACGCATGCACACACAGACACGTAAATGCACACACACGCAAGGCCATCTCAATTATGGCAGAAAAGCATTTGATAAGGTGTAGTGCTCTCTTAGGGGGATATGGCTATGAGGAAAAGTAGGGTGAGTGTGTGTGTGTGTGTGTGTTATTAAGGGCAGATGTAAAAATGTATCTTTTTATATTTGGGAAGAAAACTGACAAATAAAGCTAACAAATCAACACCATTGATGTGTTATTTAGAGACACAAATATAAACACAGTAGTAACTGGAAAGAAGACAGACAACGTTGGCCCAGTACATGCAGGAGATAGATGTGGTGGGAGCTTATGGAAGTTCCCCTGTAAGGAATAGCAAGCAATTCTTCAGCTGATATGGAGGATTGAGGAGAAAAATGTTGGTTAATTAAGAACAGAGTAGAGAATTTGAAATAATTTCCTAGGAAATTGGGAGCAGTATGAACCTGTGATAACAAGAATAAAATACTTTATATGCGCCAGCAGCGGTAGCTCACACCTGTAATCCTAGCACTTTGGGAGGCTGAGGCAGGTGGATCATGAGGTCAGGTGATCGAGACCATCCTGGCCAACATGGTGAAACGCCACTGTCTCTACTAAAATACAAAAAATTAGCTGGGCATGGTGGCGCATGACTGTAGTGCCAGCTACTCAGGAGGCTGAAGCAGGGGAATCGCTTGAACCTGGGAGGCAGCGATTGCATTGAGTGGTGATCGTGCCACTGCACTCCAGCCTGGTGACAGAGTAAGACTCCGTCTCAAAAAAAAAAAAAAAACTTTATATGCTTTTGATTTTTAAAATCCTGTTATTATAGTATCTAGGTGCGTTTCATAGCAGAGCAAAGTAAAATGATTTATTCTTTTGCTTAATATCTTTTTTCTCATATCAAATCACCAATATTTCTATTCCCTGCTACTCACGCAGTTTGGTTGAAATAAATTTTACCCATAAAATGTTTGACCAAAAGACATGAGAAAACACATGGTTGTCTAACTGTATTTCATATTTAAAATGTGAACTTAAAATTAATGGTTTTGTGAAGTCCAAAGAACCTAACCAGTTCCCAAGCACAGTCAAACCATGTCGGGATCCTCCACAGCCACTGTAATTGGGTGGCTTTTCCAAGGCTGAGTGGTGTTTCCAAGTGGGTTCCTGACTTCTTGGCTCTTCGTTCTCATGTAAATCCCTCTTTCCTCTAATTCCAGCAATTCCAGAATCTTTCACAAAATTTAGCATATAAACATGCATCATCTGTTGTTATTTTTTTACATTGCTTTGACAACTATTTTGTGATGTTTATAAGGGCAAAGGTAAGGCCTTATAAAATATTTTCATTTGAGTCTACAAATACTGAGCACACATTTTCCAATAAACCTAGGACTGACACACAGGGTCATACTGACCTCTCTTCTCCTAGTAAAAGTGTTTGTTTATAAATTACTGTTGCTAATGATAGAAAAAATAAATTACAAACTCAGTTACAGGGAGGAAAAATTCTTTTTTAAAATTACATACTACAAAACTTCTGTTTAGCTATTCACAGCAGGAAACACAGTAAAAATTATTTAAAGCACATTAATTGAAATCAGCTCAGGCTACCTTCATAGAAAGTTGTTGCATAAAGGGAACAGTTATTCTAATTAAATCTAAAAAACCTACAGCTGTGAAACTATAAATTTTTATCTATGCTGGTAGTAGCTCTAAAAGTGAATCTAAGTTAAAATATTAACTTTTCCCCCATACAAATAATAAAAGACTTAAAACTTCCATAAAATGAATCAGATTGTTTTGGCCTTACTAAGTAGATGTGCTGATTTTGGCAGACTTTGTCTACCTTAGTATAAACTGTTCGCTACTTGCTATATCTCCTCATGCTGACTGTTTTCTGAAACTGTTTTCATAGCATGAGTAAACTAAAAAGGAACTCAGCATCTTATTTTTTATTTATTTATTTTTTATAAATCAGTTGTTCCTGTTCTGCCAGTTGCAACAAACAGCATCTGGTCTGTTGCCAGATGGAGAGTTAAAATCTCTCTCCAGCGTAGGAAAATCTGTTTCTAGATCCTAAAGTGTAGGTTTCACACAGTTTCAAACGCACATGTCCAAAACCTTGGCTACTAACTCTTCATTTAAAAGAGAGAAATGTGCCCCAACAAATGATTCGCCCCCAGAAAGTCAACAGAGAGAACGTTAAGTAGATAGTTTTGAAGATTTGAAAACTAGCCAATAATTAGAAGTTATCAATTGCTCAGTTGATTCTTTTCTTATGCATTTTGGTTTGCCTGACAGGTTGTGTCATTTTTGTAAAGCTTCTTCCTGTTCCCACAAAGCAGAGTATATTTGGAGAGTATTTGGAGATCTCTGAAGGCCTTTGAAATGTTTTCTAGAGCCTCTTTCACATTGTCCTTTCCTTTAAGACAAGGATTAGGAGACAAACGATGTATGTCAGATAGTGAAAGTTGTTTTTCTCATTAGTAATAACAACACTAACCATTTCATCTTTGCATTCTTTTATTATCAATCTATCAAATTCTGGTTCTAAAATAACTTTATTATGGTATCTCCAATAAATCCCATCTCTAAACAGTCATCATTTATTCCCTTTCCCCAAAATCATATAAAACATGTTTTACTCTAACTATCGCATATTTTTTACCAATGGTCACATGTCAATAATATTCCCATATTGTTAAATTTCCTATTCTAACTTGTGTTTTTGACATTGGTATATTTTCAAATCTCCGATGTATCTTACTGTCAATAGGTACATTTGCTGAATCATTTATCTCCCACTAAAAACTTGCTAAATTATTGATAAGCTTTATAACTGCTAACACTTTAGAATCAATACTATTTAGTACTTCTTTTGTTTATACTTGATAATCCTATTTCATAATCTTAGTGTCAGGTAAAATAGGAAATTAATAAGATCTCAGGTTTTGAAGTCAGAGATAGCTTGGGTAAAGTCCAGGTTCTGGGCCCTTGGACACATTCCTTAAATACACAAGTAAACTGCAAATGCTACTTAACTAACTTGTTTTGAGCACGCAGGCATATGTCAAGTGTTCAATAAATATGATTTTCCTTCTCTTTCCCCAGAAGACAAACTAATCATTCTGTTAATGGCAGGGAGCATGTTTAATATTTGCCTTATGTTCAGTGTTGTAGACATCCAACAGTGATATTATTAACTACAATATAAACCAAATTATTTAATGGTTTCTTCAGCCTTGATCACACCTGAAAACACTTCAGAGAACAATGGAAAAATATTCATAGCCACTGAGAAGCTAAACATGGTATGATTAACTCATATGCTAGCATGAGCCCACTCTACCACAGAAGACATGGCAATACCTACTCTTGTTTAAGACACAATACTAGCAAATGTGTTCCCTTTGTTTATATATTTCAAATATATTTTGTGGTGGAAATTTGGGTACTGTAGAGAGAGGAAATAGCTGAGCTAGGTAAAAAGTGATAGCTGTCTCTCAAAAACAGAGGAAGAAGACAAACTTTTTGATATATATTTCTATCCAGCTATAGAATACATATGAAACCATTATCTGGAGATCCTGGGGTTTTTTTTTCTTTTTCTCTCTTAGAATTTTCTTAAGCCCTTTAATTTTTGAATAAACAACCCTACGTAGCTTAGTTAATCTGAAAGTTGTCCCATTATGAAAGTCCAGAGCAAGAGTAGAAATCACAGTGATTCCTGCTTTATCAAGGAAAGGTTATCAGAGATTTCATATACTCATTCCAGAGGCACAAAGGTGTGAAATAAATCGAGAAAGAGTTCCATTCAAATTGGTTAAAATAAATTTTAGGCACTCCAAGTTTCAGTCACCTGGAAAATGATTTTATCTGGAATACCTCAGTCTTTGGTAAGGCTGTATGAACATGGTGTCATTTTGGTTATCTGATGAAGAAAAATGAGTTAATTGCTTTGGAAAATTACTCTGACAATATGGGCATGAAACAATGTATTAGAGAAGCATAAGGATAGAGTAAAATGGCCTGGATTTTGAAATTCTGTGCTTTGCACTTCAACTATCTAGCTAAATTCCTTAATGCTTCAAAGTTTAGTCTGTATAATGAGAATAATAAGACTTAATTCATAGAAATAACATATAAGAGGATAAAGATTGAAGCATACAATGCACATATATAATGATTGTTATGGTAGTATAAATGATTATTATCATCATTATTTTTGTTCATGTCATCGTCATCATAATGTGATTTCCAATAAGCATAAAATTACCTTTATATTAATAAGTAATAATCTAAAGAGGTTGAATTTGTTTGTCCTAAATTTTCCCCAGTTTCAACCCTATTATATTCCACTAGAAAAACAAAGAAAGTTGAAGAGGAGATGATGTTTGAGTGGAGAAGCAAGCTATGCCAATCCTTGTACAAGGCCACAACTTCCTGTCTGGAGGAGTATGGTCAGTAAGATACCAGACTCAGCAAGTTACCTTTTTTTCATTAATTAATATACATTAATCTCTTAAGTGATGAACAAATGCAAGTTTGTGTTATTACATGTTATTGTCAGAAATTATGCATAATAAATTAATCAATGTAGCTACATCCATGACAATTTTCCTGGGATCCAGAATGTTGTAATGGGGCTAATGACATTGTGTAGAGAAATGTGTATGGGAATTTGAATCAGTTCTTTTTTTTTTTTTTTCTTTAATTAAGGGTCTTCAACTTTTGGTGTTCTATGGTAATCGGCCTTTACAATAGTGTCTAGTGATCTTTGATTCCCTATATTTCATGTTTGGGGTTTAATTGCTGGATTTATTGGTGTGAGATTTTCAAGTCTAGGTCATAATGGGCATTGCACCTTCTACGTCGGACTCTTGGATTTCTGACTGTGGGGGATGTCATTTGTCATTCTGTGAAGACACAAGCAACCCTGTGGAAAGGCCCATGTGGAGGAGCTGAGGTACCTGCCAACAGCCATGTGAGCAATTCATGAGGCCCAGTTAGACCTCAGATAACGAAAGCCCCAGGGGCCATCTGTCTGCAACGTTGTGAAAGACCCCACTTCAGAACCATCTAGCTAAGTCACTTGTGAGTTCTTAAACCAAAGAACTGTGACAGATGACAAATAATTAACATTGTTTTAAGCCACCGCATTTCGGAGTGATTTCCTATATAGCATTAGATAACTGATACCATCTCTGGAACTTTTAACAAGTGATTTTTTTTCTTTTTTTTTTTTTTTTATCTCAGCATCATTATTTGCAAAATGATCAAGATAATGCCTAAGTCACAAGTTTGTGTTTGTTTGTTTTATGTGTATGTGTATGTGTGAAGATTCAATATGCTTATATATCTACAAGACCTGGTAAGTAATAATAAGTAGTTAATAAATACAAACTATCCTCTCTTACCATAATTTATGGGGAATGCATTGTTCTTCCTAAAATGCTTTGTACTTATAAGGAGAAATATTGAATATTCAGTTCAAAAACTTTGGTAAATATATGTGTAGTATAAGCCTTATAAGTCTTTAAGGTTATATAGTAGAATGGAATTCTAAAGCAGATTGAAATGTCAGAAGATCCCCTCAGGGAGATTACAAACAATTTGTCCAGAAATTGGGGGCTAGTTGCAATCTAGGAGGAATAGATGATTCCTATAACATCATTGTATGTTGGAAGACATAGAGAAAAAAAGGTTAAAAAAAAGATTACAGAATAATCAAGAATGTTTGGGAAGTAGAATGAAAGGTGAATATATGCAGTAATAATGTGTTCATTGCAAAATACAGAGCTGTTTATCTTACATGCATAACCCAAGATAAGCAGTCAAGGTAAATACAGTGACTGAGACTCAGAGATCCAGATCTTCTGCTCCAACATTCCTTGTAGCCTCTGCTATCCTGCTCATTGCTTCCTGTTTGCAGCATGAGTGCCACACCACCAGCTGTTCTGTTTTATGCTAACCAGAAATATAAAGTGGGGAGGGTCAAGGAATACATAGATTACTCCAAGAAGTTACCACTGACATTGAATTCCCAGCTATATCACATTGATCATAAATATATTACTTGGACATCAAAAGTAAGTAAATCATTGAGAAAATGAGTTATTAAATTCAAAACCAATGTGTATGGATTAGAATTTTGCTAGTAAGGAAGAAATTGGAGTATTTGATTAGGCAACCAGATATGTCAACTATTCTTATCAAGTGGAATAAAAGTGGATGCAGTTATTTACTTCTTATGGTAGCTATGCTCTATAAAGTCATTACAAACACTGAACTAATTAATACTGAATCATAGTTCCTAGAAGAAAAACAGGGTTAGGTTCCTATGATCCACTGGACACACATTTTCATCAGCTGATGCATACATAACCTTGTTTTAGGTCTATTTCATTTAAAATCAATCTTATTTAATATAGATTGTGATTACTTAACATAGAACTCACTGCCAACAACACTACGAGTTATCCCTAAGGGAAGTTTATCTAACACGTGTTTTCTGTAAGACAAATCACAGCATTCTTATGCTTACAATCATTAGACACCAATTCAGCACTAAATTGTGGGGTCTATCGAAACAGTAAAATCGCTAACAAGTACAAAAATGCGAAGATTGTGGCACTAAATATGCTGAAAACAATGACTTGTTTACAGTGTGAAAGCTGAAATAAGAAGGCAGTGTCACCTTGTTTTACCTCAGCTGGGAATGTGAGTCTCAGGCAACTAAAATTTTTGCCCTTCTGGACATGTCTGAGAATGACCAAAAAATCACTGTGAGTATTGATTTGAGGGTTACAAATAAGTTTTAGTGAGTCTGCAAATCCATAAATATGCAGTATGTGAAAAATGAGGACCAACTGTATTTATTTGGTGCTGGTTTATGCAAGGGAAGTGAGAGAGGAGCTGAGGCAAAATTACCAGCTTAAAAGTACACAGTCAAGGCAAGCATGAAATATCTAATGTGTAATGCTGGAAATGTAGAAGAGTGCTCCACAGAAAGGGAAGCCATCAAAATTGCATGGGAATATTATTTCCCTGTCACTCTCCATTTTACATTTGACGAAGAGAAAAAAAATATAATACACATAAGAATTTCACCTAATTTTGAAATAAATATGTTACATAATGTCTTATGGCTTTCAGATAATTCTGTAGATATCTCACTTTAGATATATTACTTTTTGCAATTTAATTCATTGGTACTAGACAAGGGAGGGAATATGTTCTGTCGGAAATCAGATTAATGCAGACTGTCCAAACATCCTCTAGGTGATCTATCAATGTCACTGGAGACTAACTCTGCTTGACCTTCACTGAACATGTGAATACAGATCTCACTCCTGATTAGCGAGACAGTTCTTGTTTTATTTGGACAGCTAGAACCTGGAACTGGGAGTAAAATATATTAAATTTATGTAACCTGGTTGAACTGGATGGATATTTAGCATAATGCCCCTAAATCTCATTCCATCTCCAAGGTTTGACGGCATTTACTTGGGGATCTATCACGCATCCAGTCATTGGTTAAGTGCTGTATACAACACAGAAGAGATATAACATAATAATTATTCCTCGCACTCAAGCAAATTACTTTGAGGGAGTATAAATGACTTATAAACAAAACAACCAGAAGACAATTAATAGAGTCTGAAACAACATGGTAAATTGTATGTGGAATGAGACTGAGAGACAGTCTCTATAGAGGAAGTAAGCCTTTATTTGGCCTTAAAAAGAAACACAGGAGAGTATTATTTGTTTAAAGTAATTATAATTCATTCTTTCATTCAAAAAATATACTGCATGTACATTATATGCCAATAACTCTTCTAGGCAATGAGGATATAAGAGTGAACAAAACAGAACTCATGTACAAAATAAAATAAGAGCTACAACATATTGAATACTAAATGTATGCAATGTTAATATAAGGTACTTTGTAAATCAGCCATTAACTCTTATAATACATTGTGCATTGCATGTAAAATACTATGAGTAGATTAAATGAGGAGAAAAAAATTTACATCTTTAAACTATGTTATAAGGGTAGATAGATAGATAGATATATTAAATAATTTGCCCATGGCCACAGATTAGTAAGTGATGAAGTAATCACTGTATGTGGTACCTGGCCAGGTTCCTTGAATTTTTTTTCTTAGTAATGTAATGCAAACCTGAACCTAAAGCTAATAGAAACCACTCTGGGGCACAACTAATGATATATTAGTTTATTTTTAAGTTCCTTAGAGATCAGAGGGCTTGGAGGGAATACTTAAAGTTTTTCAAAGGTAAAGTTAGAAGGTAAAACAAATGTTTTGGCTGACATGAGGGAGAGCAGAATTATTTGCTGCTACATGAAAGTATCACTGATGCAGCTTTGGGAGGGTAAGGACACACATGTTTCCTTTCTCTATTCTTTGGCAGATTTTTTCTCATAGAGCCTGAGAATGGAGTACTAAAAGAGCAAGAGTGAGGAGGGAGCAAAGCTTCTTTTAATATGTATTTGATTTAAACAACTTATAAGTAAAGACATTAGTAAAATTAACTGCTTAGAACAGATGCAAGCCCAAAGAGCCTGACCAAAAGATAAGATTCAACGTAAACTAAAAAAGGCTATCCTTATTTTCAGAAATTTTCTCACCTCAGTAAATCTAAACTCTTTCTTCAAATGTTTTATAACTGTAGGGTTTAGAAAACTGTCTTATGATTCAAATTTGGGTAAATTTTGTGGGGTTAAAGTTCTACTAATTAATATATTTTCCATTTAAAAATAACTTGACTCTCACTGGTTATAAATGTGAGGGTGAGCTCGTTAGAAAATTGTAATTTTGAGTCTCTTGTTGGAATTTAAAGAGTAAATTGCATCTGGGAGTTGAGGACACACTATTACTATCACCTGTCATTAGGGAAGTCACAGAAGCAAAAATCAACAAATACCTTAAGGCAATATCAACGAAGTACTCAAGATCTTAGATTTTAAAAATGACCTCACTTTGTCCATATTAAACAGTAAATATTTCATATTAATTACTCCCAATAATAGCTTTAAATATAAAATAAAATACCCCTAATGAAATGGAGACAGCTCTCAAGGCACTTAAATGTTTAATTTTAAAATTGGCATAGGTAAGAGTAATAAAAATAAGCCAAAAGTGAGGGAACTGCAATTAAAAATGTATTACTACTATGAATTACAGCCCATCAAATGTATATGTTGAAGCCCCAACCCCCAGCATGACTGTATTTGGAGAGAAGGTCTTTAAAGAGGCAAATTTAAACTAGGTTATAAGGGTAGAGTTCTAATCCAAGATGAATGCCAGTGAGCAGATAGCCATCTACAAGCCAGGAGAGATGCCTGAGGAGAAAACAACCCTGCCAGCACCTTGATCTTGGACTTCCATTCTCCAGAACTGTGAGAAAGTAAATTCTGTTGTTTATAAATAGCCAATCTATGGTATTTTGTTATGAGGTTCCAAGCAGGGTAATACATTTACCTATAGTTTCTGCTTCTGGAACTCTGATAGATAAGTAGAGATGCAACTTTTAGTAGAAAATCCTTGAAAATTATTGCACAATACCAAAAAATAAAAATAAAAACAAAAAAACCATTTTTAAGTGTAGCTGAAATAGTGCTAAAGCAATGGGAACAGTAGAAGTTAAGGAACTATAAGACAAAACACAATTGTTATAAGGTTCTAGAATGTAGACGATAAAAATATACCACCCCCCTATAACCACCAACCTATAGTGGGAGTTCAGAACTGAGATTCCTAAATAAACCTAAGACTCCAAATGGTATTACCCTCAGGGGGTGAACAAGAAAATATATGCATCCAAAACTTACAGAAAGACACTATCTTTTCTGGGTCTTGGTTCTTTATGGAAAATTAAAAAACAAAACTCTTCACTGAGCATATATTTTTAAAATTATAAGCTGGCATTTCCAGAAATGTAGGGGTAGGATTCATACTGTATATGCTATTTAAAATACCTTTTGGAACTAGTTCAGGTAAGTCTCAGCACCTGACAGACACAAACATAAATTTTGTCTGAAAATATTATCTTTGAATACAGGACTGATTCTTGAAAACCATTTAACAATGAAAAATAAAAATCATTATAAGTGAGTGTTAACAAATGTAATCAATTACAAATTCAGATCCATAAATATTATAGGCTGGAAATTTAAGTACATAACATAAAAATAATGTTATTAAATATGTAATAGATGATACTTATAATAAGTATCATCTTATAAGAAATAGAACAATTTATATTCTGACAAAAAAAAGAGCTTCTAGAAATGAAGAAAAAGAAAAATAACATTTTTGGAACTGGTAAAATACACTGATTTTTGAAACTTAAAAGTCTGATAAATCCCAAGTTCTGCAGAATATATCAAAGACAAAAATATATTGAGAACAACTAGAAAAAAATGAGGACTTATGTTTAGATTGATAAAAGACATCAACAGCAAATACAGAACTCAAGAGACAGTTGAATAACTTTTTCATTTATTATAGAGGTATACTTTAGAATTCTACAGGCAGTGAAAATATATTTCAATATTGAATGTAAGAAAACATATTTTCAAATAAAATCTGAGAGTTTGACACTAGTTTATTTGCAATAAGCATAGTTTAAGGGAGTTATTTCATGTCAAAGGAATACATTCTTATTGGATTATCTGCAATGAAAGAAGGAATGAAACTAAGAATTCCAAAAATGTGCTTATATAAAATAATCAAAAGAACATACATTAATTATGACGTAACTGTTTGAAACCCTTCATTAATTCTTTTGAGTGTATACCCAGATCTGGAATTGTTGAATCTTATAATAATTCTATTTTTTTGAGGAGCCAACATACTGTCTTTCACAGTGGCTGTATCATCTTTCATTCACAACAACAGTGCACAAGGATTCCAATTTCACCATGTCCATACCCATGCTTGTTATTGATTGATCAACTGATTATATCAATTCTAATGAATATGAAGATTTGATCTAACTATGGTTTTTTGATTTGCATTTCCATAATGATTAGTGATGTTGAGCATCTTTTCATGTGCTTATTGGCAATTTACATATCTTTGAAGAAACTTTTATTCAAGTTCTTTGTTCATTTTTAAATCAGGCTGGTTTCTGTTGTTGAGTTATAGGAGCTCTTTATATGTTCTGGCTATTGACTCTTTATCAGTTATATAATTTGAAAATATTTTTTCCATTCAATAAGCTGGAAGGCTTTTACTTCTTCTTTAATTTCTCTGACAGTCCTCCTAAACATGTCTTTTCATAGCATAAATTCATCTGTCACCATTCACTTGTTAAAAATATGTTGAACATCTACTCCTCTAATCTAGAGATGAATCACCGTTCATGACCTCAAGGCACTTACAGAAGCAAGTGGAGATAAAATTACAATAGGAGACCCACACTTCATCTGGAATTGAGAAGAGGTGGTCAAGAAGACTTTGGAGAAAAAAAAGTATTTTTTTAAGTCTTTCATTTGTAAAGACAAAACACTAGCAGTTAAAACAATAATATAACCAACAACATAATCAAGTGAGTCACAGGGTTCGATGATAGTTTCCTACTACAAGGCTTTCAAATAGTTATTTAAATTTCATTTCTGCATAATTTTTACTAGCATGTATAAAAAGAAATCAGAGTAGAACTCAGGATCTCTTTTTTCCTTTTGTAAGAAAAGGAAAATACTGTTAGTCTTAGACTGTTTCCACTGCTATGACAAAATACCTCAGACTGTATATAAAGAACAGGAATTTATTTCTCACTGTCCTGGAGGCTGGAATGTCCAAGATCAAGCCACTACCATTTCATATCTTGAGAGGGCCTTCTTGCTGTGTTTGCACATGGCAGAAGAGATGGATGCTATGAGAAAGGCAGAAGGGCAACAGGGCCTTTATAAGGGAATTAATCCTATTCACAAATGCTGAGCCCTCAGGACTTAATCGCCTCCCAAAATCTCCCTTTTTAATACCATCACTTTGAGTTTTAAGTTCCAGCATATGAATTTTTGAGCAACATATTCTTTTAAACCATAGTGCTTTCGTCCTTCCATCATGATCAGGACTAGTTCATATCCATTCAGACAAGAGAAAAAGTAAGCAAAAAACGGGATTGATCACCTACTACACTTTCTTGAAATACTGGCAGATTGGCTTTTTGGGTTTGAGATCTGACAACAATACCCTTCTGCCTTCAGCATTTGAACCTCATAGGAACACAAATGGGAATGAAGGAAGGAACTAAAGTTTTTTTTTCTTTGAAACTTTAAGCAAACATTAGTTTGCATTAAGAGATGAGCAGTAAAATTAAAATTGCATTCCAAATTATCTTATCAGAATAAATAAGAATGCATTTAAGCTTAATCAAAGATAGCTTAGAAAATATATAACACACTATTTCAGATTTTATATTATTTACAGCTCAACGTAAGTCATCTTGTGTAATAGAGAGTAGAGGAGCAGCAAACCTGTCATTCAAGATGACCTAATAGCTTTAGATATTCACAGAACTATGAGTTATAGAAAGAATTTCCTTGCTTTGTGTTTATGAAAACTAAGAAAATGCTTATGATGGTGATGATGTGGCTTAGGAAAATAATTGGAGAAATATGAATTGCCAATATGTTAAATTTTAAGCTAGAATTTTAAGAAAAATACATGCTATAAACCTTTGAAATCTCTATATCCTTCTTTTGATCTATTAATGCCTAAAAGATGCATAAATAAATTGTCCAATCTCAAAAGAATTACTATTTCAGGGAGATAAACTTTGGTAAATACAAAAAGACCTCTGAGTTGTTGCTAAGTAAAAAAGGCATTTTTCATTTGTGAGATATAGGAGTTGTGTTTTAATTGAAAGAAATTATTGCCAAGTGGAATGTTGATGTAGACTTGAAAGAAAAGGACTAATATTTCCAATTAGAGAAACAAATTATAGTTAAGAATTATGATGCTCAGTGGAAGTCTTTTATAGGCTTCACCTCATTCTTCCCAGAAAACATATCAGTAGAAGAGGGAAAAGAGATATTGAATACAAATGCACAGTTTCTGAACATCCCTACATTGATTATTTTGACTTATATTTTTCTTCATACTAACTAAGAATCACCTTTTCCTACACATTTATATTTGTGGTATTGAGTGAACATTTCTGTTCACACTGCAAAATTCTAATATATATGGTTTATGAAGCAGAAGTGAGAGTTATGAACTGTGTGAAGGTGCTATGACTGGCCAATGAATTGGTAAGAAGGACACAGATCCACACATCACAAAGTATGGTATTACCTAAAGACAAAAGTCCTTATAGGAGGCAGAGGAGCCATCCAAGAGTAGAGCATTTGCAGTACATTCCACTAGAACTCCCCCTGAACTCTACAGGCCCAAGTCGGATGCTGGTGATCCTGCCTATGCCAAGATCAGGAAACCACAAGTTTTTATATCTTCCCTGTCCCCGCCTTTATACTATCTATTGTATCACATTGTATCACCTTTCCAGGAAAATTCATGTTAATAATTAATATTTTTCTACTTTACATGGAATTCTCTTTGTTATCAAATTAAATTCAGCATCATTAGGGTCAGATTCTTTTGAGATTAGGGGGCTAGGAAATGGCAAAGTGCTTTTTTCCACATGGCCCTGAATGCTATCCAGTTTTTCAATACTCTAAAAAGCAATTCTGGGGGCCACATATGGAAAGAAATACACTTTGTCAAATGGTTACTCATTATTTAAATTTCACTTCAGGTTACTTTATATGGAGTCAGTCTTTCCTTGTTCTCTATTATCAAATCAGATTTCTCTTTTCAGTAGTCCTTGTAGGACTTATTTTTAATAATTAACCTTGGTCTAAGTTTTTTGTTGCAAAGTAGAACCCATTCAATATAGTTTAAGCAAAATTAAGGAAATCGGTTTGACATTTGTAGGGTTATCACAAGAAAATCAAAGGCAGAGACAGTAATAGAGTCTTCAAGAGACCAAAGAAAAGAAAAACCTCCAAAACCAGGGATTTTCTCTCTCATCCTCTCTTAGTCTTCCCCTCCCCACCTAGGTTAAATAATCTCTTGCCTCTGGTTTTCTCCATGAATCTGTTTTCCTCTCTTCTTCTCTTTTTCCTTTACGAAAAATCAGGTATCTCTACATTCTGGTCCAACATGGCTGCCCTAGCCCCAGGGTTACATAACCACAGTGTTTAATTGCCTAGTCTATGCTTTCTGCATTCCTCTATCAAACTTCCAAGAAAGCGAGTCTGATTGGCCGAGGCTGGTGGGATTTGTAGTCATCTGCAAACAGAGATGTGGGGTTTACAGTTCCTGTGGGACATGGAGCAAGGAGAGTGGTAATGGACTATTCCTCATCCGAAGATGGGGACTCACGATACACAGCAGTGCCTTTACCAACGTTTCTGAAACAATAGCATCACATTCCACTTAATTGCTTCCTTGTATGTTTTCCCTTCAAACTTGTGTGTTTTTTCAAGTTGGAAATTATGTATTTCATATTTGAAAACTAGTTTTCTTCTCATTCTAACGCTTTCTCTCATACCTATAACCATTAAGCTAGTTCCTTAATTAAAATAATTTGAGACTAACTTAAAAACTGTTCTATGTTTTATCCCTTACTTATATTCTCATATCATCAAGCCTTGTTATTTCTTCTTCTCTAGCGTATTTATTATTCATTTATTCTGTCTTATTTCTCTTGTCACTTCTTACTATCAACCCTGATCACCTCACATTTGCATAACTTCAACAATCTCTTTATTAACCCCTCTATCTTCAATATCTTGCCTCTCCAATACATGCTTTGCATTACCAGTACAGAAAAATAAATTTGAACATCGTATTCTACAGGTAATTTACAACAAAATGGCCATAGATTCATACAAAGCCAAGAGGTGTGGGAACTGAGGCTTTGAGAAGTTAAATAAATCACTGTGCATGGAGGACCTTGGTGGCTGAGATGGATTCAAGCACCTGTTCTCTAACTTCAGAGGAGGCTGCGGAAGGAGTTTGAGATTTTTGGCAAGAAATACAAACCTTTTATATCACCAACTCCATTTGCTTTTCCACTTTGAACAAACTACTTAGCAACTCAACAGTTACTGTTTCCTCTGTAAAGTTAATATTCTAATACTTACTTTCTAAGACTGGTTTGAAGATCAATATTATTATTAGCATATTGCCAGGCACCAGGAGGTATTTAATGACTATGTTTATTCTTTTTCTCAGTTTAATGTAATGGTCTTCTGGTCCTTATTGAATTCATAATTCATAACTTTAATTTTGTGATTTACTATAAACTTGCAAGCATTTTTACAAACCTGTGCATGGAGTGAGGAAGATATTTAGATTTATTTTACCAATAAGTAAATCAAGACTCATAGATGATAGGAGTTACCCATAACTTACCCGTGACTCATAATGAATGATACATGAGTATCATTATTATCTCTCCAAGTTGACTGAAAGTTTCCTGAGGACACAAGAATGTTTTAAATTTTATCTTTAAAAATATGTATCAATTATAAATTAAGATATATAATGCAGTCTTTAAAAGTATAAACGGTCATTTCTGCAAAAGCTCCTTTATCATCATAAACATGCTTAATTAACTTCAGCAGACTTTAGCTTTCTTATTAGTAAAAAGAGGATAACAACACTAACTTTCTGATTTAAGAATAATGTGCAATATTGAGAATACCCAGACTATAACAAATACTCAGCAAATAAGATCTCCAGTATAAATAAGCAAGAAATAGTTGCACATGGCAGTAAATAAGTCTCAGGAAATGTGATGATTTTATAAGGGGTTTCCACTCTGCTTCTTCCTCATTTTCTCTGGCTGCCACAACGTAAGAAGTGCCTTTCACCTTCAGCCATGATTGTGAGGCCTCTTCACCCATGCAGAACTGAGTCCGTTAAACCTATTTTTTTCCAGTTTTGCGTATGTAGTTATCATCAGTATGAAAATAGACTAATACAGTAAATTGTTACCAGTAGAGTGGGGTGCTGCTGAAAAGATACCTGAAAATGTGGAAGTGACATTGGAATTGACTAACAAGCAGACATTGGAACAGTTTGGAGAGCTCAAAAGAAGATAGAAAAATGTGGGAAAGTTTGGAACTTCCTAGAGACTTGTAGAATGGCTTTGACCCCTGAAAGCTGACAATGATATGGATAATTAAATCCAGGCTGAGGTGGTCTCAGATGGAGATGAGGAACTTGTTGGGAAGTGAAGTGAATGTGACTCTGGTTATATTTTAGCAAAGAGATTGGTGGCATTTTTCCCCTGCCCTAGAGATTTGTGGAACTTTGAACTTGAGGTAGGTGATTTAGGATAACTGGTGGAAGAAATTTCTAGGCAACAAAGCATTCAAGAGGTGACTTGGGTGCTGTTAAAAGCATTCAGTTAAAAAAAAAAACAGAGCATAAAGTTCAGAAAATGTGCAGTCTGATGATGCAACAGAAAAGAAAAACGCATTTTCTGAAGAGAAATTCAAGCCAACTATAGAAATTTGCATAAGTAATGAGGAGTCAAATGTTAATTACCAAGACAATGGAGAAAATGTGTCCAGGGCATGTCAGAGACCATAGCAGCAGGCCCTCCCATGCCAGCCCTGGAAGCCAAGGATGAAAAACTGGTTTCATGGGCCAGACCCAGGGCCCTCAAGTCTGTGCAGCCTAGGGACTTGTTGCCCTGTATCCCAGCCACTCCAGCCATGGCTAAAAGGGCCCAAGGTACAACTCAGGCTGTTGCTTCAAAGGTGCAAACCCCAAGCCTTGGCCACTTGCATGTGGTGTTGAGCCTGCTGAGGCACAGAAGTCAAGAATTAAGGTTTGGGAACCTCTGACCAGATTTCAGAAGATGTATGGAAATGCCTGGATGCCCTGGCAGAAGTTTGCTGCAGAAGCGGGACCCTCATGGAGAACATCTGCTAGGGCAGTGGAGAAGGGAAATGTGAAGTTGGAGCCCCCACACAGAGTCCCTACTGTGGCACTACCTAGTGGAGCTGTGAGAAGAGGGTCACCATCCTCCAGACCCCAGAATGGTAGATCCACTGACAGCTTGCACTATGTGCCTGGAAAAGCCACAGACAATGCCATCCTGTGAGAGCAGCCAGAAGGGGGGCTAAACCCTGCAAAGCCACAGGGGTGGAGCTGCCCAAGGTCATGGGAGCCGATCTATCATTTTGTAGCTTTAAAATGTGACCACCCTGCTGGATTTTGGTTTTGCTTGGGCCCTGAATCCCCTTTGTTTTGGCCAATTTCTCTCCATCGTAATGGCTAAATTTACCCAATACTTTTAACCCCATTGTATCTAGGAAGTAACTAACAGGCTCATAGGCAGAAGGGATGTGCCTTTTCTCTGATAAGACTTTGTACTGTGGATTTTTGAGTGAATGCTAAAATGAGATAAGACTTTGAGGGGACTGTTGGGAAGGCATGATTAGTTTTGAAATGTGAGGGCATGAGATTTGGCAGAGGCCAAAGGAGGAGTAATATGATTTGGCTTTGTTGCCCCACCCAAATCTCATCTTGAATTGTACTCCCATAATTTCCACATATTGTGGGAGGAACCCAGTGGGAGATTATTGAATCATGGGGGTGGTTTCCACCATACTGATCTCCTGGTAGTGAATAAATCTCATGAAGAAGGGGTTTCTGCTTTTGCTTCTTCCTCATTCTCTCTTGCCACCATCATGTAAGAAGTGCTTTCACCTTCAGCCATGATTATGAGGCCTCTCCAGCCATGTGGAACTGTGAGTCCATTAAACCTAATTTTCTTTCCAGTCTTAGGTATATTTTTATTATCAACATGAAAATGGACTAATACAGTTATGAATTATTTCCTCCTTTTGTATTTTTGGAAGATTTTGAGAGGGATTGGTATTAATTATTAGTTGTTTAAATGTTTGTTAGAATTCACTGGTGAAGCCATCTGCTTCTGGATCTTCCTTTGTTGTGAGATTTTTTTTATGCCTTGTTCAATCTCTGTACTGGTAGTTCTGTTAAGACTTTCAATTTCAAGTTGATTTTTTATAATGTGTGTTTCTAGAATTTTTAAAATTTCACTTGGGTTATCTGACTTGTTTTTTACAATTATTTAAAGTACTTTTTATAATCCTTTTTATTCCTGTAAGGTATCCTCATTTTCACGTATGGTTTTAATAATTTTTCTCAGTCAGTCTAGTGAAAGATTTATCAGTGTCATTGATCTTATAAAAAATGAATTTTTGTTTCATTGATTTATTGCTTTTCTATTCTCTATTTTATTTATCGGTACTCTGATCTTTATTATTTTATTTCTTCTGTTAGCTTTGATTATATTTAGCTGTTCTTTTCCTAGTTCATTAGAGTTAGGTTAGTATTTGGAGGTCTCTCTTTTTTTTCTTTTTAGTGTAGACATTTACAGCTTAAATTTCTGTAAAAGCACTGCTTTCATTGCATATCATAAATTTTGACAAGTTGTGTTTTCATGTATGTTTATAAGAAGTATTTTCCAATTTCTTTAGCAATTTCTTCTTTGACTTATTTGTTGTGGAAGAGTGAATTGTTTAATTCACACATATTTATAATTTTTAAATTTTTTTCATTTTGTTATTGATTTCTATCTTCATTCAATTATGCTTGGATTATATATTTTTATAATTTAAATATTTTAAAATATATTGATACTTATTTTATGGCCTAATATTGTATATTATGGAGAATGCTGTGTGTTCTTGAAAAGAATATATGTTCCACTGTTGTTGAGCAGTGTGCTCTCTACTTGTCTGTTTATCTAGTTTTGTTCATCTGTTGTTTCTGTCTTCTATTTCTATAATCATCTTCTGTCATATTCATTATTGCAAGTGTGTTATTGAAGTCTCAATCTGTTATTGTAGACCTGCCTTTCTCTGCTTTCATTCCTTCAATGTTTAACACACATATTTTGTGGCTCTGCTGTTTTGCACCTTTCTTTTATAACTGTTATATTGACCCTTTTGTCAATTAATAAAATCCTTCTTTGTCTCATAACAATTTTGAGTTCATTTCTTTTCCGATATTAGTACAGCCACATCAGCCTTTGTTTTGCTTACTATTTGCACAAAATATATTTGTCAATAACTTGTTTTTGAATCTATGTGTGTCATTTAAGTCAGTCTCTTTTAGAAAGCATACACTTGGGCTAGATTATTTAATTGTAAGTTTAACCAATTTACACTTAATGTAATTACTGAACAATAACATAGTTCTGGGTTTTTTTTAACTTTTATGTTAGGTTCAGTGGTATACGTACAGGTTTGTTATATAAGTAAATGAGTCATGGGGGGTTATATACAGATTATTTTGTCATCCAGGTGTTAAGTTTCATACCCAATAGTTATTTTTTCTACCCCTCTCCCTTCTCCTACCTTCCACCTCTTCCTCTTTATGTCCATGTGTTCTCATTACTTAGCTCCCACTTATAAGTGAAAACATGTGGTATTTGGTTTTCTGTTTCTGCATTAGTTTGCTAAGGTTAATGACCTCCAGCTCCATCCCTGCCCCTGCAAAAGACGTGTTCTCGTTCTTCTTTTATGGCTGCATAATATTCTATAGTATACATGTACTATGATGTTTTATCCAGTCTTCCACTAATGGGCATTTAGATTGATTCCTTGTCTTTGCTATTGTGTGTAGTGCTGCAATAAACATACATATGCATGTGTCTTTATCATAGAATGATTTATATTCCTTTGGGTATATACTCAGTAATGAGATTGCTGGGTCAAATGCTCGTTCTGTTTTTACGTCTTTGAGGAATCACCACACTGCTTTCCACAGTGGTTGAACAAATTTACACTCCCATCAACAGCATATCAACATTTTTGTTTCTCCACAACCTCACCAGCATTTGTTATTTTTTGCCTTTTTAGTAATAGCCATTCCGACTGGTGTGAGATGGTATCACATTGTATCTTTGATTTGCATTTATCTAATGATCAGTGATACTGAGCTTTTTTTTCATATGCTTGTTGGTTGCATGTATGTTTACTTTTGAAAAGTGTCTGTTCATGTTCTTTGCCCACTTTTTAATGAGGTTTTTTTTTTCTTATAAACTTAGTTAGCTTCCTTATAGGTGGTGGAATTAGACCTCTGTCAGATGCATAGTTTACAATTTTTTTTTCTTGTTCTGTAAGTTTGTCTGTTTACTCTCTTGGGAGTTTCTTTTGCTGTTCAGAGCTCTTCAATTAGGTCTCATTTTCAACTTTTGTTTTCATTGTAATCACTTTTCATATCTTTGTCTTAAAATCTTTGCCAGTTCCTTTGCCCAGGATGGTATTGCTTAGGTAGTCTATTATGGTTTTTATAGTTTTGGGTTTCACATTTAAGTCATATAGCTCCTTATATCCCTTTCCACCAAGTACCTAGAATTCACCATTTCACTTTCTGTCTTTGTGAATTTGACTACTCTATGTGCCCCATACAGTATAGTCATATAATATATGTTCTTTTGTGACTGGCTTAATTCACCTAGCATGATTTCTTCAAGGATAATCCATGTGGAAGCATGTGTCACAATTTTCTGTCTTTTCAAAACTGAATAATATTCCCTTAATAATAATAATGTACATCCATTTTGTTTATACATTCATCTATTCATATATTTTTGGGGTTTTTTTTTCCCATGTTTTGGCTATGGTGAATAATGCTGCTAAGAACACAAGTGTACAGATATCTATTCTAGTTATTGCTTTCAATTTTGGGGGGTATATGCTCAAAAGTGTAATTGATGGATTATACACTAATTTTATGGTTACTCTTTGGAGAATGTTTCCTACTTTTTGTCAGTAGCAGCTGCAACATTTACATTCCTAACAGCAATGCAAATTCCACCATTTCTCTACATTCTCATGATTAGTAATTTTCAGGGTTTTTTTTGTTGTTGTTGTTGTTTAGCCACAGCCTCCATAATGGATATACAATGGTATCTCTTTGTGGTTTTGATTTGCATTTCCCTAATGGTTAGTGATGCTTTGCCCTTCATGAGCCTATTGGCCAATTGGACATTGCCTTTTGAGAAATGTCTTTCCAAGTCCTTTGCCCATTTTTAATTTTTTTTTTTTTTTTTGAGTCAGAGTCTCGCTCTGTCGCCCAGGCTGGAGTGCAGTGGCACAATCTGGGCTCACTGCAAGCTCCGCCTCCTGGGTTCAGGCCATTCTCCTGCCTTTCTCCTGCCTCAACCTCCTGAGTAGCTGGGACTACAGGCGCCCACCACCACGCCTGGCTAATTTTTTTTTTTTTTTTTTTTTTTTTTTGTATTTTTAGTAGGACAGGGTTTCACCCTGTTAGCCAGGATGATCTCGATTTCCTGACCTCGTGATCCGCCGCCTTGGCCTCCCAAAGTGCTGGGATTACAGGTGTGACCACGGCGCCCAGCCCTCCTTTTCCCATTTTTTAATTAGTATTTTTGGTTTTTAGTTATTGAGTTGTAAAAGTTATTTACATATTCTTTATATTAATCACTTATTAGATATATAATTTGCAAATATTTTTCCACTTCATGAGTTGCCATTTTACTTTGTTGGTAGTGCCCTTTGATGTAGAAAAGTTTTAAATTTGATTTTCAATTTATGATGTTTTTGCCTGTGCTTTTGTTGTCATATTCAACTAATCATTGCAAAATCCAGTTTCTCAAAGGTTTTTCTTCTTTGTTTTCTTCTGAGTTCCATAGCTCTAGCTGTTATGTTTAGCTCTTTTATCCAGCTTTAGTCAATTTTATATATGTATAAAGGGTTCAACTTCATTCTCTTGTATGTGAATAACAACCTTTCCCAATGCCACTTTCTCAAAAGACTGTGATCTTTCCATTAAATAGTCTTGGCACTCACGTCTGAAATTATTTCACCATATATAAAATATTTTATTTCTGAGCTTTCTGTTTTATTGCATTGTATCTATATCTGTCTTTATGTTGAATTATTCTTGTATTTCCAAGAATAGATCCCACTTGGTTATATACTCCAATCTAATTGGTATATTGTTGAATTCAATTTGTTAGGGGCACTGACTCTCCATAAAGTCCAAAATCTATGGATAATTTTAACTCCCTAAAATTTAACTAATAATAGTCTACTATTGACCAAACATAGTCAATTAACACATATTTCATATGTATATGAATAAAGTGAGCTACAAAAAAGAAAATAATATTAAGAAAATCATAAAGGGTATATTTACTATTAAGTGTAAATGGATCATCATAAAGATCCTGATTCTCATTGGCTTCACACTGAGTTGGCTGAAGAGAAGGAGGAAGAGGAGGGTTTGGTCGTGCTGTTTCTGGGATGGCAGAGGTGGAAGAAAATCTATGTATAATTCGGCCTATGCACTCCAAATCTATGCTGTTAAAGGGTCAACTCAGTGTGTATGTGTCTGTGTGCGTGTGTATGTGTATATTTTTAATGATCATAATTATCTCAATCTCAATTGATACAGAAAAAGCAAAATTCAACTCACTTTTTTTTTTTTGATGGAGTCTCACTCTGTTGCCGAGGCTGGAGGGCAGTGGTGTGATCTCGGCTCACTGCAACTTCCACCTCCCAGGTTCAAGCAATTATACTGCCTCAGTCTCCTGAGTAGCTGTGACTACAGGAGCACACCACCATGCCTGGCTAATTTTTAATTTAATTTTATTATTATTATACTTTAAGTTTTAGGGTACATGTGCACAACGTGCAGGTTTGTTACATATGTATACATGTGCCATGTTGGTGTGCTGCACCCATTAACTCATCATTTAGCATTAGGTGTATCTCCTAATGCTATGCCTCCCCACTCCCCCCCACCCCACAACAGGCCCCAGTGTGTGATGTTCCCCTTCCTGTGTCCATGTGTTCTCATTGTTCAGTTCCCACCTATGAGTGAGAATATGCGGTGTTTGGTTTTCTGTCCTTGCGATAGTTTGCTGAGAATGATGGTTTCCAGCTTCATCCATGTCCCTACAAAGGACATGAACTCATCCTTTTTTATGGCTGCATAGTATTCCATGGTGTATATGTGCCACATTTTCTTAATCCAGTCTATCATTGTTGGACATTTGTGTTATAGAGACAGGGTTTCGACATGTCAGCCAGGCTGGTCTTGAACTCCTGACCTCAGGTGATCCACCTGCCTTGGCCTCACAAAGTGCTAGGATTATAGGCATGAGCCAGCACGTCCAGCCTCAACTCACTTTTATGATTAAAAAACACTCAACAAAGTAGGAATAGGAGGAACTTTCTTCAATATGATAAAGGTCCTATATAAAAACCCCACAGATAACAGTTTCTTACTCAATTTTGAAGAACTGAAAGTTTTTCACCAAATATGCATATATATGGCATGGACATGCATTATAAACCTCAAAATATAGTACAAATATTTTTGCTTTAAACACTAATACAGTCATAGGCTTAAAAAAATTAAAAAATAAAAAGGAAATATATATGTTTATGTATGAAGAGAGACACTTAAATATTTCAAATATATTTAATATTTATTTTATTCTTTATTATTTCTAGTAAATTTGAGTTTATCACCTAGTAACTTTTTTCTGTAAAATTATTTATTTTGAGTAATTTTTTTAACATTTCTAGTAATTCTTGACTGCTAGTAATAAATTCTGTTTTTCTTTTTGAAATATTATTATTTCACCCTCTAATTCAGTTTTACTGTGTATGAAAATCTAGGTTGACTGTTTTACTTTTACTTTCATCACTTTCGAGATGCTGTTTCAACATTTGATGGCCTGCATAATTTCCAGTGGGTTTTAGCCATCACTTGTATCATTGTTTCCTGTATGTAATTGCTGTATTTCCTTAGGCCACTTTCAAGATGTCCTCTTAATGCCTGGACTTCATGGATATAACTAGATGTGAGTTGGTTTTGTTTTTAATTTTATCATATTTTGCTCTTTGAAGTACATATTTTTTTTCTTGGCTCTTTAAGTTGATATATTTCATCAATATTGGGAAGTTGTAGAATATATTTTTAATCACTTTTTTTCTGCTTTATTCTATCGCTCTTCTAAGACTCAACATACACAATCTAATAATTTGATCTTGTCCTGAAGCACACTGGGGCTTTTCTTTCATCTATATTTTTTCCTGTGTTTTGTTTTTCATGTTAGATAATTTCTTTTGATTTATCTTAATAATCGTGGCTCTCTTTTTGCCGTTTAAATCTTCTGTTAAAATTATTTGTTAACTTTTTAAAAATTTAGCATGTCAGTTATGAAACTTCCAGTTCGTTTTTTTAATATACATTTCCAAGTCTCTATTGATATTCTCTACCTATACATTAATTACACATATATCTTTAATTTTAAAAAAATATTACCCTGTTTCCCAGGCTAGAGTGCAATGTCATAATCATAGCTCACTGTAACCTCAAACTCCTAGGCTCAGATGAGCCTCATTGCTCCAACTTCCTGAGTAACTAGGACTAGAAGTGTGTGTCACTGTGCCTGGCTAATTTTTATGATTTTTTTTGGCGGTGGGGTGTAGAGATGGGGTCTCATTATGTTGCTCAGACTGATTTTGAGTTACTGGGCTCAAGCAATCCTCCTGCCTCAGTTTTCCAAAGTGCTAAGATTATAGGTGTGAGTCACTACACGTTGGCTAATTAAACATATATCTTTCTTAAGTTCTAGAATATGTTTCTAGTAGCTGCTTTCTAGTTGTGATCTGCTAACTACTAATTTGGATCTTCATGAGACTGATGCCTATTGTCTTTATAAAAATTACTCTTTTGTCATATTTCCCATCTCTTTGCGTGCTTTATACTTTTTGATGTCATATTAGATATGTTTTAGATACTATAGGTTCTGGTGTGTTTCTCTGATAAAGAATTCTCTAGTTGTTAATGTTCTACAGGGTAATTAATTTAACTTGATTTAAGTTCCAAACTCTGTCTTACCTGCAATAACCAACAGCTGAAATCTCTCTTCAGTTTTTTTATTCTTTAGTTTCTTTATGCTGGGCTCTGTGTCGTCACTCCTAGGCATGCATAATTTAACAATCAGCAAATGATTTGATAAGTGGATTTTATCATCGGATTTTGGAGGCCCAATCTCTGTATGGTTGATTCCTTTCTAGGATCTCCAATCCTGTTGATTTTCTGGCCATTCTGAAAGCCATAAATTGTCCTCTGATACTTCAAACCAGTAAAACAGTAGTTTTGTTTTTGTTTTTGTTTTTTTTTTTTTTTGAGACGGAGTCTCCCTCTATCGCCCAGGCTGGAGTGCAGTGGCGCGATCTCGGCTCACTGCAAGCTCCGCCCCCCGGGTTCACGCCATTCTCCTGCCTCAGCCTCCTGAGTAGCTGGGACTACAGGCGCCCGCCACTACGCCCGGCTATTTTTTTTTTTTTTTTTGTATTTTTAGTAGAGATGGGGTTTCACCAAGTTAGCCAGGATGATCTCGATTTCCTGACCTAGTGATCCGCCCGCCTCGGCCTCCCAAAGTGCTGGGATTACAGACGTGAGCCACCGCGCCCGGCCACAGTAGTTTTCTATAGCCTGTGTACTAAGGCAAAAAACACAAAGTTGTAAATCGCACCTGCCTGATTTCTCCTTTCAAAAGTCTACTACTGTCTTAGTTAATCTCCAGTTCTATCAAATAGGGCTTTAAAAATGTTTACTTAGATTTTATAATTATTATATTTGGGAAGGCTAACCTAACATTCTCAAAATCTACCAATTTATGGAGTATTAGTTGTAATTATGCTCTTAGTTAATTTCTGGTAATCATGTTGATTATTTTTCCAATCAACTTCTTCTTTGTAGTTTCTTGTTTCATATACTTTGAAGCACACATTTTTTTTTTCCGTGTGCACATTTAACAGAGCCGTATTTGAAATACTTATGGTTCAACATTCCTTTTCTTTTGTTTCTGTTGGTTTTCTTGCATGGCGTTTTTTATTTCCTTGTGGACATAGTTACTTTTTATTGTATGTTACCTATTTCTGTTTTACATTTTGTGACCTAGAATGAAATTATTTTGATCTAGAAAGTTTTGATATTTTTTTCTTGTCAGTGCGTAGGGTCACACTAATTAAGATTACTCAAATTAAAATTTCAGCTTGGAAGATCTTTAGCCATCCAAGCTGTAAACAATTCGTTTCAAATTCTTGGTCACATTTTACCCCCCCAATTCTTTCTCAAAATATTATATTTTCATGTTGTTTACTTTCATTTGGGAATGTGTTTAGTTCATAATTTTAATGAAGTGTAACTCTTTATTCTCATCATTTTATTTAAGACGGTTTCTCCTTGGATATTCTACTGTGTATAGGACATAGATTTACTCATCGGCTCTGTTTCCCCGTGAATCTGTTAAGACCAAGTCTCAACTACGTGGCTTGAAGTGAAAGCCAACAGTGAATTCAGCTTGTCATTCTAGAGTTCTGTCTTTACTTGGTCGTTGTTCTGAAAGGTTCCTAGAGGCTGATAATCTCTAATCCAAAAATCCAAAACTTTTTGAGCACTGGTATGATACCATGTGTTAAATTCCACACCTAACCTAACATAATAGGTTGTAGTCAAAACTTTGTTTCATGCATAGAGTTATTTAAAATACTGTATAAAATTACCTTCAGGTTGTGTGTATAAGGTGTATATAAAAAAATATGAATTTTGTGCGTAGACTTGGGTCTCATCCCCAAGACATCTTATTATGGATATGAAAATATTCCCAAATCCAACAAAATCTGAAATCTAAAATACATCTGGTTTCAAGTATTTTGGATAGGGGATACTAAACCTGTATTTACTTACCAAATCACCTGCACTTTTAAGATTTTTCTAAAAATAGATTTACTCAAACATTTTAAGGTATTTTTTAGGAGGAAGGCCTTAACTTACTGGGAAAAAATATTAAAAACTAAAAACACATTTTCCTTAATTTTTACAAGAATCTCATATGATTGTACAACAGTATTAGTCATTAAAATGTTCACTTTCAGTGAAAGGAAATTTGAACTCACAGAGTTGAAGTAACACTATATGTAACCAGCTTAGTAAGCTAAGATACTATAGTTGGAATTCAGGATCTTCTGATACAAAAATCCATGCTTCTTTCCAACACCAACCTAGGTTTGAATATTGACTCACAAAGTCAGCTGCTGTATGATTTGGAAACTTTCTCACCTATAAAAATGCAACAATAAAATCTTTAAGCATCATTTCTTAATGCTTAAATGAGATGATATATGCTTGAATATATGTGATAATATATGTGATTCATTTACCAGATAATTAACACTAAATAATTACTACAAATAATAGCTATGAAAATGTGTCATACATGTATGACAGTTATATGTGCACATATTTGAAACTAAACTCATAATACATTTATTGCTTGCAAAAAAATGCTTGTTGAATGAACGCATGAAGATATAAATGATGAGTAAATTAACCAACAAAATTACTGACTGTCGTAGCAATCTTAGCTAAATAAAGCAGCAATCACTCTGTCTTCACTATTCCCACATTTTTCAGGCATTTTGAAAAGTCCATTTTGACCCAGAACACAGTTCAGAATGTTTGTGTTCCTAACAACAGTTAAAACCATTTTCCAAGCATTTGTGTTATGCCCCAAAAGCGTCGTGGCTGAGTGGTCTGAGCAATCACACGTAGATGATGGAAGTCTGACCTTGACATTGGCTCCCAGAGCTGCTGCAAGAAAGTCACTTAACCTTGGGTTTCAGGTTCTTCATCTGTAAAATTGGGATTAAAAACACTTGCAGGCCCCTGAGGAAAATGTGGAAGATTTCTGAAAGGAAATGTGTTCGAAAGTGCTTTGAATGTGAATATGATTCCTAAAATAGCAAAAGATGAATATTTTCCTTTCTATTCCCGCTGGAATGCTTTTTCTCAGTCATGGAATTAAGTGTTGTAGAATCTAAGGTGTTCAAAAGCCTGAAAACTGGTGTCAGGAAAATCTCAGTGTTAATCAACTGTAGAACTACTGGGTTCTTCCTGGCACAGTCAGTAAAGCAGAAAGTGAAGATAATATTTTGAACAAAGGTGACCCTATCTCCTTTGTACTGTGGTTTCTGCAATCAACTCACTAGGACTATTCTAAATAATAATTTTACCAGAATGCTCAAATTTTCCTGTAGGAACAAGTTTGGCTTGGGAAAATATTAGAACATTTTGGAAGCTTGAAAAACTATCAAAACAATAAATCTGATGAAACTGAAGTATATCTATGGAGTCTTCGGTGAGGAAAAAATAAAATAAAAAATGAAGCTTCTATGGCTTAATCTGCTTAGGGTCATTTTTTATTCCTCTCATATGCCCTGGGGACAGAGCTTCCCTCTTTTATGTTTATATGCTTGCATCAAACTACTCTGTCCAGTCTGACCCACAATCAAATGAAAACCCAGAGAACTTCAGAGTTAGACAGAGGCAGATTTAGAATGCATTAGACAGAGGCAGGTAAAACACAAAATAACTAGACCAAGACTTGGAAATGATGACTGGGTGAAACCTGTGAGAATATAGGAGGCTTTGCAGCTTGGGGAAGTTTCTTGAATTGAAGAAGTAGTTACATAAATCAGGTCAAGTAAGGAGAGAAGTGACACAGCCTGGGTATACTCCAGAACTTGGAGATTTGGTGTCACTCTATATGTAAAAATTGAACACTGTGTCAGTTGTCCTGGGCCATCTTCATGCCTATGAGTCAGTAAATACTCAAAACTCTGCTGTTTTCAGTATATCTTCCCTAGAAACCATGGTAAACAATCAGGTGAGCCATAACAGGAGGAAACATAGGAAAGAGGCTTTGGACCTTAGTAGATATTTTATCTTTATTATTCTGACTCCTGGCTGAGAATAGAATTAGAAGGAAAGAGTTCATCAAATCACCCAGCCCATTAATTCCTTCTGACACAACATTTATATGCAGTCAATGAGCACAGACTATCAAAATGAAGCAATCCTTATTCCCTAGTTACAATTTGCATCTCTGAGGACCTTATAGACTAGATGACAAACTCTATGCTGAGTCGCTGACTCTGACCCAAAAGCTCAATTCTGAGCTACTTTGAATAGTCTTCCTGTAAACCCCTTAGCACTAAGGATAATGTCTATAAAAGTGCAATAAAAGTAAGCTTGTGTTTTGTTCATTATTAATTGGTTTCTTCTCCCATTTAATACCTTTCCCCTTATTTTTATTATTAAACATAATATCTTACATGATAATATCAGCAGGTGTGCTAAAGGCACTCCAAGAGTGAAGGCGAATGTTGAGTGTGATTACATAAGCCTTAAATGACAAGCATTAGCTAGAGCTAGAAATTGCTACAGCGTATGGTCATTTTGATCATTTTTACTATCCCATACATATTGCAAATGTATATATAATAATTGCTATCCTTTATTACATAATGCTGTCTATCTTGGTGTACACATGCATGTATTATTAGTCTCGGATATGAAGGGAAATATAAAAACATGGTTATAAATCTGGATCACAACCAACATGATACTTAGGTCTGCAGCTGGGTTGGGGCGGGGGAGTTCTCTCAATCCTTGGAGTCATTACCTAGATCTTCAAACCAATGAAATCTCTTTAGCCTGAGTAAAGGAAATAACTTCAAGAAGTGGCAATTTTTATAAGTGAATATTTTTAAAATGCACCACAGCCACTAATAAACAAAATAAATGGGGAGGGGTAGTCCTATTTATCAAAAACAAAGATTCAACGAAAAGCGATCAAAATACTGTGGTTGATAGCTCCGCCTCCTCTGTCCTGTGGGATTCAGAAGAACATGATGGGGACAATGGTGCAGGGCCCGATGAAGGCTTCTGTCCAACAGAGGAAACACATGGAGTTCAGGAATGCCTTGCTCTCTGCCTCCAGAGTAGTGTGTGTGTGTGTGTGTGTGTGTGTGTGTGCACACTCACTGCCAATTATACATATCACAGCACTTGAGAACTATTGCAAACAGCACCTGATGTCAAAAAAAGTAGCTATTTTTAATTTTATAAAAGACAGTCTCTTTTAAAATAAAATTATTTCTACACAAATAGGACCAGAATACAGATTTACAAAGTTACTTAAAGATTTAAATGACCTTCAACTTATCAGTATTTAATGCAATTTGTGTTACTACCTATGAAGAAAAAATAGTTTTCAATTAGAAGAAGAATTGGTGAAACTTAGAAGCACGGGAGAGAGTGAGTCTATGATCGGTGGGACCAATACACCATTTTTCACGGAAAAGAGACAGTCACTGAAAAACTTTCAGATTCCTTGCAAAAGACCATTACACTGTGAAATGGAGGCAGCAAACTATCCTTGCTCATGGGCCTCTGTTTCATCCCCATCCCTATTTTCTTCTCCTGTTTTCACATCTCCAAAGCAACTCAAGGCTGGCATAGTAGAAAAGGACATTAATGATGGCAACTTTTATTCTTAGTTTTCTCATGACTGTAATTTCTCATACGCAAAAAAGAGGAGGAAAATATACTGAAGTGAGTACTTCAAATATTTGATCTTCATAATAATATGTCCTTTTGTAAGTGAATAAATTTGCATCCTGCTTTTTATACCTGGGTAAAATTTGTTAAGACTTATCTACTTTTTTTCCCATAGGTTATTGGGTTACAGGTGGTGTTTGGTTACATGAATAAGTTCTTCAGCGGTAATTTGTGAGATTTTTATGCACCCATCACTGGTGCAGTATACGCTGCACCCTAGTTGTAGTATTTTATCCCTCACCCCCTTCCACTCTTCCCCCGCAAATCCCCAAAGTACATTGTATCATTCTTTTGCCTCTGCATCCTCATAGCTTAGCTCCCACATATCAGCAGAACATAAGACGTTTGGTTTTCCATTCCTGAGTTACTTCACTTAAAATAACAGTCTCCAAACGTACCTACTCTTGAGAGCTAGACTCACTCCCCTTCTTATGACATAATATAAGGTAACAAGGTGCAGAGGAAGGCCTTAGATATTGAGAAAATTATCCAAATTGTGAAAGCTTCCCAAGAGATATCTAGTTTTAAGGGCCACATTTCTGGCACAGGTCTTTTCCTGTGACTGAGAAATAATGATTTCATTTGTTTACATCATATATTTGATATCATTGGGGAGAAACTCTGTTACCTTTTATCACTCTGCTGCCTGTGATGAGAGCAGTTTGGAGTAGATTAAGGGTATAAGTAAGTGTATACTGTATTATTTATTTAATTTTTATGTATTTATTTATTTTTACTTTTTGAGACAGGGTCTCACTCCCAGGCTGGTGTGTAGTGGCATGATCATGGCTCATGGCAGTCTGGACTTCTTCAGCTTAGATGATCATCCTACCTCAGCCTCCTGAGTAGCTGTGACCACAGGTGTGTGCCACCATGGTTGGCTAATTTTTTAAAAAGTATTTTTGTGCAGGGTCTCAGTATGTTGCTCAGGCTGGTTTCTAAACCCTGTCCTCAAGCAATTCTCCTGCCACAGCCTCTAAAAATGCTGAGATTATAGGTATGAGCCACTGCACTCAGCCTTGTATACTGTTTTAGAGATAGCGTGGACAAGGCCCCTCTCTCAATAACCGAATATAGGATTACAGAAAATATTTAAACAATATATTAATAGTATAAGGTAGAAATAAATAAAACTAATAATAGCATCATATTCCTCATGAAATGGGAATAAAAAAGAAAGAGTAATCCCTTGCTTAAGGGGAGAGATGAGAAATTGTGTATTCTTATAGGAGATGAGAATTTAAGGCTGAGAAACTTCATAAACTACAAAAGAAAATTTCTCTTTTAGGTCATTAATAGAGCGAGATGTCCAGGTTGGTTGTGCTTACACTGTGTAGCCCACCATTTTCATGTTTCCTTGGTTCCCTGCTGCATGTTCACCTCTTTATTTTCCAAATAAAGGCCAGTCTGAGCCCCAGTTATGGACTTTGCTCTGCATTGGTTTGTTTTACATATATTTTCTCTCGTTATAGCTTTACAAGAATCCTGTGAGGTCATTGCCATAACCATTTTAGAGATGGATGCCCTGAGGTCAGAGGGTTAAAGGAATTTGCTCAGGGTTACACAGTTAATAAGTGGTGAAATTAGGATTGGAACTAAGGTCAGTTTTCTCCAAGGTACATGCTCTTTCAGTTATGCACTCTTATTTCGAATTGCGAGTCACCATCTGGCTTAGCAGCAAGATTAGAGGTTGGCACAATTACAGCTGGAATTTAAACATTATTTATTCATTTGCCATTGAGGCCTCATGGATGACTTAGGTCTGATGAGAAAAAAACACAGTGATAACAACAATTAAGGGTATTGACATAAAAAATGAAGAAACACTGTCTTTCCATAGGTTTCCACGTATGTATTCTTATTTTAGTATTACTTTAAAAATTGTTTAATAGACATTTGTTATATAAGGAAATTTACAACTATTGTGCTCTCTGTTTCACCTTATTACAATGGAGCCAGCCAAGTAATTTCATTTTAATTTCAACGTAAATTTCAAGTGTGCAGTACAACTTGTTATGATTTTAAAAATATTTATATATTTGAGTTCCCATTGATTGCTACCTTGTAATACTCAATGTTTCTACTACGGCACAATAATTTGTGTTGTAAAACTGCTTTAAAACTGTTAAAAACTGTTTTAACGCAAAAATTGTGTTAAAACAATTTTGTACAATTCATTATATAAAGTGGATTATTTCAGATATATATTTTTATGTGTGTTTAATGGAAAAAATCTCATCATGTTTGGTTGGATTATAAGTGTCTTTTTGAAAATGAATATTTTCATGAAAACTTAGTCTTAAAATGCACTTGGGGGGGTAGGTTAACCCCATCACTGTGAAGTGCTTAAGCACTCAGCCCACCTTAGAAGCAGGCTTATTGATTGTTGGAGTTATTGCAATACTCCATGTCAGTACATGAGTTCTGAGAAGTAAATGCCTTCTTGAAGATAGCTTGAGTCAAGAACAAAAGCAAATGTTACCAAAATGGTGTCTAGGGCCTTGTGCAGTCTCTAACTTTGCCTCTACTCCAGATTTGAAAGATCAGAATTTTGCTGCATCCTCAAAAATAGCAAATACTATTTGTCCAAAACTAACAATAACAATTATATGACAAATGGGGAACGCTGAAGATATACTGAATTCAGAAATAAGACAAATATCTAGTAAACACAGAGTCAATTGATTGGCCGAAGATAACGATTAGCACTGTGCAGTTCCCATCCAGGGATTTTCAATTTCACACAGGTTCACAGGTTTCTTCTGTTTAGCTCTTTCTTTGGTTCTTCTGCACTTGAATAGGACCAATTTCAAAATTCATCTTCCCCGAACTTTAAGTGATCACCAATGGTTACTTTCGGGATTGGTAGCAGGACCTACAGAAGTTCAATCAGCCAACAGAGCTTCAGAGCTGATTTTTTCCTGATGACCTATTGACCAAGCAGTAAGTGGACTTGATTTGTGTCAGCAGTTGCTTTATAATGAACACTAAAATGTGAACACCAAAAACCTGTTACCAGATTTCCAGTTAGTATCAGCCCCTATTGTGTCCTGTGAGAAATGATGCAGGCATACTCTCTTTAGTTTTGCTCATTGATTTGGAAAGGAATACACCTCTCATCTCAGAATTCTGTACGTTCCTGCATTAGACATTCTAGAAAATCTGCACCATGTTTGATTCTAGTTTTCATTAAGAGAAAAACAAAAGAAGGGAGAGAGAGTGGTTGCATCCATATAATCAAACTGATATAGGAAGAATGTCAGGTTGAATGGTATGAAATATGTTTCACTTTCTATAATTGTTTAAAATGTATTCATCAAATATGCAGAAAATTGACTTGTTGCCTGATCCTACTGGGGTTTGGAACAAAGACAAGTTGAAGGCACTAGAAAATATTTAGAAAAGTATATAGTAAACACTAATAACAGAATATTGACTGAAACGTACCAGGGATATTGTATAAATTATCATACATACTGCTTAGAGAAGCTAAGTACTGTTTGTACTTTGGCCTATGTGACAAGAGGCTGATACCTCTTGCTTATACTTTGAAATTGTTAGGAGAACAAAACAATATCAAGTATGGCACCAGAGGGAACGGTGACTCACACATGATATTTGATAGACCTGGGCATAAAACCTGCAGAGAAAGAAAAGGAATGTTATTTCAGATTGTACTATTTCTAGGCCATTTATGTGAAAAGTTAGTAAACTTACTAAGATTTTCATCATTGAAAAAATACCAAATTAATTAGTAACAAAGTGTCAAAATGATTATATGTTTGAATCAATTTTGTAGCAGCAATAATACAAATTCTGGCAAAACTTTTGGACCAAAGGAAAATAGTTGATTTTTTTTTAATAACAGCAAAAATGTAGTCTTCATATAGTGATAACCTAATGCAGTATGAGAAAGAGGCTTTAGGAAGAGATGAGTGGTGAGGGTAGTTAAATCCAACATCCATAACCTACTAGCTTTGTGACTTAATTACTTGGAAACTTCTCTGATGACTTAATCTCCTGAATAACTGAGATTCATAACATTTATAACAGGAGTATTAGAAGTAAAACAAGACATGTGAAATCACCTAGTATAATGTATGGTCTATTGTAAACACTCGATAAATGTTCATTTCTCTTCTCCTGTATAATTAAGCTAAGTCCATGTCATTGGTAAGCATCTTGGATGTACTTAGCCAACTTTTTCACAATTTTGGTACACAATTAATTCAAAACAACAAATAGATTTTCTACTTCTTTTACAAAATGTTACCTTTTTTGTAACATTTTATGAACTCATAAAAATGTCTAATTGGTCGATTTTGCATTGGTCTCTATCATGTTTGTTTTCTGTCATAAAGTACATTTCTTCAACTCTTGCCTCTTCTCCACATAATGTGTTCTAATAACCTAAAAAAATTCTGAAATTCTAAACTACCAGGTAAGATGAGCCTTTCATCAGCAACCCAGAAATTTAATAAAAGAATGACATATATTTAATTACATCTCAGTTCTCGCATCTCTATTCAAAACATCTGCAGCGATTACAAACCAGTAATGTGTCATTTAATTATTTTCTTATTCCTGCAAAGGACCCTCACAACTCATGGTAGGTTCCCTGGTTTTGGTTAAAATGAATTTATTCTTATTTTTTTTAATATTTGCCATTGGAGAAAATGTTTAAATTTATCTGAGTACTTCTCAATTTAATTGTAAAAAGAATATTTGCTATTCAGTCAGATTTCACTAATTTGAACTTGAGAGCAAAATCCTCATGTCTCCAATCATACCACAGAAAGAGTTGCTTGTAAGGAAAAATAATTTGAGACAAGGATTAGCTCATTGTAACCACAGGGAAAGAGACAACCAGACAAATCTTATTATTTGGTCAAAATTTCCTCAAGTGGAGGAATTTCTTGACAATAAAGAAGAGTTCATGGAAAGCAAGTGTTGATTACATCATCCATTTTTTTCTTTATTGGTGAAAAAAAATCGGAATGACACAGAAATTAGTTACCTGTAGCTGATATACTGAGAATTAACCAATGGACAATATTTGATTCCAGTTATATATTAGAATGGATGCTTTAAACAAGTTATATCATTTAAACAGAATATATATATGTATATATATTTACAGAATATATATGTATATATATTTACAGAATATATATGTATATATATTTTCAGAATATATATGTATATATATTTTCAGAATATATATATTTAAACAGAATATATATGTAACTTTTAAATGTAAAAAATTATCATTTGTTATTGAAAATAATACATACATATATGTGACAAGAGGCCGATACCTCTTGCTTGTGAGGTGTTATTTCAGTGTAGTTTACGTATGTATTATTTTCAATAACAAATAATAATTTTAAACATTTATGGGGTACAATGTGTTATCTCATTTATGTATATGTTGTGGATTGATTAAGCTAGTCAACATATCAATCATCTCATATACTTACCATTTTTTTGTGTGCAATGGATCTCAAAAACTAATTGCTCCTATCAAACAAGAATCTTATACCCTTGACCAACATCTCCCCATCCTCATTGCTGAGTCTGGCTTTTTTGGATTTCACATGTAACCGAAATCATGTGATATCTGTCTTTCTGAGCCTAGCTTATTTCACTTAGCCTAGTGTTCTCCAGATTCATGAGTGATGTCACAAATAACAGAATTCTTTCCTTTTTTAAGGCTGAAAAGTTTTCCATTGTATATACACAAATATTTCTTTATTCATCTGTCACTTAGGTGGATTTCATCCTTTGGCTATTGTGAATAGTACTTCAATAAACATGGGAATGCAGATATTTCTTCAATACATTGATTTCATTTTCTTTAAATATACACACAGTAGTGGATTATATGGTAGTTCTTTCTTTAATTCTCTGAGGAGCCTCCATGCTGTTTCTATAAATACTGTACTAATTTACACTTCCAAAATAGGATGCAAGTGTCCCCACATTCTCATCAACACTTGTTATCTTTTGTCTTTTTGATAATAGCCAAACTAACATGTGTGAGGTGGTATTTCATTGTAGTTTAAATTTGCATTTCTCTGATGATTGGTGATCTTTTTATATAATTGGCCATTTGTATGTTTTCTGTTATGAAATGTCTATTAACATCCTTTGCCTTTTTAATTATTTTAATTATTTTTTATTTATTTTTATTAATTATTTAATTATTTTCTTGCTTTTAAGTCTTTTTGTGTCAGAAGAAATTTATGTTATCAATTAGGTTGATTCTGATAAACTGTGGCAGAGAGAAGTTGACACCCAGTCTCCCTAAGGGCCTCTTCCCAATATCCTAATATTTCCTTTCTTTGGTTGCTTCCTTGATCTACCCAATGAAAGAAGAACTGTTCTCAAATGAGTAAATCTGACATTACTATGCTTTCACTGTAATGAAGTCTTTGTTTCTATAAATGTTTGTTTGCATGCATTTATATTCTTGTGAGCACAATATTTAAATATATAATAAACATACATCATATATGTGTATGTATATTTATATATATACATATATGCACACAATAAAATTGAGTTAAAATAAAAAAGATATAAAACGGAAGGAAAATATAAGTAGAATATTAGAATGGTATCAGAAGAGATTCATACCGTTGCATGTCAACACTGAGAAAAAAACTCAGTCCTGACCTTCCCAACAGCCAAAGCAAAGTGTAAAATGTTTGTCACAGTATCTAGTAAGAAAAGTATTTGAGTAATTGATTACTTTAAATCTGACTTTGATAACGTAAGAACAGTTCTTCTGTAGGCTAAATGTCACTAAAGTAAACACAGTATTTAATTTCCTTTAGGAGTTTATTTGCTACTTCCTCAACTCACAATAAGATGATAAAATAAAACAATTTTGTAAACGTGTGTCCCAAACTTTTCAGATGATAATAAAATGTGTTTCTTTTACATTCAGATTCCCAGGTTCTGTGCTAAACCTATGGAATCAGATCCTCCAAGAGAGAGGTTTGAGATTCTTTATTTTATTATTGTATTTTATTTTAAATAATCATATTGTAATTACGAGTTCTTTTATGTCTTTGTTATATTTGCAGTAAAATTGAACACCATTTTATTTTGGTTCCACCATTTATTACCTGAGTGGTCTTAGACCAATTACTTTGCCTCACTTAGATGTGTTTATACATTTACAGAGCCACGTGTAACTCATAAAGTTGTCATGGTGTTGAAATGACACACAGAAGGTGCCACTCAGGTAAATAGTAAATAGTTTTTATTCTTATCTCTCTTTATTTCAAAAACACCGCTGTTTCCTTTTAAAGAAATGCTTGACATTGCTAGAGATCACTATGTAATCAGACTGCTCTTTTGGACCTTCAGATTACACTGTGTGAACAAATGGATTGTTTGCTTTTAAAGGCAGCAGTAATAGGTCTTGGACTTGGGGACCTGTTCTAATTTAAAATATGCTGCCTTATTGTCAGTCACAACTTTCAGACATCCTTGCCTCATATTTTGTGCAGGATACATAATCATTTCTTGTATCTCCTTAAGTCAGGCCCTACTTTAAATGAAAAGATCAAGTCCTTTGGCTCTTAATCCATATGCTTTATCTTTAATAATGCATGAGCTCCAGATAAGTGCAAGATCTCTGTCTAGGGATTTTACACTGAAGGTATATTTTTAGCTTTCAATACAACTCAATGATATAGATATTATTTTCTATGTCATTTTTCATATGAAGGTGCTAAGGCATAGGGAGTTTGAGAGATTTTCTCAAGGTCACAGAGTTGCTGGTGACAGAGTTGTAACTGATCAATCTGTCTGGCTCCAACTCACTGTTTCTTCCAGGAGGACATGCATTTATTTTTTCATTTTTCAGTGTGGTAAAATAGACATAAAATATATCATCTTAGCCATTTTCAGTGTACAGTTCAGTGGTATTAAATACATTCATAATGTTGTGCAAACATTACTAGTATCCACCTTCATCGCTCTTTTCATCTTGTAAAACTAAAACTCTGTGCCCATTAAACAATAACTCACCATTCTCCCCTCCTTGAAGCCCCTGGCAACCACCATTCTTTTTGTATACCTATGATTTTGACTACTCAAGGTACCTCATATAATTGAAATCATGCTACATTTGTCCTTTTGTGACTGACTTATTTCACTTAGCATAATGTTCTCAAGCTTCATCCATGTTGTAGCACATGTGAGAATTAGCTTAATTTTAATAAGCTATATACAATATTTTGCTTATCTCTTTGTTCATTGATGGGACAGTCAGGTTGTTCCAGAATTGGTGTTATTTCTTCTTTAAAGGTGTAGATTTTGCCAGTGAAACCATTGGGTCCAAGGCGTTTCTTCATTAGTTGATTTTTGGTTACTGATTCCATCTTCTCACTAGTTATAGGTCTATTCAAATTTTCTGTTTCCTCTTAGTCTTTGTAGGTTTTGTGTTTTTAGAAATTTGTTCATTTCATCTAAATTATCAAATTTGTTGGCATACAATTTTTCATAATACTTTTTTGTAATTATTTTTATTTCTGTAAAATCAGTAGCAATGTTCTCACTTTTATTTTTAATTTTAGTAATTTGAGTCTTCTGTTATATTTCTTAGTCCCTCTAGCTAAAGGTTTATCTAGTTTGTTGATCTTTTCAAAGAGTAAGCATTTTGTTTTATTGATTTTATCTTTTTAAGTGCTCTATTTTATTTACATCTGCTCTAATCTTTATTATTTTCTTCCTATTGATAGCTTTTGGGTTCACTTGTTCTTCTTTTTCTAGTTCCTTAGGTTGTTAAGTCAGGTTGTTGATTTATTTCTTGTTATTTAATGTAAGCATTTATAGCTATGAATTTCCTCCCTTAGTACTTCTTCCACTGTGTCCCATAAGTTTTGAAATTTTGTGTTTTCATTTTAATTCATCTTCAAATATTTTCTAATATCCCTTGTGATTTTTTTTCTTCTATTAATTGACTGTTTAAAAATGTGTTGCTTAACATTCACAATTTTTTGAATTCTTCTGTTTTACTTCCGTTACTGACTTCTCCTGTTTGGTAGGCACAGATACATTTTATATTTATCTTTTTAAATCAGTTGAGGCTTAATTTGTGACCTAACATATGGTCTATGATAGAAAATGTTCTATGTGCCCTTGAGAAAAATGAATATGATTGTTATCATTGGATAGAGTGTGGCGGATATATCTATTAGATCTAGTTTGTTTATTATGTTATTGAAATCCACTGTTTCTTCACTTATCATTTGTCTGGTTTTGCTAACCTATTGAGGGTGGGATATTGAAGTCTCCTACTATTATTGTAGAACTATTTCTTCCTTCAGTTCTATAAGTTTCTGCTTTACATATATTGATGGAATGCCATTAAGTTCATGAATATGTATAGTTGTTATATCTTCTTGCTGTATAGAATGTTTTATTCCTATATTATGTCCTTCATATCTCTTAACCTTTTTTGATTTATAGTCGGTCTTATCGAGTATTAGTATAACCATTCCTTCTATCTTTTGGTTACTATTAGCTTGGAATATATCTTTCCATCTTTTCACTTTCAGTCTATTTGCATCTTTGAATCTAAAGTAAGTCCCTTGTAGAAAGCAAGTAGTTGAATTATGTTTTTGTATTCATTGTGCTAATATCTGTCTTTTGATTTAAAAGATTAAGCAATTTACATTTAAAGCAATTACTAAAAAGGAAGGATTTTACTTTTGTTATTTTTCTATTTTTTATATTCCTTATACCTTTTTTCTCCTTTTATTGTAAATTATTGTCTTTTGGGGGTTTTTTTGTAAAGAAATATTTATGTCTTTCTTATTTTCTTTTGTATATACTGTATAGCTATTTTATTTGTTGTTACCATTACAATTACATTTAACATCTTAAAGTTATAATGTTCTAATTTTAATCTTTACATATTATTGATGTTTAACTTCAATAATATGCAAAATTCTTATCCCTTAACAGTTTCATCTCCATTCCTTTTAGTTGTTTTACATTACAAAATTACTGTGTGTGCCTGAAAATGACTATTAATGATTATTTTACATGTGTTATTCCTTAAATTTTGTCAGAAGCAAAATGTATATTTGCAAACCAAAGTCACAATAATATTAGCTATTATACTAATAATTGTATTTAAAAAATTTTTGGTCTCTTAAATCACATAGAAAACTAAAAGTGTAGTTACAAACCATTGTTACAATAGTACTAGATTTTAAAATTTTCCAGGTATTTACCTTTGTGTTCTTTATTCATTTGGCTTCAAGTTACTGTCTAGTATCCTTTCAATTCTACCTGTAGGATTCCCTTAAGCATTTATTGCAGGATAGGTGTAGTGGAAATAAAGTTTATCTGTAGTGAAAAGCTTTTGTTTATCTGAGAATGTCTTAATTTCTCCTTTACTTTTGTGGGGTAGTTTTGCCAGCTATAGGTTTCTTGGTTGACAGTTTTAGGATTTTTTTCCTTATTCTTTCTTACAGTACTTTGAATATGTTGACTTTTACCTTCTAGCCTCTAAAATTTCTGAGGAAAATCTTCTGATGATCTCATTAATGGTACTTTGTATGTAATAAATTGCTTCACTCTTGGTTCTTCTGAAATTTTCTCTCTTTTCAAATTTGATCATAATGTGTCTCGGTGTGAGTATCTTTGAGTTCATCTTACTTGGAGTTCGTTGAGCTTCTTCAGTGTTTTCTTCATGTCCTTTATCAAATTTGGGAATTTTTTTATCTATTATTTCTTCAAATATTCCCTTTATCCCTTTGTCTCTCCCTTCTCTTTCTAGGACTCTTACAGTGCACACATTGGTTTCCATCATGGTGTCCCACAGTTCCCTTAAGCTCTATGCAGTTTTCTTTAATTTTCTTCCTGATACTCATACTTGATAATTTTCATAGTCCTGTGTTCATATTCGTTGATTATTTTATATACCTGCTCACATCGGCCTTTTTTTTGTTGTTTTTTTGTTTGTTTGTTTTTGAGATGGAGTCTCGCTCTGTCACCCAGGCTGGAGTACAGGTGCGCGACCTCGGCTCACTGCAAGCTCTGCCTCCCAGGTTCACGCCATTCTCCTGCCTCAGCCTCCAGAGTAGCTGGGAATACAGGTGCCCGCCACCACGCCCGGCTAATTTTTTTTTTTTTTTGTATTTTTAGTAGAGATGGGGTTTCACTGTGTTAGCCAGGATGGTCTCGATTTCCTGACCTCGTGATCCACCCACTTTGGCCTCCCAAACTGCTGGGATTACAGGCACGAGCCACCGTGCCCGGCGTCACATCCGCCTTTAAATGCCTTTAGTTAATTTTTTTTTTTTTAATTTTTGTACTTTTCAGCTACAGAAATCAATTTTGAAAACTTTTTAGGGCTTCGCTTTATTGAATATTTAATTTTCTTCTTACACTGTTTTCTTCACTTTTCCACATCTTCTTTTAGTTCTTTGAGAATTTTTAAGATGGTTGTTTACAAGATTTTGTCTAAGAGACTAGCCATCAAGTCTTCTTTTAGGAACATTTTCTTTTGATTCATTTATTTTTTTTTTTTGAATGCTCTATACTTTCATAACTTTAATACACCTTGTGAATTTTGTTGAAAATTGACATTTAAATATAATAAGGTGGTAAGTCTTGAAATTAGATTCCCCCATTCCCTCCTTTTTGGGGGCTTCCTGTTGTTTTGTTTGTTTGTTTGATTATTGTATGCTGTTTCTGTTCTAAGGATAAGCCTAATGGGTTAACTGAAGGTCTTCTCAGGCTTTTTCTGTGCCTGAGTCTTTCTCTGGACATGCACAGTCACTTAGTATATGCAGTTGATCTTTTTGTCATTACTTCATTTTAGAATGATTCCATAACTTTGCTATTATGAGTAATGGTGCAGTAAGCATGCAGGTGCAGGTATCACTTTGATATATTGATTTCCCTTCCTTTGTATAAGTAGCCAGTAGTGGGATTGCTGGACCATATGGTAGATCTATTTTTAAGTATTTTGATAAACTCCTTACTGTTTTCTGTAATGGCTGTACTAACTCACACTTCTAACAACACTGATGAGAATTCCCTTTTCTCTGCATTCCTGCCAGCATTTATTTATTTTCTCTTTGATAGTAGCCATTCTAACTGGGGTAAGATGATTTCTCATTGTGGTTTTGATTTTCATTTCCCTGATGATTAGTCATGTTGACCATTTTTTCATATACCTGTTGATGGTTTGTATGTCTTCTTTTCAGAAATGTCTAGTTCACATCCTTTGCCCACTTTTTTATATGGAGTTGATTTTTGGTATCAAATTATTTGAGTTTCTTGTATCTTCTCTATATCTGTCTATTGTCAGATGAATAGCTTGCAAACATTTTTTCCCATTCTGCAGGTTGTCTTTTCATTTTGCTGATTGTTTTCTTTGCCATGCAGGATTTTTTTTTAGTTTAATACACTCTCATTTGTCTCTTTTTGGTTTCTGTTGCCTGAAGCTTTAAAGTATTAACCATAAAACCATTGCCTAGACCAATGCCTTGAAGTATTTCCCTTATGTTTTCTTCTAGTAGTTTTATAGTTGCAGGTCTTATATTTAAGTATTTAATCCACTCTTACTTGATCTTTGTATAGAGTGAGAGATAGGGATCTAGTTTCATTATTTTGCATATGGATATCCAGTTTTTCCAGCACTATTTATTGAAGAAGATATATTTAGCCCAATGTATGTTCTTGGTGCATTTGTAGAAAACTAATTGGCAATAAATACATTAATTTATGTCTGGCTTTCTATTCTGTTTCATTGGTCTGTGTGTCTATTTTTGTACAATACCACACTGCTTTGGTTACTGTATCTTTGTAGTATATTTTGAAATTAGGCAGTGTGATGCTCCCAACTTTGCTCTTTTTGCTCAATATTGCTTTGGCTACTAAGGGTCTTTCGAGATTTTAGAATTGCTTTAACAATTTTAGAATTGCTATTTCTGTTTTTGTGAAGAATGCCACTGGTATTCTGTTAGGAATTGCATCAAATCCCTTGATTGTTTTGAGTAGTGCTGTATTTTTAACATTATTAATTCTTCTGATCCATGTGTATGAGATGTCTTTCTTTTGTTTGTGTACTCTCCAATTTCTCTCTTCAGTGTTTTGTAGTAGTCTTCACTATAGAGGTCTTTTACCTCCTTGAGTAAAATTATTTATAGGTTTTCTTTTTTTTTTTAGCTACTGTAAATGAAATTCCTTTCTTGATTTCTTTTTCATCTGGTTTTTAGTTGGCATATAGAAATGCTACTGACTTTTGTATGTTGATTTTGTATCCTGCAAATTTACTGAATGTATTGGTGCTAAGTTTTGTTGTTGGTTTTCTTAGAGTTTTCTGTATATAAGATCAGGTTTTCTGCAAAGAGGGACATTGGCTCTGTCTTTTCCAATTTGGATGCCTCTTATTTTTTTTCTTTTCTGATTCCTCTGGCTAGGACTTCCTGTATTGTATTGAATAAGAGTGGTGAAAGTTTGTATCCTGGTCTTCTTCCAGTTCTTAAGGAAAAGGCTTTCATCCTTTTCCCATTCAGTACGGGTTTAACGGTGGTTTTGTCATATATGGCCTTTATTATGTTGAGGTATGCTAATTCTTACCTAATTGTTGAGTTTTCATCATGAAGCTACATTGAATTTTTTCAAATGCTTTTACTGCATCTATTGAGGTGATCATATTTTTGTGTTCTTCATTCTCTTTATTTGATGTATCACATATATTGATGTGCTTATATTGAACCATGCTTGTATCCATGGTATAAATCCCATTATATCACACTGTATTATCTTTTTCATGTGTTGTTGGATTCGGTTTGCTGGTATTTTGTTGAGGATTTTTGCATCTATGTTTACCATAGTCCCTTGAGCTGCATTCTTAGGTTGTTTGCTTGAGAGTAACCTAAACGCCTGTAGTTTTTGTTGTTGTTGTTGTTGTGTCCTTTACTGGTTTTGGTATCAGGGTGATGCTGCATTCATAGATGAGTTTGAATTTCCTACTCTTCAATTTTTTGGGGGTAGCTTGAAAAGAATTTATGTTAATTTTTCTTTATAAGTTTGGTAGAATTCAGTAGCAAAGCCATCTGTCCAGAGTTTTTCTTTGTTGGAATATGTTTTGTTACGAATTAAATCTTGTTACTTGTTATTGGTCTGTCAGGCTTTCTAGTTCTTCCTTGTTCAATCTTGGTAGGGGATTAGTATCCAAAAGTTTATTCATTTTCTCTAGGATCTCCTATTTATTAGTATACAATAGTTCATACTAGTCTCTAATGATATTTTATATTTTTGTGGTATCAGTTGTCATGTCCTCTTTATTTCCCATTTTATTTGGGTCTTCTCATTTTTAACTAGTCTAGCTAATAGTTTACTGATTTTGTTTATCTTTTAAAGATCAACTTTTCATTCTCTTGATTCTTTGTATTTTTTTTAAGTCTCGATTTCATTTAGTTTTGCTCTGATAACTATTTTTTTTTCTTTCCTTCTACTAATTATGGGTTTGGTTTGTTCTTGCTGTTCTAGTTTGTTGAGGTGCATTATTAGCTTGTTTATTTGAGAACTTTTTATTTTTTTGACGTAGGCTTCCTTGTAATATATTTGCACCTTAGCAGTGCTTTTGCTAGATCCTGTAGGTTGTAGTTTCATTTTAATTTGTTTCAATATTTTTAAAATTTATCTTCGTAATTTCTTTATTGATCCAATTGCCATTCAGGAGCATGTTGTTTAATTTCCATGTCTTTATACAGTTTCAAAAGTTCCTCTTGGTATTAGTTTTTAACTTTATTTTATTGTTGTCTAAGAAGATACTTGATATTATTTTTACTTTGTTGAGCGTGTTGAGTTTTGTTCTGTGGCTTAACATGTGGCTTATTCTAGAGAATGTTTCATGTACTGATGAGACAAATGTGTATGTTGTAACTATTGGAAGAAATAGTCTGTAAATGCCTATTAGGTCAACTTGGTCTGTAATGCAGATTAAACCCAATGTTTCTTTGTTGATTTCGTCTACATGATCTGTCCAATGCTGAATTGGGGTGTTGATGTTTTCAGCTATTATTGTATTGGGTTCTATCTTTCTCTTTAGCTACAGTAATATTTAGTTTATACATCTGGTGCTCTTATTTTGGTTGCATATATATTTACAATTGTTATATCTTTTTGCTGAAATGGCCCCTTTGTAGTTGTAATATAACCTTTGTCATTTTATTATTAATACTATTTTATTTAAATTACATTCTATCCAAGTATAGCTATGCCTGCATACTTCTGGTTTCCACTTGCATGGATTTTTTTTTTTCTTCACTTCTTTCAGTCTATCTGTGTCTTTACTGGTAAAGTGAGTTTTCGGTTGGCAGCATATAGTTGGATCTTATATTTTTAATTCATTCATCCAGTCTATATTGTTTAGTTGGGGAATTAAAAATATTTATAATTAATGTTATTATTAATAGGTGAGGACTTACACCTGCCATTTTGTTACTAGTTTTTTTATTGTTTTATATATTTCTTTTCTTCTCTTCCTTTTTTATTTACCTTTATAATTTGGTAAAGTTTTTTGTTGTAATTTCATTTGACTCCTATCCTTTTTCACTTGTGTGCCTGCTGTACTAGTGAATTATATACTTCTATGTGATTTAATGATGGTAGATGTCAGCCTTCCACTTCCACAAGTAGGTCCCTCTTAAGTATTTCTTGTAGGGCCCATCTAGTCATGATGAATTCCTTCAGTTTTTGCTTGGCTGAGAAAAGCTTTATTTCTCCTTCATTTTGGAAGGATAACTCTGCTGACAGGTTTTTATTTTTTCCTCTTAGCACTTTAAATATGTTTTCCTTTTTATTCTAGCCTGTAGGGTTTATATGAGTAATCCACTGCTAGTCTAATGGTAATTTCCCCATACATAATTTGATGCTTTCTCTTGCTGTTTTTAGAATTCTCTCTTTGTCTTAGACTTACAACACTTTGAGTATAAATGCCTTGCTGGAGTCCTTTGTTAGTTGAATATATCTGTGTATTTTCAAACTTTATCTAAATGTCTGTATATCTTTCAAGACTTGGCACACTTTCAGCTATTTTTTAAATAGGATTTCTATGTCTTTTCTAATCTCTTCCTCTGAAGGATAAAATTTGGAAATTTGGTTATTTTATAGTGCTTCATTTTTTATGTAGGCTATTCTCTTCTTCATTTTTTTTCTGTTCCTCTAAATGGGTCGTTTCAAAAGACCTGTTGTCAGTTCAGAAATTACTTCTTCTATTTTGTCTACTCTACTATTGAGACTTTCTAGTATATGCTTTATTTCATTTATGTTATTTTTTATTTCCAGGTTTTCTTTTTAGTTTTTTTTTAATGATATCTAATACTTCATTAAATTTCCATTCAGATCATGAATTGTTTTCCTAATTTTTGAATTGTTTACTTGTTGTCTTGAGTTTCACTAAATTTTCTTAAATATTATTATTTTGAATTCTTTTGCAGCCATCTTATATATTTTTTTTTCTTTGGGATCTATTTTTGTGGAATTACCATGTGTCTTTGGAGTTTTCATGTTTCCTTCCTTTTTTATGTTTCTTATGTCCTCACGTTTCTAACTGTACATTTGTTGTTGCAGTGGCTTCTTCCCGTTTTTTGGATTAGCTTTCTCAGGGAAATACTGTTTCCTATGGTTGTATCCTATAGTGTTGGTTGGGTAGGATGCTTTTGCTTTGATTCTAGTGGGTTCAATAGTGTAGCCTCTATATGATTTGTTCAACTGTCATTAACATCCGTGTTGTCTGTGAGTTGCTCAATGGATAGGATGCAGTGCTAGTGGAGGCTGTGGCAAGGTTTTTGCTGGGTACAGTGACACAGTTTAGGTCATTCCATGGGCACCAGTTGTAGTGATGGTAGGCCAGGTAGGTGAATCTCTGTTCCCCTGGGTAGCATGCATGGCCTTAGCAGTGTTAGTCGTGGCAGCAGGCTCAGCCTTGGGCCCCTGTGCAGCATGTACAAGTGCCAGCTTGGCAGCAGCAGAATGGGAAGACTGATTATCATGTCTGGATGGCACCAATAGGCATCAGTGACAGTCAGGGTGAGACTGTCCTTATCCTCCTAGGTTTGCTCATGTGTCAGTGGTAATGGGCAAGGCAGGCTTATCTCCAGACCCTCAGACAATACACATGGACAACAACTGCAGGTGAAATAAGCTTTTCCGTAGGTCCCTGGAAGGTGTGCATGTGTAATGGAAGTGGTAGACAAAGTGACTCGATTTCCAGGCCCCAGTATGATGTATGTAAGCACTGATGACTGTGGTGTCAAGTGGCATGGACTTGTCCTCAGGTCTTCATATGGTGTGCACAGGTGCTTGCAGTAGTAGGCAGGAAAGACCTCTTCTCAGAACCCAAAATGGTGCTAGAGTGGACCAGTCACCAGGCCCTAGAGACCTTGCTGCTGAAGGGGGCAGGGTTGCTGTCTGTGGCAGCAGCCCTGGGCAGATGGTTCTGAGGCTCAAGTGAGCACATTCTTCAGCTCCCTTTGTTCTGGGGGCAGTCTTACTTGTGCACTGCACTGCTCATTCCCTTGGGTGTAGAACACTGTGTAGGCTAGGGTCCTGGGGACATGGCTACATCATTGGGTTCAGTTGGAGTTATGATGCTGCAGTCCTGCGGGTAAACAGTCGGGCTCTGGGGGATGTCACTGAGGCTCCAGGAATGTGAAGATGCAGGGTCTGCTGGGCCCCGTGGCAAAACATATTTTAGTGGGGATGCAATTTCAAAATAGTACAATGCCACAGATGCTTAGGTCTCAGGGGTTGTGTGGAACCCCAGTACAAACTTCCTCTTTAGAACAATGCCATTGCATGGTCCCCAGGCTGCTGCCTATACTAGCCTCAGGGCCCACAAGGACTGAAAAGCTCTACTGTGGCTAGGATTGTAGGAGTCCACATGGACATGTAGACCACTGGGGATCTCTTACTTACCTTTTCACCACGTTGGAGAATTCCTCTTGGCCTTAATCTGGTCCTGGCCAGGTCAGCTACTTTGCTTCCATCTCCTTCAGTGATTCAAAAGTTCCTTGCCACTTCCCTGCTGAATGTCAGTTTTCTCTTAGAAGCTCTATTTGATGTGTGGTTATTTATGTACTCCTTTGGTACTTCTTTATGGAGGAGGTGAGTGCTGGGCAGTTCACATCTGCCATCTTAAAGCCCCTCCACAAAACCAAACAGTTGCTTTTGAATTTTGCAGTCTTTGATGTCTGGATCCTAGATGAGGAAAAATAGAAAAATTAAAGTAAGGGATAAAGAATGCTTGCCCTTTAAATTCCCTGGAGGTCTATTCAACCACAGAGGGAAGAGCTTGTAAGAATGGGGGAGTTGCAATAACTGTGGCTGCCTGCCTCTTTGCACCTCTGTGATCAGTGATTATAGCACAGATTCTGAAATTTTAAGGGTGGGGTTCTTTTTGATCACCTGCCTCCCACAAGCCGTGTGCAGCCTGCTCCAGGAACGTGCACACAGCTGCCTACCATGGGGCTGGGAATAGAGGATGGGTAGCTGCCAGTGTGCTAAAAGCTGAAAGTGCCCCAAATTAACCACAATTTACCTTCCAAGCTTTCCTTTGGAGGTTGCAAGCCTTTAGTAAATTTGAGAGTCCCAAAATGCAATAGTTACTTAAGACAGGTTCTGCCCTATGCAGTTGCTATCTAGATGGAAAGACACAATTCTGGTGCTTCCCACACTGCCATCTTCCCAGAATCCCAGCATATAGTTTTTAACTATGCTTCCGGCGGTAAGATGAATTTCCCTCTGCAATAAATTCAACTCCATGGTGTCTTTTAAGCTTGACCTCTAGTTCTCTAATATATCAGAATTCCTGAAGTCTTTCTGAAGAATTGTGCTACTATATGTTACCTAGAAAATACATACACAGAAATACACACAAATATTTATTTGGTCGAATATGTTTGGAAAACACTTGGTGACTGATAAACATATAAATATTGATTTTAAATTTTTGTAATAGGCCCCTTCACTGCAAAACTGTTCCAAACCACTGATTTACTCAGTGCCTAAGATGTGGTCACCCTTTAATCTCTGCCTCAAATATTGATTCCCTCAATCTCTATCTCTACACTCTTGCCAGATACTTTATTAGAGCACAAATGCTCAAATCTCACCATGGTGGCCTTCAGAACCTCTGAGATAATCCGAAGTCCCTTGACCTGGCAAGCAGTCTTTAAGGCTTTTGTGAGGTACATTCACTACTTTATGTGGAGTTTCTTGAATGTAGTGTGTGTGTGCGCGCACGCATTTGGTTTTCTTTATTTATTTATTTACTTTTAGCTTGGATCCCTTGCTTAGGCTGCAGCATCTGTCTGGAATGGTGTCCTACCTCTTCTTCACCTGAAAGACTATTTTAGGTGCATTTCTTGCTTCACCATGTACCATCACCTCCCAGAATAGATGATATATTGTATAGAAAACATATTTGTTTTGCTGGGTTCCCCACCGTTAGTTTGAAAGGACCATTTTAATCTCAGGTTATGCCATATGGCCTAGAGTATAATATGCATACTCTAAAGACTTATTCATGTGATCCTGTACCGTCTCTCTGTCTTTGAGTACAATGTGTGTATCTCTCTCTTCCTCTCTCTCTCTGTCAGTCTCTTTTTCATGCTATCACTATGAACACAGATACAAAGTCATGTAAACAAGATCATTGCTGTTTCCCAACCTAACCTGAAAGCATTGACATGGAATGACATTTTTCTCTAAGCCCTGGCTTTTTATTAGCAATCTTTATATTTTATGCCCCAGCTGCAGTATGTAGTCACAACTCGGCCTCTCTGAACCCCAAAGACATTAATCTTGTCAAACTTAATTGAATCAAAGCACAAGCAGTTATAAATGGAGTGCAGCTTGACAAATAAAAAGAAAAAAAAGAAAAGTAAAAAACATGCATCCAACTAATACTTTCATTTTAAGATATTCCCTGTTGAGAATACTTTGTGGTTTCCTAAAAATTTCTCTGCAGAGTTTCCAGGCTCTTTCCTAGTAATAATGCTGCTCTTTATTAGGAAACATTTACCTATCCCAGCACTGATTCTGATTCTGCACACAGTAAACACTTCCCAGGGTAGAACATGCTACTCTGTGTGGCAAAATTGTCTACATTTTGTGGGATTCTGGCCTTGGGTGGTAGCATGGGTTTTATGACATGTTGGTAGAGGACAGGAAACACATCACAACATGCAAAAATTCAACTATGGCCCCACAGCCAGGTTCCATTTGACTTGGTCATTATGCGGTTTGCAAATTCTCCAATTGTCATCCTTAAAAGTTGCCTTTGTTAATTCTACGCTCTGTGGATTTTGCAATGGATCCCATGCCAACTGCTTTGCCGAGGACTGCCCTATGGAGTGGATGAGCACCAGGTCCTGCCTGCACTATGAAATCTAGGAAAAGCCTTATTGATCTGAGCCCCTCACAACACTAGCTTGCCTCAGTTGCCAAAATTACTTAACATTCTTCTTTCTCAGGATGGCAGCTACCCATAGAATAAAGCATGATGGCGCTCTTGAGTACTGATAATATTATTTTTCTTCATCTGAATGTTGGTTATGGTGGTTATGGCGGTGATGGTGGTATTCATCTTGTAGAAGTTCATCCAGTTTTGCACTTATTTTTCTGTAAATAGAGTGCATTAATAAAAATGCATGTTTAAGAATATCTTCTTAAAAACCATGTCCTCTTTAACTGAGGTAAAACACTTTGTCTAGAAATAGTAATATTTCTTTATACATTCTAGGATATAGAGTGTACTGTTGGATCTGACAGATCACAGTAAAAGTGCCAAGCCTGGTTTTTACTCTCTGTGTGTTCTTTCCTCTGTTTCTGTTTTTTCACTGTTAAATAAAAATTATAATGCCAACTTAACAAAGTAATTGAGAAAATAGAATTGAATAAATAATAGAAAATCACTTAGCACAAAAATAAACCAGGTAATGGTGGCCATCACTATTAATAGCAACAACAGAACCACTGAAGTAGAAGAGGATAAAGGCAAATTAGAGGCTTTTCTGAAGTGGCTGAGCTGTGGTGGTAGCAGTGATATCAAACTTTGTGAGGAAGAAGGAAGGCAGGAAATACGAATAAAATCTACACCACTGTATACAGGAAAAAGCAATGACATGGCACAGAAATGCTGTGAAACAGTCCTCAATGGACTGGTCTTATGTGAGGGGAGGTTTCAACACAAGAGCATCCTCGGGAAGAACCTGCAACACCAGCCTCAGGGCATGTCTTCATCTTCCCTTTTGTGTGTTCATTTTCCACTAGACTATAGGCCCCAAGAAGAAGAATATTTCTGTCTAACAGATGTATGTACTCTAAGCATCTAGAGCTTTGCCTAGGACACAGCAGTGAAGATTAAAGACACCCATTGTTCTTGGTGAGTTTATCATATTTATATTCTGCTGTTCCAGAATGGCCTAGACTGCCTGATAGCCATCTATTATTGGGTATCAATCATGAATTCTTGAGTATATTAAATTCTGGTTTCATATAATTTTAAATAAATGAGGCAATGCTTCTATATTTGCGATACATCTTGATGTGGGGAACTTTGCTTTTATGATAATTATATTTAAGTCCTCATATTTCCACCTATTAATTTGGGCTATTTAGTTTCTATGAGCCATACGTTTCTCACATGTAAACTGGAGAGAAAAATACTGACATCAGAGAGCTGGTGAGGATTAATGGCATATTATGTATAAAACAGTACCTGACAGGTAGTTGGATAAAGGGTGTTTAAATAGCCCTTTAGCTTAATAGTTAACAAGACAGAATTTCCCATTAATTTGCAGGGAGAAGACCCTTCCTCAGAAGACAGTGTAACATTTTATGCATCTGAGGCCTTGGGAATAAAGGTCAAGCAGAACTAATCAGTGGAATTCTCCTTTTCTTAGGAGATAAGGAGGAGTGGCTGTGATTGTTAAGAAGATTATAATACCTTTGTACCTGAAAGGAGGAGAATGGGGAAAACAAACATATTCTAATCACATTGGAACAAATTTTAATTAAGGTTTTTAGAGGATCAAAGAACTGAAAAGTTTGAAATACTTTTTATATGTATTCAAAATACAGGCAATGGGAAATGGTAAAGAAAAAAAGTGTTAAGAAAGCACAAGAAATTTTATTTTTTTCTCATGATGACTACTTCAGTGCATAAAAATATAAGCCAAGTAGCTAGGCATCATATGTTTTCAAAATGTGTGTGTATGTGTGTGTGTGTGTGTGCACGTGCATGCACACCTGCTTTGCAACTTTGTGTGCCCCTCTCATGACTCAGTTGTGTAACTTCAGAAAAAGGTCTAAAAATGATTAATGCAATATAAGAAACAGATCTCACTGAATGAAAAGGGCATGGGCTCTTCAGAAACAGATGTTTGTTTTCAAGGCCAGGGTGGCCTGGAGACTTCACCTGTGTGGGGGCATTCTTCAGAAAGATCCCTGGAAATTGCCCAATTTTATTGCCTTAATGAAACAGAGCATCAGCAACCGCAATGTAACCGCTGAATGGACTCACTTTGCTTGCTTCCTAGACGAGAGCCGATTTATCAAGACAAAAGAATTGCAATAGAGAAAGAGTCATTCACGCGGAGCTGGCTCTACAGGAGACCGAAGTATCATTATTACTCAAATCAGTCTTCCCAAGCATTTGGGGATCGAGTTTTTAAAGACAGTTTGGTGGGTGGGGAGGAGCAGTGAGTTGAGGAGTGCTGATTGGTTGGGTTGGAGATGAAATCATAGGGCGTCACTGTCTTCTTGCTCTGAGTCAGTTCCAGCCTGGAACTGACTCCTGAGATCAGAAGAGCCAGTTTATAGATCTGGGTGGAGCCAGCTGATCCACCAAGTTCAAGGTCTGCAAAACATCTCAAGCACTGATTTTAGGAGCTGTTTACGGAGGGTCTGAATCTTGTAGCCTCCAGCTGCATGGCTCCTAAACCATAATTTCTAATCTTGTGGCTAATGTTAGTAGTCTAGTTCCTGGGCAAGAAGGAAGTTTGTTTTGGGAAAGGGCTGTTATCATCTTTGTTTTTAACTATAAACTAAGTTCTTCCCAAAGTTAGATTCACTTACTTCTGAGAATGAACAAGGACAACTCGGAGGTTAGAAGTAAGATGGAGTTGGTTAAGTTACATCTCTTTCACTGTCTCAGTCATAATTTTACAAAGGCAGTTTCAGTCTTATTGTATTCTCACTCTCACTCACCTGCACAGCCACAGTGGCATTCTTGCCCTACTCCTCATATGAGAAACTTGTTCCTGTTGTCGGGTTGTGCACTTACAGCTCCCTCTTCGTCAAGTGCTCTTGTGCCATGACTCCTTACATGCACCATGTACCTAATCAAATGTCCCTCAGGGAGACTTTCCTTTACCTGAAAACAGCAGTAACACCCACACCCTCTCTAATGCCATGTTGTCATTCTCTACTTTGCACCATAGTATTTATGACCACCAGGGATGCTATATATGTTATTCATTTATTTATATTGTCCATTCTCACTAAAAACGGACTCTCCATGAAGTCAAAGTCTTCTGTCTGTTTTTCATCTATTTTTTATTGCGTAGAAAAATTCCCAGCATTTGGTAAATGTTGATGAACTTTGATGAATGAGTCAATGAATTTATTATGGAGTGAAATGACAAATTTTACCCAATATTCTTTATAGAGATCTCTTTTGGCTTAAAAATATGGAGAGATAGTCTAATTATAATATATCATAGTTGATTTTTCTAAGGCTTCTATAGGGGACAAAAGAGAAGCAGTTAAACCACAAAGATTCATAATAAATTAAAGAATAAATTGTCTAGTGGCATCATACTAAGCCCTTAAGGAACAAAACATAAATTGAAATATAGACAGACATCAAATCTTTGAATAAATAAGATCTCAGAAAAAAGAAAATGGTTACTCAACAAGGAAAAGAATGATTTCAAATTTCTTTGGAAGATAAATTATCAGATAAATACAGCAGGGGAAAAATAAAGCCTATACAAAAATAGACACAATAAATATTTTATTGTAAATAAAAACATTTACTATATAAAAAGTTGTATGAAACCATAGAAAAAAACAGTTGAGTCAAATTAGATAAATGGACAAAGGTTATAAAGGGTCAATTTTAAACGAGGAAATATAAATTTGCAACATATGGTATAGTATTTAACCTCTCCAGTAATTCAAATAAGTGAAAATTAAAACAACCATGAGATGCCTTTTCCTATCTTTCAAATAATTTAAACTTGTGAAACATCTATGCTGACAAAGAGATAGGAAATAACGCACCCTTGGATACACTATTGGTGAGCATGTTAAAACTGTTGAGAAAGCATGTTAGCAATAAATGTCAAAAGTCTTAAAAAAGAGTTCACATGAAGCTGAAATGACACAGTGGTTCTGCCCTGGAAATTAAATAAATAATCATGAATACAGAGAATGTTGTAATTTGAAGTGATACTCATTCTAGTGCTAAATATAGAAGGAAAATATAGAAAAAAATTATATTGGAAAGGTTAGGAGACTTAGAGGCAGTCCTAAACTATTATACAAACTTTGATAATGATATTTGAACATTATTCATAGCAGTATTATGCAAAATTTTTATTTTAAAAATAAAAAGTATTACAAAATTATACCTACAGAATGATCTCAAATACATTAAAAAATATTTGCAAGCCCATGTGTAGATATGGATATAGGTTTATGTTTGTGCATTTAAATTTATTTTTTGCCAAATTTGTTTATATCTTAAAGTATTACAATATTATACATGCAGTCACTTTTTTTCATTGGCTCATAATAATTATACACATTATGGGGTACATAGCAATGCTTCAATGCATATAACACATAGTGATTGGATCAGGGTAATTAGAATATCATCTCACACATTTATCATGTCTTTGTATCACAAACTTTCAATATCCTTCCTTCAGCTATTTGAAACTATATGATATATGATTGTTAACTGTAGTCATCATGGTACAGATGACTAGAACTAGAACTCATTCCTGGATCTAGCTGTAATTTTGAATCCTTTAACAAATCTCTCCCTGTCCCTCACTTTCTCTCACCTTTCCCAGCCTCCAGTATCCACTGTTCTACTTTGTACTTCTATGAGATCAAATTTGTTTAGCTTCCACATATAAGTGAGAACATGCAATGTTAAATTTATATTACTTTAATAAATTAAGGTAAAATTAAAAATTAAAAACTCCAAACAATAAGTCAGATAGCAACTATTTATTTTTGTTGAAATCATCATTTTTTGCAGTTAATTCACAAAGTAAAGTCACATAGATGTGGTACAACTATTTGCAAAAGAAGTTTAGAGAGGTTTTCAATCATCCAAGGTATTTTTAGTAATTGGGCCAAACAAGTTAGTTAAATTGAATGAAGGGAGCAGTTGATTACACCCATGTAATTATTTCTAATTTTTATTCATAATTTTTCTAATTAAACATGCATCCATAAGCCTAAATTTTTGTGCTCCCTGTCATTGTAACTATTTATTACAGCATTAAATAAAGACACAATAAAAAAGGATGAGTTCATGTCCTTTGTAGGGACATGGATGAAGCTGGAAACCATCATTCTCAGCAAACTATTGCAAGGACAGAAAATCAAACACCGCATGTTCTCACTCATAGGTGGGAATAGAACAATGAGAACACTTGGACACAGAGTGGGGATCATCACACACCAGGGCCTGTCATGCGGTGGGGGAAGGGAGGAGTGATAGCATTAGGAGATACACCTAGTGTAAATGACAAGTTAATGGGTGCAGCACACCAACATGGTGCATGTATACATATGTAACAAACCTGCATGTTGTGCACATGTACTCTAGAACTTAAAGTATAATAATAAATAAATAAATAAATATCAAATAAAATAAAAAAGACACAATGTGTATTTGTTTGTGCCTGGCTCCTTTTACTCTGCATGATGTTTTTGAAATCCATCCATGTTACTACGTACAACTGTAATGTGTTCACATTAATGGCTGTATACTAGTTCATTATATCAATATACCACTAACTATCTATACTCTGAACTTTTGTATTGCTCTTTTTTTTGTTAAAATGCAAAACTGTGTGTGCCAGAACAAGTCTTTGAAATGCATGCACATATTATCATCTTTGATATATATCTAGGAGTGAAATTGCTCTGTCATAGCATGCGCATATTTTTAATGTCAGTAGATAATGTGAATAAGCCTTCTTAATTAGTTGTTCTGCTTTGCACTGCTATCTAGAATAATGATTGTCCTGCCATATTACTATCATTTGGTCTTGTCAGTTTTTGCTGATGTTTGTTTTGTTTTATCTTCCATTCTGGCAACTATATGGTTATAAATTACTGTGGTTTTAAATTGTATTTCCCTGATTAATAAGGAGCATGAGAATCTTTCACATTTTAATCAACCATTTGGATGTCCTGTTCATGCTTTTCCTTACTATTTTTTTATTTCTACAAGATCCATAGTAAAGAATATTCTTTCATTTCTGACTGTAGTAATTTTTCTCTTCAATTTTTTTCCAGTCAGATGGTAAGGGTTTGTCTAAACAATTTATCTTTTCAAATAGCCAGTTTATGATTTCATTGATTTTCTTTTCTTTTTTCTTTTTCTTTTTTTTTTTTTTTTTGAGACAGGGTCTGGCTCTGTCGCCAGGCTGGAGTGCAGTAGCGTGATCTCAGCTCACAGCAACCTCCGCTTTCTGGGTTTAAACAATTCTCCTGCCTCAGTCTCCCAAGTAGCTGAGATTGCAAGCACCTGCCACCACACCCAGCTAATTTTTGTATTTTTAATAGAGAGGGGGCTTCAGCATGTTGGTCAGGATGGTCTCGATCTCCTGGCCTTGTGATCTGCCCACCTCGACCTCCCAAAGTGCTGGGATGGCATGCGTGAGACATGCGCTCAGCCGTGATTTTCTTTATTGTGTTTCTATTTTCTATTTTATTATTTTCTGCCGTAATCATTATTATTTCCTTATTTTTGCTAGCTTTGGGTTTGGTTTGATCTTCTTTTTCCAGTTCCTTAAGCTGGATGGTTTGTTTACCAATTTTAGATCTTTCATCTTTCTTAATATAAGCATTTAACAGCTATAATTTTCATTCTGAGACTGCTTTTGCTTCACTCTATATAATTAAAGTATGCTGCATCCTCATTTTTATTTATCTCAAAGTATTCTCTAATGTTCCTTTTTATTTCTTCCTCTTTAGTTATTTTATTTTATAAATAAAATAGTTGCATTATTTTATTTCCAAATATTGTAAGCGTTCCAAATTTCTTTCTGTTATTGATTTCACATTCAGTTCAATTGTTAGAGAACACACTAGGTAATATTTCTGTTATCTTAAATGTATTGAGGCTTATTTCTGGAGGCAGTGTATGACCTATACCAGAAAATATCCCATGTGTACTTGAGAATAATATACTTTCTGCACTTTTCAGTGTGGAACATTCTATAAATATCAGTTATATATAATTGATATATGTGTTGTTGTTCATTTCTATGTTCTTATTGATATTTTGCCTGGTCTATCCATCATTGAAAGTAGAATGTTGCTTCAGCTATCGTTGTTTTCTATTTCTCTCTTCATTTCTGTCAGTTTTTACTTTATGTATTTTAGTGCTTTGTTATTAGGCACATACATACCTATAATTTTTATATTCCCCTTTTGTATGAATCCTATAATTTTTATACAATGTCTCTTCTTATCTCTAGTAACATTTTTTGTTTTAAAGTCCACTTTGTCTGCTTGTTAGCATAGCTCCTCCAGCTTTCTTGGGGTAGCTATTTGCATAATACATATTTTTCTATTATTAACATAATGAACTTATTTAAGTTAAAGTCTTACATAGCATAATACAGTTGAATCATATTTTTAAATCAAAACTTGCAATCTCTGCTTTTCTGATTGGATTATTTAATCTATTCACTTTTAATTTTCTTATTTTGGGAGTTAGATTTATGTCTTGGACTTTACTTTTAAATTTTTATGTCTCATATGTTATATTTTTTGTTCTTCTATTTCTACTTTACTGCTTTCATTTGCACTAGGAGAATATATTTTAATGTGGCGTTTTAATTCCTTTAATGTGTTTAAAGGTATATTTCTTATGACTTCTTTTCTGGTTGTTATAGAGCTTACCATAGAAGTCCTAGACTCATACTCATCTAACTTAATTCTTGTCTGATATAGATATATTATTCATATAAAGTTATATTTTACTATCCTTCCATTTGTTCCATTATTTTTATACACATTACATCTTTAAATGTTATTAAGCCAAAAACGTATTATTATAATAATTACTTCATAGAAGTTTGTCTTTTAAAGAAGCTGACATTTTTTAAAAAATTTAAATAAGTATGTATTTATAGCTTTTGTAATATTAACTTTCTTACTTATCCATTCAGGTTCCCTTCATTTGTTCCTGTGCTTTTGTGTTATCATTGAGAATCATTTCTTTTGCCCAATACATCTTTGCTACCACCACCTCCCTTATGTTACACATCTATAGATTGTATGTCCAACAATATATTATGTACATGTTATTTTATACAATTGTTTCTTAAGTTTGTTAAGAGAAAATATTCATTTATACTGTCATTTACAGTTGCATAGTGCTTTTTATTTTTGTTTGCAGATTTGAATTGCCATCTGAGGTTACTTAGTTTCTTGAAGACTTCCCTTTATGATTTTTTGTAAGATGTGTCTGTTAGCAACAAATTGTTTTAGTTTTTTCTTAACTAGGAATTCATTTATTTCTCCTTCATTTTCAAAATACAGCTTTGTTGGATATTGTATTTGTGGTTGACAGTTTTTTTTTCTTTGAGCACTCCACTGCCTTTTGGCCTCTGTTGCCTCTTCTAAGAAGTCAGATGTAAATTGTATTGCATCAGTTTATACCTCTAGAAGCAATGTAAATTGCTAATATACATCCTTTGTGTAAAAGCCTGATCCGTGAAAATATCTCATATAATAACTTCTGATAAGATTAAGATGAGTTTACCATAGTAAGATAGAGCACTACCTTGATGAAGTCTAAGTTGCAATTTAGAATGGGAGTGCAAAGTTGAGATATTTATGAAGTATTCAATAAAGTTTAAGATAGGTCTTTTATTGTAAGCATAAAATAGGATTGTCTGCGAAAAACAATGAACACAGCAGAGTGAAGATATTGAGGAAAGCAGTGAAAACTGTTGGGATGTAAACTGCAATTTCATGCTATTTATAGAAGAGTTGAATAGTTTAATATATATGTAAATGTTTGTTTTGTTGTTTTGATTTTTGTTTCGTTTGTTGTTTGGCAGAGAGAGTCTCAGGAACAAACAGCAAAGTTATTTACAACTTTTATCTTCTTCTGATAGTAACTATTTTGATAATGACAATAAGTTATGTGAGTATCAGTTTGGTTAATTATTTTGTACTCTTCTTGAATACAAAGTTATTGTCAGACTTTAACTTGAGTCAAATAATTAGAGATAAAATAATATATTTTGTAGTCTTCATTATTTTGTGTGATCACTAGTGATGTTAAATATATCTTCCAATGATTTTTGCTTTATGTATTTCCTCCTCTGTGTAATTCCTGTCTATGCATTTTACTCATTTTTTTTCTTGTGTTATTTATACTTTTTTATTGGCATGCATGGGCCATTTATACATTCTTGATTTTTTTCTGGTGTATATTATGAATGGCTTTCCTCAGTTTGGAACTTGTCTTTTCATTTCTCTTGATGAATAAGGATTGCCATTTTGCACAACAGTGAAAATACTACATTCTGAATTCTTTTACTACAATCTAAATTCTTTTAGAAGTAGAGTTTAGTTTTTAAATTAATTTTTAAAAGCTTCTGCTGTTTGGTATGTATTGCCAGGTTCATGAAGTGGACTGATATTTCTTCTTTGCTATCACCTGTCTTACTCCTAAGATATTCATAATTACTCTGTATTGAAGTGAGGACTGTCCTTAGCAAAGTTTTGAATACAATGCTTTTCCTTTAAATACAACTGCCTATATCATAATTTACTGAATTTTAGTTCATAATTTTATACAGCCTCAGCAAATGTTCTATGGATAAAATAATTAGTTCTGGTTTTTAGAACCCCTAATTTCATACAAAGAACCATCTATTAAATTTATTGATAAATCTGTTAAAGTTAGTTGTGTCCAGTATATCCTCAAATTAACTAAGAGGCACCTTATTTATGACACTTTTTAATCTTACTCTTAATATTTACCTGATTCTCAAAGAGAATCTTGTTTCATTTTTATTTCATTCTGAAAGGCTCAAAGTAATAAAAGCATAGAAAATTACCAAGTTAGTAATCTCAACTGAAATATATTTAAAACAATCTAACACTTTTTCAAGTACATTATTTCATCAACTTGATCATTTAGATCGTATACTAGCTTAGCTTAGTAATTATAAAGATGAAGGCTGAAAATATCTTCCAAAGTGCTTGGAAAATATGAAGAAATAATTCCCCAATAATCTGAAAAATGCAAATTATTATTAGTATAAAAATGAACAGAACACAACTTTTCTTACAAACAACTTCATGGCATGGTACATCATTGGTTGTCTGAGGCACTTCCCACGTTTTTTTTTTTTTTTTTTTTTTTTTTTTTGAGAGGGAGCCTTGCTCTGTTACCCAGGCTGGAGTGCAGTGGTGCTATCTTGGCTCACTGCAACCTCCATCTACCAGATTCAAGCAACTTTCCTGCCTCAGCCTCCCAAGTAGCTGGGATTATAGGCGCCCGCCACCATGCCCAGCTAATTTTTTTGTATTTTTTAGTAGAGAAAGGATTTTGCCATGTTGGCCATGCTGGTCTTGAACTCCTGACCTCAGGTGATCCAACCACCTCGGCCTCCCAAAGTTCTAGGATTACGGGCATGAGCCAACATGCCTGGCCTCCTCAGCATTTTTATATCTGAAGTTTATTTATGACTATCATGAAAGTGTCACTACCGAATCCATATGGTAGTAAATAAACTAGACTTGACATAAAATGCTAATAAGATGCAAATGATATAGTGGAAAATGGCCATCATGATACACTTCTGTATCAGTTTGCAGCCCTATTAGGATTATCATCTATCTATGTTGTGGCTTTTTATAGTTAAGAGATCTTGGGATTTTACAGATGTGTTTTTATGACTTTTATATTGCGTACAAAAGTCAAAACCGAGTTTAAATGTGGGGATATATAATTTTCTACTCAGAATACAATTGTCAAATATGTAATGTTTTAAATTATTTAAAAATAAAATAGTTTTTAACTTTACATATTTGACGATTGTATTCTGAGTTAAAATAAAAAGTGAATGCAATTGAGCCTGTTGCAAAACTGCATCATTGTTGCTGTCAAAAAGAATATCAATGAATTTTAATTTATTGGGATTCCGTTTGAAAGACAATGCATTCCCCATAGCATACAGGCCTCCTCATCATTTATGTTCCTCCTCACCCCAAGCAGCTTCTGCAATTGAGCACTGCATGTGCATGCTGTGAAACTACTTGTGCTGAACCACACATATTATTCTTTCTCAGCTTTCCCCCTCCATGAAATATCTCTTAGCTTAGAATATTCTTGTTCCTGATTCATTAATTTCAATTCACTATTCGACAGCTAGTTTAATTAAGGAATCTGAGACAGCCCAATCTCACCTCCATGTAGAAGTAAGTCACATTTTCAGTGGTTTCACAGCTCTCTCTATACTCTACTGACTTCCATCTTAGCATCTACCACATTGTCTTATGAGTCTTTGCATGTTTCTTCTTCCCTCTTTCTCCTTTTTTTCCTTTTTTTTTTTTTTGAGACAGAGTCTCGCTTTGTCGCCAGGCTGGAGTGCAGTGGCATGATCTCGGCTCACTGCAATCTCTGCCTCCCAGGTTCAAGTGATCCTCCTGCCTCAGCCTCCCGAGTAGCTGGGACTACAGACACATGCCACCATACCCAGCTAATTTTTGTATTTTTAGTAGAGATGGGGTTTCACCATGTTGGCCAGAATGGTCTTGATCTTTTGACCTCGTGATCCACCCGTCTCAGCCTCCCAAAGTGCTGGAATTACAGGCATGAGCCGCTGCACTTGGCCATGTTTTTTCGTTCTTATAATACTGTTATGGGATCAGTGGGGTGTCACTTTTCTGGCCTGAAATGTCTGTACCTGGTGGCACATTTGCTCCAGTTTTGCTCGGACCCGCTGTGCTTGTTCTGCCCACTCAGCCTGGCATACTGCACTTGGCTCACACTACTGACCTGGATCCCATGCCTGCCAAGGGCGAGTAAGGTATGGAGCAGTGAGGGGTATGTGAGCAAATGTGGGGTCTGGCTACTGTACAGTCAGACACACTGGCTGGCTGTTGCAGTGGCGTGGACAGCTCCAGATACCAGCATGGGAGCCAGGTCTGTACAAAGCTATGGCTGGATCAGGAGCACTGCAAGCCACTTCCACAGCTGGCACTTGGGAACCCGGAAGCACCTGGAAGTTTGGAGATGCCAGGAACCACAGGGCCACAAAGAGGGAGTCATAGCCCTACCTCAGGGAGCTCCCAGCTCTGGGCTCCCCAAAGGGCCACAGCTCTTCTCTTCTCTTTGCCCACAACGTGGTAAGCAAGGGGCATATTTCAGCACTGTTTGTGTTACAGCATTTTTAGCCCTGCCATTTGATGAATCCTGAGTTCTTGTCCTGTGATCAGGAAGAATAAGATATGCAGACAAGTGGAGGATGAGCAAAATGAAGAAGAGCTTTATTGAGCAATAGAATAACTCAGAGGAAACCCTCAGTGTGTAGCTCTTTTCTGCAGCCAGGGTGTCCAAACAAGTGTTCAGCTCCTAGAAAAGAGGAGACCCTGGAGTGGGAGGCTTCTCTCTGCAGGCAGGTCATCCCACTGTCTCTGCAGCTGTCAGCAGAGAGGAGGCCCTCGATTGGGTAGCTCCCCTCTGCAGCTGGTCATCCTGATGTCTGTTCAGCTTTAGCTGAGCACAAGGCTTTTACGGTCTCAAAAGGGAGGAAGTGCATGTCAGTAGGCCGTGAACAGGCCTGGAAAAGGCACTGCAAGTTCCCACTCTAGTCTGAGGGACTGGCAGCCCGATCTCCAGACTTCAGGCCCTCCCTGACCTAAAGGTGGGACCTCACCAGGGACCTATCCCTTCCACTCAGGAGCCTGTCTGCTTTCTGCCTGCAGTCCATGGCAACCAGGCTGCTTACACCAAGGGGCACCTGTAGGCCAGTGCTGAGCTGCCGTTGAACCCCCTCAGCCTCCTCCAGCCCCCACACTTGTGGGCACCCAAAGTCCAGGGGGAGCTGAGGCAGCAGGGGGCTGGCATTGTCAGCACTGCCTTGAGCGTGTGCACCCCTGACTGGGCTGTGAGAGCACCCAGGCTTGGCCCCAGGTTGCTCTGAGATCGCAGTGGGTGCTGACAGCAAAGAGAAGCTGGAGGTGGAAGCATGCACTTCCAAGCCTGCAAGGGCAGTGAAGGGTGCTTCCTGGGCCCCCAAGAGCACAGAGATGCCCAAGTCCAGAGCCCCAACTTGAATACGTGCAGCTGAGCCCAAGGTGGGTGGGGACCCTGCCTGCTCCCAGTCCCCAAAAGCACATGGAGACCTGGGTCCATAGCCCCAACATGGGTAGCTGCAGCTGCAGCTGCACAGCCCGGGAGGGTGGAGCTGCTGCCTACTCCCAGCTTCTGCTGGCTCAGTGGAGCATGCAGCCAGAGACACTCCCCCTTGGAGCCTGGGGTTGGGGCTCTAGCTCCTTACTGGGCCTGGGCTCACGTCTGGGACAGGGGCTACATCTCCACGAGCTCCCCCTGTTGGGAGAGTCAGGCTCAGAGGTCACCCCAATGCAGGATGGCCTGGAGCAGAGCCTCCTTCCTAAGCAAAGGAATCCTGTGCTCTTGGAGTTGGCACAGTGGCTGCACTGCTGGCCAGGTCCCCAAAACAGGCGCTGCTCCCACTTCCCATCCTGGGTCCCCAAAGTGTGGCCCCAGCTCCACACCCTGGGCCCAGCCCCCATGCTTTGTGTGTAAGTGCAGCACTGCCCCGGGCCCAGCTGTGCCTTGGGGCCCCTTTTTGTGGGACAGCACTGCTCCTCCACCGGTGGGTGACCCAGCCTGGCCCCATCACAGCAGCCCCCACTGTGGCCTGAAAAGCCTGAAATATTTACCATCTGGCCCTTTACAAAAAAAGGACTTACAAATGCCTGGCTTAAAATGCCCATTAAAATTTGCCTGATGTAGAGAACTTTGTGGTTCCTTCCTCAATATTTTTACTACTCACAAATAATTTGTCTAAACTAATCATGGCAGTCTGGTTTCTTGTGAGAGTGATTGGTTTATGTTCCAATACAGACAGGAGATAAATCTTAATGGAATGTTTTGCATATAAGAAATAAATGAAAGAAACAAATGTACTTTTCATCTTTATAATGGTTTTTGCAGCTGAATGGTGCCTGCAACTTCTGTGACCATTTTGCCATGTTGGGACCAAGTGTGAATGCAAAGTTTGCACATAGAGGAGAACTGACCAATCGGAGAATGGAAAACTTCTTGATCATTGATGACAGCAGTCAACCAGTGAAGCCATCAAGCCTGGAGTTTTTCCTACTGCTGGAATTCTTGTCATTGCAGAAAATCAATGTTGTGTTCTGATTTGGGGCATTCTAGCTTGCAAATAGAGGCATCTTAGCTGACACCAAATGCTCCCTAAGGATATTCCAAAGATAAAATTGATGTCTTCATTTTGAAGGGCATTGATAAAGTTTTACATTTGTCTTTATTGTAGTGAAGATTTTTAAATTTAAAAAATAATGTCTGAATTGATTGATTAATTGCTTTATGCAGGCAGCAACACAGGGTGAAATACAAATAGGTGATTGACAAGTGCTGATTATTCAAGAGAAGTAGATAATCCATTTATGGTGATTATGTCTAGTTTTTCTTCGTTTTTTAAGTAGCTATTTTTTGAATGCAGAGTTTGTAATTACTCCAAATGAAGTCAAGACCCAAGACATAACAAAAAGATTAGAGTGTCTGAAGAAAACTGGATGGTTTTGACACATGTGAACTTATATCCTAGTCTGTTTTCATATTCCAAAAGCGAACCAAATTGACATTTTGGCTTTTCAAGGGTTTTTAGATTATAATCATATCTTTTTCCTTAGGTGAGAATTCTTGAGAGTATATGATTAATAGCATATTTTTCTGATTATAAGAAATCATTAATTTTAATAGTAAATGTAATAATAGATTTTGAAAAAAATGTGACATTAAAACACAGAAGTATTCATTATAAAGACATTCTAAATATCTTTATGTAACAAAAACATACCTTGTACACTTGAGGAATATGAAAAGTTAATATAAAATGGCAAATAAGAGATCACTGGTTAGGTCAATGGCTGCCGTAACACCATCTGTGTAGAAATCATATTCAAATGTCCCTCCCTCCACAATTTTCAGATGTATAAAAATTTATCAATTTTTCTTTGGAAACAACCTCAAAACCATCATGCTTTCATTTATTTATTTTTTTCTTTAAGTAATCAATCCCCTGTCTCCAGTATCTACCTCTCAAAATTACCTTTTCTCATTTTAAATATTACTTATTCAAAATGTTCCTGTCTAGTTTTTCAAAATCGTATTTATTTTTCCCCCATATCTTTCAAGCCACAGCAAAAGTTTATTACAGAATATTTATGTGTCTTTTGTGTGATCAGGGTTTTTATTGCCAAGACATGTGTTCCTATAGTATTAAAAGGCATTCCATTCTCAGTGGCAGCCGGCAGAAAATTTTGATGTCTATTCGGCCAGAGAAGCCTATGGAAATGATTTTAAATGTATCATTTTTGGAATTCAGATAGATACAAACCTGTTTGATGCATTTGAAGTTGCTCATTGAAAACCAGAATGTGTCAATGAACATGGAGACCGCTGAAAGAATAGTCATGGTCTGAATAGTGTAACAAAAATATACAAGGCAATATACATTTATAAATGGATGAAGAGATAGATAGGTGAAAAGATAGGTTAGAGAGAGAGATTCATACAACTCTGCTATGATATCTCTAAAATGAAGACAGGACATGTATATTAGCTCGTTCTCACACTGCTATGAAGAAATGCCTGAGACTGGGTAATTTATGAAGGAAAGAGTTTCACATTGCTGGGAGGCCTCAGGAAACTTCCAGTGATGGTGGAAGCCAAAGGAGAAGCAGGCACCTTCTTCACAGGGTGGCAGGACAAAGTGAGTGCAAGCAGGGGAAATGCCAGGCACTTCTAAAACCATCAGCTCTCCTGAAACTCACTCATTATCATGAGAACAGCATGAGGGGAAACTGCCCCCGTGATTCAATTACCTTCACCTGGTCCCACCTTTGATATGTGGAGTTTATGGGGATTACAATTCGAGGTGAGATTTGGGTGGGGACACAGAACCAAACCATATCAACATGTGAAGGAATGATTTTTTTTTTTTTTGCCACCCAGAGGGAGACTGAGATGTGCTTCTGAGATCGCTAAGCAGCAAAGAAGGCAAAACTCCTCCAAGCTCTAGCAGAGAGAGGAGCTATGCCAAGAGTCTCAGCGAAGAACGAGCAGAGGGTGGCAGAAGCAGACTACTCAGTAGGCTCTAACCACCGATTAGAGACAGTGGGACTGAGGCCCACAGGGACTGAGGGAGCAGCACCCAGAGTGGCTGGAGGACAGAGACACAAGTGTCAGTACCGGTGCAGAAATGTGGGGAAACTTCTCCCATTGGAAGGCCTGATTCATGTGCTGCACCAGAGAGTAGGAATGTTATAGGTGATTTGGGGGCCAAACTATCATTAGCCTGCTTTGGGATTTTTTTTGTATCTATAATGTATTTGTGCATTAATCAATACATTTTCAGTTTGCCAAACACAAGCAAAAACTTCAGAATATTCAAGGTAGATAAGTAGTAGCAAAACTTTTGTTAGATATGGGCAGAATGCATGTGATATGTTAAAGTATGAGATAGGTAATGTGGAAATAGGGCATGTGTATTAAACAGAAAGGAGTAGAAGTACTGGGAGATATTTACAAGCTAAATATCCACTATATGTAAGTATGCAGGAGCCACTAAATGTTCAGCATATAGTCAGCAGGCATGGATACTTAATTTTCATGAGGTTTTAAATTCAGCCACATGCTGATGACACCTATTCTGGCCTCAAATATCCTCTGCTCATATTAATTAATTAATTCATTCATCCCATAGCTGTTCTTCAGTCAAGCTTCAGCTTTGTCAAGTTACACATCCCCGAGTCTCTCCAATAGAGCAAGTGTGTAATTGGTCAAGGATACTGCTTATCTGTGGGCCCCTTTGTTTGAACCTAAATTCTGTCCTTGTATTGTGGCACCATCAGCAGAAAGATTGACATGGCAGAGAGTGTTGGGACAGCTGAGCATTGTATGCCACGGGATTCAGGCAGTGAGGACTTCTTACTTGCACCCTATGCTAAGTGTCATCTCTTTTGCCTTGCTTCTCACTCTGTGATTTAAAGCGATTCAATAACTGTGTGATTGAGCATTTTGATTTTGTTTGTGAGCTTCGCTGCTTAGTGCCCACTGGGCTGTCTTTCCTAATAGTGTGCACAGAGGTCCCCATTGCATCAAGACAAATTCCCGTGCAGTAGCATCACCAACCATCTTCTATATGACATATTTGTTTATTTTTGTTCCAAACCCTAGAAAAGTTCATGGAGACTAGAAGGTACTCCAGAAGTAATTGTAGAATCAAAGAATAAAGTTTAAAATTGCTCTTCCTTAGGAGCTACCCTATTATGACACTGAGCATTATTTGCAAAACATGCAGTTCAAACTTTAATAAAAATTTCAAGCACCTATAAGCCAGAAACTCTCATATTCATCCTTCCACTCACCTAAGTGTAAGAAACAATTTGCATGTTATGGAATAAAACTCTGTATTTATAATAGGAGAGGAGAAAAGTAATATAGCACCTACTATATAAGGTTTGTAAGTATGTTACATATAATGAATACACAGTATCAATGAGGGAGATACTATGATTAACTCCCTTTTACAAATAAGAAAACTGAGGCTCAGAAAGGTTGCATAATGTTTCCAAAGTCATGAAAGGTAGAATTTAAATCTCAAAGTCCTGCCTGTCATTTATAATGGAAAATCAGAGAGATTAAAGTAGTCACCTGAGATCATGTGATTTGGAAGTGGCTAGAAGGTAAACACCCTGACACCCATTCAGACTTTTGCCAAAACTCCTCCAATACCAAGCGCTTTCTATAAACTCATTCAGATGGTGTAAATGTTACAAAATGTAATGATATTAATAAAATGTTATAACAAAGTACTATAGTTTTATATAATATATGAAGTAAATATGAAAATAAGTATTATAAATATATTATAAAACAATTATTAATAATTTTTTAGAAATATTTTCTCTAACTGGGTTATTATTCTATAAGAGATCCTCTTGTAAATGGCCTTATATTTTTAATTTTGGTATCCACGTGTTCATAATAGACATCTTGAGGAATAGAAGATAAGAGGGAATATTTTTGTGGAAATAAATTAAGAGTAATTCAGTGATGTAAGAATTATGAAGAGACCCACAAAATATTTTGGATAAGTCATACTGAAATAAAGAGGATAGTTTTCCTTTAATTAAACCAATTACTGTGGGGATTAGCAGATGATACCATAAAAATGAAATATTTAATTTAGGAAAAAATGGACACTTTTTGAGGATTAACAGTCATTTCTTTGTAGTCAAAAAATTGAAATTGAATTAAGTAGAACAAAGCCTCAAGCCAAGTATGCCAGACTCATTAACAACGGCAAATATTGATTGAATATTCTCTCTTGCTTCACCGTATTAATAAGTATATTCACTCTGACTTCTGCCTATTCTGCTTCATGAAACAACCTGCTCTGTAAATCTGAATGCAGAGGAATAGTTTCCACTGAAATTAAAGGAGACAAAAATCCCCATAGCCATCATAATTCAAGTGTTCGGATTGTTGCAAAAATTATTCTTGTGGGTGGGAACTCTGGGCAGAACAATATTAAAATGGTATTTTGTGGGTTAACTGGACTTGATCAGACAAGTGATGAATGGAGTTCCATTTGCTTTGTTTCATAGATATGAGAAGGAGGGAGTGTGGAAAGTGGAAACAGAAAGGAAGAAAACTAATATTTGTTTTACAGTTATCAAACACCTGATACATTAAGTAGTTATTATTTTCTGAATGTGAGGAGAAGAAAATGAGGTTTTTCAAAGCTGTACAAATTGCCAGCGTCATTCAGACATTAGAGTTGGAGTCTAAGTCCAAGTATTTCTGAGTCCCAAGCCTCTGACCTTCTTGGTCATCTGAATGAACATAAACCAGAATTGCAGTTCATAAATATTGGACTCAGAGGAGGTAACCAGATTGTTCTCCTCTGTGGTCCAAATGTAGACTTAATGAAGAGGAAAGCAAATTTTATTTCATATTCCAGTCAGTTTTCCCCTACAAATCCATAGAGTAAATATCAGCACATTGGGTAAACTAGACAAAACATATTCCTCATATTTTCCCCAAAATTCCTGTGGCCAGAATTCAGTTGGCTCAAAGACCTTTTTTTAACCTACATTATTCACACACTATTGATTGGTTTTAGCAAGCTTTGCCCCAGTTTAATTTTTTTCATACAAAATTTCATGGGGACGGATTCGTCAAGTGTAAATTGCCTGTCATGATTTTATGACTCCCATTATCACTTCATCTAAGAAGCTCATTGAATTTTGCATGATGTAAAATCCAAACACAACTGAGAATGTGCATAAACATGCCTATATTTTATTTTTTTTCAAAGAGAATTGTAGACTATGCCTATATATACATATATTTAGTTTCAACTAAAAATAAATTTTGGTAATTTACATTTAAAAAAATTTTTTTCCATTAAAAAATCTTTCACTCAAGTATACTCAAACAAAAGTGATTGCTTACAATGAATGTTTAAGAATGCATTTTTTTTCTGGTCTAATATTCAAAAAGGGACAGTCATGTTAAGAGAGAAAAATGGGGACACCTTGTAGTCATTTCCCTTACTGTGAATTCCTATGCATTTGGCTTTTTAAACAATACTTTAATTTTATATTTACTTTAGATTTAGAACAATGGCAAAGGGGAGTAAAAAGTGTCCCTGTATACATCACATGCAGATTCCTTTTTAATACATCTTATATTACTGTGGCGTATGTGTCACAATTAATGACTGATATTGATATATTATGATTGACTAAAGTTCATACTTTATTTGGATTTCCTTAATTTTTTTTTTTTTTTTTTTTTTTTTTTTTTTTTTTTTTTTTTTGTCGAGACAGAGTCTCGCACTGTCGCCCAAGCTCGAGTGCAGTGGCCCGATCTCGGCTCACTGCAAGCTCCGCCTCTTGGGTTCACGCCATTCTCCTGCCTCAGCCTCCGGAGTAGCTGGGACTACAGGCGCCCGCCACCACGCCCTGCTAATTTTTTTTTGTATTTTTAGTAGAGACGGGGTTTCACCATGTTAGCCAGGATGGTCCCGATCTCCTGACCTCGTGATCCGCCCGCCTCGGCCTCCCAAAGTGTAATCTTTACATAATGTCATTTTTCTGTTCTGGAATCTCATCCAGGCCACGCTTAGGCTCTCCTACACGATGGCAGTTGCTCGAAATTGACTGGTTTTCGATGACCTTGATAATTTTGAAGATTATTTTGTAAAATCTTTCCTCAGTTTGGGACTGCTTGATGCTTCTCTCATGGTTAGACTGGGGCTATGGGTTTTGGGAAGCAAGACAACAGAGATAAGTAGCATCTTCCATACATTCATATCAAAAGTACCTATCATCAAGATGACTCCTCACTGCCTTGAGGGAGTATTTGCCAGGTTTCTTCACTGGGAAGTCACACTTTCCTCCCTGATTTCCCGTGTTATTCTCACTGGAAGGAAGTCACTAAGAGTAGTCCTCACTTAAGAAAAGGACTTTGGCCGGGCGTGGTGGCTCACACCTGTAATCCCAGAACTTTGGGAGGCCGAGGCAGATGCATCACGAGGTCAGGAGATCGAGACCATCCTGGCCAACATGGTGAAACCCTGTCTCTACTAAAAATACAAAAATTAGCTGGGCATGGTGGTGCATGCCTGTAGTCCCAGCTACTTGGGAGGCTGAGGCAGGAGAATCGGTTGAATTCTGGAGGCAGAGGTTGCAGTGAGCCAAGATCGCGCCACTGCACTCAAGCCTGATGACAGAGCGAGACTCCGTCTCAAAAAAAAAAAAAAAAAAAAAGAGAAGGACTTCATGGTCCATTCCTTGGAGTGGGAGAATTTACTTAACTTATCTGCACAAAGTTAAGTACCCAGTTCTCCCAGGCCTGATTTGATCTGTATCTCCAGAGTTTCTGAAGTCAAAAAAAAATGAAACATTAGGCATAATGTATATTATAAAATTGTGAGCTTTTTATAGATATTATTCTTAAAAAGTAAGATTAGACAAATTAATTGGGGGTAAGGTCACAAAGCTTTTAAGAAATGAAGACGTAGTTTTCACCTCGCTTTGACTCCAAATCTGTAATTTTTCCATCACTTTCTAAAGAGGAAGCATTGAGAAAGTTGGGTCTGTCTTTTAAGTAAGTTGCTTGACTTGGTTTGTGTCCAAATTTCCTAATTTCCTGGCACTCATTTGGTTCTCCAGATGGCTCTGGGGCGTTGCGAAACACCAAGAGCTATCGCCACTGTCTCATGCTGCACACAGGTGCACCACTCCTTGGCAGCCAACACACACCCAGATGCTGCCTTAGGGGAGCAAGGGATGCAGAGCCTTTTCCTGAAGCCAGACAAGCCCCTGTTGCCTCAGGGGACTTTCTTCCATAGAAGACATGGAGCAAAACTGCCAGTTGAAGAAACACACCCCAAAGAACAAAAATTGGGTAAGAGTGTTAGAAACATTAGGCATTTTTCCCGTTGTACCTGCAAACACTTCATCAACACTAGAAGCAGGCGGCTTACTACGTGGATTTTGATGTGCCTTAAGAAGGCAACCATGAAAGGCAAAAAAAAAAAAAAAAAAAAAAAAAAAGGATCATTTACGCAATAAGAATAAAAAATGTGCTCTGAAAACTCAACAAGTCCAATGATGTTGCTGATTCATGATTTTGAAAATAAAATAAAATAAAATATAACAATGCTATTGTGTGCTATATAGTACTTTTTAAATTAATACTGACAGTATTTGATGTCAAGTAATTTTGTATTCAGAGTTAGGAAAGGTTCTTTATAACTAATGGGGGCATGGCGCCTTCTATGTTTTCATCTATATTAGCATTTAAAAAGAATTAAAATGTAAATAATAAGCAATTATTGGTAATAAATCACAGAGTGCTTGCTGATGCTTTACACCATAGATTTATATTATTATGAAATTAGACTTTTGTTTTTCAGAATGGTTCCAGTTTCACAGCAAAACAGAGGTACAGAGTTTGGCCATATACCTCCAGCTCCACAGAGGCGCAGCCTATCAGCTTTTCAACATTCCCCAGGAGAGTAGTCCATTTTCTACAATTGATGAACTTGCATTAACACATCCTAATCACCAAGGTGCTTACTTTACATCAGGATTCACTCTTGGTATTATACATTGTATGGGTTGGGACAAATGTATCATGACATGTATACACCATTATAGGAGCATACAGAGTATGTTCACCACCCTAAAAATTATGTTATCTGCCTATTCACTTCTCCCTTTCCCCCAAACTCTCATGATCTTTTTACTGTCTCCATAATTTTACCATTTCTAGAATGTCATACAATTGGAATAATACAGTAGGTAGCCACTTGAGATTGACTTCCCTCACTTAGCAAAATGCACTTATGATTTCTCCATGTCTTTTAATGGTGTGATAGCTAATTTTTTTCAGTGCTAAATAATATTTCTTTGTCTAGAGTACCACAATTTATTTATTCATTCACCTACTGAAGGACACATAGTTGCTTCAATGTTTTGAAAACTATCAATAAAATTGCTATAAATATCTGTGTGTAAGTTTTTATGTGGACATATATTTTCAGGTCCTTTGAACAAGGAGTCCAATTGCTGGATTGTATGGTAAGTAGGTTTAGTTTTGTAAGAAATCACCCCCATGTCTTCCAAAGCATATGTACCATTTTGCATTCCCACCAGCAATGATGAGAGTTCCAGTTGCTCCACATCCTTGCCATCATTTGATCTTGTCAGTGTTCTGGATTTTGACCATTATAATAGGTGTATAGTAGTAACTCATTGTTTTAATATGTATTTTCCTGATGACAGATGATCTGTAACATCTTTTCATTTGTGTATTTATCGTATGAACGTCTTCTTTGGTGAGGTGTCTGTGAAGGCCTTTGGCCCAGTTTTAAAATCAGCTTGTTTGTTTTCTTATGGTTGACTTGTAAGAGTTATTTGCATATTTTGAATAACAGCCCATTATCAGATGTGTTTTTTGCAATATGTTCCCAAAGTCTGTGGCTTGTCTCTTCATTCTGTGACTTTTGTGAGGCAGAATTTTAAAATTTTAATGAAATACAGCTTATCAATTAATTCCTTCATGGATTGTGCCTTCAGTATTGTGCCCTATTGCCATCCTCAAGATCATGTAGGCTTTCTCTTTCATTATCTTCTAGGAGCTTTACAGTTTTACATTTTACTTTAGGTATATAATCTATTTTGAGTCAATTTTTGTAAAAATGTTAAGGTCTATGTCTACATTCTTTGTTTTGTTTTTTGCATGTGGCTCTCCATGTGTGCTACACCATTTGCAAGACTGGCTTTGTCTAGATTCTATTGCCTTGACTACTTTGTCAGAGGTTAGTTGATGATGTTTACACAGGCCTATTTCTTGGCTCTCTAGTATATTTCATTGATCTATTCTTTCACCAATACAATACATACTGTCTTAATTATTGTATTTTATAGTAAGTGTTAATCCAGATAGTGTCTGTCTTCAATTTTGTCCTCCTTCAATATTTTTTGCCTATTCTGGGTTTTTTGACTTTGCATATAAACTTTAGAATCATTTTGTTTATATCCACAAAATAACTCGCTGGGATTTTGATTGGTATTGCATCAAATGTATAGATCAAGTAGGAAAGAACTAACATCTTTACAATGTTGAGTCCTACTTTCTGTGAATGTGAAATATCTCTCCATTTATTCAGTTCTTCTTTGATTTTTTTTCGAAAGAGTTTTCTAACTTTCCTCATATAGATCTTGTACATATTTTGTTATATTTCTACCTATTTATGTTCGGGGGGTGCTAATGTAAATGGTATTATGTTTGAAAATTAAAAATTTAATTTGTTTATTGCTTGTGTATATTGAACGGATTGATTGACTGTTGCATATTAACTTTGTATCCTGTGTCTTGCCACCTTGCTATAGTTGCTTACTAGTTCCAAGAGGTTTTTGGTAAATTTTTTCAGATTTCCTACAAAGGTGATCATGTCATTTGTGAACAGATAGTTTTATTTCTTCCTTCCCAATATATATGCATTTTATTTCCTATTCTTGTCTTGTCTTGCTTATTAACTGGTACTTCCAGTATGATGTTGAAAAGTAGTGGTGAGAATGGACATCTTTACCTTGTGCCTGATTTTAGTGGGAAACATTCAAGTTTCTCACCATTAAGTTTAATACAATGTTAGCTGCAGAATTTTTGTAGATATTCTTTATCAACTTGAGGAAGTTCCCATCTATTTAGTTTTACAGTTTTTATCATGAATGGGTGTTGGATTTTGTCAAGTGATTTTTCTCCAGCTACTGATGTGATCACGTGATTTTTTTCTTTAACCTGTAGATGTGATGAATTACATTAATTGATTTTGAAATGTGTTGCATGTGTGTAATCAATCCTCTTTGGTTGTAATGTATAATTTTTTGCAAACATTATTGGATTCCCTTTGCTAACATTTTGATGATAATTTTTTATCTATATTCAGGAGAGATAATGGTCTATAGTATATATTTTTTTCAAATGTTTTTGTTTTGGTATTAGCATGATGCTGGCCTCATGGAATTAGTGGTTATTCCCTTTGTTTCTGTCTTTTGAGATTGTAGAGAATTGGTATGAATGCTTCCTTAAATGTTTGGTGAGACATACCAGTGAACCCATTTGAGCCTGGTGCTTTCTGTTTTGGAAGGTTAATAATTATACATTCAATTTTTTTAATAGATGTATTCCTATTCAGTTTTTTCATTTCTTTTTGTTTGTTTTTGAAGATTGTGTCTTTCAAAAAAATTGATCTCTTTCATCTAGGTTATCAAATTTGTGGGCATAGCATTGTTCATAGTATATGTTTATTATCCTTTTAAAGCCCATAGGTCTGTAATGATGTACCTTCTTTCATTTCTGTTATTAATAATTTGTGTCCTCTACTCTACTCTTCTCTTTTTTTTTTTTTTTTTTTTTTTTTTTTAGACGGAGTCTTACTCTTTTGCCAAGGCTGGAGTGCAGTGGTGTGATCTCCACTCACTGCAACCTCTGCCTCCCTGATTCAAGCGATTCTCCTGCCTCAGCCTCCCAAGTAGCTGGGATTACAGGCATCCGCCACCCTGCCAGACTAATTTTTGTATTTTTAGTAGAGTCAGGGTTTCACCATGTTGCCCAGGCTGGTCTCGAACTCCTGACCTCAGGTGATCTGCCCACCTCGGCCTCCCAAAGTGCTGGGATTACATGTGTGAACCACCACACCTGGCCCACTTTTTTTTTGTTTTATTTTGTTTTGTTTTGTTTTTTGTCTTTTTTTTTCGCCTCAGCCTGGCTAGAAGCTTATCAATTTAACTTTTTTGTTAAAACAATTTGTTTTTAAAGAATCGGATTTTGGCTTTATTGATTTTATCTATTGATTTCCTGTTTTTAATTTCATTGATTTCTACTGTAATTCTTATTTTTTCTTTTTATTATAGATTTAATGTGCTCTTCTTTTTCTAGTTTCCTAAGACAGAAACTCAGATTATTCATTTTAGATATTTTTTCCTTATATGCAATGCCATAAATTTCCTCCTAAGCACTAACTTTGATGAATCTCACAATATTTTCTTTTAAAATTTCAACTTTTCTTTTAGATTCAATTGTTTTCATTTTTATTCAAGTCAAAAATATTTTTAAATGTCTTTTAAGATTTGTTTTGGCCCTCATGCTATTTAGAAGTGTGTCAATCTCTACATATTTTTTGGATTGTCCAGTTATCTTTCCATTATTGATTTCTAGTTTAATTTTAATTTTATTGAAGTCTGAGATCAAACATTATATAATTTTTGTTCCTTTAAATTTGTTTAGGTATGTTTCATGGTCCAGAACATGGTCTATCTTGTTGAGTGTTCCACATGAGCTTACTGTTACTTTCTCTTTTCATAGCCTAAGGTAAATGGTTACAACCTTGTATTTTCTTCTGACCTGGGAAACACCTGTATAATGAGTAGCTGATACATAGCAAGCAAGCAAAAATGTGTTTCCTCAAGATCACTGTAAACTTATGAGATCTTTCCTTGCTCCATATACACCTGGGCAAGGCAGAGGATGAAGAAAATCACATTGGAATTGGGCAGGTCTAGCATTTGACAAGTTGACTTTGCCCTTTATCAGTTACCTTACTTTGGGGAATTTATTTAACATTCTTACCTAGGTTTTTTTCCTCTGTAAATGGGACTATATGTATCTCTTTGGATGAATTGATTTAAAAAGTAGACATGTGAATGTTACACTCCCTGACACATAATAGGTGAAGAATACAAAAGATACTTACTTTGCCTTAGAATGCAGCTTTTCCCAGCCTGTAGTAACTTATCTGTGTACTACCACACAATATTTTATATTAACTTATCAGTTACATTATAATTTTTACCTAAATGTTTTCACTCAGATGTTAACCTAAATATCTGTTTTTAAACAATTTTAGATAACTAGCATGAAAATAAAAATAGCATCACTTTATTTGCTAGCTGTTTTTTCTATACATTCAATAATTATAAAAAGTATGAATAATTGAATATATTCATAGTTTTTAGACTATCAACAGACAAATAAAACTTTGGCCTTGGAGTTTATGAGAAAAAAACTGCTCTAGGGATATTAATCTTTACTTTTTTCCCTTACACTACTATCATGTCTTCAGGCTGTAACAGAATGAGGCTAAAATTGTCATTTGTTTTATTTGCTGAATGAGGCTAAAACTGTCATTTGTTTTATGTGCTTCCACACAGATGATTCCACAAACTTTAGCATGTTGCAGAGTGGGATGAACATTATATTTGCAGTATGAAAATTAGATCAAATGTCTAATTCATTCCTTGCATCCATGTGAAAATGGAGAAGTTGCTTACTTAGATTCCACAGGAAGAACACAAAGAGAAAATAAGAAATTATTAAATCATAAAAAATTGAACAAATAAATATAACCATATTATACTACTTATCTCATGTATGAAGAATAATTGCTTCAGTGATTAATATAAACAATGGTGGTAATCTATTCAAAATTTATTTTTAAAAAGTCTTATGTGTATATGTATATATATGTAGATATATATACACACACACGAATATATATATTCCTAGCACATATATATAGCATTATATATATATTATATATAGCATTATATATATAGAATATATGTGTGTGTATATATATATAAAATGGAAGTTAGAAGTTATGTCTTAATTAGTGAGATTATTACACAAGCTTGTTTATCTCATCCCCATCTTGCCCTTTAGGCTTAAACCTCTTAGGGTAAGTACCACTGCTCCTTGGTCACCACTTTGTATTTAATACTTGGTCCTTAGTAGGAGCTCAGAAAAAGATAAAGAGATACACACATCTATGAAAATATAGATGCATATTTACTAAAGTCCTTTTCAGATATGAAATGATTTGGCTGTGATCACAATATTATAAAATTATTAACTGGTGAGCAATACGATATGAGTCACCCTTGAGCAAAGCAGTCCCCCAGAAAAAGATTACATGGGAAAGGATCATATTGAGCTGTAATGGTGGGGAAAGCTAAGCTATTAACTAAAATCTGTTCTCTACTTCCATTATAATTATGTTGTACCTGAGAAATGGTAAACCAGCCACTACTTTATGTCTCCTTCCCACAAAGGTACAGCAGTGTGATTCAATGCTAGCAATAACATGAGTGAAGTGAAATGTACCACTAGAGGAATAATGAAATTTCCTGCTGTGATTTCTACATGCTTCAACCTGGAAGAACTACTCTGGAATCCATATATAACTACAAAGGTAGGAGATATTATAAACAAACAGTGCACACAGAAAATTAGATCAATGGGGAACATCACACACCGGGGACTGTTGTGGGAGGGGGAGGGGGAAGGGAGAGCATTAGGAGATATACCTAATGCTAAATGACGAGTTAATGGGTGCAGCACACCAACATGGCACATGTATACATATGTAACAAACCTGCACGTTATGCACATGTACCCTAAAACTTAAAGTATAATAATAATAAAATTAAAAAACAAAAAACAAAAACAACAACAACAACAAAAAAGAAAATTAGATCAATAATGAACCTTCACATCCCCTGTAAGTTGGATTCCTAGGTATTTTATTCTCTTTGAAGCAATTGTGAATGGGAGTTCACTCATGATTTGGCTCTCTGTTTGTCTGTTATTGGTGTATAAGAATGCTTGTGATTTTTTGCACATTGATTTTGTATCCTGAGACTTTGCTGAAGTTGCAACCTGCAAACAAGACATTATTAGATAAACAAAAATCTGTTTTCTGAGAATTTTTAAAAACTATGTGACATAGGAATGTCTTTAGTGAGACTCTTGCTGGTAAACTATTTTGGAGTGTGAGTGTGTGTTGTGTGTGTGTTTGAGTGTGTGTATATATTGAAAATGTCTTAATTATTAAATGCTCATTTGGTTGGTTAAACAATTTTGGTTTGATAATTATTTTTCTCTGTACATCGAAAAAATTTATTATTGCTTTTCTATCTTGTGACTTTATTTTTGCTGATGGGAAGGGTGCTGTCAATCAAAGTTCTGTTCCCTAGTAAATAATCCGTGTTTCCTCTTGGCTGATTTAAAATTGTACCATTTCTTGTTCTTTTCACCATGATGTATTTAGAGGTGGAATTACTTTTATTTATTCTGCATAATTTTTGATAATTTCTAAATCTGAATATTAGTATTTTTCTTCTTTACTTCTGTAACATTTTCAGAATGTTCTTTAAATTTCCATTACTTTCTTTTAATTTTTATCTCCTTCTTTCTCTATATGACATGGCTTTTTCTGGGTTGGTCTCATACCAAACTTCTTTTTATTTGCTACAATAGATTTGAATTTCCTCTTTATATTTTTTCTTTGCTTTGCTTCTGTTTCTTATGTTCAGTTTAATTTCTTTGTGTGTATCTCTTTTTACAAAATTTTACTTTGACTTTGTCTAAGTTGCCGATTCACCTATCTAGTGTAATTTTAATTTCTAATATTTGCCTTTATGTATTAGGCTAAGATCTTATTCCTGGATCACATATTCAACTTTTTATTTTACTTTTCAAAACATTTGAACTTATACATTATTCAATATATATACTCCTTTGAATATATTCTTCTTCAGACTCTCATTTATAGCAGTATGTTTTTCCTTTTGTGTTTCATAATTTTGGATAATGTACTCATTTTCAAACAGCAGAACTTTGTGGGAATGGTATGTGAAAATACATACCAGTAAAGATTATTTGCATTTGGCTTGCAGTTCCAGGGCAACACAAATCTGTGAGCATTTTAAATTAATTTTTTTGATAGAATTTTGACTATGTGTATGACTCTTTAGAGGGCACATTGTCCCACAAAGAGCAGAGTTAGCAATTCTTTTTTTTCTTCTAATCTGATTTTTCACTGAGGATATAGATTATAGACTTCTGAAGGTTCCGGATTTATTTTCTTTCTATGTTCTATATCACTCTCCATTTTGACCTTTAAAATATTTTTAAATTTCTAAATAATATACACATACTGTTTTAAGGCAAACTATATACTTAAAATAAATAATAAAGCAAGAGATTTTTATGTTTTGGTCTACAGGAATCCATTCAAACTCAATATGTCTAAGTTAATGAGATATGGAAATACATTCAGAGCAGCCATACATGTGATGTCAACATGTCAGTAGGATTTTGTACTCTTTCTTCATGTTGGATGCCTGGGGAACCTTTCTTAATATTTTATAAACACAATCATACTTATAGAAATATCCCTGCTAAATCATGCCCACAATTTCTATTAGATACTTTTTCTAAAATCAAGAGGTATTTTAATGTAAATTCTATAATCTCAGAAATGAAAGTTTCTTAGCATGTTTTCTTCTTAATGATTGGATGAAGAGAGGAATGCATTAGTAATGCAGGTATATATAAGACTATTTGGAGAAGGAATTTTTTAGATGGTGAGAGTTGATGGAGTCCAGTATACAAATTGAAGTTTTGGACTTAGAAAGGCACTACGATAGTACATCCAATGTAACATGAGGAAGAGAAGTGTGTGTGTGTTTGTGTTTATGTGTGTGTGTGCATGGACTTAAATACATATATATAATTGGTAATAGAAAAATAACTCATACGTATCTGATGATTTCTATTTTTCCAGTGAATTTACAGTGAGGCATCAGCTGAGACTGTGTAAGGAGGAAGTTGTATTTAAGTTGTATATAAAATAATCATCTCAGGTCATTGCAAATGGAAATAACTAGGAAAATATTGAGACATTATTGGGCAGTGCTAAGGAACACTTAAAATTTGTTATCTTAAAGTAAGTTCAGATTGACAGATTTTATTTATTTATATATATAAACTTAAATTTACATATACATTTAACATATTTATATATTACTATATATAAATATATAATATATGGTAATATATATAATGCACCTTATATATTATATAATATATATTAGCTATATAAAATATATAGTAATCTCATTCAACAGTTAAGTTTGTATGAGGTTAGATTAGTCAGTTTTACTAGACTTGATTTTGGTCATATATGTCATTCGAAGGTGTTCAGACTCTGTGAAAAGCAGCACTGGCATCAGACTATTGAATCTAAGTTAGATTAGATGAGAAATAACACAAAGAAGATGTTAGCAGTGAAAAGCAGTTGGATCACTCAGCCTCATGCCACTATACGGCTGAGAATATGTTGGAGTTTGGATAAAATCATAAGTAAGTTTTAAAGGTAAGATATCATGTTTAGAAAACAAGATAATGGAAATCAACATTTCAGAAGTGGAAAAGTAGACTTGAAGAGTTTGAAGACCTGATGAGTCAGAGTACTAGGTGGAATTGCATGGATGTTATAGTCATTAAAAAAAACGATGCTGTTGCTAGTACAGAAAAGCATGCAGAAAGTGAAATAATTAAATAATTTGTGAATTAAGAAAAGTAAGGAAATATTGGTAGCATGCTGCAGTATGGAGTAATATATCAATACATCCACTGATGGTAGACTGATTGCACATCAGAGGAATTAGCCCTTTGGTGAATGAAGGGAAATTTCTACATCGGGAAATGAATTTTGGCAATTATTCATTATCAGAACAAAAGATAAGGTATCTAATGTGCATTTCACTTAGTAAACTTAAAAATAAATATCAGTACATTTCACATTTATATCTTACTTTTATAATTCATGAAGTCATCCTCTACACATATTCCTCAAATAATTCATCTTTATTACTTGACCATCTTTGAATACCCAATGTATATTTCTTCATAAACAGAATCAAGGTTTAAACAGGTTTGTATTTTATTTATTAAATAGGAAGATATATAACAATATGGCCAGTTCATGTCAACAAACCTCCTGGATTTTGTGGGCTTTAAGCATCTGTTCCACACCTCAGTAGAGCATATTAAGCACCTTTTAAATACTTGGAACCCTTGGGATCTCAGCCTGGTCAAGATTCTGTTACCAGATGTGTCTCAATACCAAAAGTGCTGCTTTTGGGTGGATGTAAAGTTACTGAGCCTTTTCTCTAACTATTTTGGGCTCATTTTAATTGCAAAAATAAATAGCACTTGGTGACAAACTCATGAGAACACAGAAAGAAAACCCTTCAGGTATCAAAGAAAACAAATTATACAAAGCACATCAAAAATTTAGGATTGGGCATTATGTGTTAAGTTTGAATAATTGGAGTCACTAGACAGCTAAAAATGTAACAATAATAATGATGTAATTGGCATTAAAACAAATCTGACAGATAAAATGTATAATGTTTTAAAAATATTTCTACCTGAAAATTCAGGTTATGAAAGCAATAAAAAATACTTGAGCAAAAACAATATTTGACAGCTTACAGTTTCCCTGGGGAGACAAGATTGCATCCCAATGTGATCACCTTGCCACTGAAATATCCTTGTCTATTATACCTCTTGTCCCCTCCAGACCCTTTTAACCAGCCTGAAAGTCAAATGTACATTAAAAGCACAAGACCTGAGTTTCATTGTCATCTTGTGATGAGTCAAATTTCCAAGGTGGAAAACTCCCATTTCACTTAAGAAGTAATTGCCAAAAAAGAGATGCCGCTTGGCATCTCACTGCTTTCTCCTCCATTGGCATGATTTTACTATAGGTAGAGTTTTGGTTTTGTTCCTTTTTGGTTTTTGTTTTTTAGTCAGGGTCATACATTGCAGTGGGTGTGTGTGTGTGTATGTATGCATGCATATGTGTGTGTTCACATGTGTTTACATGAGGAGCACTCTGGTGATAATTCCTTAAAGAGACCAGAAGTTCCTGAAAAAGAGAAGCGTGCCTGCCATGTTTCACTTGAGAAAATAGAATGTATTAGAGGAGTCATATATTTTCTTTCCCAAGTTAGGGAAAAAATATTGGTCTTTAATTTCTTATCTGTTTGCCTTTAATCAAATTATGTATTGTCTCTCCATTGAATTCTTCATTTGTAAAGTGGAGGTAATAATTGTAACAATTATTCAAACTATAAATGTGAGGATTTGGTAAAATGTGTGCGATAATTCCAACACAATGTCTGGGACATATATATTCAAAATATGGTCATGAGTGTTTAAAATAATGACAATTGCAATGTCCCCTCAAATGATTGTAACTACCAAATTCATATCTAGAAATTCTAACTCAAGGTAATATTAAGAAGTGAGACTTTTTTGAGGTGATTAGATAATAAGGGTAGAGCCCTTATAGATGGTATTAATTATCTTACATAAAAGGCTCAAGGGAGCTTATTTGACCCTTCCATTATGTGAGGACATAGCAAGAAGGCACCAACTATTATTCAGGCAATGGGCCTTCATCGGATACAAAATCTGCCAGTACTTTGATGTTTGACTTCCAGCCTCCAAAACTGGACAAATAAATTTCTGTTGTTTATAAGTGGCCCAGTTTATAGTATTTTGTTATAGCAACCTGAGTGGACTAAGACAACAATAATTTTATACTGGTATTGGGATTTTTGGTGGCAGTGAGAAACAAAACCGTGCTTATAGATTTCCTACAGAGACACCAAATTAACAACAATATATAATCCAAAAAGACATTATGAAAACTCAAAAGACAGTTAAAAGTAATAGTACCCCAGATAAGTGCAAAATCAATGAAAGCTGCATTGAAATGTCTAAGAATATCTGTTGCATTTTACTCTCAAAAGCTATCCCTTCAAGCAAGCAGAACTTGGTGCAATTGGAAGAAAACACCCAACATACAGTTTCTCCCTTGAAAGGGAAAGAATGAGGAAACATACGACAATTTATTTTTACTTTTTCAAAAGAATACTTGAAGAACTAGCTTCTGTTTCCCCTGACTTGAGCACTATGGAAACTCATATATTTTGGATGCCTGGGAGCCACAGAAAAGAAGGGAGAGCTCAGTGGGTTGCTGCAGCACCAGAGAAGCATCTGTACCACAAAAGAACACCAGAGGCAGCAAGAGATTTTGGTCTCATGGAAAATTAACTGGTAAACCTCTGTAATGAAAAAAATTCATGCACAAGGCTAGAGAACATACATCTCCAGAAAATATTTGAGAGGTCTCAGAATATCTAGCTGGGAAGACTGGTAAACATGTTTCTCTGGGTGAAGCTAGTCTGTAAAGAGAGAGAGATGGCCCTTTTTTCCAATATCCAAATCTCAGAAAAAAAAGAAAAAGAAGAAAACATAAAGAAACAGCAAATTTTGGCCCAGTCAAAGAACTAAATTATATTTCCAGAAACTGAGTCTCAAGGAAAAAAGATGTAAGAACTATTTGACATAGAATTGAAAATAATCATCTTAATGGAGCTCAGTGAACTGAAAAGAATGCAGATAGACAATTAAACACGTTTGAAAAGTGATGCATGAACAAAGTGAGGTAAAACTATAAAAAAAAAAACCTTTCACATAGAAATTCTGGAGCTGAAGAACACAATAACTGAACTGAAAACGTCACCAGAGGTGTTTAACAGCAGACTTAATCAAGCAGAAAAAAAAAGAATAAAATTTAAAAGCTAAAAAAGGAAAGAAAAATCACAACAATAAAACTATGCTAATGAATAAAAATATGACATGATATAATTCGTCAAGGCACTTGGATCTCTCCTGTTGCCTGCTTGGCCCTCCTCTAAGCATATTTTACTTCCTTTAAAAAATTCATAATTAATAATAATTATTTGTTAAATTAATAACATGAAGAAGTGGGGAAAATGTAAAAAATTAGTTTTTGTATATGATTTAGGTTGTTATCAGTTAAAAATATATGGTTACCTCATATAAGATGTTTTATGTAATCCACGTGGTAACCAAAAAGAAAATACCTATAGAAAATGCACAAAAGAAAGATAAATAAATGCAAACACATCAACTTAAAAAAATCAGTGAAATACAAAGGAAGACGGCATGAGGGGAAAAGAGGAAAAAAACAACTGTAAGACACATAGAAAACAACTAACAAAATGAAAATAGTAAGCCCTTCCTTATCAGTAAGTACTCTGAATGTAAATGGATTATATTAATAAAATTCATAAAGTTGAATGGATAAAAGGCAATCAAAACAAAACAAAAGGCAATTATATGCTATCTATAAAAATTCGTTTGAGACGTTAAAACACGTATAGGCTGAAAGTGAAAAAATGAAAAAAGATATTCTATGCAAATGATAACCCCAAAAAAGCAGGAGTGTCCATATTTATAACACACAAAATATACTTTAAGTCAAAAACTGTAATAAGAAACAGGGAAGGACATGGATAATAAAAGGATCAATTCACCAGGAAGATATAATAATTAAAATATATACGTACCCAACATCAGAGCACCTAAATGGATAACAATGATTAATAAATCTGAAGGGAGAAATAAACTGTAATACCACAATAGTAGGAGATTTCAATACCCTACATTTAGTAATGCATGTAACAACCAGAACAGAGACCAGTAAGGAAAGAGAGGACTTGAAAGAGACTACAGACTAATGAGACCTAAGAGATATAATACAGAACATTCCACTCAACAGCAGCAGAATACATATTCTTTTTCAGAGCACACTGAACATTATTCAGGATAAATTACATGTTAGGCCACAAAACAACCCTTAACAAATTTATGAAGATTAAAATTATACCAAGTATCTTTTCTGACCGTAATGAAATGAAATTCCAATCAATAATGAGAGGAAGACATAAAGTTAATACTCCTGCACTGTACACTTAAAATGGTTACGATGGTAAATTCTGTGTTATGTGTCTCTTACAATAATAAAAAAAAAGATTGTATAACAAGGTTAAGGAGAGAATATTGTGAGGTCAGCCAGAGGGGTAGAAATAAAACCAAATAAATGTTATGTAATGGAAATCATAAGAAGAGAATGTATGTCAAAAAGAAAACAATTCACAACCGTACTGAATGCTTCAGAGAGGTCAAGGAAAGTAAGGACAGGAAAGTACATTTGGGATTTGGCAACACAGATGTCATTAATCTCTCAGCAAGAATCATCTCAGTAGAACAAAGATGGGTTCAAATGGTTGCAAGGCTAAGGACCTGATCAAATAATTTATCATCTAATGGATACTTTTGAGAATAAAGAGGATGCTAAAACAATGAACAATTGAATATTTCAAAAATGTTTAGTGTGCAACGCTTTGGTTTTAATTTGCTGGCGGATTTACAAAACTTTTCATTGGGCTGCTGCAGGCCTGAAAAAAAGAACAAGGATGTGGTTACTACTGGGACCAGAAAGTGCAGTCTTCAGGTAGAGAAATATTTCTTAAGACCCTTAGATCCAGCACATTGTTAGGTACTTCAAACTCAAAGACCTTTAGAAGAGTTAAAATGAATGAATAAATTACTTGCAGTTTTGCAAGCTGGTTCACCTGGATCTTACAAGCCTGAAATCCATGCCCTCTTAGGGAGATGGCCTGAAGCAGTGGGGGAAGGTTACTTAGGAATCTCAGACGAAATGGAACGTCAGTGTCCATGGATGAGAGACAGATGGAATAGCCTACTTGGAGTAGTTGCGTAGACATCTGCCCCCTGTAGTTGCCAGGAGCAACAGAAGAGACAAGTCCAAAGGCGTTGAATATCCATGAGGTGGGTTTCACAAACGACCAGGCATTCTTCCTTCAGGTTACAGACGTATGAACTGGTCCCAGCAGGGACTAAGAAGAGGGACAAGGTGCAGCAAACGGGAAGCAGGAGGCATGGGCAGTAGAATTGGGATGGAACTTCCTTGTTACTCCCCTGTCCTTCCCCGGTTTCGTAGTAGTCAGTGCACTTGGCCTCAGAGCTTTCTTCTGAGAGTCCTGAACTCACTCTACCTTTCTAAACGGAACCTTGTGTTAAAAGGTGAAGTTTGTCCACTGCACATGCCTTAACTCATTATTAGGCACAATCATGGCTGAAAGTTAGAAAACTAAGGTAAAATTCTATCAAATCTATCCTGGCATAGGTTAATGCTAAAATTAATGATTAATTTAAAAATAAAAATCCTGGATGGATGTTAAACCGAATGGACAGATGACTACACAAGAGGCCTAAATGGGTGAGATTCTCATCAAACCAAGAGGAATGTTCACCATAGCACAAAAGTGAGGAGAGGACACAGGGCACAGTCAGTTCCTTCTAAAACTTTGTTGATGACAAGAACAAAGACACAAAATGAAGTACAGGTTGAAGAAGGATATTTTAAGACATGAATGAACTGACCATGTTTATATATGAATAGAAAAGTGCCAGTAGAGAAATACAGGATTTTCATTTAAAAAGCATATGAATACTTTTCCAAGTAACTAATTTGTTAATGCAATTTCAATTTAAATCACAATGATACTTTAATTGCGAAAGGGTGGCAAAATATATAGATAGAAATTATAAATAAATAAAAATGGCAAAAGACTTTTTAAAATAAAGCTAACTATAGAAGACTAATAATATATTACATAAAATTTATTATAAAGCCACAGCTTGACCCTTTTTAGAGACTCCTGAAAGTATTTCTTCCTCTTTGACCACATGCTCCTTCTGCCAGCTCGTGTGTGTACATATATATATGTACACATACATATATATACACACATACATATATAACATAGATATATATATGTTACAGAAGAACACATTGCTAATGGCTAAATAGATGGGCATAATACTCTTTTCTTTTATGCACCGAATATCTTCCCAGAGAACATACTGTATGTGAGATATTATGATACGAGTTATAGAGTTTTATAGGAAGGAGAAAGAAAAGTGAAAAAATGACTAGAGAGTAGTTCCTGGAAAAATTGAAAGCACATAAATTTAGTACACTAAAACCAGGTTTTTCATATGAAAAAGTACCATCACTGGCCATCAGAAAAATGCAAATCAAAACCACAATGAGATACCATCTCACACCAGTTAGAATGGCAATCATTAAAAAGTCAGGAAACAACAGGTGCTGGAGAGGACGTGGAGAAATAGGAACACTTTTACACTGTTGGTGGGACTGTAAACTAGTTCAACCACTGTGGAAGCCAGTGTGGCGATTCCTCAGGGATCTAGAACTGGAAATACCATTTGACCCAGCCATCCCATTACTGGGTATATACCCAAAGGACTCTAAATCATGCTGCTATAAAGACACATGCACACGTATGTTTATTGCGGCACTGTTCACAATAGCAAAGACTTGGAACCAACCCAAATGTCCAACAATGATAGACTGGATTAAGAAAATGTGGCACATATACACCATGCAATACTATGCAGCCATAAAAAATGATGAGTTCATGTCCTTTGTAGGGACATGGATGAAATTGGAAATCATCGTTCTCAGTAAACTATCGCAAGAACAAAAAAACCAAACACCGCATATTCTCACTCATAGGTGGGAATTGAACAATGAGAACACATGAACACAGGAAGGGGAACATCACACTCTGGGGACTGTTGTGGGGTGGCGGGAGGGGGGAGGGATAGCTTTAGGAGATATACCTAATGCTAAATGACGAGTTAATGGGTGCAGCACACCAGCATGGCACATGTATACATATGTAACTAACCTGCACATTGTGCACATGTACCCTAAAACTTAAAGTATAATAATAATAAAATAAAATAAAATAAAATAAAAAAAGATTTGTAAATCTAGCTGTCACCCCCAAGCTTCCAAATATAAAAAACTTAAGTCACTGCCAAGAACAAACTGCTTTGAAACAAGAGGTATCTTTACAGAGTACGAATAGAAACACCAGTATTTCAGTGATCTTACAAAAGTGTCAACGATTCTTTTTCTCATAATCACAGAATCTTCTACTCTACACACTATACTTGCTCTAGTGGACATACATCACACATCATCTTAGTGGTAACACTTTTTCTATGTTTGGAGAATTTTCTATATCATAATTATGTCCTCCTTACCTTCAGTATTAGAAACTATCCTTTTGTTTGCACCAAATCTTTTTCTCTTAGATTTCAGACATGTGAACTAGACTGCAGCACTTGTCTGCAGTCAAATAAAATCAAATCTAGGATTTGATTTCATTTGCAAAAAGCAATATGATGACGTATGTCTCACATAGAAGTTTGGTAAGGATAGTGATAAAGGTGTCTGGATTTGTGAAACAGTAGTTGAAGGACTTTCAGGGCCAAGTGCAAGCATCATCAGAGTGATCTATTGTGCCAACACAGGAGTGGCATAATAGTAACTGAGGATTGTTCACGGATATAGAGATTCAGAGCTTGACTCTTCAGCCATGGTGAAGATTCTGAAATCTATCTTATATCCCTAAATTATTTATTATTTATTTATTTTTGCTTAAACTTGTTAGAGTAGATCCTGTTTCTTGCAAGTACAATACCTAGCATACTTTCCAAAACAGAACTTACCAACCTGTGATTCCTTACTTCCCTTTGTAAAAACTGAGTTAGATTCCGTTTCCATGAAAGCCATCATTTTATCTACACGACTTTGAAAGTGTAAGCATCCTAATGTTACAACTCGAAGAGAGAGTAATACTAATCTCTTAAGAAATATTACAAATGTAACATGTTATCTCCAGGAAGAAGAATTTGAGATATTTGATAGTTTCAAGAGGTAAGTAAACACACATATGCACATACACACAAACGCACACACACACACACATGATGGGAGTACTTCGGAGCCATGTGACTTTGGACTTATGTCCCAAATAAGAGAGGTAAACTTTTGGTTTAGTACAATGCCTATCTTAAAGTAAATCTTCAGTAAATGGTATACATTATAAATTCATAGGTGAATACAGTTATGTTTAATTACTTCCCATAAGAAAGTAAGCTGATATAATAAGGAGATGTTTAACATGTACCTTAATATCTGATAGCTTTGGTGTTCATTAATAAACTCCTTCTTGGATGATTATTAAGAAAATTTCAGGCCAGGACCAGTGGCTCACCCCTGTAATCCCAGCACTTTGGGAGGCCAAGCTGGGTGAATCACTTGAGGTCAGGAGTTCGAGACCAGACTAGCCAACATGGTGAAACCCCCTCTTTACTAAAAAAAAAAAGAGCAGAGCCTGGCAGCATGTGCATGTAATCCCAGCTACTCCAGAGGCTGAGGCAGGAGAATTGCTTGAACCCTCTGAACCCTGGAGGCAGAGGTTGCAGTGAGTCCAGATCACGCCACTGTCCAGTCTGGGTGACAGAGTGAGACTCTGTCTCAAAAACAGAAAATTTCATGAGACAATGTATAGAGCACACCAAGTTCTTGGCCTGGTACTTCTTCAAAAACTATTCATGATTCCACTGTGACACCCTCAGATCATCTAATTTCTACAGTCTTTGAGGAACTCTGTAAAGGAAAAGGAGAATGAACATTAATGTTGAAAATATATTAACAAAAACAAAGAGCTATTGATACATGCAACAACATAAATGAATCGCGTAAGTATTATGCTAAGTGAGAGAAACCAGACCAAAATCCCATCCCTTTACGTGAGATTCTAGGAAAAGGTAAATTTATGTATACAAAAATTGATGTGTTTTTCAAAAATCAGAGTGTAGGGGGAAGGGAGTTTATGCAAATGGAAGTAGAGAATTTTCAGGCTTATGGAAATATTCTATGGCATGTTTGTGGAGATATTCATTTGTCTAAACCCACTAAAATGTTCACTTAAAATTAATAAATTTTATTGCATGTAAATTAGACCCAAATAAAGCTAATAAAAAAAATCACATGTGATTTGGTCCTGTCTCCTTGAGCCATGTGTAAACACATCTTCTAAAAGTTTCCTTTCTTGTTTTGTCTGTGCATAGTGAAGTTTACATGAAAATCTTGTTTAGGTGCGATTAGTTTACTATCAGCTGCCCTGTGGATTTTATTAATCTTGATATGATCTTGAGCAACTAACTTTTTTTAAGACTCTTGATTTCTTAAAATGGCGAAACTAAAAAAGTGGATTTTATTAATTCTTGGAATGCTGACCTTCTACTATCAATGAACATATTAAGAACAAAGCTCACTAAACATAACTAACATTTTTCTTACTAAAGTTGGCTATTTTGTCAATAAAGAAAAGATATATTCAAGTGGATCAAAGGATACATCCATGTGAGTCAGTTCCTTCAGAATACTTGCTGGTTGTGTGAATGTGTGTTTCATTTTGTTTGTTTTCTTGTTTTATTTTGATTTTCAGATGACTAATGTTTTCTGTATGATTTCACCAAAATGACTAAAATAGAGATTCTGTAATGAATTTTAAAACAAGGGAGTAACCCCACCACTTAATGTGACGACACTGCTTTTAAATTGAAAGGCTCTTTCCATATAAGTTTTCTTTCCTTTTGTGAGGCAAGCATTCCCCTAGCTGGTTATTAGTAGCAACTGTCTTTGGCTTGATCCCAGGTGCACAAGAGAGATGATGACTCAGTCTGACAACATTTCCATTTCCTTGGTAAGGATCACTTATGAAGTGCCTTTAATCATTTATGAGTACGTTTCATTTGCTGTTTGCTGCAAACAGCTTGACTGTGCTGAGTTTGACAGCTTTCCGACATTCTGCAAACAGCTGCAATAATAGCCTTGACAATGTCATTTACAAATGAGGCACATGCAATATGAACAAAGCAACTGATACACTCTAAGTAATATGGTAATGGAATGGCAAGTGGTGTGGAAAGCAAGATAGAAATGATATTGTATCACCCTGTAGGAGAGGTGAGTTCCTGCACAGAGGAAAGAATTGCTAAAATGCATGCTTTTAATCATGTAAATACCATCGCCATGAAATTTTCTGAAATAACGGCTCTGGATAGTGTGGGATACTTTACCTTTCCCTATTACCTCTGAAGTCTATTCCTGCTGTTGACTACAAACCTTCCACATTATATTTTCTTATTTAACCAAATTTTGAGCTTCCTGAAAGTGAGTCCATAACTTATTCTATTCCAATGCCTAGCATAGTGTTTTATACTTATCTTATAGCTAATACATCTCTAATTAAATCTGTACTGTCCTTTCTCCATTTAGATCAACCAATACATTTTTAAAAATATATACACATATATAAATTTCTTAAATGTGATACATATATGTATGCATACGTATATACAAATGCATATATATGTTTATATTTTGAAATACAAATGTATTATGTATTATTGTGTGATCCTAGCTGACAAGTCTGAGATTTGATGCACATAGTCTCTTTTGCTTAACATTAGCAAATTTGAAAGAAGATTCATAAATTATTTTAAATCATGAAGTCTGAAGGATCAGCCCTCACCACTCATATTGGTTATATAGGAGAAAAACTATGAAACATTTGCATTCCTTCATCAGGAATTCTTTTTAAATATGTCTTTTAAAGAGTAGTTTTAGATTCACAGCGATATCTAAAGGAAAATCTAGAGATTTTTTATACACCACCTACCTACCCTCATATTCGCACAGCCTCGCTAACTATAAATATTCTGCACTGGAGTGTTTATTTATTACAGTAAATGAACCTATATTGACACTCCGTTATCACCTAAAGTCTGTAGTTTACATTAGAGTTTGCTCTTGGCTTGCACATTTTATGGGTTTTGACAAATGTCTAGTGACATCTATGTACAGTGCAATATTATACAGAGTAGTTTCACAACCCTAAAATCCTCTACGCTCCTCTCGTTCATCTCTCATTCCCCCGACCTCTGGCAACCACTGATCCTTTTGTCATTTCTGTAATTTGCCTTTTTACACAGTTGGAATCGTATCATATGTACCCTTTCCATGTAGGCTTTTCACTCAGTAAAATACATTTAAGTTTCATCCATGTCTTTTCATGGCTTGCAAGCTCATTTCTTAAGCGCTGAATAGTATTTCATTGCCTAGATATATACAGTGTATTTATCTATTCACCTACTGAAGGAAATTTTGGTTGCTTTCCCATTTGGGCCATTATGAATAAAGCTGCAATACATATCTCTGTGCAGGTTTTTGTGTGGACATAAGTCTTTGATTCCTTTGGATAAATACCTAGGAGCACAATTGCTGTATCAATTAGTGTAGTAAGTATCATGCATTTTAAATATCATCATAGCCATGTTATTTCCCCCTATGATTTACGTTTTCTGCTTCATGTGATGAATTTGAAGGCTGTGTTTTGTAAAAGCTAGTGTTTGATAATATTGAATTAAATTAACCAAGTCAGCTTTTACCTTATTATGAAAATACATTTCCAGTATCTGTTATATTGACACCTTTTGACTCTGTAGTTCCACTTGGAAGTTTATTCCCAAGAAATACATGTATAAAGACAGTTCTTTGGAACAATTTATTACAAGAGTATATATAATAACTGAAAACAGAAAACAATATTAAAAATTACAATGGTTTAATAAATGATGATATGTCGATATATAAAATGTTTGAATACTTTGAAGACCACATACTCTGCTGCTATTTTAGTAACAGTATAAAATTTTCTGAAGTGCAATATTTTGTACAATGTTTCATCTTATTACTCTATCATTATGTGTAATTATTGTTGTGAATTATTTCCTTATTAACAATACTGTTTACTGAACGCTTACTTTGTACCAGGTAGTCACCTAGGACTTTCAATATACTCCTTATTGAATGCTCATAGAAATTCTATGAGGCAGGTACAGTATTCCTATTTTACAGAAAAGAAATTTGAGGTATTGGGTGTTAAGTAGCTTTTCCAATGTTATACATTTATTAGCCAGGGGACCTGGGATATAAACTCAGAACACTTGACTCAATTGCTCTCCTTCTACACCACCTATAAATTCATTACCTTGTAATGAGTCTTGGATGCTGTCACAAGAGATATTTTAAATAAGACAGGATCAAAATAAATAAATATTTGTCTTGATGACAGGAGTGTATGCAAAATATCTAAAACACAATAATCAGTGAAAATTAAATTGGTCCTAAACGCCGTATACACCGTGTTTATATAATAACATATATGAATAGGAATTAAAACTAGATTATGCAGAAAAAAGGAAAACTCCTTTCTTAGAAATGTGCCAAAATTGGCCTTTTTTAATTCAATTTACTCCTTAAGTTATTCTATCATCTGTTCAATGAAAAGTAATATAGGATCTCTCATGCCCAATTAATAGAAATTTCTGACAACAAAATATGTGGATACTATTGCAATTCTAAAGAAATTATTTCTGATTTTCACATAAGTTAGAAAAAGTATTCTCATGGGTCTTAGGAGTGTGTTTTTTATTTTTCTAGATTTTCTATTTTTAATTTCCTAAATTCTTCAGTCAGCTCAGTTGGCAGGATAGGATGAAGCAGCTTGGACAGGGGGTGTCTACCTGGCTCATCAGGCCATCTCCAGCACTGCATAAAACAGCATACATTCAGCTTCAAATAGAAGTTTTATACACATTTATAAAGTTAATTAGTTAATTACAGAGCAAGTGAAATCTTTATTCCACGTAAAACTCTCTAGACATTGAAGTGAAAGATCCATGGTACACAGAATGTCCAGTAGCAGAAGCACTGACTCTTGGATCCAGGCAGCAGAATCCCAGCATAGGCTCCATGCAGTAGGGAGGGGTTGTGAAGTCCACCAGACCTTGATAAGCCTTCTTGTCCATCTCAGCCTTGGATACTCCATCTATCAAATGAGACAAATGCCTTCCTAACTCACTGAGTGGCAGTAAAAAAAAAAAAAAAGAATACAGACGCAGTTTCTAGTGGAACTCTTGGCATGCGGCCGCCCTGCATCAACTTGTCTTCCTCTTCCATCATTGTGTGACCCTGATCTTCACAGAACTTCAAGAGGTAAAGAGATTTTCCTGGGTCAAGTAGGGAAACAAAAGAAAAAGTTTTTAAGTGAAAGCATGATAAAAGGTAAGAGAAGACACAGCGTATAAGTGTTGTGCCCTAGTCACAGTGTAGAATAAAAAGGGCTTTCTAAGAGCAGCTCATCACTTCCAGAAAATACATAAGTCAATCAGAAGTGCTCTATGTATGAAACAGGGTGCTCTTCTGCAGCTATAGGTTTCAATAAGTTTCCTTCCCTTGCAAATGTGGCAACTGCCTTAGACAAGTCTCTTCACTTAAGCAGGAGCCCAATCTATAGAACCTGCAGATAATAATAATAATGTCATTATTCACTAGAATGTTAGATGATTCATTTAATAACTCTGAAGTGCTTTAAAAATATTAAGCACAGCATAAATGTTAAGAAATATTAATTACAATGAAATTGGTTATAATTGGAGTCAGCATTTAAATCTAGAGAGAAAAGATCATGATTATAAAGAACTAACATCTAGTAAGTTTTTTATATTCTCTATTCTCAGGACCTGGGGAGAGCTCTGCAATAAGAGTATAGGGTAATAAATGTCAAAAGAGAAGGACTCAGAATAGTTGAGGGAGTGAATTTTCCTGGCTAAGTGGCACAGATGATGAGCTGTGGATTGAGTTGAAGAGGTGTGAAGATGGGATTTCCAGCTTAGGCTCTCTTCACCCAGTTGTTCATTTTATAGCTATTTATGAGACAGCATCTATGTCCTGGTCATTATATTACCTGCTGGGGATGTGAAAATCAACAAGGTGCACCCAGCCAAGGCCTTCACAGAGCTTGCTTGACTAGATGGGGTTATGAACTCTGACTAACCTTACCTCCTTGGTCTTCAGTTTCCCCATATGTCTAGAAGAAAATTTTCTTTTCTCTACTCATTCCACAGAGATGGCATTGGATAGAGATAAATGTAACAAATGCCTGAAAAAATAGTAAAATATATAAATGTAACCATCATCCTGTAGAAGAACTGATATTTGCAATCAGAAATTTTGTGTCGTTGGAATGAATGAACGGGTATAAACATCTGGAACTTGAAGGAATTCTTTCTTTGCCAGGGGATCTAGTACAGGAAACTAATAAAAATGAGGGTTTATATTATCTGTCGTCTCTTCGTTTTGTATTTTGTATTGAGAAGGCCATAGTTATCTCCTTTCTTTTTTTTTTCTTTTTTTTTTTTTTTTTTGAGATGAAGTCTCGCTCTGTCGCCCAGGTTGGAGTGCAGTGGCATGATCTCGGCTCACTGCAACCTTCACCTCCCAGATTCAAGCAATTTTCCTGCCTCAGCTTCCTGAGTAGTTGGGACTACAGGTGCCTGCCATTTTTGTATTTTTAGTAGAGACAGGGTTTTGCCCTATTGGCCAAGCTGGTCTTGAACTCCTGACCTCAGGTGATCCGCCCTCCTTGGCCTCCAAAAGTGCTTGTTCTTCTTTCTTTAAAAATAAATTTCAAGCAGGCCCAGAACCCAAAAGAAATTAGAGAGCAGACTAGGGTTCCAAATAAACAAACAAATAATAAATAAACCAATTAGCTGATTGGATTTGTAAAAGAAGGGACCCATTAATGTCTGGTGAAATTCTGTGTATTTTTTTCCCTTTAGATTTGTGTTTTAAAACTCATGACCCTAGAGAGAGGCAAATGTAAAAGAAGAATCTTCGGAAGAGCTAACGTTTATTTGTTAATAACCCAGAGTGAGTTACTAAGGAAAACACTTGGAATACGTCCTTAATCAATGGGTTTGTTACTAAGAACAGTAATCACACTCCTCTTCAACTTAAGCCTCAGTGTTTCCACAAGGAAGGTCAGCGTTCTCCAGGGTGTCATGTGTAACAGCTGGGAGCATTACATCAGGAGAATGTTTTGCAATTTATAATCCACTCAGTCTTTTTAAAAAAACTCTCTGACATCAGATAAAGAACTGTATATAATATATTCTTCTTATATCACAAGCAAAATTCTGAGGCCCCAAACCATGTATTACACATATTTCTCATTCTACCCTTAAGATTGTCTCTTTGTTGATATTAAGTCCTGAAAGCAATGCTTACATTCAAAAATAGCTATTTATTCATGCAATACATACACATAAATAGCTAACATGGCAACAGTGATAATCCCTCATTAGCCTCCAATTAGGTTACATTTCAATTTCAGAAGCAAATGGCAGGCGGTGGGGACTGCAATCCACACAAATAGAAATGTGAAGGATACCACATAAAACCATAATTACATGACTTAGGAAATATCTTTTCCCTGCATCTAGGGAAATTATGGGATGCTGCAGGTGATTATCAGTTTATGATCTGAACCTACAGTCTGTTTCCTTGTGTTTTCTTATTCTCCAGGCAGCATGGAATTTAGGCAAAAGGAAGGGTAGCAGAAGAACTGCTGAGGTGTCAAAACAGCAAGGTGGTAGACATTCAAAGACTACATAATTAAAAAATATTAAACATCCATTTGATTATTATCTCTGCCTAACTTTCCCTCACTAGCAATGAATGAAATAAAACGTACCTTAAGGTATTTAAAACAGTTAAAGCACTGTACATCATATTTAGCTTCTTTTAAAAATAAAAGCTGACAGCTTTTCCAAGTAAAGGCATAGAAAATTGGGCTCATCCTACTGTATGCACATCTTAGTATTATGAACTGGTCAAAATTATAAGGAAATAGACAAATGTTTAGTCCACAAATTTAAATTCATAGTTTGCATCTTTATGTGTTGGAAGTAACAAATTAAAAAAGATAGAAAGAAATTTCACCACTAAAAGTTATCCTTTGGGAGTCTGAAGGTTGTTCTTTCATTGTAAGTGCATCTCAACTAAGTGCTGATCATGAATTTATGTTTTGTCAATAGCTGCGAACTGGATCTTCTGAAATGAAGTACATGAGAGGGTTTCAATTGTCTAACAACAATTAAATGTCTATTATCTGTCAGTTTCTATGTTGTGTTTTAAATATATCACCTCATTCTTTCTCTTAGAATGTGCTAGTTGATTCTTCCATTTCAGGTTGAGAACAGAATCAATAATTGAATTTCTTATCATTGAAATGAAAGAATATTTATTCATCAGAGCAGTAGATGGACTGTTGGGAAACAATATAACAATACAGCATGCTTCATAGCATAGAGCAATGCAACCATACAGTATGGGGATTAAAAGCATGCACTTTGAAGTCAAATAGAACTGACTTCAAATGCTGCCACTGAGTTATGTGATCTTGGATGAGGTATTTACCCTCTTGGTGCCTCAGTACCCTTTTTTGTGAAACAAATATAATTACCTAATATGTAGAAATATAGTGATAATTAAATCAAATAATATACATAAAGTACTTAACATATAACTGGATCCATAAGGACTAAAATATTAGTCCTTCAATTATTACTATAATTGAAAGCATATGTTATATACTCACAATCCTCGGTGTATTTCTAGGAGGCTCTTCTGAAATCTACAAATATTCTTTATCTTCCATACTTAAATGGGTTTATACCATCCATCCACTGGAATAAAAGTACACAGAGGAGACAGTTATCTGGCTACAGTTGGCTGAATGATACATATACTATTTTTCTGAACCTGGCAACTTCCTCTGAATGATTTTTTGGTGTCCTAGTTTATAGGAAACAGAGTTCCATTTATGATTGTTCCCATGTACACAACCATTGGTGGATTTGTGTTTGCTCCTGCAGTTTCTGTGAAGTGATCAATTATGTTACTGACTGAACAAGTAAAAGCAGGGATTGTCTGGAATTGTTATTGCTTGACTTTGACATTGAAAAGTTCCAAAAGGAAACTGGAAAAAAAAGACAAACTGAGCAAAGACAAATATTCATCTCAAACTCTCACCAAAATTTTCAGTAATTGCAGAAAATTTGAGGTAAAGAATAGAATGCCACAAAATGTATGGAAAACAATATTGCATCCCATCTGCAGATGAAAAAGTTTAGGAATATCATTAATCATTTTGAAAAATGGGATACCCAAAAGAAGACTTCTGTGAAAGGTGTGATTTGGTCAACAAGTGCCTGAAGATCAGAGATAGAAGACACCCTTGGCAGAAGGAGCTCTGGAGGATTATTTTAACATTTGATGTTGACCAGCTTATTTTTTTGTATGCTAGGATGGAGTCTACATGATATCTTGTCCTCGATTTGTGCTAGCATTAAATATTAGAAGTATTTACCCTTAGGCTGGAATAGTGAGTGTAGGTACTTGGGACAGAGTGGCAGCTTTGTGTCCTAGGGAATGAGTAAAAATATTCAACACGATCCAAAATGCCTAAAAATAGAGGACAGTCCCTAATGGTGTATGTCTACTAGCAACACATGCATTTCCTCCCACAGAGTCCATGAAGGTAACCTCAAAATACACAGAAAATATGCACAGACAGGCTAACAGGGATTCTCAAGTGGAAATATAAACGTAGAAACAAAAACCACAAAATATTTTAAGAAGAGCAATTAAGGAAGATCAAAAAAAAAAAAAAGAGAAAGAAACACACACACAAAAAAACAAACAAATGACTAAATGGATGTTATTAAAAAACAGAAGACTTCATAATATGAATAACTACTTTCTCCAGCATTAGAAGATATTGTATCTCAGAGACGAGAATAATGTTCTGACAAAAAAAAAACAATTAATTGTCTTGAAAACGAAAATTACTATTATTAAAATAAAAAGGAAAAATGGGCACACTGAAAATAGTAGGCAGAGTTTGACTCAGTAACCTTCACTAGGTTTTAGTATATTTGCAACGGCTTGCAGCCATCATCACTATCTTATTCCAGAATATGTTCATCACTCCAAAAAGACCCTCAGCCTCTGACAACCCCATCTACTTTCTGCCTCTATGAATTTGTCTATTCTGGAAATTTCACATAAATGAAACCATACAATATGGGGTCTTTTGCAATTAGTTTCTTTCACTTAGCATTATGCTTGTACTTTTTCCTACTGTTTGTAAATTTTAATTTATTTTTAATTGAATAATAAATAAATGAATAATGAGAACAAAGATACAACATACCAGAATATCTGGGATACAAGACAGCGTTAAGAGTTAAATTTATAGCACCATGCACCTACATCAAAAAGTTAGGAAGATTTAGATTTAACAATGTAACATCACAACTAAAACAACTAGAGGTCCGAGAGCAAACCAGCTAGAAAGCCAGCAAAAGACAAGAAATAACCAAAATCAGAGCTGAACTGAAGGAGATTGAGACAGACAAACACACACACACACACACACACACACACACACACACACACACACACACAAACCCTCAATAGATCAACAAATCCAGAATCCAAGAGTTGTTTTTTTGAAAAAAAAAAATTAACGAAATAGATAGACCACTGGCTAGACTAATAAAGAAGAGAGACGATGCAAATAAACATAATTAGAAACAACAAAAGCATATTACCACTGAACCCACAGTAATACAAATAAGCATTAGAGATAATTATGAACACCTCTATGCACATAAACTAGAAAATATAGAAGAAAATGATAAATTCCTAGATACATACACCCTCCCAATATTGAGCCAAGAAGAAATCGAATCCCGAACAGATCAATAATGAGGTCTGAAATTGAATCAGCAATAAGTAGCCTAACAATAAAAGAAAGCCATAGACCAGAAAGATTCACAACCAAATTTTTACCAGATGTACAAAGAAGAGCTGGTACCATTTCTACTGAAACTATTCCAAACTCCAAAAAAAAAATTAAAATAAAAAATAAAGAGAGTAGCAACTTCTCCCTAACTCATTCAATGAGACCAGCATCTTTCTGATATCAAAACCTGGCAGAGACACAACTAAAACAGAAAACTTCAGCCAATATTTTTGATGAATATCAATAGAAAAATTCTCAACAAAATACTGGTAAAACAAACCCAGCAGCACATCAAAAAGCTTATCCACCATGATCAACTAGGCTTTATCACTAAAATGTAAAGTTGGTTCAACATATGCAAATCAATAAATGTGATTCATCACATAAACAGAACAAAAGACAAAAACCACATGATTATCTCAATAGATGCAGAAAAGGCTTTTGATAAAACTCCACAAACACATCTTCATGTTAAAAACTCTCAGCAAATTAAGTATTGGGAGAACATACCCCAAAAATAAAAAGAGGCATCAATGATAAACCCATAGCCGACATCATACTTAATGGGAAAAAGCTGAAAGCATTCCCCTTGAAAACTGGCACAAGACAAGGATACCCTCTCTCACCACTCCTATTCAACATAGTATTGGAAGTCCTGGCCAGAACGATCAGACAAGAGAAACAAATAAAGGACATCTAAATAGGAAGTCAAATTATCCCTGTTTGCAGACAACATGATTCTATAACTAGAAAACCTCAGTCTCAGCTCAAAAGCTCCTTCAGCTGATAAACAACTTCAGCAATGTCTCTGGATACAAAATCAACATACAAAAATTATTAGCATTCCTATACACCAGCAACAGACAAACCGAGACCTAATTCAGAAATACAATCTCATTCACAATTGCCATAAAAAGAAAAAATACCTAGGAATACAGGTAACCATGGAGGTGAAAGATCTCTACAATGGTAACTATAAAATACTACTCAAAGAAATAAGAGATGACAAAAACAAATTTTAAATAAAAGCATTCTATGCTTATGGATAGAAAGAATCAGTATTGTAAAAATGGTCATGCTGCTCAAAGCAATTTATAAATTCAATGCTATTCCTATCAAACTACCAGTGACATTCTTCACAGAACTAGAAAAATCTATTTTAAAATTCATATGGAACTAAAAAAAGAGCTCAAATAGCGAAGGCAATCCTAAGGGGGAGAAAAAAAACACCAAGGCTGGAGGCATCATTCTATCCAACTTCAAGCTATACTACAGGGCTACAGTAACCAAAACAGCATGGTACTGGTAGAAAAATGGAGACATAGACAAATGGAACAGAATGGCAAGCACATAAATAAGGCTGCACACCTGCAACTATCTGATCTTTGACAAACCTGACAAGAACAAGCAATAGGGAAAGGATTCTCTATTCAATAAATAGGGCTTCAATATATCCATATATTGAAGATTGAAACCAGATCCCTTCCTTACATCATATAAAAAAAAAAACTTAAGATAGATTAAAGACTTAAATGTAAAACCCAAAACTATGAAATTCCTGGAAGACAACCTAGGCAATGTCATTCTGGACCTAAAAATTGGCAAAGATTTTATAATGAAGATGCCAAAAGCAATTGCAACAAAAGCAAAAATGGACAAGTGGAATCTAATTAAGCTTAAGAACTGCACAGCAAAAGAAAATATCAACAGAGTAAACAGACAACTTACAGAATGGAAATTATTTTTTTCAAACTACACATCTGACCAAGTTTGAATATCCAGCATCTATAAGGAACTTAAACAAACTTCCAAGAAAAAAAAACAAAGAACCGCATTAAAAAGTGGGCAAAGGACGTGAACGGATACTTTTCAAAGGAATATATACATGCGGCCAAGAATCATATGAAAAAAGCCTCAAAATGACTGATCTTTAGAGAAATGCAAATCAAAACCACAATGAAATATCATCTCACACCAGTCAAAATGGCTACTATTAAAAAGTCAAAAAATAACAGGTGCTGGTGAGCTTGCAGAGAAAAAGGAATGCTTTTACACTGTGGGTGAAAGTGTAAATTATTTCAACCATTGTGGAAAACAGTGTGATAATTCCTCAAATACCTAAAAACAGAAATACTGTTCAACCCAGTAATCCCATTACTGGGTATTAGTTTTTTTAATCATAAAAACACGTGCACACACATGTTCATTGCAGCACTATTCACAATAGCAAGGACATGGAATCAACCTAAATGCCCATCAATGGTAGACTGAATTAAAAAAATACGATGCATATACACCATGGAATACTATGCAGACATAAAAAACAAAAGCAAGATCATGTCCTGTGCAGGGACATGGATGGATCTGGAGGCCATTATCTTTAGAAAACTAATGCAGCAACAAAAAAACAAATACCACATGTTCTCACTATAAGTGGGAGTTAAAAGATGAGAACACACATGGACACATAGAGGGGAACAACACACTCTGGGGCCTTTTGGAAGGTGGAGGGTGGGAGGAGAGAGAGGATTAGGAAAAATAACTTAACGGGTACTAGGCTTAATACATGGGTGGCAAAATAATCTATAAAACAAATTCTCATGACACAAGTTTACCTATATAACAAACCTGCACATATACTCCTGAACTTAAAAGTTTAAAAAAAATTGAGAGAAAAATTTTTTAAAAGAAAAATCTGCTATATTTGTGAAACATCCCAATATTTTTTGAGATCCAGAATTTGATGTTTCTTTTTATGTGAGATAAAATAGCGAGTGGCAACCTTATATTGCTCTCATCATTGAATTCTTGGCACAAAATTTCCATCACCATCAGTCCCAGGCTTTTTGCAACTTTTCCAACATTGAAAATAAAAATGGAAAAAAATCTATGTACCAAAATAAAAAAGAAAGAAAAAAATATATAACAAGAAGCCAGTAGAACTCTGGTCCATAAAAGGGCCTTTTCCTGACCCTAACAAGCTCAGAATAGAGACGAAATCACTCTAAGGCTGTGTAAGAACATTTCTCCCAAATTCTAGAAAAACATGAAGAAGTAATCCTTCTCTCTTCAGCTGATGACGGCAAGTGGAGTGATGGCACTCTACTGGGGAAGAGAGAGCCTTGCTGATTCAGTCACTGAGTAAACACTTGATTACACTCAGGAAGGTAACATTTTTATCTCTTCATGTGTTCATTCAAAATGGCCTTGACAGCCACTTCCAAAAAGTACTCGGCATTTAGAGATTTTCAAATAAGCGTAACTACTTCTGAAGCAAAGAAGATGATGTTTTGCCAAACTTCCAGGATAAGCTACCTTTCTTTCTCATTTTCAATAAGCATTAAATTGACACATTTGCACACTCAAAATCATGAAAACATTTTTTTCACTTCTTCAACGACATTGATTTTGTGACCCGTGCTATTTCTTCCACTGTGCACTGAATTTCATCTAACTAAAATTACCATAGTTTCTAATTACCTACTCAGCTTACTTCTGAATTTTCCTTTTAGTTCATTTCCCTCTGATATCTTACACTGAAGCCTGGTCTTTCTCTCCTGGATAGCATATTTTAACTTTTTTTTTTTTTTTTTTTTTTTTTTTTTTTTTTTTTTTTTCAGATTCTTCTGTAATGTTCTCACCACTGCTTTTGACCTCCTTTCCTGTTCTTCATACACTGAAAATGCAACCTTTCTAGAGCCCATTCTACTGTATGAGCTCCAAGCTCTCCTTACTTCATTTATAACATATATAACACTATTGATTTTTAACCTATTTCTTCAGTCCATTCCTCTCTCCTGAGATTCAGAAAACTGCCATGTTTTCTTCTGCCTACCAGCAGAACCAGTTTCAAGGGCAAGCCACCTGCTTAGAAACATGGCGCCCCATGCATGGAAGAGCCCTGTGCTTAATTTAATGTTCTGCTGTCACCATCTTAATACATTTAATAATCCTTGAATAAGACCTTCCATTTTCATTTTGTGCTGGGCCTTACAAAGTATGTAGCCAGGCATGCCTATTGGCCATTTCCTTGGGCATGTTTCACAGATACCAGTACATGTTTCTAAATATGTATCATTTTGTTACTATCTTCTCATCTACTTCTCAACAAGATGTATCTAGCTAAAAGCTAGAGATAATTAATGGCTTCTTCCCTCATCACACTGAAGAATTGGTCAAAATGTTTTTAAATGTTATTTTATCAGAATTCCCTAAATCTAATTTCTTCTTTCTGTCTTCATGGCTAATTCCTTAATTCAGGTCTTTGTCCTCTATTTCCTACAAGATTGTAACATCATTATTATTGTCATAGTACTAGACGTAAATGCCATATCAGATCATGTCACTTCTGTCCTTAAAAATAGGCAAAAGTTCCACACTGACACTGTTCAGATGCATTCACATGGGCCACATAGGTTGCTATAATCTCTTTTCTGTTAATTCTTGCTTCATTTCTTCTACTCTTAATAGTTCAATGGAATTTCAAGTACACTTGATTATCCACTCCTCTAAAACCAGGTGCCTCCAAATCCTTGTGAATTTCCCAACAATGTTCTGTCTGAAAAGTCCTTAGTCAGCTTTGTCTCTGAAGGGATTTCTATGATTCTTCAAGATCAAATTCAAATGCTATCACTACTTTAAAGCTTTTCTCTTCCCTCGGGAATATATATTTACCCATGTCAGGTTCACTTGGTGCTTTTTATATATCTCAGTTACACAATTTATCACTTGAGTTGTTGAGGAAATGATCGTTATTTTTATTGTGCTGTTAGCGTTAGCACACAGTCCAGTATAGTGCAGGCAATGGATGTTTCTTAAATATTAAGGTATTACTATTAGTTATAAAGTCAGCCTATATTTTTATTCAGGCATACCTTATTGTATTGTACTTCACTTTATTGTGTTTCACAAATATTGCACTTTTTTACAAATTGAAGATTTGTAGTACCTGTGAGTTGAGCAAGTCCACTGACACCAGTTTTTTCAACGCAAGTGCTCCCAACGTGTCTCTGTCACATTTGGGTAATACTTGCAACATTACAAACTTTTTCATTATTATTATATAGGTTAGTGTGATCTGTGAATAGTAATCTTTGATTTTACTAAGCTAATTGTTTTGGAGTGTCACCAACTGTGCCCTTATAAGACAGCGAACTTGATAAATATGTGTGTTCTGACTGCTCCACTCCCTGTTCCCCTACTTCTCTCCCTCTCGTTGGGCCTCCTTATTCCCTGAGACACAACAATATTGAAATTAGGCCAACAGTAACCTAAAATGGCCTCTAAGAGTTCAATTGAAAGGAAGAGTTACATACCTCTAAGTTTAAATCAAAAGCTATATGATTTCAGCTTAATGAGGAAAGACATGTCAATACTGAAATAGGCCGAAAGTTAGGCCTCTCTTGCCAACCAGTTATCCCAGTGGTAAATGCACAGAAAAAAGTTACTGAAGGGAATTAAAAGTGCTGCTCCAGTGAGCACACAAATGATAAGAAAGCAGAACAGCCTGTTGCTGATACGAAGAAAGTTTTGGTGGTCTGGACAAAGAACCAAATCAGCCATAACATTCCCTTAAGCCAAAGCCTAATCCAGAGCAAAGCCCCAACTCTTCAATTCTATGAAGGCTGAGAGAGGAGAGGAAGCTGCAGAAGAAAAGTTTGAAGCTAGTGGAGATCAGTTCATTAAGTTTTAACCCATCTCCAATGCATCGATTACAAGCTGAAGCAACAAATGCTTATGCAGAAGCTGCAGCACGTTATCCAGAAGAGCTAGCTAAGATCATTGATGAAGGTGGCTACACCAAATAACAGATTTTGTGTAAATGAAAGAGCCTTAATATAAGAAGCAGATGTCATTTAGGACTTTCATAGCTAGAGAAGAGGAGTCAATGCCTGGCTTCAAAGCTTCAAAGGACAAATTGACACTCCTGTTAGGGACTAACGCAGCTGGTGACTTCAACTTAAAGATGATGCTCATTTTCCATTCCAAAAATCCTGAGGCCTAAGAATTATGCTAAATCTACTCTGCCTATACGATAAAAATGGAACAACAAAGCCTGGATGACAGCACATCTGTTCACAGCATGATTTACTGACTATTTGAAGTCCACTGTTGAGATATACTATTGAGAAAAAACAATTCCTTTCAAAATATTACTGCTCAGTGACAATGCACCTGGTCACTCAAGAGCTCTGATGGAGATATACAAGGAGGTTAACATTGTTTTCATTCCTGCTAACACAACATCCATTCTACAGCCTATGGATTCGGGAGTAATTTTGACTTTCAAGTCTTTTTACTTGAAAAAAATTATGTTAGGTCATAGCTGCCATAATGATTCTTTCAATGAATTTGAGCAAAGAAAATTGAAAAACTTCTAGAAAGAATTTCCCATTCTAGATGCCATTGAGTATAGTCATAATTCATGGGAGCAGGTCAAATAACAACACTAACAGGAGTTTGGAAGCAGTTGATTCCAATCCTCATGGATGATTTTGAGGATTCAAGATTTCAGCAGGGGAAGTAAATGTAGATGTGGTAGGAAAAAATCAAGAGAAACAAAATTAGAAGTGGAGCCTAAAGATGTGACTGAATTGCTGTAATCTCATGATAACACTAAATGAATAAGGAGTTGCTTTTTATAAATGAGCAGAGAAAGTTGTTTCTTTAGATAGAATCTACTCTTGATGAAGATGCTGTGAACATTGTTGGAATGTGGAATGAGAACTGTATGTTCATAGTGTACAAAATGATATTTTGATATAAGTATACATTGTGGGATGGCTAAATAAAGGTATCTAACATAAACATTACCTCACTTATCTTGTTTTTGTGATGACAACACTTAAAATCTACTTTTTTATAATTTTTGATATACAATATTATTATAATCTATACTCCATGTTATGTACAATAGATATCTAGAACTGATTCCTTCTTTCTACCTAAAATTTTGTATCCTTTAACAAACATCTCTTCAATTCCCCCAACTCCCAGGCTCTGGTTACTTTCTCTGAGTTCTACTGTTTCACACTTCACGTGTCACTGAAATCACACAGCATTTGTCTTTCTGGGCCTGCCTTACTTTACTTAACATCCTCCAGGTTCATTCCTTTTGTTGCAAATGACAAGATTTATTTCTTTTAAGGCTGAAGAATATTCCATTGTGTATATATACCACATTTTTTATCTAATTATCTGTTAATGGACACTTGGGTTGATTCCTTGCCTTGTCTACTGTATATTGTGCTGCAATAAATGTGGGAATGCAGATATCTTTTTGGCATACTGATTTTCATTCTTTTGGGCATATATCCAGAAGTGGAATTGTTAGATTGTATGGTAATTCTATTTTACTTTTTTTGAGAGATCTCCGTACTGTTTTTTGTAATGACTATACTGATTTACATTGCCACCAACCGTGTATAGGGTTTCCCTTTATTTCATATTCTTGTCAACGCTTGTTATCTTTTGTCTTTTTGATAACAGCCATTTTAACAGATATGAAGTGGTGTTTCATTGGGGTTATAATTTGCATTTCTCTGACGGTTAGTGATTTTTTTCACATACATTTTGGCTATTCATATGTCTTCTTTTGAGGAATGTCTATTCAGATTATTATTTTTTAGAAATTTGAACATGGCTTACATTGCAGCACTTTTCAGGTCATTTTAAAAATCAGATTATGATATCCAACCTGATTAATAAAGAAATGTCTATTGCCTATATTTAATCAGGTTACTTCACTTTTTCTCTCACCTGATATATATGTTTAGTGCTATAAATTTCTCTCACAGCACTGCTTTTACTGTGTCATGCAAATTTTGATGTCAAACTTTCATTTTCATTTACACTTTAATGTGTTTTTAAACGTTATTTGATATTTCATTTTAGAACTATGGAGCAATTAAATGTGTGCCTTTTAGTTTCCATGTGTTTGAAGATTCTTTTATCTTAATGGTATTAATTTCAAATTCAATTTCATTGTGGTCAAAGAATACACTCTATATGATATCAATTCTTTTAAATATATTACAGTTTGTTTTATGACCCATAATATGGTTTATCTTGTTATGTGTTCCATGGGTACTTGAGAAGAATGTGTTTTCTGCTGTTGCTGGGTACAGTGTCCTATAAATGTCAATTAGATTCTGTTGGTTGATAGTGCTGTTGAGTTCTTCTGTATTCTTGCTGATTTTCTGTGTAGCTGTATTTATCAATCATACAGAGTGATGTTTTGAATTCTCCAACTATAACTGTATATTTGTCTTTTTTCTCCTTTCAGTTCTAGACATTTTTACTTCACATATCTTGCAGTTCAGCTCTTTAGTACATCCACAGTTAGAAATATTATATCTTTTGGGTGGATTGAACATTTAGTCATTATATAATGCCCACCTCTGTCTCTGAAAATATTTTTTGCTATGAGTTCTGCTTCATCTGGTATTAAAAGTAGTAACTTCTGCTTTCTTTTGACTAACGTTTGCATGACATGCCTTTCTGCATCCTTTTACTTTTAACCTGTCAATATCACTATATTTGTTGCAATTTCACATACACAATATATATCTTGGTAATTTTCTTAAACCTCCAGTCTGCCTTTTAATTGGTGAATTAACCCATTTGCATTTAAAGTAAGTATTAATATGTTAGTAATTAAGTAGGCCATTTTAGTTTTTGTTTTCTTTTTGTTCTCTTTGTTACACAGTTTTCTGCTTACTTTTTCTTGCCTTACTGTCAGTTAATTGAATATATTTTAGAATTCCATTCTGATTTTCATAGGCACTATTGATAGTGTTTTTGAGTATATCTACATAGATAAATAGGTGATAGATAGAAAGATAGATAGATAGATACTCCAAGTATTATACAACATATGAATAACTTATCACCATCTACTGGTGTCATTTTTTTATCAACTCAGTTGAAGTGTGGAGATTTTATTTACTCATAGATTCCTTTTTCTTATCCTTCATATTTATGATATAATTGTCTTAATGATCATCTACATGAATTACAACCAAGTCAATGTTATTATGTTTGCTTCCACATTCAAACATAATCTAAGAAACTCAAAAGGAGGAAGAAATTCCATTGTATTGACCTATATTTTTGTCTTCTGTGTTTATTTTTCCTCCCTGATGTTCCAGTATGTCTTATTTTACCTTTTCTTTTGTGTTTAGAGAAATTTTGTTAGCAATTCTTTTAGAGTAGGTGTACTGGTGACAAATTTTCTTAGTTTCTCTCTATCTGATTTTCCTTTTATTTCTGAAAGATATTTTCTCTGAATATAGGATTCTGGACTGGCAGTTCTTTTCTCTCAGAACTTGAAAAATATTGTGTCACTGCCTCCCTGCCTCTGTGGTTGTTGGTGAGAAATCTACTGTCATTTGAATTACTTTTTGTTAATAGATTAAGTGTTTCTATTATTGTTTTCAAGATTTTTCTGTCTTTGGTTTTCATAAATTTTAATATAATGTGTCTTGACATGGCTTTATTTGAATTTATCCTTTTTTTGTTTGTTTAGCTTCTTGAATCTATAGATTTCTTTCTTTTACCAAATTTATAAAGTTTTCAGCCATGTCTTTTTGGATATTTTTTAGTCCCACACTCTTTCTCATTTCATTCCAATACTCCAAAAACACAAATGTTAGATCGCTTTTTATAGTCCCACGGGTCCTTGAGTTTACTTCTTTAATCTATTATTTCTCTGTTGTTCGATTGGGTATTATTTTCTTTTTGTTCTGTCTTCATTTTCACTGATTTTTTTCTCTGTCCCACCCATTCCACTTTTGAGTTTGAATTTCTATTTCAGTTATTGGAATTTTCAGATCTAAAATTTGTATTGGTTCTTTTTATATCTTTTTTTTGCTGAGACTTTGTATTTCTTTTCTAAAGCTTCCTATTTTTACTTCTTTCTAATGTTTTCATAGTTGCTTATAGAAGCATTTTTATGATGGCCCATTTAAAATCATTATAAATTATTTTAACCTCTCTGTCATCTCAGTATTGACATCTATTGGTGTTTTCTCATATAGTTTTATTAATATATTTTTCTGATTCTTGATATAATGATTGATCATCAACTGAAACCTGAATATCTTGGATATTATATGATGAAACTGTGGCTCTTATTTAAACTTTCTATTTTAACTCGCTTTCCTTCAGTTAAACGCTGAAGAGGGAAAGAATCTCATATAAAACTGGCCATGTTATAATATTTCTAATGTCTAACTTTTAAAATGAAGGATATAAAGAAACACTAATGCATGGCCTATTAATAAGAACAAAATTAATTAACAGAGACTTTACTTGAGAAACAACAGACATTGGATTTACTAGGCAAAGACCTTATATTAACTCTCTTAAAGAGGCTCCAAGAGTTAAAAAAAAAAAGATGAAAAGATAAAGGAAACTAAGAGTATGCTAGTTTCCTAGCATAAATAGATAAAAGTTAAAAAAGGGAACCAAATAGATAAAAGTTAAAAAAGGGAACCAAATAGAAATTCTGGTGATGAAAAGAATATATTGACTGAAATTAAAAATTCACTGAAAGTTTCAATACCAGATTTGAATAAATAGGAGAAATATACTGTGAACCTGAAGATGGGACAATTAAAACTACACTGTCTGAGGAGCAGAATGAAAAAAGACTGGGAGTTGAGTCTAATATTTCTCCCCCACTGCAAGACCCCATTGCATTGGTCCCTATCCTTATCTCCATAGTATCCCTTGAATAAATTCTGCCTTATTATCTTTAACAAAATAAAAGAAAAAAGATTGAAAAAAATGAATAGAGCCTAAGAGACTTATGGGATGACATCAAACATACTTACATACATATAATGGGAATTTCAGAAGGAGAGGATAGAGAGAAAAGGACAGAAAGAAGATTTAAAGAAATAGTGGCTGAACACTTCCCAGATTGGATGAAAGATAGTGATCTACATACGTAACCTGGAATAAATGACTATACTATTGTCAGACAAAATAGACGTTAAGTCAAAAACAGGTAAGTCAGGTAAAATAGAGAAGTGAAAAACAATAGAGAAAATGTATGAAATCAAGAGTTGATTTCTGAAAGGATTAATGAAATTTACAAACTTTTATATTGGACTGATTTAGAAAAAAGAAGACTCATATTACTAAAATCAGAAATGAAGGTGGAGATATATAGAGTATTATAAATTACTGTATTACTTACCATATTTTTAAAAGAATTATTAAGAGAAGGCTATGAACAATTGTATGCCAACAAATTAGGTACACTAGACAAAACTGACAAATTTCAAGAAACACACAAACTACCAGAACTGACTCAGAAATAAATAGAAACAAAGTTATAACAAACAGAGAAAATAAAATAGTCATTAAAAACCTCCCCACAAGGCCTGGGATTAAATGGTTTCACTAGTGAATTCTACTCAATATTTAAAGAGGAATTAACACTAATCCTTCTCAAACTCTTCCAAAAAATAGAAGAGGAGGGAACACTCTCTAAGTCATTCTATAAGACTAGCACTGCACTTACAACTTAACTAAAAGGCAGACGATTCAGTTTATAAATTGACAAAGTTCTTGAGTGAACATTTTTTTTTCTTTTTCCCAAATGGCTGTTCAATTTATTAGCTTGATCAATAATGGTCCTGGCAAAAATTAGTTAACCAACATTAAGACATTTGTAATGAAATACTAATTTTAAAAATCCATGACACCTTGATAGAAATTAGCGCTTAAACAAACGAAAAAGGAACCTTTGATATTGCCAGCGGCTATAAAGTGAATCTACTGAGACCAACAGTATAGCAAGAAGGCAATTGCACATTTATATCTGACACCTGACCATATTTTCAGTCACCAGAATATCTCTCTCCAGAATAAAACAAAAAATAGTATGCTGATTTCTATAACCAAGCTTTTTTTCATACAAAAATCAAATAATGACCAATAAGTCACAACAGCTCAATAGGTAGAGGATTAAAAACTGCATCAAGCAGGTGTTGAAAATAAATACCACTTAGGAGAAGGAGGAGAAACCCTTTGTGTGGGGTTTGTTTTTGTCCCCTTGAGTGCGTGTGTGATTTGTCTTCTGAGCCATGAGCCTGGCCTGTCTCACGGTGCTATTCACTCTGAGAGAGTGCAAGTGCAGCACGTTTCCTCCAGAGCCTGGCCTGCCAGAAGCCTCAGAGCATCCATGGAACATTTTTTCACAGAGGATATGTAACTAGCCACCTCTTAGTATATGCAATGATGCCGAGCATCACTAGTCATTACAGAAATGCAAATAAAAACCACAATGGGATAGTAGCTCAGAGCTACTAGAATGGTTATCATGAAAAAAGGTGGTGAATATATGTGTTGGTGATATTATAGAAAAACTGGAACCTTCATACTTGGCTGGGAGAGATGTAATATATTGTAGCCACTTTAGAAAAAAGTTTGGCAGTTTCTTAAAAAGTAAAGTTAATATTTACCATATGGCCCAGTCATTACATTCTTAGGCATATAAACTCAAAAGAACTGAAAACATGTATTCAAACAAACAAATACTTGTATATGAATATTTATAGCAACACCATTCACAGTAGCCAAAAGTTGACAATAGATAAACAAAGAAACAAAATTTAATAAACCATACAATGGAATATTATTCAACCATAAAAAAGAATAAAATACGGATGCATGCTATAATCTGGATGAACCTTAAAAATATTATGCGAAGTGAACGAAGACAGATACAAAAGATAACATATTTATTATGTCAGCTGTCTTGAATATCTGTAATAGATAAATCCATAGGGACAGAAAACAGATTAATGGTTGCTAGGAGCTAGGAAAAGGGAGGATGAGTAGCCGCTGCTTAATGGAGACAGGGCTTCCCTTTGGAGTGATGAAAATCTTTTGGAACTGCACAACATAATTAACGTATTAAATGCCACTGAATTATACACTTTAAAGTGGTCAGCTTTACCGTATATGATCTTTACCCCACAAATGCCAATTGATTCCATTTTCCCTTCAGATAATTTGAATTTTCTGTGTGCTGATTAGGCCTAGGCATTTACTGGGAATACTTGTTAATATCAACTTTATTGATAATTTAATGATAATTTTAGTTGGTTTTTGAATGCAAACCATTCTTACACACCTGAAATAATCTCACTTGGTCATGATGTTCTATCCCATTTATATATGAATGGATCTTATTTGCTAATATTGCATTAAACTTGGTCACTATATTGAAATGTATAATAAAGTGTTTAAATATGATGATTGTAGATTTGTTTCTCCTTTTCTTTCCACTTTTGCTTGTATATGTATATACTTGCATATAAATTTACATGTATATGTAATATGAATACAAATTTTGTATATGTGTATTAAGATAATAAATAAAACAAATATAAATGTATATATTTATGTGTGCCTATGATAAATAAAGCAATATATTGAAATTTATGTTGTAATTATATTGTAACACACACAGAGGCATAATTTTCCTTCTGTAAAATGCACATATCTTAAGCATAGAGTTGAATCAGTTTTGGCAAATATATAAACTCTTTATAAATTGTTTATTATATCAACAACACTGCTATTTTTTTGCCCTTCATATCGCTTCAGCTAGTCCTTATTTGCTCTTTGAGTTCAACAAAACTTGGTTTTCAAGACAATAATGCTCTGCCCATAAAAACTGCAATAGTTGATTGTTTCTAAAACTGAACAAAAGATTTCAAAGGAAGTATTCTTTTCTGATATGTGTTATAAACCTTGGTTCCCCATGTACCTGTTTTTTACCTGCTTCCCTGTATGTCATGAGAAACCTTGATTAGTCAGTCTTATGACAGGTTCCGCTTTTGTGTTGAGTGGTATAATTAAGTCTAGGGGTCGAAACATTCCTCCCTTGGGTTAATAAAACATCTACTACAGATGCATAGGGACTGAGAAAAAAATAAGAGTTTGTCAGTAGATATGGTAGAGAGATATCTTTTCCTTGGCCCTCAATTCCATTTCTTTCTTCTTAACCTATGTATTTGGGCTATTCTATAAGTTGTCAAACCAGAGCTATTGTGCCATCTAGAAGATGGCATCCTCCAAAACAGTGGAGATTGTTCATTTATTTTGCAGTTAGCACTATAGCTAGGCCCTGAAAATTAAAATTGAATAAACAATTTCAATTTTCCAGAAGACTAACTTATGATGATGATATTTTAAAATTGTAAAATGTAATGATATGCCCAGCACAGTTCTAACAACTTTTCATACGTCAATTTATTTAAACCCCACAGCAACCCCAAGTATAGCATCATAGTCATATTCTTTTGTAGGTGAGGAAAACAAGGCACAGAGAGGTGAAACCAGTTTCTCAGAGTACAGTTTATAAGATTAGCTTATAAGGCTGACTTAGAGTTAAGTAATAGCTTATAAGGTTGAAGATTTGAATGCAAATAATTATCTCCAGAAAGCAGGCTCCTAGCCACTACTCTTTTTCCCTCTTTAAGGACACCTAGGGCTTCCAAGAACACTAGTCCATCACCTTCTCTGAATGTTATGTGGAATCTTAAATGTGATGTGGAAAAGGAGAAGTATGGTTACTCTAATAAGATAGCACTTAATTTGTGAATAGACGTTTCATATAAAAAGTCATTGTGGGTCCAAAATGGCAAACTCTCTAACTCCACAAGTCAGTATCAAGTTATCAAGTTATCTCACATAATAGTTTACTTAGGAGGCATTTGCCTTGCTTAAAAACCACAGAGGAATCTTGAGCCTTCTATCCAGTGTGTAACGGTCATTACAGATCATCTCCATCAGGGCCGCCGGAGTCCATGGACTAAGTATTTTTAGTCAGGATCACCTGGAGAACCTTCCTTCTGTTGCTCTAGCTCACATTTTAAAACAACAGCTTTTTTAGTTAACCTTTGAAATATTCAGTGAAAAAATACATAACCATGATATATGCTGCCTCCAGAATCCAGAATTAACCACTGGACATTTTAAAGGTAGAATTCATCTTTTTCTTCCATTGGGGAGAATTTTACAATATGCCCTAGACCACTGAATTCCTAGACATTCTCTAGTGGTGGTTATAAAAGGCAAATATTCTATTTCAATTTTAGTGATAGGAAGAAATAATATGAGAAAAAGTTAAATGCTTTTTTCTTCATCAAGAAACTCAGAAAATGTTTTACCATTTTACATGATAGTAATAGGTGTTAACCCTCAAAATAATTCCATAAGTTAAACCCTACTATTCCCCCCATTTTAAAGATGTCAAAGCTGACACTGAGAGCATTTGCATGACTAATAAATATCAAAGGCCAGGTTTTACCTTGCATATTTTGAGACCAATAATGAACTATTTTTATTATATCCATCATGGTCACCAATGCTTATAGCCACACAGCATCAGATTTAGATGTTAATCTCTTACATTTTGAAAGTGTGCAATAAGTGAATACGATTTAGAATAATAATCATAATATTTGGAGCTTAACTTTGGCATTTGAAACATGAAGATTCTGCCCCATTCTGGAACTACTGCATCAGAAACATTCTCCAATGGGATCTGGGAACTGGTACTTAAAATAAGCACCTGGGAGAGGACAGTCTACACTAAAAGTCAAGACCTACTGCTCTAACCGCTTACTGTATGGAGATGTCACGTCTCCAGCAAAATCTGTTTCCTCTTTGATACCTGGCTTCATATCTTTATGGAGCCAAATTCCACAATGCTAAATGACAAGGGGCATTTATCAATGTTTCACAGTCCCTCTTCTGTCCATTTCTTCTCACTTGACTTTGAGATGCACGTCTAGAGCTGTTGATGAACACTTCCCTAAAGAACCCAGGTCTCACCTTCTGCTTACAGCTAACCCTCACCCTACTAAACTTTCATACATTTTGAGCACTGCCCTTGATTTCTCTTCATATTTTCTCTGGTCATTTTGAAAAAATACCTCACTGAATTCAGTTATTTTTGTGAAATTGTATTATACCACCACCCTGGAGTATACTATATGGTCCTGTGGTGTCCACATGGTCAGCCTTAAATAGGAACAGGACATGAATTTGATGTGCCCTATATCAACCTGAACTGAATAGAACAGTGCAGACACTCAAATTAATAAATAGAATACTATCAGAAGGTCACATTCTATAATTTCCATTGTGCTTGTGGAAGATCCAAAGAAAGGAAATCACTTTTAAAATTTTCTACATTATGCAAAGGCATCATGCTAGGAAAAACGTACAGCTGATAAGGATGAGGATGATGATGATGATAAATAATATGTAATTCTATCCCTGATAATGTTCAGTTAATTCTTCACATATTCCATTATTGATCCAGTAAGTCCAGACAATATTTTAATAGATAATATTTTTCATGGTGACTCAATCTTGAATCATCCTGAAAATTGAATAAATACAAGGTAGTCTATCACAGCTCTCTAAGCTTGTTTATGTAGTTAGCAACAGGAAGGCAATAAACTGCATTTTTTTAATCCTGCTCGAAAAGACTTAGAGATCAACAGAAGAGGAAACTTTTTTTATTAATGAGGCACTGAGCAGAGGAAGAAGGTTTGGTGTCTAATTCCTGTGTTTTAATCACTAGGAACAACATGTAAAATGAAAGATTAAATCAAGGCTTCATAGGGGGGAAAATGCCAAATTACCCAGGGCTTCAGTTTCTCTTGAAGACCTGCCTCTCTTTAATTATCAGTTACATTCATAATCTTAGTCCTTTCACATTCTCTCCTTTTTCTCCCAAATAAAACTTATTTTCAGAAAAAAAGTCTGAGAAACATGTTTACAAACTTATTTACATTAAATCTTGTCGTTGTTGTTTAGTTTGAGATGGAGTTTCACCCTTGTTGCCAAGGCTGGAGTGCAATGGCGGGATCTCCTCTCACTGCAGCCTCCGCCTCCCGGGTTCAAGGTTTCTCCTGCCTCAGCCTCATGAGTAACTGGGATTACAAGCACCCACCACCACGCTCAGCTAATTTTTGTATTTTTAGTAGAGACAGGGTTTCACCATGTTGGCCAGGCTGATCCACCTGGCCTCAGGTGATCCACCCGCCTTGGCCTCTCAAAATTCTGGGATTACAGGCATGAGCCACTGTGCCTGGCCTACATTAAATCTTATATCACCATCTTTTCTGAGGGGTGATTGTATAGTATCCCTGGAACTTGTGTACTCCCATTAAAAGCTAAAACTCCCTCGGAAGTTGAGGTCATAGATAATATAAAGACCTTTCGAAATGTGCTGTCTTATCAAAGGTCCTTTATTTTATGAGGAATAGTTTACATATAATAAAATGTACATAATTTAAATGCACAGCTCAATAGCTCTGAACATATAGACACCAGTGTAACCAACACCACTATCAAAACATAGAACATCTAAAAGCCTTTTGTAAATGTAAAATGCAATGCAAGCCTTTGGCCTAGATAAAAATAATAAATAAAAAAATGCTTCTCTAATTGTGTTGTTTCATAATTATTTTGCTTTGTCGCCTAACCTTAAAAATGAACTGTATTATATTCGATATCTCATGACTCATAGGTATCTTATCATAAGATGCATATAAGTCAATATGACCCTTGCTCCTCATTTGCCTTAAATATGTTATATTTTTCTCTAACAAATTATTGGAGTCTATGACAGATGAGATTACGCATGAACACTGAAAAGTTTCTAATAAGATCTGAACTATACTTATAATCATGAACCAATTATTGTATGTGGTCCTCCCCACCATCCTATATCCTCCACACCTCCTGTGTTAAGAAAACATATATCAAACAGGACAGATAAAAAGAAATGTTCAGCTGGGCACAGTGGTTCACGCCTGTAATCCCAGCACTTTGGGAGGCCGAGGCAGTCATATCATGAGGTCAGGAGTTCGAGACCAGCCTGACCAACATGGCAAAACCCCGTCTCTATTAAAAATTAAAAAAATTAGCCAGGCGTGGTGGCACACACCTGTAATTCCAACTACTCAGGAGGCTGAGGCAAGAGAATTGCTTGAACCCGGGAGGTGGAGGTTGCAGTGAGTGGAGATCGCGCCATTGCACTCCAGCCTGGGCAACAGATCAAGACTCTGTCTCAAAAAAAAAAAAAAGAAAAAAGAAATATGAATTTGTAAAAAAGCATAAAATGTTAAATCAACTGCATTTTGTATTTGTGAGCATAAAATGAGTTTACATGAGAAACACATTGAGCAACACTCATACTGTTCAGTTCACAAACTGAGATAGAGGACAGGTTGCAATAAGATCCTGTGTCCTCACCATAATCCTAACACTAGTCCCATTACACTAAGCCACTTCTGCATAGGTGTGAAAATCATGTTTACAGAATTCTCCTTGAAAATGAGCATACACATAATTGATTTATTTTGCTAACACAGGGAACTTATTTTGTAGATATTTCATTCTATCAAGAACCATGGTAGGTCTGAGACTTTATTCTACTTGCAAGCTAACAAGTTAGCCTGTCATGCTTTTATGGATGCTGGCAGAAAACATGAGACTCTTCAGTCAGAGTCAAAGGACAGTTTATTACTCGCGGCAATAGCAGTACAGTAGCCAGAATATCATCACTTTTACTCAAGTTCCCCAAGCCCCAGTTCCCATAAGGCAACATGAAGAGGGGCAGGGGATGACTACATATACACATGCAAGGCGTTGTTACAGGAGAGAAACCCCCTGTTTTGGAAATGTAAATATTTTGTGTTGAGTTGCAAGCCAACCTGCACAAAATTTGCCAAGGAGGAAAACACTAAATTTATTAAACTGGATAGTAAATAAACCTGTTCTTTGTTCTAGAGAAAGGCACAATTTGTATCTTCTAGGATTGTTTACATTATAAACACCCTTGAAAAGACAGCCTTAAACAAAGGGTGCCAGTGGTTTGTTCACAATATATGCAGAAATATGATAGACCCATGAAGAATTGCTTCCTAACATGGCCTACCAGAAGACAAACTGGAGTGTCAGATCAATGTAACCAGTTTCCTTCAAGTATACAGCATTGAAGAAATGCAAAACAAAGTGAGTATGTATGCGTGTTTGCATATGCATGTATAGCATATATGTCTAAATATATATGACATGTATATAATATATACATATAAATATGTATGTATAAGATATCCAAATATACACACATGCATATACAAAGGGAATTTTATATATATAAAACACATCATATGTATATGCATAATATATTATACATTTCTTTAAAGTATGTTAAAATATGTATAAATATATGTTCAAGTATATTAAGGGAATTATTTGATTTGAAGATACACTGGTGATTTTTAAACTCTCTTCTCCACCTCCTTTATGCATCTGTTCTTATTATAGTCAAATAGCAATTATATCAATTATATATAGTTAATTTATTTTCTAAAGCCCACAATACTTAAATTGGTAAACTTATTTTTCTGTGTACTGTGAAAATAAAATCCACTTTAGAAAAATGTCACATGCCCAGTAGTCTAAAAATACATTAAAATGAAAATTATCATATGAAGTGCCTGCTCTTGTCAACAAGATTGAATTTTGAAACAATGTAATGCATGTCCAATTAGCAAATGAGTATGAGCTAAATGAAGGAAAAACAATTTAACTGTTGTCTGTTAGACCATGGAAATGAGCAATGTATGCACAATTGTTATATTTACTCATGTATAATAGGATTGAGCACTAGATCATGCAATGAACAGTACTGTTGACCCTCAGCAACTACAATGTTTGTATGTAATAACTCAAAAAATGCTAGTTATAAACTTTCTCCTTGTCTCACACTGCTATTTTTAAAATAGAGCAACAGAAGTCATGCTTACAATTATCTTGTTTATTCTGTTTCCATTAAGAAAATCAAGTACTATTTTAATATCTAAAATCTAAACATCTACTCAGTGACAAACAATGTACATGTTCCTGCATTTCATCCTCACTAACATCCCCCGAAGCAGATATTTTCAATCCTGTTTTACAGATAAGGAAATGAGGTGTTGTTAGGTGTTATATTAAATAACATGGAGGTAGAACTTGTGATTTTCTAACAACCGCACAGAGCTTTTCTCCTCAGCGAACTGGCCTTATTCTTCTCTATCTGTAGCACTCATCTAGGTAGCACATAAAATCTGGAAAACATTTAGGAAAAATTTAATTTACTTGGGGGTGGGGTTGATGAATAAAAACACAAATGCACATTAACTCTGCCTCATATATGCGAATTAATATGCATAAAACAAAGAACAGTTGAAGATGCTAAGAACAGTATTAGACCAAAGAAATTGAAACCATGGTAGGTATTAATGTATAAGCGCTTTGTATACTAGAAAGATTTTGGCTAGGTCTTATCCTGAAATATAAGTGTATGCATCTTCTATTGCTGGAATAACAAATTACCATGAAGTTAGAGGATTAAGCAAACTATCACAAAGTTAGAAGGGTAATTTTATTGTCTTACAGTTCTATAGATCCAAAGTCTGGGACTCACACTGGGCTAAAATTAAGGTGTCTGCAGGACTGCATTCTTTCTATAGACTTTTTTTTTTAATACTTTAAATTCTAGGGCACATGTGCACAATGTGCAGATTTGTTACATATGTATACATGTGCTGTGTCGGTTTGTTGCACCCATTAACTCGTCATTTACATTAGGTATTTCTCCTAATTCTATCCCTCCCCCATTCCCTCACCCCACTATAGACTCTTGAAGGTAGGATTTACTTCTTTGCCTTTTCTCCTTTCTAGAAGTCACCCATATTCTTTGGTTTATGGGCCCCTTCTTACACATTTAAAACGAGAACTAGTAGATTGAGTCCTTCTCATATGACATCACTTTAACCTGCCCTTCTGCCCTCCTTTTTCACTGTTAAGATCTCATGTGATTTAGACTGGGCCCACATAGAAACTCCAGAATAATCTTTTCATCTCGACTTTAGTTATACCTGCAAAGTTCCCTTTGTCATGAAATGTAACACACTCACAGGTCCTGGAAATAAGAGCATGGGCATCTTCTGGGAGATATTACTTGCCCAAACAAAATGAGGATGGTCTAACCCCTACAGAGATTATAAAAATATATTTAAAAAACAACAGTCAGACCCACATGCATGTTTTCTATAAGAAACCCAACTTAAAAAGTATTCAAGTAAAAAGTAAAGGGAGAAAAAAGATATACCATGCTAACAATTTTCAAAAGAAAACTTGAATAGCTATAACAACTTCAGAGAAAGAAGATTTCAGAACAAGAAAAATAATCAGAGGCAATGAATTGTCACTTTTCCAAGAAGACATAGCAAAACTAAACATGTATATACCTAACAGAGCATCAAAATTTATGAGACAAATGCAAACAGCACTGCAAGGAGAAACAGACAAATCCACTGTTATAGTTGAAGACTTTAACACACTTCTATCAGTATTTCATGCTTGAAGCAGGCAGATAATCAGTAAGGATATAGTTGACCTGAGCATCACTATCAATCTGCTTGATCTAATTGATATTTAGAGAATATTCTATTCAACTACGCCAGAACCCATATTCCTTTCAAGCTCATGTGGGTAATTCATGAAGAAAGATGATGTTATAGTTTATAAAACACACCATATTAAGGAAGGAAGGAAGAAAGGAAGGAAGAAATAATTTAAAGTATTGTTAAGTCAAGTTTAGCTTAAAGCTGCCTCCTTAGATATTTTATATTGAGCCTAAATTTTTCTCCCTAAGTTGTGAAGTATAACAGGTGAAGATGTAAACAGACATTAGCCTACACTGTGCCAATCACCAAGTTTTGGCCAATCAAATACAGCCAACTGTACAAATCATGTTCAAATAAGGCAAATGTTGATTCATAACCCATCCAGCCATTTCTGTACCTCACTTCCATTTTCTGTATCTCACTTTCCTTTTTCTATCCATAAATTTTCTCCCACCACTTGGCTGTGCTGGAGTCTCTGAGCCTAATCTGGCTTAAGAGGCTGCCCAATTAACAAATCATTCATTGTTCAATTCAACTCTTTAATTTAATTTGGCTGAAGTTTTTCTTTTAACAGTATGCTCTTAGACTACAACGGCATTACACTAGAAAACTAGAAACTAACAACTGGAAATAACTGGAATATCATCAATATTTGGAGATGAAGCATGTACTTTCTAAGTAGCACATGGTTCAAAGAAGCAGCCTCAATTTTTTTTTCAAAATATATTTTTGACTAAATATAAATTAACATGCATCTAATCAAAATTTGAGGGATGCAGCAAAAGCAATACTCAGATGGAAACATATAGCATTAAATTCATACATTAGAAAAGAGGAAGGATCTAAAATTAATTATCTAAACTTCCACCTTATGAAACAGAGACAGAGCAATTTAAGCCTAAAGCAAGCAGAAGAAAACAAATAATAAAAATTAGAGCAGAAATCAGTGGTATTGAAAATAGAAAAGCAATAGAAAGAATCACTGGATCAAAAGCTTGTTATTTCAAAAGATCAAGAAAGCTGATAAACCTCTACAAGTCTATGCAATTGACCAAATGCTCACAGCTGTCCTTAATTTACCCTCTGAATTGGCTCATACTGGTCAGGCATCTCTCCTTTCAATAGGACCTTGAACTTTGGCTTGACTCCAAATCTGAGAAAGCTCTAAAATGCAGAACATCCCTGTTAGTAGTCTATCCTGAGAGTAAGGTGACCACAGTGAAAATCAAAAGTTGTTAGACCACCACAATTACACTGTCTGCTCCATCGCATTCAATTTCCCCTCAAAAGTTCCTGGTAGTTCTACTAGTTGAACCCCTCTCTAAAAAAGGAAAGCTTTTCTTTTTCTGTTTGATTTTGAGATGCTTGTAGATCTTCAGTTTCAAGAGTTCTTCCTGTTGAAATAGTCGTTTTAATACAATCTCTTTTCACTTAAGTTCAGATTTCTTTTTACTTAGCATTAATGTTGACTAAAAAAGCCAAACTCTGTAAAATATTTGAAAAGATGTCTTCTGAGCCAAATGCAATGAACATGACCCATAACATAGCCCCAGAGTGTCCTGAGGACATGTGTCCAAGGTGGTTTGGCTACAGCTTGATTTTATACATTTTAGGGGTCAAAAGTTACAGGGAGACATAAATCAATACATATAAAGTATACATTCGTTTGATTTAGAAAGGTGGGAAAACTTGAATCCAGGTCATGGCAGGGGGATTAGAGGTCATAGGTGGATTTAAAGATTTACTGATTAGCAATAAATTTAAAGAATTGTTATTATCTAAAGCGTTGAAGTAAGCAGAAAGAAATGCTTGGGGTTAAGATAAGGGAGTTATGGAAGCCAACATTCTTGTTATGTAGATGGAGCTTCCAGGTAGCAGTCTTCAGAGAGAATAGATGGTAAATGTCTCTTATCAGACCTTAAAACATTTCGGACTCTTAGCTAAAACTCTCCTGGATGAGAAAAAGACCTGGAAAGGGAAAAGGATTCTCTACAGAATGTAAATTTTCCCCACAAGAGATGGCTGTGGCAGGGTGCGGTGGCTCATGCCTGTAATTCCAGCACTTTGGGACGCTGAGGCAGGCGAATCATGAAGTCATGAGTTCAAGACCAGCCTGGCCAACATGGTGAAACCCCATTTCTACTAAAAATACAAAAATTATCTGGGCATGGTGGTGTATGCCTATAATCCCAGCTACTCCGGAGGCTGAGGCAGGAGAATTACTTGAACTGGGACCCAGGAGTCGGAAGTTGCAGTGAGCCGAGATCACACCACTACACTCCAGCCTGAGTTACAGAGTGAGACTCCGTCTCAAAAAAAAAAAAAGAAAAAAAGAAAAAGAAAAAAAAAGATAGCTGTGCAGGGCCATTTCAAAATATGTCAAAGAAATATATTAAGGGGCAAAATACTTTGGTTTCTTTCAGTGCCTAGTATCTCAGTGCCTGGTATCTGTCATATGATGCTATAGTACAGTGTAGTTGGAATTTGGTATCTTATTGCTAAAAAGAGTTTGTTTGGTCAGTTTTAGGATTGCTATTTTAATGTTAATGCTGGTTAATTGTGCCTGAATTCCAAAGGGCAGAGAGTATAATGAGGCAACATGTGATCCTCCCCTCCCATCATTGCCTGAAGTACTTTTTCAGGTTTCTTTGCAATTCTCTTGGCCAACAGCAGGTTCCAATCAGTCAGCTAGGGGGCTTAGAGTTTTATTTTTGGGAGAACCAAGAAAAGAAATAGAAGACATCAATTATCAACATCAGAAATAAAAGAGGGGTCAACACTCCTGATTCCATGGACATTAAAATAATAAAAGATAATGAAATAAAATGATAATAATATGAATAACTATGGACAACAAATGCCCCCAAATTTGACAATAGATGAAACACACCAATTTTTAGGAAGTACAAACTACCAGAATTCTCACAAGGATTAATAAATACTCTGACTAGGCCTATATCTATTAAAGAAATTAAATAAGTAATAACCTTCTAAATAAGTAGAAGGAAAGAATGAGAATGAGCCTAAAGAAAGATCCTGAGATGAAATTGAATACAGCTTGAGCAGGAAAGATGTCAAGTTCTGTCTGGTTAGAGCAGAGGGGAGGCATATTAACACTTAAGTGAGGTCTCCATTTGATAACAGCTGCCAATAGCCTGTTTCCTCCCCATTGAGCTCTAGAGTTAGAGGGCAAGGGACTCGCTAGGGGGTCCTTCTCACGGGCCAGCAGGAAGGAGTTTATTCAATAGAATCAGCATCTTGGCAGTCTGACAAGGGAGAGAAGGAATGCTTTGTTCACAAGCTGGCACTTCAGCTTCAGTGGAATAACATAAATTGGTAAAAATACAAAGCAGTTAGCACTTACAAAGAAGAGTCCATTGAATGGCTTTGGCACTTTGATATAGGATTCAGAACAAAGGAGCCTTGGGAAGCTAACATGATTTAGAGGATTCGAGAAGTTCAAACTGGGGTGTGGCAATGGATCTAGAGAATGTTTGCAAGCATTAATGTCTTTGCTTCTCATTACAAATTAGTTATAATCTCAAATTAGTGCCAGGTCATTTCCCAATTGTTTTATTTTGTAATTGTTGATCTTCTGGGTTAATGGGTTCTGTGGTAAATTTTTCATCACCAGAAATGTAAAACTCAATATTTTGACTTACTTTAGGACTAAAAGAGTGTGTGCTGTTTGTTGTGTGAACATGTATACATTTTGGGGGGTAGAGGAGTTATGGGAGTGTTATTTAATTTAACAAAAAAGACTTTTAATTGAGTGGCTTTTTAGATACATGGATCACAGTCAAGTCAAGACAAAGAGATGGAAAATTATCAGAATGGAAATTTAGATAAGTTAGCATGATCACAACATACTATGTTTTAAGAAATTCTAGGACATAGAGAGTGCAACTATGTGGTAGGCAGAATTCCAAGAATTGCCCCTCTCCCTCCAGGATCCCCAGTCCCCGGCTATTCAATCAAGCACTAATCTAGGGACTGTTGTAGAGGAACTTTGCAGTTGTAATTTAGGGCTTTAGTCAGTTGACCTTAGAGTTTGGAGATTATCAAGGTGAGCCTGATCTAATTACACAGCCTGTTAAAAGACAGAAGAGCACAGAAGAGGATGTGAGAAATATTTGAAACACAAGAAGGACTCAAAGTGCTATGGCTGGAGTAAAGATGGAGAGTGAAATGAAAAGGAAAAGAAATTCAGGTGGCCTCTAGGAGCAGGAAGTGAGCCCAGTACCCTGCAAAAAAACAGGAACCTCAGTCCTACAATCACAAAGATATGAATTCTGTCCGCATTTGAATGACCTTGGAAATGAATTCATTCTTCAGGCTTCCAGAAAGGAGCACAGCCTAGCTAATACCTGGATTTCAGTCTTGCAATAGCCTGAGTAGAGACAAGCTGAGCTTACCTGGACTTCTGACCTACACAAACATATAATAAATAGGTATTGTTTTAAGATGTTAAGTTTTGGTAATTTGTTGTCAATACAGAAGGGCTGGGCTCTTGGCTAAACCCCAAACTTAAGCCTGGAACCACAGCCCAAAGTAAAAACACCTGACCCCATTTTGCCACTTATATGTTGCCTTTTTGGCCTGCCATACCTCTATCCTATGCCCATGAAAAGACTTCAGCTGGCAGAGAACAAAAATGACTGAGTATCAGGGGTACAAGCAGCTGAGTGGCAAGGATACAAGTGGCTGGGGATACAAGTGGCTGAGCAGTGAGCAGAGAAGCAACTGAGTGTCAGAGAATACATATAGATGCAGCTAACTTCAGATGAGGCAGCTTCTGGGAAATATCACCTTCTTCCCACACTATCCCTTTTCCAACTTCCCATCCCACTGAGAGCCACTTCCATCACTCAAAATCCTCAACATACACTACCCTTCAATCTGTTCATGTGACTTGATCCTTTCTGGATGCTGGACAAGAGCACATGTGCTGAAATGGCAGGGGCCTGGATGCTGCTGCAGGCCCCATACAGAGCCTGCTCCCACCAGACAGAAGTGACTGGCTAGTTCTAGTGCTCATTCACTCTGGTTCCTGCACTCACTTGCTCATGTGCTCCCTCTTGCAAGGACTGACCAGTAGTGGGCTGAGTCAAGCCACTCTAGTTCCCACCCATGAAGGGGGTCAAGGTCAAGGGAACAATCCCGTCTCATCTGGGGGCTCATCCAGGATACAAAAAAAGGGTGAGTTAAAATGCAAAACTGTCGGATCTGTCTCTTTTCAAAGACCTTGCCACTTCTCTTTTACCTTTGCATAAAAGGAATGTTGGCTCTGTTTCCCTTCACAGAGGTCTAGCCAGTCTGAACCAGGGGAAGGATACGGTGATTAAAGAAACTCATTTCCACAGAGCAAGATGCTCTTCTCCTAGGCTCCCTGCCCCCTTATGCAGTTTAAGTTGCTTTCTTCTTTGTTTTTTTGAGATGGAGTTTCGCTCTTGTTGCCCAGGCTGGAGTGCAGTGTCACAGTCTCGGCTCACTGCAACCTCTGCCTCCTGGATGCAAGTGATTCTCCTGCCTCAGCCTCCTGAGTAGCTGGGATTACAAGCATGTGCCACCATGCTCAGCTAATTTTTTTTTTTTTTTTTTTTTAGTAGAGACAGAGTTTCACCATATTAGTCAGGCTGGTCTCGAACTCCTGACCTCAGGTTATCCACCCACCTTGGCCTCTCAAAGTTCTGGGATTACAGGCATGCACCACCGCGCCTGGCCCAGTTGCTTTCTTCTTCTCTAAGCAAAAGAGTTCTCTTCCTACCTCAACACTCTGCTTATGATAGGGAAACAACAGAGGATCGATCCCTGCTGGCTGTTAGCTGTACATTTGGCAAGGCCTGTTTGAGACTTAATCTAAATTAATCTATGCACACCTGAAACACCTTTTTGTCCCAAACTCGATTTCGAGCTTTAGATTGAGGCCCTAGAAAGGAAAACCAGATCTGAGGGAGCTAAAGCCAGGCAATAGGCACAGTGTAAATGAGCAGGACTAATTCTTGCTGATTAAACCCCCACTTCATGGAAGGAGGCCATGCTGCATGGCATAAATGAGACCCAGGAAACTCAAAGGTTGTCGACAGTAGGGGAGGTAGAGGCATAGATGAGTGTGGATAATTCCTATTTTCTAGGCCTTCACTGGTTTATGGGTGCAAGCCACATTGGCATCCATGGGTGGCACCTGCCAAGGACACTGGGACTTGGGGATAAGGATGGGAAAGAAAAGGAGGTGTGCCTGCTTTCTTTCCACCTCACATTCCGAGTTTTCGCTGAAAGGAGGAAGGGAATGAGGGATGCCAAATTCCCTGTCTTTCAGAATGGGCAACAAACTTCACCACCTCCAGTTTATACTCAGAAACGGACCATGGGACCAGATAGTACATTAGAGGACCTTTTGAAAGGGGCCACATTGGTCTTTCAGACACAAGAAAGAGGCAGAAGCTTTAATGGCCACCATTCAAGCTCACAAACTCCAGAATTCCTAAGGTTCACCTCTTAACTGCTACAGATTTGACAAGAACAGCTACTCCCTCTTAAAGTTTAACTGCTCCTATACAAGGTTTAATCTATTTTATCAGGGTGAGAGAGCTCAGGATACAACGTTGTTAGTATATTTCACTTCTTTCTGTAATCTTTGGCACTAGATTCTTTCCTTGTATAATACATGTTTGATTCATGCATACTTACCTTGTAAAGCTTGTTTCTATTTCTTGCCAAGAAGCCATCAAGTCTCCAAATGGGCAGACAGGCAGAGCCTCAGATAACCAGCCCCTTTTGCTAGGGACCCTTGGGTAGACCTCTAGGAAGAATCTGACTGCCGTTTCCCCCAAATAATGCCCCCTTTCAGCAGGAAGTAGCTAAGACTGGATCGTCTATATTCTAACGGCAGTTAGATGTGCCTCTTCAGAGGGGGAAAATGACACAGAACTGCTTGGGCTCCTGGCTAAATCCCATCCTTAAGTCTGGAACTGTGGCCCTAAGTGAAAACAGCTGACCCCGTTTTTCCATCCAGATGTTGCCTTTTTGGCCTGCCATGCCCCATCCTGTACCCATAAAAAGACCTCAGCTGGCAGAGCAACAAAAGCAGCTGAGCAGCAGGAACACAAGGGGCTGAGCAGCGAGCAGAGAAGCAACTCAGCATTAGAGACTGCAGATAGACGCAGCTAATTTCAGACAGTGCAGCTTCCAGGAAAGATCAAATTCTTCCTGCACCATCCCCTTTCCAATTCCCGATCCCGCTGAGAGCCACTTCCATTTCCCAGTAAAATCCTCTGAATACACTTCCCTTCAGTCCTTTCACGTGACCTGATTCTTCATGAACGCTGGACAAGAACCTGGGTGCCTAGAGGTTAGGGGCTTGGATGCTGCTGTGGGGCCTGCACAGAGCCTGCTCCCACCAGAGAGGAGTAAGCAGCTGGTTCCAGCATTCGTTCACTCCGGTTCCTACACTCTCTTGCTTGCATGCTCCCTCTCACTTATTATTTTCATGAGGGCCTAAGGAGCTCCCATGTATCGTAGGGTATTCTTTGGTAATAAGAAGCTAGTGACCTATAAGCAGAAAGGCATACTTTTAACTCTAGAGGCTCTTTTCCATGACTCCTCACTATAACTAGGATAACAGAGCAGCCACATTCCCAAATTGCCAGTTACCATGGCAGAAGGAAAGAGAGCTCTGGGGAAGATTCTGCGCTCTCAGGCTACCAATTAAGTGCTCACACTAGAAAGTGACACATTAATTCTGCTCACAAATTTTTGGCCAGACTAGTCATATGGACACATTTAACTATAAGAACCCAGGAAATGTAGTATTACCATGTGCTGGTCATATTTGATGAATGCATTTAATGATTATCACATCCCCAAGTTGGAGAGAAAGCAGGCACAATTAGCTTAACATAGGAACAAAGTCTAATCACAGAACAGATGAAGCTAGTCACAGGATTTCTCTGACTTTCAGATTATTATCTTTGTTCTAACCCTGTTGATTCAACATGTAGACTTAGGCCTATGGTGATAACAACAAGAAATGGAAATATAAATTAATGAACTATTTACCAAAAAACATCTAAGGTACAAATAATTTCTATTTCATGCTTCTCTTCCAAAATTCCTCCCAAATTGGAAAAAGGCAGACATTACCTTTTCTCAAGTCTCTTCAGAGTAGGTGTATATAAACCATAAACAGACTTCAAACCCAGAAACTTAGCAAATTTGTCATCTCTAGAGTTTCATGGACCTAATTTTATTTTTATCACCTTCTATTATTAAAGAAGGTATACAAAATTTTATAAGCTTCAGGGGATAGAAAACACATCTGTTCTTGCCAGTAAGATCCTTCCTTACCAAAAATCCTACCCCTATCCTCCACGACCAAGGCACATCTTCCAACATTCACGTGCAATTTTTGTCTGGTTACTTAATCATTTCCAAAAGCAAGAGAACCTTCTTCCAAATTAATCTTATTAGTCAAATGCAGCAAGTCTGTAGGACTCACCCTTTTCAGGGCTAGGTTCTCCTCTTTTTAGAGCATACATACACAGATTAATGCCTACTTAGACATTTCTAAATGGAAATTTTATTCCAGGAGTTCAACAATGGTGAGTTCAAGTGAACTAAAGGCCCCAACTGTGGTGGAACTTTATGCCACTAGAAATTTTTAGAATTAATTCCTTTGAAGTAAACTTCACATCTTTATATTAATACCTGTTGTATTTCAGGAGCTTCCTTGTTACCATATTTCCAGCCTGGCATGCTATTTTAAATATACCATGCAATATATAAAACATTTTATCTGGGTCTGCATTGCATGTGAATTTTATAAGCATATGAGGTATGCCATCACTCAAGTTGTGGTTTAGATCATAGAACAGCACAGAGCCCTGCAACATATCACCTGAATACTTTTCATTAGAAAGTAAAATGCCATTTGAGTGTGGCTATTTTCGTATTTATAGCCCCTTGGATTTGTCTTATCAACCAGCCAGGGTTTCTTCCTCATGTTCCCAAGACTGTTTAGAGTCATCATGGAAAATTGTTAGACCTAAAGCAGAATTTTGTTCAATGCTTTGTTATGTATTTATTCATTTTTATGCCTTTGATCTGTTGGCCTGAGTCAATGTTATTTATTCTGTATGTAGAAGCAGTTTATTTTCAGAAAAGTTTCTGTTTCTTTGGTCAAGCTTCAATTTCATCATCTATTAAATGAAATTACAGCTTATCAGTATGAAGATAAATCAGAAATGCATGCTAAGAGCCTAGGAAACAGCCCAGGTCATACTAATGATCAGTACATATCAATCTCATTTTCTTGCCCTTTCCTTTGCTCTAATCAATCCCATTGACCTTATAAACCCTCAATAACAGTTTTAATCTGCAGAACCATCAGCTGATCCAGACATCATTGATTATGGGCATTTGTAGTTAAACCAAACTAAAACAGTCATTGCCTTCCCTCAAGTGTCTTCAGAGTAGATATTTATAAACTCTGAACAGACTTCAAACCCAGAAAATATGTTTAAAACAGTGAGGTCAAATATACTGTCTTCCTAAAGCTACTAACATACTGCTTTGGTTCACAAAGAAGACAAAAGTAAAGTGATACCTGACTGGGAATATTTGGAAAGACTTTCTGCAGAACATCTTTTCTGACACCTCTGGAGGGTGGGAAGGAAGCTTAGCATTCTGCAGGAATGATCATCAAGTAAGTGGGCATTCTGCTCAGGATGTTGGCGAAGTGGGAAGTATTTTCTATTTACTAAGTTTGGGGAATTGGAAAATTCACACACAGGATATGGCAACTCCATCAATCTGAACATTATATTAATCAGAAGCCCATCTAGTTCATAAAAACCAAGATATGGAAACAACTAAAGTTTGGTCAATGGATAAAGAAATAAAGATATTGAATTATGCTTATATATATAAGCATAATTTAAATGCATTTTATATATAAACATAATTCAGTATCTTGCTGAATTTTATACAGATATAGATAATTCAGTCTTTAAAAAGAAGGAGATTTTGCCATTTGTGACAACACTACCAAGCACAAACCAAGAGGACGTCAGGCTAAGTGAAATAAGTCAGACACAAGTTATCAAGAGTGGGGTGGGGAACACAGGAGAAATGAGAGGATGTAGGTCAAAGAGTACAAAGTCGTAGTTATGTGGGATGAATAAGTCCAGAGATCTAGTTATGACATGAGGACTATATTTAATAATGTATTGTGTACTGGTAATTTAACAACAGAGTAGTTTTTCAGTATTCTTATCACCAAAAAAAGAAAGAAAAAAGGAAGATTATTATATGAGATGTAGACATGTTAATTTACTCGACTACAGTAATTACTTAGTATATGTATATCAAGTATATCAAAACATCTTATTATACATCTTAAACATATAAAATAAAAAAATTAAGTTTTAAAAAAGCCCACCCCAAACTACTTTAACCCACTTGTTTGCTTCTCGTTGACCTTCTGTTCAATTCACAGTCAAAGGCAAATTCATACACAAGTACTTATTGGATATCTCCTTTGAATGATAAGCTGCTTTGGATGTGGTCAAGATACACTACCTATGGTTTCCGTGCCAAGCAATTTAGATTTTTTTAAAAAATAACTTTCATACATATCCGCTTACTTTATTTCCATGTCTCCCTGGGTGTTTCATATCAAAGGAAATACCTTTTTCAACATCTGACAAAGGAGAATACAGCAATTTCCCTAAATGTTGACTATGGATAGACTGGGTATTGGATATCTGCTTTGTTTTCTAACTGGTACTATAACTTTAGCCAATTTATTTGCCTTCTCTCAGGCTTGGTTTATTTCATCTGTAAAAGAGAATGAAAACTAAATACATCATCAGATTCTGGAGAACATTAATTAAAATATATATGTAAAGCACCTCGCACAATTCCTGACACGTATTAATTTTCAATAAATGGAAGATGAACATCACCATTTTGACCAACATAAAATACTTCTAAGAAATAAATTTTGCTTTGCATTTTGTTCAATTTTTAAATCCTTGTGATCATGTGATCTTTTGGTCACTTTGGCATAAAACAGTCGCTGAAAAGAAAAGTGAACTACTGTAGACATAAGCTCTCCACAAACTTTTTTTTTCTCCAAATTGGTCTGAAGATGTATCTTCAACGCTAACTGGAATGCAGGCTTAGTGGTCTAGCAGGAATCTTCTGTGAAGTTCCAAAGTAAACGTGGATTTTTATTGGTGTTTCCTGGCCCAGGTCCTAATATAGGAATATTGACTAATAGCTGGTGGAGAGGTATCCATTAGCAGGCATAATTATGGCTAGCATCAGGGTTAATGGAGGACTAACGATGCCCTTCACCTGGATTCCCTTTTGTCACAGTAAGAGAACAGTGCATAATAACTTCAAATACAACGAAGGCCCCAAACACAAAGTTATTAGACACTGTAATCAGAATAAAAGTGTATTTAGTTTTCTTTACATTTCCAGTCCACAAAATCATGCCTCAGTTAATCCTTTCTGATGTCACCATCATTATCAAACATTGCTTACATGCTTACTATTGTGAAGCAAATAGAAAACTAAGAAATACTGAGAATGTATAATATGCACAAATCATAGGGTGAGGTATTTTCACACACTTTATACCAACTGATCCGCATAACGGCCTTTCAAGGTAACTCTTCTTGATCTCATTTTAGAGATGATAATATTAACCCTTTAATAAGAAAGGGACTTACCTACAATCACATATATGAGTACAAAGTCATAGCCGTGACCTTGAAAGAAGTTCTTGCTTGGAGTCTTTAAGAAATGTATAGGAGTCTCGGAACCCAATCAGTTACAAGAAGAATAGACTCAATCTCAACAAAACCAGTCATCAGGTCCTCTGTCCACAATTGCAGAACAACTAGAGGCCAAACAATTCACATTACCACAATGCTGACATACACTTTGTCCTTGAAACAAACTCGCCTGGGCAGGAGGGAAGATCAGCTTAATATCTATTGGTCTTAGGCAGTGTGATGCTCTGATCTCTCCATCTTATTTCTCAAAGGCCTTCACCTATTGTCACTCACAAAACTTTCCATTTTCCTCTCCCCATTGAGTTCCTGGTTCAGTGAGTTGTATTTACTTGCTAGATTGAAATTCTAACATTCTTTTATAAACTTCTGGCTTGAAATGGTAAAATCTATTCCTGTCACCCCCATTGTTTCCCCAAACGAAGTGCAAGTTGCTTGTCTAGCATCCCACCGCAACTCCTTCCATCAGCTCCCTAACTCCACTGTTCACTGTGGCAATGCTAATTCCACCTAAATCCCACTCATCATGTGCCTTTGATGGAATCTAGGCTGTTCATGCTGTCCCACTGCTTGAGATATCCTCCTTTGGTTACCTAGTCATTACTCTACGCACATCTTATCAAACGCTTGACTCTGCCATCACCCACCCCAGCAACTTCTCTGACACAGACTTGTAGGGTTGAGTGCTTTTCTTTGTGCCTATAAAAAATGCTCTAGGTTTATGTTCATCACAGAAATGCTGACATCAAGTTACAGTGATCTGTTTCTGTGTCCCTCTCCCTTATTATTTTGTACTCCTTAATGATAGTAATTATATCTATTTATCTTTGTACCCCTGACCCTAGCACAGTGAATAAGATGAAATACTACTAGCTGTGTTTTAGCTCAGTGTTTGTGAAATGGTTTAGAGTGTTACATAAATGGTGTAGAGAAGCAAAGTAAAACCTTTTCTAACTCATCACAAGTTTCATGACTGAAATCCTTATATCCAAAGACAGATTAACAAGAGAAAAGCACACAAATTCATAAATGAAGGCTCAAAAAAACAGGGAAATTTGTGTATTTTTATCCTTTGGTTTGATGATGAGTGGACAGTCATGTTGAAATATGATAGAAAGAAAAAAAGGTGAGATCTAATGGTAATAAACTAGGGAGAACTTAGCAAGATCTTTTTGTTTCTATCCTACTTGGCTTATGGGTATAGGAAAGGGCCCCTCTGAAATAATGAGGGTCTTATGACCTACTTTCAGGGGAAAGTCAGGTTTTATGGCTTGCTTCAGGAGAAATTTTTTTTGAGTTTCTGTGGTCTGCTTCTACTATTTTCTCAAATATTTTGATGTATGTGTGTGTCCTGAATCTCATAAATTAATGATTTGTTCTGTTATTTTTTCTTGTATTTATTTGGAGAAAATATATTTTACTCATGTGTCCTTATATGTTTATGTTTTATTTAGTAGTGATGATAAATTTCATTTTTAGTTAATATATTTAAATTATTTGAAATTGTTAAAAATGGTAAGTAAAAATAATTTCAACATCCAAAAATTGTGAGTATGGATGACCCTGGCTTACATCAGTTTTCTAATGTAAAAATCTTGGTAGGATCAATGAGAAATACATTTTATAGCAAGGGTTTTCTTGGAAACCCATAAAATCCTATTTCAAGAGATTGACTTTTCTCAGAAATAACTTTGTTCCAAGGAAGAGGTAGGTAGATATCTGGAAGGTTACAACAAAGCAAAATTTTAAATCAGATTTGAGTTTGGATCCCTTCTGCTGGAAGTAGAAATTACAGTGGTGACAAATCTTTTAGGTAAAACATGTTCACCTCATTATGTGAGTCATGAATCTGCATATTAGTGAGCCTGCATCCAGTTCCAGATCCTCTATTGAAGGAAGGCCTGGGGGATTTCAGATGAAGTATGCAGACCACTTTGCTACTGTTCCCCTTCTTTCCTGTCAAATGAGTTCATTATACAGAGGGAAGGGTACATCTCAGAACAAAATTTGACTAACATTGTTTTCATTTTCTTATGAAGATGATCTAAGTTTCCAGAATCCTTCAATGACACAAAAGCCTTTGGGAGAAAAAATGAAGTTAAACCTAAAACTCCCAAAGGTTCAGATTGCAGGGGCTTTCTCTTACATGCACTGATGCTTACATCCATTATGCTCATCAAACCAAAAATCAGGGCCCATCAATACCTCATGCACTGTAGAAGCAGGTATAAGTATAATGAACATGACTTTCCCTTGTGGAACTTCAGGAGAGAGCGTAAAACAGACCACTGAAGAAGAAATGATGTGGGGGAAGGTAGATAGGGTAATTCAATCTTGAAAAAGAGCCAAACTTGGTTCAAAATAAACAGAACACTCCCATTAGGAGATCTTCCACTGCTGATGACTTTAAAGCGTTTCTGAACAGTGAGCCCCTTGCTCCTACTAAACTCTTTGGAACCCTTTCAAGCCCACATCCCCCAGGCTTCACCAAACTATGAATCCAGATGAGATCTCTATACATGAAATACTCACCACCAGCTCCCTTGCTTGCTCTATGCATGTAAGACCTCTGATTTAACAGCTAAATCTGCTCTATAGACTTACTAATGTCTCAGAAACGGGCACAATTCTATCACTTATGTCCTAATTATCCTACGTTTTCTATATGCTTAATTCTAAAGAACTTTCTAGCTTTTCAACGTATCCAACTCTTTTTTTTTTTTTTACACTTTTATTTAAAGTTCAGGCGTATGTGTGCAGGTCTGTTATATAGGTAAACCTATGTCATGAGGGTTCGTTGTACAGATTGTTTTGTCACCCAGGTATTAAGCCTACTACCCATTAGTTGTTTTTCCTGATCCTCTCCCTCCTCCCACTTCCTACCCTCTGATAGGCCCCAGCGTGTATTTTTCCTCTCTGTGTGTCTAGGTGTTCTCGTCATTTAACTCCCACTTATAAATAAGAACATGCATTATTTGATTTCCTGTTCTTGCATTAGTTTGCTAAGGATAATGACCTCCAGCTCCATTCATGTTACTGCAAAGGACATGATCTTGTTTTTTTGATGGCTGTATAGTATTCCATGGTGTATCAACATATTCAATTCTTGAAGCCTAGTTTTATTGCTTTCAGTAGTTCCCAAAAAGGGCAGTCCTTTCTGCCTTTCATCAACAAACATCCTGCTAAGGGTAAACAATTGTTCAGCATATTTCTTGAAGCTTAGGTCTTTCTGTACTTTAGCCAAAATGCCCCACATTATTTTGACTCAACCACAGCTTGGAGGAAAGTGAACAACCTGGGTCACTTTCACTTTTCACAGATTCCCTGGAATCTGTTCTTGCCTTCAGGATAACATTTCTTAGCAAAAATTCAGGAACATTTATGCTATGATTTCTGCCTACCCTTCCAGCATCATTTTTTGCTGCTCCTTAACTATAGACCTATCTCCCAAATCTTTTAGGTAAAGTTCTCTGAATGCATCTGGCAATCCTTGTATCTATTTTCTCATTTAGAATTTCTATTTCTCTTCTACCTGCATTATATTTATCTGATTAATATTCACCTGAATTTGGAGGTTTAATTCTAAACTTAATCTCCGACAAATCTTTTTGATGCCCCTTAACAATCATTACATAATTTGCCATAAAACTGACCATAATATTTGCAATTTACCATAGTACATTGTAATTATGTGTGCATTTCTCTTTCTCTTCCATGAATGAGTAAAAGATTTGAAGGAAGCAATGATATAATCCCAACAAACAGGAATTCGTAACTGCCTGAAATGGCAGATGTTTAGCTAATGTCAAATAAATAGAAAAGCACACCCAAACATCCATAGCTAGTGAAGGGGATGCAGAGACTTCTCTTAGATGTGGTTTAAGTGTGCTTAAGCTGTGGCCCTAGATTTGGTAAAATACTGCATGGGTGCCAAATGACCAGTAGTGAGGCAGTTATTTCTTAAAGAATGTCTGCCTCTGTGACTCTATTTTTATTTTATTACAGCTAGAATTCAGAATCTGATTTTCTGACTCTAGGATAAATATACTAACATATTCCTACACGCAATGAAAATACACCTTAATGGTGTCTCACACCTGTAATCCCAGCACTTTGGGAAGCTGTGGTGGGCAGACCACGAGGTCAAGTTATTGAGACCATCCATCCTGGCCAACATGGTGAAGCCCTGTCTCTACTAAAAATACAAAAATTAGCCAGACATGGTGGTGGGAGCCTGTAATCCCAGCTAGTTGAGAGGTTGAGGCTGGAGAATCACTTGAACCTGGGAGGCGGATGTTGCATTGAGCCGAGATCGTGCCACTGCACTCCAGCCTGGGCGACAGAGCAAGACTCTGTTTCAAAAAAAAAAAAAAATACCTAAATGAAAAGCCAGACACATCCCTTAGCTGCCCCCTAACTGGCAGAACAGCCCAGAGGAGCCACCTGACCTGGCATGGAATGGAAACAGTGGGGCCATCACATTGTTTCCCTGGTCGGGAAACCTATGCAAACAAAATTTCAGTTGGCCTTTTATTCCTTAAAAGAGGGTTCATTCTATCCTTTGTATTTGGAGGTAGGTTCATATAAATAATTCTTATTATTTCTAGGAGGGACCAAAGTCATCTTTCTTTCCTTTTTAAGTTATTCTTTTCTAGCTAGTATTTGGACATTTAGCCACTGGCTGTGCCCCACCACCTTTTTTTGATGACTTCTCATTGTGGCAGAGAAGGTTCTAATTACCATGGCCCTTGAGGCATTGCTGCTGGCCCTGTTAGGCTGACCAAGTTCTCAGCTGCCAGGGTCAGCAGCTCTCCATGAGCCTTGTTGCTCAGTAGCTTCTTGCCAATGGAAGACTTTTCCTCAAGCCATAGATTCCAGCCATTCTCAGAGCCCTGACAATTCCAGCAGGCTCATTTTCTCAATGCTGTTTTTTCCTGTTGGTTTCAAAAAAGCTTAGCGTGTCAAATTTGCCAAGTATGCAATGCAGTTAGAAGGAGTTGCCGATCATAAGGAGACATTTTAATGGGGTTTTCACTAACATGTCCAAAGTGATCTTTGAAATAACAACTTAGAGCAGCCAAAATTTTTAATTCTGTCCTTGCAAACCAACACCTTTGTGTGTTTCTAAACATCATCAGAATATAAAATGAATATTTATCCTAAATTGTTCACTTCATCAGTAACTATCACATCTAGCAATGATTAAACACCTGTAATAACCAAATGTCTTGAGTCCTCACAATAGAGCAAAATGGGAGATTTCATTGTCTTTATTTTTTAATGTATAATTTACTGCTGTCTCTATAGCCCTGGGACTTGTGTTTGGCATACATGGTACACACTGAAAAAAAATTAGTCGTATTAATTACTATTAATATTATTTTTTGAGATGGAGTTTCACTCTCATTGCCCAGGTTGGAGTGCAATGGTGCGATCTCAGCTCACTGCAACCTCCGTCTCACTGGTTCAAGTGATTCTCTTGCCTAAGCCTCCCAAGTAGCTGGGATTAGAGGTGTCTGCCACCATTCCGGGCTAATTTTTGCCTTTTTAGTAGAGACGGGGTTTCACCATGTTGGCCAAGCTAGTCTCAAACTCCCGGCCTCAGGTGACCCACCCGCCTCAACCTCCCAAAGTGCTGGGATTACAGGCATGAGCCATTGTACCCAGCCAAATTAATTATTTAATTTAACAAATAAAACAACTGAAGTTCACATCTCATTGCTAATTCCTCATTTCCATCAGGAATGCTGCCATTGCCTACTAGATCTCAACAAGCATCAACACAAACATACACATCCACACATACACACATGCATACACACAACCGCTTATGTGTGCACACACAGAACAAAGTGGGGAGCCAGCCTCAACGATATGGTCAGTTCAGTAGAGGGAAACAGACCCATCTCCACTGACATCTGTTCCATACCACACATTCATTGATACAACTTGAGATGGAGCATACATAGCCACACGATTGACACATTACAATTTGTTCAACAAAAATCCTCAGATATGTGTCCCTGAAACTTCCTATAAAACCAAGATTCCTCATTTCTGTCTTTTTTAAAAAAAATAGTGTGAATTTAAATGATGCAGACAAGCACTTGAAGCTCATTCTATGTGCTTATCTCATTCTTCCTACAAAATGTTAGCACAAACTTTCTATTTTTAAAATTATTTTTTTGACTTAAAATGCACATCTTTATATTGATCCCTGCTGGCATTTCAAGTGTTTACTTGTTCCCATATGCCAAGTCTGGCATGATATTTTGAATATATAATTTAACACATAAAACATTTTATTTGGCTCTGTATTATGTGTGAAATTGATAAGCATACATAGTATGCCTTCACTCAAGTTGTGGTTTGGATTATAGAAAAGCACAGAGCCTTGTGGCACATCACCAAAATACTGGTGTTAAAACACTCCTTTGGGGTGGCTGTTTTGATGTTTATAACCCCAGGTATTTCCATTATCAACTCCTCAATGTTCCTCCAGCATGGAAAACAAACAAAAAAAACTCTTTAAATAGAATTTTGCTCAATGCTTTGTTATGTATTTCTTCATTTTAATGCCCCCTTACCTGTAGGCCTGGGTCAGTGTTACGTATTCTGTATGTAGAAGCAGTGTATATTCAAAAAAATTTCTTTTTGTCTCAGGACAAGCCTCAATTTCGTCATAAATCAAATGAAAATACTAATACATATGAACATGAAGATAAATCAGTCAAGCATATTAAAAGCCTCAAGAAGAAAAAAGCCCACGTCATACTAGTGATCCATACATAACAATCTCATTTCTCATTTTCTTACTCTTCCTCTTGTACCCATCAATGCCATAGATGCCATAATGCTTTTATCTGCAAGATCATCAGCAGATCTGGACATCATAATTATAGGCATTCATTATTAAACTAAACTAAAACAGGCATTTCCTTTTACCAAACCAACCCATTAGACGTTTTGTATTTATCTTCATTTTTAAATTTACATCGAGTAAATTAACTCTATGGTGGATAGCTATGGGTTTTGATGAATGCACAATCATGTGTTCATATATGAACCACCACATTTGAGGTACAGAATAGTTTCTTTTTTTTTTTTTTTTTTTTTGAGATGGAGTCATGCTCTGTTGCCCAGGCTCCCAGGCTGGAGTGCAGTGGTGTGATCCCTGCTTACTGCAACCTCTGCCTCCCAGGTTCAAGCGATTCTTCTGCCTCAGCTTCCCGAGTAGCTGGGATTACAGGTGCTCACCACCATGCCTGGATAATTTTTGTATTTTTAGTAGAGACGGGGTTTCGCCATGTTGGCCAGGATGGTCTCGAACTCCTGATCCACAGGTGATCCATCCACCTCGGCCACCCAAAGTATTGGGATATGGAATAGTTTCATCACCCCAAATAATTTTATCTTGTTGCCCCTTGGTGGTCAGATTCTCCTCCACCCCAAATCCTGGAAAAAACAATCTACTCTGTGTTGATATAATTTTGCCTTTTCCATAATGTCATATAAATGTTGTATGAACATAAGTTTACATTTATCTTGGGTGCATAGTTAGAGAGTAGGCACTACATCATCTGGTCAGTGTATGCTTAACTTTATACAAAACTGCCATATTTTTTACCTAGGTGGTTGTACCATTTTGCAATCTCACCAGCAATGTGTGATGCTTCCAGTCGTTTTGTATGCTCATCAATACTGCGTAATGTCTGATATGTGTGTGTGTGTAAGTGTCATTTTGGTCATTTTAATAGGTTCCTAGTGCAATCTCATTATGGTTTTAATTTGAATTTGTCTAATAACATTGAGTATGTTTCCATGTGCTCATTTGCCATGCATAAAGCTTCTTTCATAAAGTATCTGTTGCAGTTTTTTGCTTATTTTCTAATCAGATTTTTTTATTGTTGAGTTTTCAAAAATTCTCTGTGTATTCTGGATACAAGTCCTTTGACAATTATGATTTAAAAATATTTTCTTCTTGTCTATAACTTGTCTTTCATTTACATAGCACAAGTGTTAAATTTGGAGCATGTTCCATTTGTAATTTTTTTTTTAAGTTTTAAGCATAATGCTTTGGAGTTATGTAAAACTCTGTGCCTAATTCAAATCACAAATAATTTATCCTTTTCTTTTCCTAGAAGTTTTACAGTCTTATAGCTGATCTTCAGGTTTAGGAAGGTTTATGATTCATTTTAAGTTCACAAAAGTGAAGTGAAATGAAAAGTTGTAATCTCTATGGATAGCTTATTACCGATCCAGGTGAAATACTCTGTAACATGCCGGTCTAAATCCACACAAACCCCAACTAACCTAAACTCATATTCAACATTAATTTACTCAAGTTAACAAATTTTAGCATGGAGCTCTGTTTAAAGTTCAACTTAATGCATCCAGTGATGCATTCCACACTGTCTGCAACATCAGCTCATCACTCCAGTTGGTTGTAGCTTTGATATTTAGAAGTGCAATGCCTTGAAGTAGCCCCAGCAATTTTCTTTGGGCCATAATCATTCGATCACCATACCTGATGAGATAAAATGTCAAAAACTAACAGGAATATACTTTGGTCCAGCATTAAAATGTAATAAGCCCTTTATAGGGGAATAATTAAAGTTGTTATCTTTAATTTTAAAACCCCATATAATGCAAAGAAACAGATGAAACATATTCTATATATAATGGCAGAGAGGGAGCTTTTCTGAGAATTCTGTGTATATGTGTGCCTTTTCTTCAGGGCACCATCTTCCTGGTAGCAATGTGTTTCACCATCATTTCAGTCATGAGAAACTGCTGTTAAGCCTAAAATTTGAGCAGGAGGATGCAAGTAAATTAAAGGTGAGTTGAAATGCATGACTATATATACCTCAACATGCTGCCAAACAAATATACAAGAAGAACCAAAGACAGTAAAGGAAGTAAGCTGGAAGATATTTTTTGGTCAACACACACATTGTAGATCTCTGATTGTGAGAAGAATAAGGATAAAAATTAAGGACATGGGAAAAATTAATAAATTAAATTGATTAAAACAGTTATCATCCAGCTCTGGAATTAGCCTATTTTAACTAATTGTAAGAAATCCATTTACAGTGAATTCTAGTTAATGCCTAACTTCTCAAACCATAATTAGTGTGAGCCCTTGTAACTGCAATTAACTGACTAATTTAATTTCTAAATTTGCTATTACATTTTCTTTCTGTGTGGCTTGAGTTTAAATTATTAATAACACTTTGCAATTTGTTTTACATACTTTTCTTTTTCAGAACAAATGTGCCCTGGTTTTCATAAGGGCAAATTAAGTTAGAGTTTTAGATGTTTTATCACTTTTATAATATTTTGAACTCTCGATGTCCCAAATCTTATTTCACTGGACACAATTTCTCTTTCTCTGTGGATTTGCAAGGACAAACAATGTATTAAATCTTAAAATCCAGTGTATAAAGGTTCATTGGTTGTCCAGGAAGACTTTTATGTCCTTCTATCTTTGCAATTACTGTTTCTCCCCAAATAATATTTTTTAAAATGTTAATTAGCCATGTGTGACCCAATGGAATCTTCATGCCTCCAGAACCATGGCTCAGCCCACTTTCCTAGGCCTCAGGAAGATGTATAAGGCAGTGCTCAGTGTCCACTTGGATGGCAGTGAGAGGAAATTTGCAAGGCTGGGGCTGGTGAAGAAAAGGAATTAGCAGACCAGGGGCCAGAATCTATTGCCCTTCCCAAAACAAAACTCAAACCAGAACCCAGAAGAATCTCGCTCATATGGTACTGAAGAAAGAATTTAATGAAAAAAATTAAGCATTGGGGATTAATGCTACACCCGCAGATTCCAGCTGAAAAATCTTTAAGATTGCCAGAAGCTATCTCCACATGACATTAAACATCTGTTTAAAAATTAATCTTTGAAATTGATATTTCCAAATGACTTTATTATTAACAAAATACAATTTAAAAAAAATTTTTTTGGTTGTCCTAGTTTAGTTAAAACCAACACACACACACACACACACACACACACACACACACACAGATTTCTGTGACTTTTTGTGACTGTATTTTTCAGACTTTTAAATTCCCAATCCTAAACACTCTGTTCTGAGTATACCAGCCAGATATGTTGATAACTAAATATTTGAAGCATATAATTAGACATATATGGAAACACATGCATATGTGGTGTAAACACACGCAAACACACACAAAAAAAGAATTGTGTCTTTAGCCTGATTGGTAGAAAATTCCAGGAAGACTCCTTTCTAGATAGTAATGAAAGATAAAATCAAAGCAGAAGTGGCTTATTTAAATGAATCTATGAAGCATAAATCTTAAACTGCTTCACACTGGACTTCCTAAGTAGCAAGGTGGTGTAACTAATAAGCTATCAATGAGAATTATGAAAAAATGACCTGTAGCAGAGAAATCATGAGGAAGCCTGTAATCTATCCCTTAGCAACCTTGGAAGTAAATGTCATGTTTGACAAAGTAGTTCATGTTGAGAAACACCATCTGTGCGGAATATTAGCAATGAGGAGGAGATTTCATGCTTGATAAACTGGGAATGCCAATGCCCATCAGAAAAGCCAGCTAATATTTTTAAAGCTCAGGGAAAAGGCAGTCAAGAGAAGAAAATGATGAGTTTGAAGAAAACACCTGAGGCTACTGCTCATGAAAACAAGCACATGAGAATCATTCTGTATAAAAAGTTTCTTATCCAAAAGAGTTATCTGTACTTCTGTGAAGGTACTGTACCTCCTAATATTTAATATTTTCTTTCTGCTTTCAGCTAACATCTTTATTTGCTTTTTGACACTCATTAATTGTTGTTTCCTCACACACACTAATATACATCAGCACTGGAAATTTTAAAAATTGGAAATTAACAGGCTTCATTTTTTCATTTTGAATGCCCTATTCAATTCAATAAATATATTTTGTGGATCTTTTCTGAGACAGCTCCTGTGCTGATTATTACAGGCTTTTATGGATTAAATGTTTGCCTCCTTGAAAACTCATGTTAAAATTTAATTAGCATTGTGAGAGTATTAAAATGTGGGACCTTTAAGAGGTTACTGGGCCATGAGGACTGTATCCTTATAAATGGATTTATGCCCTTATCTTCTTGGGGGGTCGGTTAGTTATTGTTATTGTGAGAGTGGATTCACCTTCTTTTGCATGCTCCCCTCACCTCTCTTTTGCTCTCTCTTTCTCTCTTTCTTCTTTTCTCTTTTTCATCCTATCTTTGCCCTTTGGAAATGTGATAACTTCTGCTATGTTATAATGCAGCAAGAAGGCCATTAGCAAATTGTGGTACCTTGTTTGTGGATTTTCCAGCCTCCAGAACTGTAAGCCACAAATTTTATAGTAAATTTGTATTTACTATAAATTACAGTCTGTGGTATTCTATTTCAGCTGTACAAAATGAACGAAGACACAGACACATACTTGCACTCAGGGAGCTCACTAATACAGATGCACACAGAAAACAATATTTCATTACATCTTAATGTAAATTTCCTCATTATGTAAGTCTGTACAGAAAGCTACGGTGGTTAGTATGCTAGGAAGACCTCACAAGAGCTGTTCTGTGAAGGATGACTGAAGTTCATCAGGTAGCATGAGTTTAGTTAGAAATATGAATGGTGCCTTAGCTTTATAAAGAAACTGACATGCCTATATTTATTTCACTGAAATCCCAGACTAGACAAATTTTCCTAACCACCTTCATCAATGATTTTTTCGTACCTATAGTTATTTACAAAACAAAAGTGTTAATATTCAGCTTTCCCACTTAATTACAAATTTCATGTTGATTCACCATTTTGTCGTTAGTAATTAGGAAGAATCCATTAAGTTCAAAATCAGTTAACTGACAGACTGTTCCAGAAGACCCTTGGTTATTATTCTTCTTACATGTGTCCTGATACTCACTTTATAATTAATCATATTTACTAAAGAAAAAAAGTGAAAAAGAAACTGTGTATCTTAAGAAAGTTGCACTAGATCTGTCTGTTTCTTTTTTTGGAAGTAAGTATTGAAGAATATGAAACTTAAATGCCTGAAGAGTTTTTCCAAGAAAATTTGCTTTAATGAGTATTTGCTCACTGTTTACTGGGTCTATGAAGATGCTCAGGAACCTACCCATTCAACTGGACTCAAATGGCTTAATGTAGTTCTGATTAGAACTTAACAAAACAAATTGTTTCTACCTAAAGTGGGTTGGGTTAGCTTTTGAATGCTATGCTTTGAAGCATTTCTTCAGTGTGAAAGAGAATTTTTTTTTCTTTATTTATCTCTGAAACTTATAGTCAAGAACTTCTCAGACTTTTGGGAACAAAACAAAACCCTCACAAAGCAAAAGGCTAAACTACGTCAATGGAAGGGTCAGAGGAATTTAAACCAGAGCAACTCCATCTTGAATAGGGGCTGGGTAAAATAAGACTGAGACCTACTGGGCTGGGCTGCGTTCCCAGGAGGTTAAGCATTCTAAGATACAGGATGAGATAGGAGGTCAGCACAAGATACACATTATAAAGACCTTGCTGATAAAACAGCTTGCAGTAAAGAAGCCAGCCAAAACCCACCAAAACCAGGATGGTGATGAGAGTGACCCCTGGTCATCCTCACTGCTCATTATATGCCAATTATAATGCATTTGCATGCTGAAGACACTTCCAACACCAACAGTGTCATGATAGTTTACAAATGCCATGCCAACGTCAGGCAGTTACCCAATGGGGTGTAAAAATGGGAGGAACCCTCAGCTCTGGGAATTGCCCACCCCTTTTCTGGAAAACTCATGAATAATGCACCCTTTGTTTAGCATATGATCAAGAAATAACTGTAAATATTCTTAGGCCAACAGCTCAAGCTGCTGCTCTGCCTATGGAATAGCCATTATTTTATTCCTTTACTTTCTTAATAAACTTGCTTTCACTTTACTCTATGGACTCGCCCTGAATTCTTTCTTGCGCGAGATCCAGGAACCCTCTCTTGGGGTCTGGATCAGAACCCCTTTCCGGTAGCAGATGGCTAGGTTTATTGTGGGTATTATCTGATTATTGTTTATTATCATTTGATTAAAGGACAAAGGGCAATGGAAATGCACATAACCTCAGACTGAACTCTCATGTGCCATAAAATTTGTCTTCATTTCTGGTTTTAAAATAATTAGAATTAAAGTTGGCCAAGATTTTGCTCGGCTCTTAAAACTTGGAGTCACTACATAGGGCTTAGTAAATAAGGAAAACATCACAGAACTAGTTAGTTCTATTTGCCAGATGTTTTCCATATATCAGACAATGCGTGGGCCTTGGCGATATAGAATTTACCCTCTTGGAGCTCCATTCAGTTATGTGAGAAATTGCAAGTACCATACTGGATTGAGAAGTGTGTGTGCTAGGTCGAAAACACTGGTAAGGTGTTGAAAATGTATACAAAATATAATTAGATACATAGCTAGTGGAAAAAATACAATCATAATATCCCAGACTTTGTAGTTATGTTGTGTTGAAAATAATTCTCTAGAATTAAGAAGAAAAACAAATCACTTGCTACATATGTTATCACAGATGACTTAATTAAAACTAAAGTTGGGTATCTACTGTAATTCAACATAACACCAAATTTACTAATTTGAAGACACACATGCTGACAGCAATGTTAAGCTTTATCTTTTAATACATTGTTTAAAAGACAGAGTCTGTAAAAGTGTTGCTAATGTATATATGTTTATTAGAAATAGGATACAGACATACGCAGGCATACATCATTTTATTGCACTTTGCCTTAGTGCATTTCAGATATTGTGCATTTTTTTATAAACTGAAGGTTTGTGGCAAGCCTGAATTAAGGAAGTCTACTATTGCCACTTTTCCAATAGCATGTGCTCACTTCATATCTCTGTTTCAGCATTTTTTAGCAATAAAGTATTTTTTTTAAGATGGAGTGTTGCTCTGTTGCCCAGGCTGGAGTGCAGTGGTATGATCTCGGCTCACTGCAACCTCTGACTCCTGGGTTCAAGCAATTATCCTGCCTCAGCTTCCTGAGTAGCTGGGCTTACAGGCACCTGGCACTACCCCTGGCTAATTTTTGTATTTTTAGTAGAGATGGGGTTTCACCATGTTGGCCAGGCTTGTCTTGAACTCCTTACCTCATGGTCTGCTCGCCTCAGACTCCGAAAGTGCTGGAATTACAGGTGTGAGCCACCATGCCCAGCAAGTATTTTTAAATTAATGTTTGTATTTACGTTGTTTTCTAGACACAATGCTATATTGCACACTTTTAATAGATTACAGTATGGTGTAAGTATAACATTTATATACACTGGGAAAACAAAAAATTTTTGTGACTTGCTTATTGTGACATTCGCTTTATTGCAATGGTTTGAAATCAAACCCACGATATCTACCAAGATACTGTAGAGGATAAAAAAAATTGGACACTTTGTATTATAGTCATTTTGATATTAGAGAAAAATATTTTCAGTGCAAGTCATCTTGTGTTTGGAATCCAGCTCATTCACTTGCTGTTTAGATAAGACAATCAGAGATCACATCTAAATATCTAGTTTACTGACTTCTTGTGATTAGAACAGTGCACTGTAACAATAGATTGTCAATAAAACTTGTAATGATTAAACTTCATAAACGAGTGTTTCCATCTCTCGTTCATCAATTTCTAATAGAATCCCTCTCTTTTTATTACCTTCCTTTCTTTACTATTTCTTTCCCACTTTTGAAGGCTCTTCTGAAGCAAATAGTCGTTAGACAATGGTGATCTTAAGTGTTGCTGCTAGGCCAGTGTTTAATGTTGCACCCAGAAGCAGCCAGTAAGAGAAGTGGAGGCATCTATTTTTGGTTCAGAATTGAATGCACAAGGGGCTCGTCAAGCCAAAAGAGGCTTAAAGTGCCTCCTGCTCACCACAACTCAGAAAGTTTATTGATCCACTGAAAGACGCGGCTCACAAGGAGAACACAGACATAGACAACTGGGATGGAAGGGAGAAGAGGTATAGAGCCACAGTCCCATAGAGCTATTCTCATTAAACAGAAGAACAGGAAGTTACATTATGCAAAGCACAGGTGAAGAAACAGGTACACAGCCAAAAATTAATTAAGGCTCATTGTCCTAAGGCTGCAGATGAGAAAAACTAAAACCTTTTAATTGTAAGTAACAAGAGCTGGGGAGAAAGAAATGGGCATATAACACGTCCAAAATATACAAGCAATACATCTTCAAAAAGTGTGTTAATATGTGCTTATTCTATGTGGAATTGTGACACTTTATATGCTGTCACTGAATCCAGTTTTTAGTGATTTCTTGCCTATTCTTTGCCTAAGTTTAGGTAGTGCCTATTCTGTGGCTTATTTTCTCAGAACATTTTTATTTTTGAGGATTAGTCTAATGAACTCAATCCATCTAAGGCATTTCTTCTTTCTCTATATGTAATCATTATCTAATTATTATCTAACTAGCTTTTGGGGAATATCTTTCAGAAAAGCTTCAAAATGTGGAAAAAAATCAATAGTTTAAATGCTATTCCATTATCTCTGGGCTTTCATCTTTTCTTCTGAGGAATTAGCTGTCATTTCATTATTGCTTTTAGGGAGATATGCCTTTTCTTCTCTAGATACTTTTAAGGTTTTCACTTCTCATTGGCCGTCTTTTATTTTTTATTACATGGTAAAAGTTGTACTTATTTATTTATCTGGTTTGTATCTATCCCATTTGCTCTGGTAGCCCTTCTTTATATCATTCATCAACTTAAAAAATTTCTTGACCATCATCTTTTCAAATATTTTCTTTCCCAATCTCCCTTTCTCTCTCCTCTCTTCTTGATAAGCTAATTACATGCCTTTAAGATCTTTTCACACTCTCCCTTATGTATTTTCAATTTTTTATCAGTGTTTCAGTCTTGATTCTTTCCTGTCAATCGAAGTTTTACTCATGAATCCTCTATTCTATAATGCCCAATCTGCAGTTGTACCCATCTAATAGAGTACTTATTTAAACAATCCTGAGATTTTCATGTGTTTGCTTTGTATAAATTACAATTTTTTAGCCATCTTCCTATCTATTTTATCATATTAATTATGGTTATTTTAATATCATGCCTGATAACTCCAATTTCTGGGTCATCTGTGAATCTGTTTTCTTTTGGTTCTGTTGTTTAGCATGGCTGTTTCCTTTGTTTGTTTGCTTACTTATTTGTTTAGTAAATATTGGGCATTCAGACTAAAACATTGTAGAGTTGTAGAGTTTCCAATAACTTTTTATCTTCTGGCAGGCAGTTTGACAAGAAGCACATCATATTAATTCCATTAAGGCTTCCTCTATGTAGACATAGCATATCACTCACTCTTCCCATGACTGAAGAACTTCCTGTTCCTCCTTACTCCTGGGATGTGTACCCAGCCCCTGGGAGTTAAACCCCAAGATTATCACACACCTCCTCCTTATCTTCTATTTTATATTTGTGGAAATGAAGAAAGTAAAATCAAGTACAGTTTTTACTTATGCCTAGAATGGAAAAAAGTATAACATGTTTCAATTGATGCCCCTTAAATTGATAGGCTAATAGCTTACAATTTTGCTGTGTCAAAACCTGGATCTCACTTTGATTATTTCAACAGATGGAATCTAGAAAAGATTTATATTAAAGAAAACACTTTACACCCTCCAAGATATATAGATTATAAGTCTATGCCTCGGGGGTGAGGACGCCTAGATCTTAGGGAAGGGTTCTATCCAACAGAACAATCATAACATGTACTATTCTCACTGCATCTGAAAGGTTCTATTTTTCTTCCATAAGACCATTTGTGTATATATATTAAAAATAAATTGGAGAATCAGATGTAAAATCAGTTTCACATATGGATTGTATCTGTAAGTATCTCTCTCTCCCTCCAAACACCAGAATAATAAAGAATATTAAATAACAACAAAACTAATGTTTGTCTTTTCTTATATTATACATATTTGCCTCTATATCTTGACTAGCGCTTCCCCAGGTTAATATAAACAATATTGAAATAATCATACTTTTTGCCATGTTTCTAAATTTGATGAAAATCCTCAGGGTGTTTTGTTTTTAATTATGAAGTGAACCGTTGGTTCAATATAGATAATCTTTATTCCATAAAGAACATATCCTTATGAAACTAGCTTTCAGCTTTTATCAGAAAGTGTTGCTGCACTTTTTCACATGATTGCTGTTGTCTACAATATAAACATACATCTTTTTCCTTCCATATGGTGGCTTAGTTATAGAAATAGATTTCCTAGTATTAAATTGATTTGCAAATGTTGCTTAACAACTGGAATATAATTTTAATATACTATTGGACTATATGTGTTGTAATTTATCCAAAATCATTATATCTGTACTTGTGTGATCATTCTACAGGTTTTTTGAAAAATAGTTGTATAAATAAATAATTAAAATTCTATAATTATATAAATTGTATAATTTTTATAGTTTGTTCCCTAGAAAAAACAGGTTGTAGTATTTGAATGTATCAACACAAAAATCTGACAGAATTTATTATATAATAATCAATAATTGTTTCATATTTTAATTCTTTAGCATTTTTAAAAATATATTACATATTTATGTAATTATGTTTTCTACTTGTGATAAATTTTCCTGTTTTTCTGGTGACACAAATACGTCTCAAATCTTAGAAATGCCTGGCTCCTAATGAACTCTATGTAAGTCTCTGATGTTTAAATCCTGGTTCCATCACATACTTAGCTTTGGTATCTGGGCATATTAATCAGCCCCTGTAAGCCTCAGTTTTTTTATCTTTAAAATAGGAAACAAATAATGCAATTATATCATGTGGCTGTTTAGGGATTATATAATATAATAAATGTAAAGCATTAGCAAGGCCTAGCACCTGGTGAGCATTGAGGAACTGCTTGACCAACAGCCACCACTGCTCAAAGAGGAAGGCCTGAGTCCATACCCTTTGTTGGAACCTTCCAAACAAACAATCCCTGTCAATGTCTGTGTCTCTGCCTTTGACATTCATTAAAAAATATTTACTGATGGTATATTATGCACGTGGTACTATTTTAAGTATTATGGATATAGAACTAATAAAATAGACAGAGAAATCTTGTTTTCATGGAGCTTCTATTCTAGTCATCATCCCTCTGCACCACTTACTGTACCTTTGTTCATTATCTGCTGGTGACCTGCTCCTTTTTATCATGCTTCAAGTTTTTTTTTTACAGATTATATTAATTTGAAGAATAAATTCACAATATGCTACTGATTTTTTTGTGCCTTTTCTGAAGGCCAGGTCCACAGCTTGTATTCTTGAAAGTTTCCAGGAAGGACTTGAAGGATCTGATCAGAGCTGTGGTTTAGGAATTCTGCTTTGATAGCAGTGAACACACAGAATAAGGAAGCAAGGAGGAATGAAGGCAGCCTGGCTGGGAACTGGCATGATGGTGTAAAAATGAAGGGAAGGAAGAACCAAAGAGGAAAGACAAGTTTTGACAAAATATTATACACTATGATAGGAGAAGAAAAATGAAATTTTAAAAGATAGTTTCATGAATTTTAACCTAAATAACTGAGAATGTACAAGTGCCATTAACTAGAGTCAGAGATATAAGAAATAGAAATAATTTTGGATGGTGAGAAGATTTTATGTGCTGACTTTTAAATGTTAAAATATTACCCAGAGAGATAATAAGCTGTCAATGATTTGTTAATAGCTCTACAGTTGGTGCCTAAAACTGTACCTGGCATGGTAAGTATGCATGAACTGACTGAATAGCAGTTTGTAATAACTGAAAATACAAAAATAGATTAAATGCTATTTGCCTTTCAAAATTTATATGTTTGCCATCAAAGGGATTTATCAAAAGGACTTGAAAAGCAATTCTTAAATTTAGTTAATAAGTAAATACCCCCAGAAAGCCAATATTTTTAAAAATAGCAGTGAGTGGAATTTGCCTGATCAGATATCAAAGCACTCTATAATTTTATAGTAAATAAAACATAGTCATTCAGGAATGAGCTTTACCATCCAAGTACTCAGAAAATGATTCATTATTATGGAGGAAGGAGGAAACAAATTGTGTGTGTGTGTGTGTAAATATTTATGATATATCATTCCAAATTGATCAGGAAAACAAGGGCTTTCTCCAGTTTGCATGACACTCATTTATAATGAGGGTGAGGAGTGAAGGGTGAAGAGTTACTCTATTTTATATTATAACAAAATGAATTCCAGGTGTATTTTAAAGCTAAACATGAAAAAGTCAGGTATGATAATAAACAGCAAAATGGTGGAGTAGCCTCATTTCTCCCCCACCACCCCCACCTCACAAAAAACAGCAAATAGACAGTTATCTATGAATAGTTAGTAGCCTTGGGAGAGCTCAAGGGTCCATTTAAGAAAATGCAGCAACATACATGGAACTATTGGAGCAAAAAACAGAGAACAACCACACAGAAAGGATTACTGGAGAGATGGTCAAACCTGAGATATTTGATCACAACTGGTAAGAAAGAGAAAGGGCAGAAGCTAGCAGTCTCGGCCATAAAAACACACAGGAAAGAGAATTCTTGTACACTGTTGGTGGGAATGTAAATTGGTATAGTCATTATGGCAAATCACATGAAACTTCCTCAAAAAATTAAAAATAGAATTACCGTATGAGACAACCATTTCACTTCTGGGTATATATTGAAGGAAAATGAAATCAATATGTCAAAGAGATGTATGTTCTCCCATGTTCACTGCAGCATTCTTCACAATAGCCACAGAATGGAATCAACACTTAGTGGAATTCATAGTATAATCTTATATTTTCAAATATGTGCATGCATATGTGCTTCTCTGAAGGTGTGCTTGTGCAGGTGAGTCGAGGTATATGAATATGTATACCTACTGAAAAATACCTAGAAAGATATTCAAGGAACTGAAAGCAGTGGCTATTTTAAGTAAATGGAGAGGAAGGCTGGGAGGAGTATAAAAAGAATGCACTTTATGCTTTATATATGTGTACTTCCTATCCTCTCAAAAGACCATGTATTATTTTTGAAAAAAAAATGACGGATATAAAAGTGAATGAATGGAATAGGTAGTTACTTGAAAGAAGACTGTAAAACCTGTGAGACTAGAAAACATAATTTAATAGAGTGATAGGGTTTTTGTTTCTGAAATTATCCTTACTGGTGACTATATCATCAACTCTTATAATGAATATATTTATACACACCAATGAACAAGATTTCACTTCTGACCATCTTTGAATAAAGCCTTATAACACACAATTCTTCAAAATTATGGAAACTTTAGTTATTCATTTTCTGTTTTGTTGGGAATAATTGTGACAAAATCAATTGTTGCTCTCAGAGACCAACGAATTAAAAATATGAGTTAGTTGAGCAGGTTAATGCAACTAACTAGAAGTTAGGAGATTATATTTCTAGTTTAGGTTCATCTAACTACTGTGGACTATAGCTTATTTACATATTGAGTAAGAAGAGAGACTGATTATATTAGATACACTTTTCATAATTGCTAGATTTAAAGAATTCCAGAATCTCATCCAACTATAAACTTCTGGAATTTTGTATCATTGAGTGTAATGTTCCCTTAAAATGTAAGTCCAGACCAGATCTTTACCTTAGTGTAACATCTTCCAGAAACAGACCTTAAAAAAGAATATAAGTTGCAGCAGGTTGTTTGCAAAATAATTTCAGAGAATGCCCATATGGAAGTGATGTCCTCAGACGTGGAATGGGGGGAAGCCAAGAACAGTGTGGTGTGTTATTAAGCTAGTTGTTACTGCGGACTTTGATGCTCAATCCCGCTTGTGATGACTTGAAGAAACTCTGGTATTTATACACCAACCCCTTGACCCTCACTGGTTGAGGGCTGTGACTGATGTTATCATGCTGGCCATACTTCTGTTTACCCTGTGCAAAGACGAAGCATGTTCCCAAAGCTGGAAAAAAAGTGTCCTATGAAAAAGTCTCAGGTATTTTTGCTTAAGCAGCATCAGAATACAGAAATGTGTGCTCAGAAGATAAGGGCAAGACACCAAAGTCTCCGCTATATTTCACCACCTCCATTTTCATTCTGTCAAATGTCAAGTCATAGTCACAAATACATAACAACAACCAAAAAAACATATGTTACAGCAGTTTCAATGAGACCCGGTATAGTCCCTGACAGTTCATCTGTTTCCAAAGCTGTAATTGATTTTCATCCTCTCCATCCTGTACCACTCATTTGATATTCCCATCACCCTTGATTCTACTTCTGCTGGTTAAAGTTGCTCGTGCAGTAGAGTGACCCAGACCCTTGTTCCTGTGTATTTGATCCCCTTTTCTTTGGTGATAGGGAGCTCATGCAGTTGGACTCATGCACATTTTCTACTCTGGCCACAATAGCTACTTTATTCATGGGCCCATCATGGAACACTGATCTTGTTTCTTTCCTCAAGGTAGCCAAAGACAGAAGATGATTCAACCTCACTAGAAAAGTTATCGTAACTTTTTGTTTTGCGCCTCACTTTGATAGATGCTAGTAAAGTTTATAGTCATCCGCCATGACCCTTCTGTGTTTTGCAGACATTAAACTGGAAGCCAAGATATGGATGTGACTGGGGACAACAACCCATGCACACTTTAGCCCTTGAGTTTGACACCAATCTTCCATCCACACATGCCCCTGCTCTACCATCTTCATTGAGTGTGTGGGTATTTACCTTTCCCCAGTATACAATTATTGTGGTACATACCTGTAGGTTCCTTAAATAAAATGTGGATAAATTTCTACTTGGTGTACTTGCTATGACCTTCAATTAAAGAAATCTGAGTCTCAAAATTGTATCAGAAATGGAAACTTGGGAATGGTCATATATTTCCTTTGTAACAGATGATATCAGTAGTCGACATTTCTACTCTTGATCTATTGGTTGTACATGTCGAGCAATTTCACCACTTGCTGCTCGTGGAACCCCTAGTAATGGCATGGTCCTGTGAGTCGGTGTCCCTGACTACTACTCCATCTTGTTGGTACATTATGTTGCTTAATTTCACTTGCTCTCTTAACAGGTTAGTGACACCAATCAGCCTCTGCTATTCTAAAATTCTGTCATTTCCATTGACACAAAGGAGTCGATTTACACAGCAGTATCCCTCACTGTCCACCTAGACCTGCAGAGGCCCACACGTAGCTTCTCAACAATGCTAGTACCTTCCTAACTAGCACATTTTTGTTGTGACTAAAGGGAGACTCTTTGGGCCTTCTCAGAGAATGTGGTCATTTGGTGAATTCTCTGTTGTTACATCATAAATAGATTTTAATGTGACCTATTATTTGGGCCTTTTTATCTGCTCATCAATATTCTACCAAGGCTGCTCTGTAATCTTCACTTTATTTTCAATATGCCACCACTTTTTTTAAGCTTTAATGAGGCCTTCCAGCAGTGTATCAAAGCTAGCTCTAGCTGTTCGTGCCAGGATATTAAACCCCAAGTTAGAGAAGAATGCCTGAATATCAATTAAGTTTCCATTATCAATCCCTATACTCTCTTCGCCCACTGGGGTTTGGCAAACTCCAGAAATATTTCTAAGCTGCTTTCCTATCTCTGTCCATCCATATTGGCCATTTCCTTTAGTAATTTAGTTAATAATCTCTTTCCTACTGCAGCAGAGACAGGCCATGCTGAAACATACTGAAACTTGACCTTGATTATTGCTCATAAAAAAATAAAAAGAGAAAAGTCTTGATGAGGCAAATATGATGTTGGGTAAAAACTTGAACAACCTCTTGACAAGGGAAGCCTGTTAATCTGTTGCAAAGAGGAAGAGGCCACACTCACCTTCTCAAAGGATTCAGGAGAATCCGCAGGTTCTGATGATCCAGCACATCTATTGGATGTCCCTGACTTTGGGATTCTGTTCCTTTCCAATCTGGGTTCTGACTCCAAACTAGGAAATTCTTGTGACTGTGCATTCAGCTACCCTTGCAGTTCTTCCACTTTCACAATCACATCCTGGACTTGGTTCTCAGCACAATCTACCATCCAGTTGCAGGACATGAGTGCCTTTAAACTGTCTAACTGTTACCCTAGAGTTGATTCAATGGTGGCTAACCCGAGTCTGTGATTCTCTTCTCCCAGAGTTTTAATGGCAGTTGACAGTAGTAGACCACTGTCTTGTACTTGCCATTGACTTTCTACCTCTCAGATGCTAAAGCTTGTTTATGGACTAGTGCAACCACCCCTACCCCTATGCCATCCCAATTCACCACAGGTAAAAATCTTAGAAATTTTGATGATATAACATGTCAGGAGTTAACCAACATTTTTCTTTTCTGTCATCAACATCAAAGGCATTCTTGCCATTGGATAGCAGATAATCCTAAAATAGAAGGGATTCTTAAGCAGGTAATCGTAAAACAGAAGGGATCCCTAAGGTTTTACTTCCTAAAATCACTTCTATTACCAAAAATCATGACTTTTGTTCTCCCTAAAAGAAAACTCTGGGATAAGGATTCCAGTGCAATGAGTTTATTCAGAAGGTGATCCTGGAAAACACCAGTAAAGTTGTAGGGATTGGAGACAAGGAAGAGAAGCAATCCAGTAAAGAGTGGAGGACTGGAGAAAAGTGAACAAAAGGGAGAGTATTAGGAGGTGAGATCACACAGGTAATGGGGCCAGATTTTGTATGGCTTTATAGGCATTGTAAAACCTTCAGAAGTTATTTTTGATAAGACTGAGGGGCATCATAGTTTTTTTATCAAAAAAAAAAAAAACTCAGGTAACATATGCTTCAGTAGGAAAACCTTGCCTATTGTGGTAAAACATTGAATGAATAAGGACAAGGAAAAAGCAGGAAGATAGGTTAGAAGATGTCTATGACAAGACAAAAGAGACAAGATGATGGCTGGGACATGAGTGGTGGCAGTACCAGTGGTAAGAGGTAGCCATGTTCTGGATTTATTCAGAAACAAAAGCCAACATGACTCATTAATGGAGTTAATGTAGGGCTTGAGAGAGATTGGAGATTAGAATGACTCCAGAGTTTTGGCCAAAGCAGTTTAACTCATTAACTGAGATGGTGAAAGCTGTGAAGTCAGGCTTCTTAGCGCAGGATGCTGTTGAATCTACAAGCATGAGGTAAGAGGAATTGTCTCATATAGAGAAATATATTTTGGTCTGGTCAAAGTAAAAGAAGAAAAGTTAGGCGAACAAAGAGATCTCAGGGCTGAGTTCTGGGCCATCTAAACTAAACGTGTCAAAAAAATAGGAAGAAGAAATGGAAAAAAAAAAAGAAAAGGGATGAACAGTCAGAGGTGGAAAATGAGGAAAATGTGGAGCTTAACATTTTACTGACAAATGTGGCAGAATAGAGTATTAGCAACTACAGTGCACTTACTAAATGCTGAGGTCTTTCTTTACATTACTTTATTTAATCTTACATACTATGAAGTATTATTATGAAGCATAACTCTTTGTGTTCTGTGTATGAGGAAACTAAAGTCTTAAAGTTAAGCCATTTGCTCCACTCACTGTGCTAGGAGGTGAATGAAACTTGTTTGAATCCTGGCTACCAGGATTCAAGTGCCGAGCTTTCATATGATAGCACACCATTCTCTTAGCAAAGGCAATATATCGCAATATATCCATTTTTCCACTTTATTTCAAAGTAGTTCTCTTTTTATTCCCGCCACAAATCTACTTTTATATTTGGTTAACTGTGTCATCACCTATTAGTATCATAGTACTGGAAAAGACCGTAAAGATCATCTAGTCAATTCTACTATATTAATTTCACATTATGGGTGCAGAAATGAAGAGAATCATTTACAGTGTAGCATAGATGTTAAAATCTCAGACTTTTAAACCAGATTGCCTAAATTTAATTCCTAATTCCCCACTTGGTGTAGGAAATTAAGTAACCTTAGAGAAGTTAATGAAACTATCCAATTCTCTATTTTCTTATTTGTAAAACAGGCTAACAATAGTACCTACTTTATAGGGTTTTTATAATTTAAAGAATTAAAAGATATAAAGCAATTAGAACACTGTTAGCTATTATTAATACTGTTAATACTTTATATGACATTTTGACATATAATTCATGTACTATAAAACTCACATTTAAAAAGGTGAGTTTAGTGGTTTTTAGTATATCCACAAAGTTACATAACCTTGACCAATATCTAATTTAAGAATATTTCATATTTCCACAATAAAGCACATACCCATTAGTATTCATTCTCCGGTCTCTGTTCATGTGAGCCCCTGGCAACATCAATCAACTTTCTGTCTCTCTGGGTTTTCTTATTCTAGATATTTCATGTAAATGGAATCATACATTATGTGGCCTTTTATGTCTGACTTCCTTCGCATAACATAATATTTTTAATATTTTTAAGGTTCACCCATGTTATTGTATGTATCAGTATTTCATCCCTTTTTAAGGCCATATATATTGTACTGTTTAGAAATACTACCTTTTGTCTATACATTTATCAATCAATGAATACTTGGAGTATTTCCACTTTGGGCTACTATGAATAATGTTAAAATATTAATGTACAAATTTTTGTGGGTATATTGATTTTCAGTGTTCTTGAATGTGTCATGAAGTTGCTAGAAATGAAATTGCTGATTCAAATGGTAATTCCAATATGAGACTTTTGAGAATCTATAGAACTGTTTCCTAAAGTGACTGCAACATTTTTCCATTTCTACCATCAATGTGTAAGATTACCAACTTCTCCAACTTCTTACCAACATTTTTATTGTCTAATTTTTACAGCCCCCCAAGAGAATATGATGTAGTATCTCATTGTAATTTTAATTTTAATTTCCCTAATAACTAATGATATTGAGCATATTTTCATGTTTATTGACCTTTGCGTGCCTTCTTTGAAGAGATGTCTATTCAAATACTTTGTCCAAATGTTAGTTAGGCTATTAGTCTTTATTTTACTCATTTGTAATAAATATTTTCTCTCATTCTGAATTATAGTTTTATTTTGTTGGTAGTGCCTGTTGAGCACAAAATTTTTATTTTCAATGAATTCTAATTTACCTATTTATTTTCTTCTGTTGACTGCGGTTTTGGTGTCATTTCTAAAAAGACATTGCCTAGTTAATGTCATGGAGTTTTATATTTGTGTCTTCATCTAAGAATTTTATTATTACATTCTCATTTTTAGATATTTGATTAATTTTGAATTAATTTTAGTATATGGAATGAAGTATAATTGTAACTTTTTTCAAGAAGATATCCACTTTACCCAACACCACGTTTTAACAAAAACCTACATGTTTCTTTATCAAAGCATCTTGAAACCCTTGTTAATAAACAATTTATCAAAATATAAAAATTTATTTCTAGACTCTCAATTCTATTTCATATTTCCATGTCTCTGTCCACATTCCAGTACCTTATTGACCTAATTACAACAGTTTTGAAGTAAGTTTTGAAATTAGGAAGTGTTAGTGTTCCATGTTTTGGGGATTTTTTCAAGATCTTTAGGTTATTTTGGGTCCGTTGTGTTTTCATGTAAATTTTAGAATCAGCTTGTCAATTTCTGAAAAAAAATGCAGTCAGAATTTTGATAAGAATTGCATTGAATCAGTAGATCAATTTGTGACTATGCTTATTTTAACAATATGAAATTTTCCAACCCATGTACATAACATGTCATTTTATTTATTTAGATCTTCTATAATTTTTTGACAATGTTTTGCACATTTTTGTTAAATTTATTCCTAAATATTTTACTATTTTAGTGATATTGTAAATGGAATTATTTACCTAAATTCATTTCTGGGTTATGAATTGATAGTTGGGAGAAATACACTTTAATTTGTTTATGTAGATCCTGTGTCCTACATCTTTGTTAAACTAATATATTTGCTCTAACAATGTGTGTGTTTGTGGTATCCCTTAGAATATTCTACATACAAGGTCATGTCATTTTAAAATAGAGATAATTTTACTTTCCAATATGGACACCATTTATTTATTTATTTATTTATGCCTTTCTTTTTTTGAGGCTACAACACCCAGTAGAATGTTGAATAGAGGTGTCAAGAACAGAAATACTTATATTGTTACTGATCTTACAGAGAAAACATTCAGTGTTCCATCATTAACGGTGATGTTAGCTGTGGGTTTTTTGTAGATCCCTTTATCAGGTTGGGGAAGTTTCCTTCTATTCTTGTCAGGTGCATTTGTCACCTAGGGCTGCCATAATGAAATACGATAGGCTATGTGGAATAACACGAATTTATTTTCTCGCAGTACTGAAGGCTGGAAGTCTGAATTCAGGGTGCTAGCACAGTCAGGTTTTGGTGAGAGCTCTCTTTCTGGCTTGCAGATGGCTGTCTTTTGGCTGTGAGTCACATGACCCTTTCTCAGTGCATGCATGTGGTGTGGGGAAACGTGGGTGGGGAGAAAGAAAGAGAGAGACCTACCTTTTAATAAGGCCACTTATCATATCAAATTAAGAACCCATCGGTATGATCTTATTTAACCTTAACTACCTCCTAAAAACCGTATCTCAAAATGTAATCAGATTGGAAGTTAGGGCTTCAATATATGAATATTGGAAGGCCATAATCAGTTCATAGCACTGAGCATTGTTGTTTTACATGAAAAGATATTGTATTTCATCAAATGCCTTTTCTGCATCACTTGAAATAATCACATGGACTTTGTCTTTATTGTATTATATGGATATTACCTTAATTGATTTTTATAGTTTACATGTTGCCAGACTCACTTTGTTAGTATTTTGTTGAAGATTTTTGTGTTGATATTCATAAGAGGTATTGGTCCCTAGTTTTCTTTCATGTCTTTTAGTTTCAGTGTCAGGGAATAGTGGCCTCATAAAATCAGCTGGAAAATGCTTCCTTCTCCTCAACTCTTTAGAAGGGTTTGTGAAGGATCGGTGCTAACTCTTCTTTAAATGTTTGGTAGAATTAACTACATCATCTAAGCCTGTATTTGTGTGTGTGTATGTGTGTGGAAAGTTCCTGGATTACTAATCCAGTCCTTTTAGTTGTTAAAGTCTATTCTGATTTTTCTTGAGTCAGTTTCAGTAGTTTGTGTCCTTCTTGAAATTTATCCATGTCATCTACATTGTCTAATTTCTTGACATACAATAGTTCTTAACATTTCCTTATAATCTTTTCTTATGTCTGCAATGTCAGTAGCAATGCCTTCTCTTTAATTCCAGATTTTAGTAAAACAAGTCTTCTTTCTTTTTTTCTTCAGCGGTCTAGCTAAAGGTTTGTCAATTTTGTTGATCTCTTCAAATAACCAACTTTTGGATTTGTTGATTTTTCTATTGGATTTTTGAACTTCATCTCATTTATTTCACCCTAATCTTTGTTTTTTCTTCATTTCCTTGCTTTGGGTTTACTTTGCTCTTATTTTTCTAGTTTCTTAAGTCAGAGATTTGTTATTTATTTGAGGTCATTTTTCTTTTTTAATGTAGACATTTACAGTTACAAATTGTCAAATGATGACAATTATTCAAGTATTTTGCTTCTGGGGAAACTCCAAACCAATCTGCCTCCTCCTCTAGCGCATGCTAGGTTGCTGACTTTCAGTGTGATTGTGGCAATGTTCATTTTCAAGGCTACCATGTAGCTGGGGAGAGGGTGATGAGAAAAGGGCATGTAAAATGCCGTAAAACTTCCTGTTCTGTCTGAGAGTCTTCCATTTTTCTTGAATAGATGTTCCTTAGATTTTTTTTCAAGCATTTGGTTAATTTACAGAGTTCTGAAAAGAGTGGATTTTTTTTTTTTACAATGTTTGCCAATGTTCTCATTGCTTTTTTAAGGAGGAAGGAATTTTTGGAGGTTCTTTTTTTCTCATTTCCATTGATTTAATTCAATTCTTTTATTATTAACCAGAATTTGAACTTGGACTTTCTAAATCCTGAGGTATTTTCACGTAATTAACAGGTAAGAGAGAATCCAATGGGAAATCAATAAAAGTATTAATTTGTAAGTAATTTGGGAATAATCAACCCAAACTCCTTCAATGCCTAACTCTTTGATTTTCATACCTCTTAAAGCACAGAACTATTATTTCAAATACAATTCTATGCAGAAGTTAAATAGATATAAAACGATAAGTGGGAGTGAGACACCCTTGTGGATTTCTGCCTCTTCTCTTCTCTGCTTGTGGGAGAACTTGAGGAAATCCCAGCATCCTCAACAGAAGCCCCTGCTTTCAATAAATACAGTTTGAAAAACAAAGTAGCAGCTGCATAAGGTGAGAGTCACAGAGGGGCGAGAGGGGAAATGGCTTCCCTAACATTAACAGGTGAAGATACAGATCCTGTGATTCTAGTCCAGTTTTTTCTCTTCTCCTGTATGGAAGATTCTCCATAATGCTGTATTTTTCCACTCTTCATCTGATTAAATTGCAATTCATTTGCATTGTTGAGGCACATTATTATTTTCATCATTTAGTAATATTATGTACAACTTACTTCATTTTTAAATATGTGTTTAACTTGAAATATATGCTGGCTCTGTCTTTAAAGAAAACAGCAAACATTTGATGTCAGAAAAACAACAAAAATAAAAACTTACAAAAAAGAAATAAAAATCCTGCCCTATTAAAGAAGGCCTTTCTGAAATAGGATTTTATGTTACATCTTGACAAAGAAAAAAACTACAAATTAAATATCAATGCAGGAGAATTGCAAGAAAATGCCATTTCCCAAAAATGAACTAACCTTATCCTTGAGCATTTGGATTTAACTAGCTAATCAACCTGTCTTTATTAGTTTTTCTTTGTTTTTCCAGGAGATTTTTAAAATATGAAGAAAATAAGAAAAGTTATTTACTTCTTTGAATAATTTTTGGAGAATCCTACATTGTTGAAAATGTATGGCATGACCAAATACATCACATTAATCATAAAACAGAAAGAGTTTCTCTTTTCATGGTCTATGTCGGGGAATCAGTTTGAAATCTCTTTTTCAAGGCTCTATGAAATGATTTTGTTGAGAACAAGGGTCATGGCTGCTGTGACTAAATATCACGATTTTTAACAAGCTGCTTCATAATATGTTTCTCTTCCATTTATTTCACTCATTTATCCCACAAGCAATGCATTTATAAATGCAATCAATGTTTTTTAAATGCATGAACACTTTCATATGGATCAGGGAGTCTTCAATAAATCTTCATTTTATATAACGATTCATCTGGAATGTTCCAGATGTGGTATTTATAAAGCATTTTCTATTCCATATATCATGAACTTTACGCCAAGCCCAATTTTCAGCCCAGAGCAAGGAGTTCGGGAACTCTGTCCACTTACAACATTTACTTTCTCTTCAAATTACAAATATTACTTAGGTCAATCCTACAAGTTCCCTAAGTGGTCACTGAGGCAAATAACACTAAATGCAGTAAGATGTATGGTAAGGAAGCTAATGATGGCCAGAGGACGGAAATGTACGGTGTTCTTTGCAGAGTATTTTCTCTAGCCCTCTACATTTCTCTTCACTGCCTAGAAAACAGAAAATACAGCTCAGTTTCCTGTGCTCCTGAAGCTATCCCTGACTTAACCAGAAAGAGTTAGTTGCTTGTACCTCTAGAGTTCACAGAGCTGGAAATATACTTACTTTTTGAAAGCATTAATCATATGATTTCATTCATTGCCTTTGTGTCTGTCTCTTCTATACAAGAAAGAAGAAAAAGTATTCATCTCACCTTTATAATTCCTGTATCTGTCACAGAATAAGTATCCAATAATAATATTTTAAAGAAATGAAAGAATGAATGATGCATGATGTACAGCAGCCTGCTGGAAAATGTGAGAAAATAGAATGAATTTATACATTTTTCTCTGGCAGGCTAGTAGGAATAAACTAGATACTATATAGCCAGGGTAGAAAGGAGAATTACCCTACACTCTGTCCTGGTGCCTTCACTGTTTGAAAGAAGTAGGAAAGGCTTTGGTGTAGACCAGGAGATGCTGGCTGGCTTGACATTCTGTCTGATCAGTTTATCTCTTAAATCAAGCTAAGCAGCAGGCAAGCATTTTTCATAAATATTTTTTAAAATAGATGAATAGAAAGAAAAGGTAAACTTCATCGTGAGCATGTCTACTTTTTTATTTTCAATAAGAGGACCTCCAAGTCTGATAAAAACCATCTAAATATTTCTTAGAAATACAGAATCTGTATGTCCAAACAAACTTACCAAATTAAACTTTCAGTGGTAGAGGGGGATGTATTTTAAACAAAAGTCTCAAATGCTTCTTACTATCAAGCTTGTTTGAAAAACATTAACCTAACGAATACTAAACACTGGAGTAAGACAAGTTCTTCTACTTTATAGATGTGCAATGTGGATTCAGGGGATGACACTTCAACTTTACATAATGGTGTATTTTTACCTCCAGATCACGTAACCTTTCTCACCCTTGTTTTCCAAAATAAAAAGGATAATGAATGTTCTAGTAGATTAAAAAATAATTGACACAAACACACACACCCAAAGTCAAAACAACAAATTAAACAATAAAAAATGGCCTTAACACATTCTTTCATGTTTAACAAGGCATGCAAAAATGAATGTCAGGTAAAGTGTAATCTGTCTCTTAAAGCTTTCTATTTTCTCCCTAGGAAGGAGAGACTTATAAGTAAGGACCTGTAATCAAAGTAGGCCAAAAAAATCTCTGATATTTAAAAAGGAGTTTGAAAATTTTAAAGTCCTTTTTCTCTCTTGATAAAGCCTGACTCTCAAGAATATCATCAGTAGGAAGTATTGGGAATTGGAAAAATGAGCCTCAGACTGCAACCCAGATCCCAGAAACGGCAGCCGAGGTGATGAGGAGGCTTCAAACCAAAGTACTCCCGAGGGTGTCCTGCAACTCTTCAGAATGGGCCTGCCATAGTAACCAGCTGTGTTTAGTCACCGACTTCAAACAGGCTGCAGACAACAATATCTTGTAAAAGTAGAGAGGTATATTTGATTCCTGTTGCTACCATAACAAATTACAACAAATTTGATGGTTTAAGAAACACAAATTATTTTAGAATTCCGTGGGTCAGAAGTCTGTCCGGGCCTGACTGGCCTAAATTAGGGTGTTGTCAGGGCTACATTCCTGCCTGGATGTTCCTTGTTAATTCAAGTGGAATTAGATTCCTTGCAGCTAGAGGGCCAAAATCCCCCTTTTCTTAGTGGCTGTAAGCTGAGGGCCGTTCCCAACTTCTAGAGGTGGCAGTATTCCTTGGCTCCTGGCCCGATCCTTGATCCTCGGCTTCTCCATCTGGAAAGCCAGAGACAGAATATTGAGTCTTCTCACATAGCATCTCTCTAACCTTTCCATCTTTGCGTCTCTTGCTCCCAGCCAGAAAAAAAGTTCACCATAGTCAATGACTCATGTGATTTATTGGGCTTACCTGCTTAATCCAGGCTAATCTGTCCATCTGAAGGTCCCTACCCTTATTTTGCTGTAACAGAAAAAATAGTAACAAGACAATTAAGATAGTTTATTAATATTGTAATAGCCTGTTTATTGTAGTTATTTCATATCTGGACAGTTCAGTAGAATCTAGAGGTAGAAATAGATACAAATGCACATGGCTATTCAATTTGTAAAAATTGCAGTAATATTAAACTAGCGAGGATAGAAAGGCTACTCAATAAGTGATGTGAGACATTAAGATAATTCAAAAAAGATAATATTTAATTTAGTTCTTACAAAAATTAATTACAGAAAAATCACAGATTGAAAACTAAAAATGCCTATAACCAAAAAAGATCTAGAAGAATGTATAGCTAGATAAAATTAAAATATTTCACTGGGAAAGGTTATCATATCAGGTAACAAAACTCATGAGAAGAAAAAAATGACAAAAAAATTAACACAAAATGAAGGCAAACAATTCATCAATGAATGGGACTCATTGAATTAACTAAGGATCATCTATTGAATGAAAATAGAGCTTTATATTTTAATATGAAAAGTTTCTAACATATTTGGAGTGAGAGTCAAATGCAGTATATATGCATAATATAATTAAATACAATGTAGGTATCATTTAGTCACAAATGTTCAAAGTTTATTCATTGCTTTGGTTTTATTATGCAACTTGTGTAAAAGTGTCTTCATATGTCTCTGGTACACATCAGTGGAAATAGTGGCAACCAAAATGTTGTTTCCAGTATGTCTTAATGGTCTGAGTGTATTGTTTATGATACTAAGGATATTGCCACTGGACCTGTGGAGACTAGTCCTAACCTGCTCTCTTATGAGACATAGACCTTGCAATTTAATGTTGTTAAAGCAATGTACCGCTGAGCTTTATTTGGGAGGCTGAGGTGGGTGGATCACGAGGTCAGGAGTTCGAGACCACTCTGACCAACATGGTGAAACCTGTCTCTACTAAAAATACAAAAATTAGCTGGGCATGGTGGCGTGCACCTGTAATCCCAGCTACTCGGAAGGCTGAGGCAGGAGGATCGCTTGAACCCGGGAGTTGGAGGTTGCAGTGAGCCGAGATCATGCCATTGCACTCCAGCCTGGGTGACAGACCGAGACTCCATCTCAAAGAAAAAAAAAAAAAGAAAAAGCAACGCACCCTCAGGGTTGCTCATCTTTTTATTTGAAGGGTGTGATAGATGACAAGGATGTTTCTCATTATTCAGCCTGGTTAAATAAACATTATAGGACCTATACTCATTCTTATATAGACATGTCCATTACATTTATAACTAATATTGAGCAAGTGTATCCACAGCAAAGCAAGCTAGTTGAACAATACAAAATAAACTCTTCACTTTCAAGACCACTAAACTGTAAATGAACCAACATTGTAAACTTACCTTGGGGAAATGACTTTTATTTAGCCTTCGTGTTGCTTTGTTTACCTGTCAGTATAATAAAGAGTAAATTAAAAAGTGGCAATGTTTAATACCATCCTAGCACAGAACAATGTAATACATATTTGCCTGCACACAGATTGACGAGTTAGGTGACTTGCCACAAAGCTAAAGAAAGTAAATTAATTGGTCTTATTGATGTCTTTCCTTCTTTCCACATCAGAAATGCCACGTGTGTCTGACATATGTGTCAGTTTCTTTATTTTGTAGGAAATAAATCTTGCCTTTTTAATCTACCAGATGTCAATCAAAGTTGTTTTATTTATTTTTAAATCATTCAATGGAAAAATAATCCACAATTCTCTTTCATTTGCCAGACCTTCTAGTGTCTATGTTTCTAAATGTGGAGGTTATCTCTTAAAGGAAAAAGATAGCCATTCAAAGAAAGTGTGTTTTAAAAATCACAGTGGTCAGAGAGAACTTGAGGGTGTTATAGGGTTCCTCCTCTTTATCCTTGCAGATACCTGAAGTCAAGGTATAAGCACAGGCCCTAATGCAGGGATCAGCAAATGGTAGCCCACTGGACAAATCCAGCCCAGTGCCTGCCTTTGTGTAATCCAGGAGTACAGAATGGATTTCATATGTTTTAGTGCTTGAAAAACATTTTGTAATATATGAAAATAATATAAAATTCAAATTTCAGTTTTCCTAAATAAAGTGTTATTGGAACAAAACCCATTTGTTGATATATTATCTAGGCAACTTTCCTACCAGCAAAGCAGAATTGAATAGTTGCTCAATCTAAGATATTTACGATCTGGATATTTGCAGAAAATATTAACCAGCCCCTGCTTTATGGTCACAAATCTCTCAGGCGACCACAAACTGCTTCCTTTTTGGCTTCCTTATTCTTTTAAATCACTTTCCTTTTTACTCAATCTTATAGCATATTGTCTTGGTTTCTGTCTATACTGTACTTGCTATGTGTGTGATAAGTTAAATGAAGACTGTAAAGCACGGGACAAACAAGGGTGCTCCGGTGTGTTAAGTTTCTGTTCTTTAATCACTCCCTCTGTCTACTCTGTCGTCCCAACTATAACACCAGAGAATTCAACATACACTTGTGGAGCTCATTCTAGCAACATTCTCTGGTGTTTTTAACTACCGATCTTGCTCCTTTTCTTACTATCTTCAAAGTATTGGCCGGGTGCGGTGGATCACTCCTGTAATCCCAGCACTTTGGGAGGCCAAGGCAGGTGGATCACGAGGTCAGGAGATCGAGACCATCCTGGGTAACACTGTGAAACCCCATCTCTTCTAAATATACAAAAAATTAGCCAGGCGTGGTGGTGGGCGCCTGTAGTCCCAGCTACTCGGGAGGCTGAGGCAGGAGAATGGCGTGACCTGGGAGGTGGAGCTTGCAGTGAGCCAAGATTGCACCACTGCTCTCCAGCCTGGGCGACATAGAGAGACTCCGTCTCAAAAACAAAACAAAACAAAACAAAAAGTATTAAAGATTCATTTGAGCAAGTAATAAAACCTGTCAATTCTTTCAACCCTGCAGGCTACAATTGACTATATGTTATCTGATCTTTTCTTCTTGGAAACAGTTGTGTTATTTATACTCTGATAAGACTCAGTCACAAACACATGTTTCTTCAAGGCAGTCTCTTTCCCCTAGGCACAGATCTTCTCAGATTTCAGAGGTCTAAAACCTAGAATATAAAATTGAAAGTAGTGGGGGGAAACTGTGCTTGTGATAAACTGTTAGAGAGAGAGGAAAAAAAAAAGTTGACTTTTTTTCCCCTAACTTAAAACCTCCAGATACAGTAATTCTAATCAAGACTTTGTTTTTTTCTGTTTTATCCATATGCCAATTATCATAAAATTGGTAGAAAATTCTATTAGCCCATTTTCTTGACAATAAAAATGGATTTAATTTTATATTGACATAGTGCATCTTTCAAAGCTATGAATATATTTTTAAAGTACTTATTTGCTTTTTAAGATATGATTTTTTCTAATTATATTTTTCTATGTGTGTGTGGAGGAGGGGAGCATTTTTAGAAAAGAGAAAATATTTTCTAATTTTCTTACTATTTTCAATTGAAATCCAGGCTGTATCCGTAAAACCAAACACCAAGTAATAATACATAGCTTTCCCTGTAATCCTGTTTGCCTTTAAAGGGATGTTAATTTTCAGAATCCCTGCAGATTGATATTGAGCACAGATGTGCACAGCAGTAAGCGCACAATATGCAGGCATGTACCTTATCTTCCAAAGTAGCAGTTGAAAATGGCACTCAACCTAATTAGCTCTCAAAAATGATTTAGAAGGACAAGAATTAGGAAGAGAGTCAGAGTTAGATAATGATACTAAATTTTGAAATAGAAATGCGTCTTTAGCAGAAAGTCATTTAAAAAATTCATATGAGGGGATAAGAATAATAACATAATCATTTAGGGTCAACCACTACTGTGATTCCATAAGCCTCAATTTTAAGTCTACAATTAGGTACAACCCTGCATGAAAAGGCCTTCCTTTGAACCATCTAACCCTACGTAGCTTGTATATTTCACCAGTGCATTCCCTACCTCTGATCTTGACCTCAACCTGTTTTGTTCCAGCTTCTTTTAGTGCCTCCAGTTTTCATGGCCATTGATTTACTCATAGATCCTTACTTCTGCCTCCATCTTCTCTTAATGCTCCATCTTTACTCTAGGCAATGCATTTTCATTGAAAATTTTGCATAGGGCTTCCTTGTGTGGATTGGGCCTTTGAGGCAGTTCCTGGGAGATATGATGTTATCTCCTTAGAAATGCCTGAGCAAATAATAATAATGATGACAAAGTTGGTGATGGTCTGCTTTCAGGAATGCCTGAAGATGGACCATTTTCTCTGGACATCCTGGACTTTTTGTTGTTTGTGGCTCTCATTTTGTTTTTAATATCAGGGCTTTCCAGAAAAGCTTCTTTGAGACAGTATCTGACGTTGTTTCTGAAGGAACAATTCCCTAAAGGCTTTAAAATAGAATAAAGATTGGAGGAAAAGTCAACAAACTGCCGCCTCCATCCCACTTACATTTGGTGAAAATATCCTCTACATCGCGTGTGCATAGATACGCAAAGACCGATGTTATTTAAATATCTGTTTATAAAAACAAAGTGTGTAATCTAAATTTCTAAGAATTCTAGCATGTAGTAATTAATTTATTCAAGAACTCCTGATTTAGAATATTGTACACTTTGATAAACATATGTACTTTTATTCTTTACCATATAGAGAAAAAACAGAACATTTTTATTTTCACATGTAATCTAAATAGATCGAAAGAGGTTGTTCAGACAGGATAAAGTTCTCTCCATTCAACATATTATTTAACCTTCTCTTCAGAATATTGCTCTATATATTTAGAAGTATAGACCCCTTTTCCAAACTTGAAAAATGCCTGACATTGGATGACAACCTAGGTTTGAGTTCTGGCTCTGTTGCTTACTCACTGGGTGGTCATGGACAATTTATCTAACATAACCCCATCTATCCCTGTGTGATATGTGGATGATATTACTGTGAAAGGCTACGGCTGTGGTGTGGATTAAAGTGAGATAATGTTGGCTAAGCGTGTTGTAAAGTAGACAATAAAAATCACTTCCCTTCTTCTGCCTTTCCACTGAAAAAGTTTTATTCCAACCATCTCTTTAGTTCAATTCCTGAAACTTGGGTCACCTCTGATCTTCTTTCCAGTTATCCCCAAGTATATGCTTTCTGCTTCTTGCTATTTAAACCACCCATAAATTTGTAGCTCCAGATGACTTGTATTTTGTGATGAATCACAGATTGATTTCCACTATCAAAAAGTAGTCCTCACCTTTCCTTCTTGCTATTATTTTTCCTCTCTGCAAAAGGTTGCCCTCAAGCAAGAAGAATTTCGCTCTTCCCATAAAAACACAAGTCTGAGGCTTCTCTCAGAGACACTTATTTTACCAGAATCATATTATTCAGTCATGAAAGAACATTTTCTCATATTTGTCTTAAATCAAACTTCTGCCCTCTATAGAACTTAACAGAATTTATATTTTGCATAACAGAATTTATGCAAAATGCATAATCTGCATAAAATTATATATTTAAACATTATAATAGAATAAATAATAAATAAAATCTTTGTTACTCTGTGTCATGACCAATTGTTAATTTCATAAGCGAGCATATTTTTTTCTCACCAATCAAATTCACTTGATCTGATTATTCAGTGATGTTCCCATCAATCTGATAATAACACACACATTGTAGGAGACATAGGAGGAGGTTTATTAAATATAGTACAATTTTTGTAATAATTGTTTTTCTAATTGCATCCCTTATAAAATAATCTTTCTGAACTTGTCTGAAAATATCTGGATGTACAGATATCCATATTTTAAAATTATTTCATCCAACTTCCTGATGGGCACAAACAGAGTTGTTGCTGAAAGTTGTGTCTTCCAGCTGATGGCTTGGGAATCTCTGCATTGGAATTTCAACCAGAAACCCAGGGTTACACTGGCTGCCACTCAAACAGAGAAGCCAAAAATCAGTTTGCTTCCATCTGGGTAGGTAGAACTTTAGCCTGTCATTTCTGAAACATATTAATAACCAAGAAGAGATCTTCCCTGCAAACTTCTAGAGGGAAGTATTGAGGAAAATTCTAAAGTAAAGTGGTGATAGTCTGTGAAACTTTATAATCTCCCATAAGGCAAAGGGGAAACTGTGCCCTCCCAAAGCATCTTCACATCTCTCAGCATTTCCAGCTCTCCTTTCAGAGACCCTCAAGCCTAAGGGAAGTTATGAATCAGAAGTCATGTTTCCCTTCTGTTGTTTAAAATAAGTCACAGCACTTTGTTTTCTTAACAAAAAGCTGGGGTTCACAAGGTATATTAACTTGGACAAAAGACAGTTTTATTCAGTTTCTTCCTAAATGTAAAAAAATGTTGGTTTACCTAAGGAAAGGATGTGTGACCTCATAATTACTTTCCCACTCGCACATCTAATATGAAAAAATATATTTAAAATGAGATATTCTGAGTCGATTGGCTACATTAGAGTGCTCCATGTCTTGTCTTTTACCCTGGGGCTCAGATAGAGAAAACATTCTTGCTCATAGACACCCATCAAGTCTGAAGTACAGGGATGTGATTTGTCTTCAGAAACAGAGCTTACCTTCCACCATCTTGACTTTACCAATTACGTATTTCTGCCCAAGACACCCTGGCTATATCATATCTCTGTAAGGCATTTGTTCCATTTATCAAATCATAGATTCCTCAAATATTAGGACCAGGGAGCCAGATAAAATATTTCTAAATCTTCAGGAAATATGGTAATTAAATGGGCAAAGAGAATTGATTCCTTATCTTGCTGGAGATTACTTCCAGAGTAGAGCAATCTAATGCTTCTCTTAATCTTCTAGTTCCTCCATCCTATTTGATAATGTATCTGTAGCATTGTATCTATCTGGAAAAATTTATACTTTAAGTGGTTGGATAGTGTCACCTCCTTTTGACAATTCATGCATGTATTTATTTAATATTTGATGAGTGCTGACTATGTATTTGTCAGGCACTGAAGCCACAGAAGTAAACAAGATGGGCATAGTCTTAGAACCATCGCTGTGTTCACGGCATCTATTGTAACCTGTTCTCTTCTTCTAAATTTCCTAGCTGCTCCAGCTCTTCTCTGATTATGATTACTTGCTTTTTTTTGTCCATCTATGCTCTCATACCTGCACTTTTGCTCTGTTGTAGCTCTTCAAGGACTGACTTGATTCCTGCCTTGGAAACCATCAGCACCAGACCACAGATGGAAACAGATCACCCAAGCTCAGCTCACAGCTCAGGTTTCCCAGTCCCTGGAACCCTCCTCAGCAGCAGTGAAATCTCCAGGCTTCCAACTGGAATCAAAGAGGTCTGTGGCAGAGTTGAGGATATGGGCCCTTCTTTGTGCAGTTGAGGACCAGAGTCTCCCAATAGCCTGTTCTTGCTTCTACTGCAGGATTCAGTCCTGAAGTTCCTGTGAAAAAGAATCACATGATGCCTGCAATGACCCCTTACCTTGTTTTCAGGCCTCAGAAAAGATTCAGCACAGGATATTGGCACTATTGTGTGGGATCTCAAACATGACAATTATCCTTTTTTAATCTTTTTTAGTGTTATTGCTTCAATTAGTTTGCAACTAATATTCATTTCCAGATGCTTTATTTGCTGAGACTCACTGTGGATGTTCAAAAAATTGCAAAGGGTCACAAAAACAAAAGTTATAAAAATTATGACTCCTTTATTCAACCAGATGCCATACTTCCCAGGTAATTGGCTGGCAAATTAGTGCTAACGAATTCTGAAAGCAACACTAGTGAGAACAGCCTCCCACTGCCATCACTACCTCCACAAGACACACACACACACACACACACACACACACACACACAGGAATCACAATTCAACAAACAATTATTAAAAATAACAATCAAACACATATAACATGTATATGGCAATTATTACATGCCACTCACTATTCTAAGCAATAACTTATTGAATTATCACTACATCTCTGTGAGGTAAGTATTGTCTGTTACATATATGAGGAAGCTGAGGCACTTCAAGTTTGAGCAACTTGTCCCAACTTCCATAGGAAGTAAATATCGGATTCACATCTAAACCCAGGGTGTCTGATTTAAAAGCCTGTTGTCAAAATGGCTTCTCATTACTGCTTCTTATAAGATTATTAAAAGAATATGATTCATCAACCCCTGCATTTATATCATTCTAAACAAAGACATATGGAGCATCCATTCTTGTCTGTCACTATGCCAGTTGCTAGTTATAAAAGGAAAATAAGAGACTTTCTCTGCCTTTAAGATATTCAGGGTCTAATAGGCTATATATATATGTGTTTATATATACAGATATTTGCACTATAGTAAAGGTTATAATAGATCATAAAAGCCCACAGAGTGGCAGTGATAACTAAGTCCATGTTCACAACATAAAGGATACTCTGTGAGAACAAAAGGACATTTAATATCCCCCATCTTTCTGAAGGTTGCCACAGTGGATTGGAAGGAGCAAGAGTTTGTAATAGACGGAACCATATGAAACCGATGCTTTGAAGGTTAAAAACTTTTGAATATTGGCAATTTCATTTGGTTAAACCTAATATTTATGCAAATATCTTCTTTAAATTTGACACTGTTATTTATTAGCAGAGTCTTTTCCTTCTTGGGTTTTAATTTTATTATTTCTTAAGAGAAAATAACAATATTTTATCATTTTTACAGTGAGCTTAACATTTCAAAAGGACTGGGCAAGGCTGAGAAGTTTCCACGTCACAGTCACGTTATGCATATGCAATAAGTTTTATAATACTTTAAATAAGGCAGCAATCCTCTGGGCATTTGTAGGTGGTTTCTTACTAGAAAATGATTTGAAAGAAAAAATTGGTTAAATGAAGTCAAAGAGAAAGGAGAGTGTTCTGTTTACTTCTCCATATCCACAGTCATCTCCTCTCAAACAATAACCATTATTGGCATTTATAATTAATCATCAATTGTTCAGTGAGGAACTTATGTGCCATGCATAGATCAGAAGATTTGAAATCTGAGAACTAAGACAACCTCATCAGGCATTTTAAGTCAGAAAATGAATGGCAAAGGTTTTTACAATTTTTAAAAAATATATACTATTTTATATATTTGAGGACTGAGATCCTTTTACTATGGCCTCTTAAAGGGGCCACTTTACTACAATGGGCCTTTCTTTCTTTCCTTGTAAAAGTGATAAAGTAAGACTATGGCCTCTAAAGCCCAGATCAAACTCTCAAACTCTCTCACTCACCTCTAGTATGAAAACAGCCAGTTACAAGCCTCCTTGCTTTTATTCTTGTCTCCCCACATCTATCTGTTCCTTCAGAGCAACCAGAATCATTCCTGTAAAAGTATAACTCAGAAGACATGACGCCACAATTGAGAATTCTCCAATAGTTTATCACTCCCTCATCAATAAAACCCACATTCCCAATGAACAGAATAAAGTTCCATAAGACCTGGACCTGACTACCTCACTGGTGGTTGTTATCAAACTGTGGTTAAAGAAATCAGTGGAAATCTAGATTATGAATAGTTGGATCCTTTCTTCATGATAAGGTATGCATGAAAGATAACATCCTGAAATGTGTTTCCTCAGAGGAGAATTTCAAACTTTAACCAAAGTCAAATCTTATTGTAAAATGATGATGCTGGCACAGGAAGTTAGATCACCTGAAAGGAAGAAAGCAGAGGGAAAGATCATTGTAAGATTTCACTCCTTCCTAATGATGTAAGTGATTGATACCCATTCTCCTCTGTGCTTACCATCATCTTTGTCCTCCCGCAGATTTGCTTTATTTGAGAGTCTTTGGGATTAGAAGGAATGAAGCTATACTTTTGGTATACAGGACATCCTTGCAGATATTAGGAGATGCGTCCCTGGGCAAGGTGATCTCAGTAACATCTGTCTCTTCACTGACACACTGGGATACCATACTTACATATAAGATGAATTTAAATCCTGCCTGTGACTTCAATATAAGAAGATGCTGGTAGCTTGTGACTTCAATATAACAAGATGCTATTATAAACCTCTTGCTCCTTCCACTCCATAGTGAGGAGACACTGGGATGCCTTTTGCTGGGAAAAGGGCAAATGTGATAAACTCAACATTTTCAAAAAGAAATTACAAGATAAGAAATGATAAATTATAAGTGACTTTGTTGACATATCAACCAAACACAACGTGTCAACTTCATTTGACTTCTGATTTGAACCAGTCAAATGAAGAGTGATAGTGTAATGGGGATGGAGAAGATAGAGGAGGGTGGGTGGGGTGGGGATTGTGAGAATTCTTGAGATTTGAATGTTTAATTGATATTTGATTTGTGCTTTTTAAAGTGAACGTCTCTTACCTACTTATAAATACAAGCTATTTACCAATGAAGTTATAAGATGTCTTTGATTTGGCTCAAAGTAGTCCATCTATTTTACAGCACAGGCATGTAGGTATAAAAAATAATAGCTTTGTACTAAGAAATTTTGAAGCAAAGTAATGGATTTGTGGTGTTTCATTATGCCACTTTGTTCTACTTTTGTTTATGTTTAAGCTTCTGTAATTTAAAGAAGGAGTAGTGTAGTAGAAGTGAAGAAGAAACCATGTAATGCAGTAGGGAAGAGTGAGGCCTATGAAAATGGAACCCTGTTTGTGCCCAGCTAGAAATAACTCAACTCGAAATCTGCTTTGAACACGTGTGGCTAAACAACACATGGTGACAGGCTGGATCGTGAAAATGCCCACATGTTCTGGATCTTTAGAATATAGAACATATTTCAAATGCTCACTAGGGCCAAAGAAGGATGTTACTCTGAGAGTTGTTTAAAAGTGTCTTGAGCAAAAGATGGGAGAATTATCAAGATGAGAAATCAAGACAAGGCAGGGTGAATATACAAAGTGGTGAGAAGTGGCAGATATGCAGTCATGTCACCAACCACAGGGCACAGTAAAGGAAGTGAGGAGCAAGATGTGTGGGAATGAGGCAAACTCACTTAGCTCACTAATTCCAAAACCTCTGGGCTTTCTTGGAGCCTGGAACTTCCTATGCTGGTGGGGTTGATCCTTGGCCACCATGCCATTTGGACTGATGGCCATAATTAGACTGCTTCAATGCGATGACTCCTTCCCTTGAGAATGAATGGTGGATTGTATACTCTAATCTTTTCAGCTGCAAAACTGAGTGCCATTCTGCAAATGCTGATTATCTGCATTGCTAAATGGATGTACTACACCGAGATAAGCCTAAGAGATCATCAGCAGATGGAGAACTTCAATACACAGTTCCTTTGAGGGAGGCAGGGAAAATAAAATTTAGTGAGAAACCGTCTTGGGATTCAATTTTTGATGGTTTAGTGATATTATTTGTGTTTTATTAAAAGTCACCTTTCTCTCGGTCCATCCACTGAGGTAATTGAAAGGTCAGGAGTTTGGAGGTCACTGGGCATTTTCTTGACAATAGTTTTTCGGGCAGTTGGACCAAAGAGTCCTGCTGCTACAAAGAGTAAAATAAAGAATCTGAGACTTTCGACAAGACAGATTCTAATAGCTATTAAGTTAGGTTTGAACAATCTGAGCACATTTCATCTTGGAAAGAGTGTTGAGAAGAATAGAAATTTTGCTATTTGCATTCCCCTGAATATAGTAAGCTAAAATAAATTCTAATGCTAAAATTAACTTTTTATTTTTTTACCCATAGAGAAAGAAGTGCAAAGCTTCTCTCACTCATATCTTCCCCCAAGCAAACAAGTATATATAAAAATACTGATAAAATTGAGGTATTAAAATACAATATATTTCTAAGAAATGAAAATATGATCAGAAAATACATCCTACTTCAGAGATAAACTTTATAATGAGTGATATTAAATGAAAATGCAAGAGTTTTCAGAACGAAAAAGTACAAAGAAAAACACATTTAAAAATAAACAGACCTATATCTACCACACAGAAAGAATCACTTCTGGACTGTTGTTTTTTCTTAAAAAGCATTGTTAAATCTGTGAATATTAATGCTGGTCAATCATGAAAAGTTAATTTAGGTCATGTGATAAGCTATGGTGACATCATTTATTTCCCCTTTTCCATCTACTTCAGGCCTGCATTAAAGTGTGCGGGGTTTGGGGTTTGGAGAATAAATTTTGGAGACACAAATGTTAGTAACAGGATTTGAAGTATGATGCAGATGTTTACTGAAAAGTGACTCAAGTGCCTAAGGGAACAGTCATTTGGAGAGAAGGATGGGCTGTGTCTGCTGATGCTGACAGAACCTAAAACTCTTACAAGCATGTTGTCAAAACACAGGCCAGCACCAGAACCAAACGAAACAGGTGGGGCTGGCTCAGCTTCTTCTTAAAAGCCATATTGGGCTGGTCATGGTGGGTCAAGCCTGTAATCTCAGCACTTTGGGAGGCTGAGGCAGGAGGATCACTTAAGGCTAGGAGTTCAAGACCAGCCTAGGAAACATAGTGCGATTCTTATTTTTTTTTTTTTTACTTTACTCTAAGTTCTGGGATACATGTGCAGAATGTGCAGGTTTGTTACATAGATATACATATGCCATGGTGGTTTGCTGCACCTATCAACCTGTCATCTAGGTTTTAAGCCCCACATGCATTAGATATTTCTCCTAATCCTCTCCCTCCCCTTTTCCTCCACGCCCCAACAGGACCCGGTGTGTGTTGTTCCCCTCCCTGTGTCCATGTGTTCTCATTGTTCAAATCCCACTTATGAGTGAGAACATGCAGTGTTTGGTTTTCTGTTCCTTTGTTTGCTGAGAGTGATGGCCTCCAGCTTCATCCATGTCCCTGCAAAAGACATGAACTCATTCTTTTTTACGGCTGTATAGTATTCCGTGGTGTATATGTGCCCCATTTTCTTTATCCAGTCTGTCATTGATGGACATTTGAATTGGTTCCAAGTCTTTGCTATAAACATACGTGTGCATGTGTCTTTACAGTAGAATTGGCGGCGGGGGGCCAAGATGGCCAAATAGAAACAGTTCCGGTCTGCAGCTTCCAACGAGACCAATACAGAAGTCCGGTGATTTCTGAGATCCTATTTCTACTAAAAAATAAGGGGTAAAATTAAGTGCTGTGCTCACAGAGGCTGAATTTTAGCAGGCTGACTACACTTGCTGCTTTGTCCATAGCAGGCTGTTTTATGCCTGTTGTCATGTCATAAGTTTAAAAATTGCCTCTTTTCTCAATTTCTAAATGCCTGAATTTGGTAAAACCAGTTGTATTGTTCTGATCTTCTGGAGCCTTTCTTCTTCTTTTAAAAATATGTTTTATGTTTATTAGAAACTTAAAAAAATGGGATGGAGGGGCATTTGAGAAGTTTAAAGTGGGTTTTTTTGTAAGAAAGAGTTTTTAGACAAATAGATCTTGCTAATGTCACCCATAAAATTACAGTGAATATTAAACATTTGACCAAAGCTGTACGTTTGTATTAAAATAAATATGTGCATAAAATACACAAATAAAATATTGAAGAGCTATGTAATTAGTTGAATACTGCACTGAAAAATAGAAATGTTGTATGGGTACTCAAAGTATGGCTTCTACTAAATGTGCACCAATCTCACACCATTGTAACGTGAAAAAATCATAAGTTTAACCTTCATTAGTCAGAGACCATTTGTATTATATTACATTACATATTTAATATACACACATCTGTATATAAATGTATAAACACACACATACAGCTATGCCCATACACTTTACAAGTGGTAAGTGGCCAACACTTACTACTTTTACTGTAGAATTTTTAACCAAACTGCTATGGAAGTGACTATTCAGTGAAAAAACTAATCACAGGATTTAAATAATGAAAAAATTTCATATAATGGAGTAAAAGTGAACTATTTTCTTCAAAAATAGGCATATAGAAGCCTTTCCACACAACACATAGAGAAGAAAGCACTTTCTGGATAATTTTAGGTAGAAAAAGTAGGTATGTTTGTAAAATTATGAGAAAAATATAATTTCAGCCTTCTCAGTTTTGTACAGTTTAAAAAAAGGTGAAGGAAGAGATGGCTAGTGCAATTTTAAAACTGTAAATAAAGATTCTATATAGTGATTAAATTTGGAGGAGCTGCAAAATTATTGAGAATATGCTGAAATTTTTATTTCAGTAATGCTTCAAAGACATTACTGGCTCAATGTGAATTGTGTGTGATCTAAAACAACAACAATATCAGTGTTGAATACAGAACTAGGAATTGAGCAAATAGATTTGTAATCAAAAGATTTGGCCTGGTGAGTGGCCCACACTTGTAATCCCAGCACTTTGGGAGGCAGAGGCAGGTGGATCGCTTGAGCCCAGGAGTTCAAGACCAGCTTGGGCAACATGGTGAAACGCTGTCTCTACCAAAAAATAAAAAAATTATCTGGGCGTAGTGGTATGCACGTATAGTCCCAGCCACTTGGGCGGATGAGGTGGGAGGATCACTTGAACCCGGAATGTTGAGGCTGCAGTAAGCTGAGATGGTGCTACTGCACTCCAGCCTGGGCAACAGAGTGAGAACTTGTCTGAAAAATAAAAAAAATAAATAAATAAACTAAACTAAACTAAAATAAAATAAAATAAAAATATTTGTCTGTGCTATAGTATGGTGAAAACCATTGTGATGATAGTTGTAATGTCAATAAGGTATGTGACTATGCATGTACACACATCTATATATGAGTAAACACATATACACAGTATGGAGGGGGATCTGTGTATGCCGATATAGAACGCATTTTGTCTAAAACTGACGTGGTGTTCCTTCATGATCCTTTATTTGATGATAAAAATGGAAATTTACTTAGTCTAATTTGGTTCAAAACTGTGTCCAAACCAATATTGTAAATAATCCCTTTAGGCACTTTTTCAGTCTCATCAATTCTGCCCTCATCTGTATGTCCGCAGTGTGGCATCACACTGTTTGGAGGATGAAGGGCTCCTGTGAACTTGTGGTATGGAGTGACAGAGTCCTTGAATTTTTTCTTTGTTTTGGGGGTCCTTGCCAGTCCTTGCTGAGGTGGGACTGATCTAGCATTCTTCTGGTTATGGTGGATCCCACGATTTAGCATTCTGCTAATGTCTGTGCTAACGTTGTGGCTAAAGTATTCCTGACCATCCTTTGTCTGCTGTAGCCATGGCCAAGTACCTCTCGCTGCAGAAATGCTCCCTACTCTCTTGCGTGTACCCTCAGAATCTCTGCAAACCTCCCTTTGTTCCCCTGGCCCAGATAGTCAGTCCCCTCTGTCATTTCCTTGTCATATGCTGGCCATGGTGGGCCAGGGGAACTTATTTCTCTATACACAAAACTGATTTTCTCTAGATTGCTGGTAGATGATCTGTCATTGTAGGACTTAGCTGTGAGCACCGACAGGATTAGTGAAAATAACTTCACCTATTTGAAATACAATAGAAAAACATGTATATCAGTTGTTTAGGAGTAAACTATTCCAAAAAAAGAATCATCTATTTTGAGACCTAGGATTTTTGTTCTCTGTCTCTCCAGACACATTGACAATAGACTCGCTCTAAGATAACAAGAGTTTTTTGTGTACCTCATTTCAGTACTTTGCATAATAGAAATTTCATGTTGTTGAAAGAGCACTGAACTTAATTTGGTGCACGTTGCTCTTCTTTTAACAGTTTTGGTTAAAATATTTATTTAAAACAAATAAAAGATGGAATTAGAAAAATGAGAAAGTAATCAAAGATTGTAAAAAATACTGAGATAGAATTAAAAGGAATAAAAAATTTGTAAATCAAATATGTAATTCTTTTTAAGTTGACACATTGTAATTTTATATATTTGTGGAGTATGATTTGGTACATTAATTTGTATATGTGTTGTATGCTGATCAAATCAGGGTATGTACTAGGCCATTTTTGCATTGGTATAAAGAAATACCTGAAGCTGGGTAATTTAAAGAAAAGAAGTTTATTTGACTCATGGTTCTATAGGCTGTGAACAACATCTGCTTGGCTTCTGGTGGGAGCCTCGGAAAGCTTTCAATAGTGGCAGAAGGGGAAGGGGAAGCTGGAGTATCACATGGTGTGAAAGGGAGCAAGAGAGAGAGAGAGAGACAGGAGGTCCTAGACTTTTAAACAACCAGATCTTGTGTGAACTATTTCATGTGATTAAGAACTCATTCATCACCAAGCGGAAGGTGCCAAGTCATTCATGAGGGATCCACCCTCATAATACACTACCTTCCACCAAGTCTCACTTACAACATTGGGAATGACATTTCAGCATAAGATTTGGAGAGGACAAATGTCCAAACTATATCAGGGTAGTTAGCTCATTCATCACCTCATGTCTTTATCATTTCTTTGTGGTAAGAACATTCAAAAGCCTCTCTTCTAGCTATTCTGTAATATACAATACCTTACTGTTAACCACACTAAACCTAGTATGCAACAGAACACCAGAACTTATTTCTAATCGTAACTTTGTAGCTACAGTTGGACAATTAATTTAACCTTGGTTAATCGGCCTTGGTCTGTTCATCTGTAAAATGGGCATACTGTCTGCCTCACAACATGGCTGTGAGCATGAACGGCCCAAAGACTTGACACATAATAAGAGATCAATGCACCTTATTTCATATTCTTATTTATTAAAACCTTATAAACATATATTTTGATATATGCCTTGCAGATGCTATTCTAATGAAATTAAGCTTTAAAATAAGAACAAGAGTCCTACCACTATCACATATCAACAATTCAATGTGTTTCTTTCCACACATTGTTCATATACACACACTGTTAGAGATATCATGAGTATAGATATTTTATATTTTCCATTGTCATTGAATATTAGATGATTATTATTTTAATATTGCTATATAATCTTTATAATAGTAATAATATGTTTATATATTAAAGGGCCATTATTGATATTTCTTCAAATTTTAACTTCCAGATTATTTCTAAATTTTACCATACCAAATGAATTTTGTAGTGATCAAAAAGTTCATTTTGAGTATAAAACACACACACCCCCACACACACTTTTCCTTTCTAAATATTTATAATACATACAAGTAAAGAGACTTACGGCACAGCGTGTTTCTATATAGGAATCAATGGGTCCCTGACATGATTGTCCATTACATATATGTTATCTAAAACCTCTGGGTGCTTCTAATTTTCCAGTGCTTACTTGTGATACTCACCAAAGCCGCAACAATAGCAACAACCAATTCCAGTTTTACCACCGACAGCCGTCTTATTAAGTGATTGCTCAAACCACTGCAGAACTTTCCCAATCCAGGCAATTGGACAAGGGCTGGAGGTTGAGGGAGTAAGGAAGAGGTGATGAGGCTATTTTGAATAGCAGCCTTTGGTTCTGCAGAGCTGCAAACTTGAACTATGGAAAGAAGCTGATAAAGTTGTCAAATGGAGAAGGAGAACCATATGTCACCTCACATGCTCAGCACCGCTCACAATACCTTCTCCTGGCTGCAAGCACACTGGGATTCACCCACAAGGCCTCAGACATCTGTGCATCAGTAAGAGAAGATTGGGCATGTCCAAATGGCCAAGAAGGCAGCTGGCCTTCCCTGCAGCTAACACATTTAGCAGTCCTAGTCAAGCAAGTGTCCTTTCGGTTAAATATAATTCATCTCCTTCTAAGTGTCAGGAGTGCTGTGGTTGTGTGTGTTCTTAGGCAAGAACATAAAAAGAACAATCATTCCACGTAGCCCAGCAAAAAATAGATATAGTTGCTCAGATGGCAGGTGGGCATAAGACGAGAAGAGAGGCCCTTTTTGAATAGAGCCCATCTATATACTTGAAAAAGATATAAGGACATCTCATGCACACAACGTTTCACTTAAAAAGTACCTGGAAATCTTCCAAGAATAGCTTTAACTAGCAATAAAAAAATAGCAATCTTTTTTCTTTTAAATCTCACCTTAATAAATTTATATTATTATTGTTATAATTTTTATTCATTTGTACGTTATGTAGGTTATTTTTTTTCCTCTCCATCCTAAATCTTCTATGTCATTGAATTTTCACAGTTAGATATAATTTGGAAATACTCCATTCAGAGCTCCAAACCATTTTACAGTTAAAGCATCTGAATTCCAGAAAGTTAAGCAATTGGTTAAGTCATTTATATAGATTTGAGCTGAGAACCCAAGGATCTTGAAGTTCAGCTGTGCACATGTTCCAATAAGAATTGAGCAAAATCTACTTCCAAAGATGACATCAGTGGAAAAACTTTACTACATCATTCCTTGTGATGTCCTTAGCGTTTCGTGAACATTGTGAGATTGTTAGGTTTCCACTTTACACACTGATGCAGTGTTGGGTGACTTCTTTACACAGGGTGCTGTCAACACATTGGCTAACACAGCCAGCGTGGGTTTCAGTGAAGTCTGCTCTTGCCCAGAACTGCAGCCTAGCAGAGGAGAGGAAAGGCCAGAGCCAGGCTCCAGACACTGCATCCCAGCTCTCCACGCACTTTCTTCTCCGTGACCTCAAAGCTTCTTCATCATTGATTAGTCGCTTTTTGTGGTCTGCCTCTCCCAGCTGAATGTGAACTCTGTAAGAGCAGAAACCTCATCTCCCTTATTCCTCTCAGGATGCCCCACCCACAGACAACATAGAAGGTGTTTGATAAATATTTGCTTAATGAGAGAACAATCTTATGAAAATTGCTTTATCTCTCCTATTATCAACTTTTCTCATCTGCAAAATGAACAATCTGTGTCGATAGAGATGAGATGGCAGGTGTGCCTGGGGCCAAGCACACAGTGGTGCTCCGCAAATGTTTTGCTGCTAGAGCTTGGTGGTGAGGTTTATTTTATTTGCAAAATGAAGCTAATAATAATAAATAATATATAATAACAATAATAATAGAGCTTCTCAGCCCATTTGTGATTTATGTCCCTCCCATCTTCTTCCTTTTTCTTCTGTTTTTATACCAACCCTTCTCCCTCCAATCCGATGCTTGGTGCCTCACCATTGGTAAGAATTCTCAGGGCAGGCTGGGAGCAGTGGCTCACACCCGTAATCTCAGCACTTTGGGAGACGGAGGTGGGCGGATCATAAGGTCAGGAATTCGAGACCAGCCTGGCCAACATGGTGAAACCCCGTCTCTATTAAAAATACAAAAAGTAGCTGGGCATGGTGGAGCATGCCTATAATCCCGGCTACTCAGGAGGCTGAGACAGGAGAATTGCTTGAACCCGGGAGGTGGAGGTTGCAGTGAGCCAAGATCGCTCCATTGCACTCCATCCTGGGCAACATGAGCAAAACTTCATCTCAAAACAAAAAAGAAAATAGAATTATCCAGGTAAAGTTTAGGTCAAGCCAGGGTCTCCTGGGTTGCTAGGAAGTACAGGTCTCCATGTCCCATCTGCAGATATTCTAGTGCACTTGGTCCAGTTCTGGTCTTCTTTGGATTAAATAGTGGGCGTCTGGCATCTGCCATACATAATGCCCCTCTCTATGGCTGGAGATTTCGTTGTAGGTGGTCTTTTGACCTGATCTGAAAAGGACTATCCTTTGCTCCGGCTTCTCTCGCATCAAGGCAAGTTATTTTGTGTAAGATGGTCTCCAGTCACCTCCCAGGGCAACTTCTTTACCCAGAAGACCACAACTCCCCTTCTTCTTCAACTGACTAAAGGTGTCCAAACATGTGACAGCTTGTCAGAGATTTTCTTGGATGGCATAGATTTCTCCTGCTATTTTTTAGTACTTATTTGTAAGAGCATCCTTAAGATATTTAAAATAATGATAGGACAGAATACAAGATTCAGGATTAACTTTCATTCCTTCACTCTTTGATTTAACAACAAAAATGAGCACCTACTCTGTGCCATTCTTCTAGATACTTGAGATACATCAGGGAGACAAAAAAGCAAAACAGACAATCATCTTTATTTTTGGTCTTATATTCTAGTGGGAGGAAAAATAAAGTAAACACAATAAGTGAGCAAAATATGTAGTGTATTTTAAGATGTTAAGTGATCTAATATGATGAAACAGGATGTGGGGAGCTGGACATGCTAGGTGTGGGATCTGAAGTATTGAACCCAGCAGTCAGGGCAACCACAATGAAAATACAGTATTTGTGTAAAACTGAAAGAAGAGCTGTGGAGCTGCATGGATATTAGATGAAAGAGTGACTCAGGTGGTGGGAGCCATCCTTACAAAGTGGTCAGGTAGGCTAGTGGGCACAGCTGTTTAAATGGTGAAAGGCCTGAGGGGCAGTAAATGAGCACAGGAAGAAAGGGAGCAGTGGGGAGGAGGTGAGACCATAGGGCAGCACACACAGCATATTGGATGTATTGAAGGGACTGTGGGTGTTTTTTTTCCTGCACGGAGAGGGGGATCATTGCAGGGTTTGGTGCAGAGGAATGGAATGACCTGACAGATTTGGAAAGAATAATCGTAGCTTCCTTCATACTTAGAAAGTTAAAGAAAAAAAATAAAAAACAAGATACTGCCGGGTGCGGTGGCTGATGCCTGTAATCCCAGCACTTTGGGAGGCTGAGGCGGGTGGATCATTTGAGGTCTGGAGTTTGAGACCAGCCTGACCAACATGGTGAAACCCCATCTTTATTAAAAATACAAAAAGAAAAAAACTAGCCAGGCATGGTGGTGCACACTTGTAGTACCAGCTATTTGGGAGGCTAAGGAAGGAGAATCACTTGAACTCGGGAGGTGGAGGTTGCAGTGAGCCAAGAACGCACAAGCCTGGGCGACAGAGTGAGACTCCATCTCAAAATAAACAAATCAATCAATCAATCAATCAATCAAACAAGATACACAGTTGTCTATGAGTTAATGCACTGATTTATGAGTCTATGAGTTAAATACACTGAGTTGGATTGGCCATGCACAGTAATAACAAAAAGCAGCCCAACTTTTAGTTGATTAAGTGCAGGCACTTCAACTAAACCAAAAGTTAAACTCAACTCAACTAAATGTTTAGCTAAAGTGCCTGTACTCACTTCTACCTCTTTGCCCTTGGTATACTCATGGTTAAAGGGGCCATAACAGCAACCTGTATATGTTATCTCAGAGGCAGAAAAAAAGATAGTAGGCAAGTTAGAAACTCTTGCTTTATACTACAGATCAAGTAAAGGCTGGTGTGTCAAAATATTTTCTAACATATCCTTGGCTTCGGAATTTGGTATAGATCCTGGCCGATGGAACTCGTCATTTTTACAAAAAGAATCAATTTCCTGGTAGATAAAGTAGATAAAGTCTAAGCCAGTTCATTATGTGTAAGCCTTCGTTTTTGAATAGATATATGAATGATGTCAGAAAATTATAAAATATGCTGGATATGTAGAAAGGGTGCAATAAATACTTACGTAATTGAATTGGATGTTAGCCAAAATAGGGTAGCATATGCATCAATAGGAAAACAAACCATCACATTGCTTAGAGCATGTGAAAAGTTGCCCTGGCAACTCTCATCTATTTAGTGGTCACATTGATCTGACATCATGTTGACTTCCTACAGAGTTAATTTCTCACTTCTCCAGACTGTAATGTCAGCACAGTTGCACATCTTTCTGTTTATTTACCAAAAATATCAGCACAGTCCAAGACTCAATATTTAAAATGCATAAAACCTATGACGGAATTAAAACTCTTCCATATCAACAATTATAAAAAGGTTAATATGCTGGAAAAATGCTTTTGCAATGTGGTTTGAGTAAAGTCATTTTATTTTATATTATTGTAAGATAAAAGCATAAAACTGATGACATTTGACATTTAGGCTCTGAAGATGGGAAATATTACTAGATGAGTTTAAGGAGGTGATATCAGAGATTATATGACCAGGTTGAGAAAGAAGATTTGAATATTAACAATCCTTAGAAATTTCAAAAACATGTAGCCTGCTCTTCTAGTCCAGTTCATCTGGATGTGAGTTCAGTACTGCTCACAGCCAGCTGGATGTTCTTAGGAAAATCACAACTTTTCTGGGCATCTATTTCAATTGCCAAAGAAACACAAACCACCAGATTGTTGAGAGAATCCTGTAAGATACCTTGCTTAAACCAGTGTAAGTATTAGCTGGAAAACACTAGAAACAAAGGGCTGCTCAAGTGTCATAATCTGACTATATGACTGGTACACAGCCACTGCCCCAACACTCCCCGTGCTCACCCCACTGCTGGCCAACTTCGCCTCTCCCTTGGGACCCCTCCTATCTAATCAGTGTGCAGATCCAATACCCAATAATGATCAACCTTTTTTTTTATCACTCCTTTACAATAACGAGATATGCATAGTGACCTTCCCATGAATGATTGTCAACTGGTTAATAATCCACATGCAAGCACTTTTAATAGTTAGAAATGACATTTAATTATTAAATGTTATTTATGTTCGCAAACATATATCATTTTGAGGTTGCTTTCCCTTAGAAATGGATTATGTTCAATACCATTTTTATTCCAATAAACACAGGATGCATTAATGAAAAGGTACAAGGGCACAAGTCACACCTGCCAAAACCCAATTTCAGCCATATGCCAGATTTGGAGAGCACCATAGAGCTGCCAATACAACCCTTTAAGGAGCCAGATGCCACGGCTGGGGAAATACTTTTCAGTCCTGCTCATGTAATTCTTACATTACTAATTAGCCTTAGCCCACACAGAACTAAAATTAATCATGAGAAGCGGCAGCTTGACTCTTCCAGTTATGTTTCAGTTTCAGGCTGTTTGCTTTCACCTCTGCCGGTGCATCCTCTGTTTCTGACACTGTCTCCTGTTTGCCTCCTTTTGCTTGGTGTTCATGGGTGGAGCTCACTGAATGCCACTGGGATGGCAGTAGTCATTCCAAATGTTGCAAGTCCAAAACCCAACTCCTGATCCTACCCTCATTACAACCTAGTCCCTCTCACAGTAGATAACAGCTTTAACATTCCTGGTTTTCAGAGGCAATAAATCCTTTGAAGTGGTCTTGCTTACCCTTTCTCCCAGCCTCCCAGCCTGTCACCAACACATCTAAATGTTTTATTCTACAAAGCATCCTAGAAAGGGAAAAGTTCTTTTACCATTATCTCCTGTTTGGGTTACTGCAAGGGGCTCTTAAGGTTGTTTCTAGAGGCCACCCTCATGTTGTAGAAGCCCAAATTCAGGCTCCTGTATGGGATGTGTAGCTAATGCCAAACATGACACATAGGTGCTGAGAGATAGAGAAAGGTTTATTCAATTTGGCCAAAGCAAGAAGGCAGGATGGTGAGATCTCTCAAATATTTCTTAACAAACAGAAGACGGAAGTTTCCTTTCCTATTACAGGAAAGTTTCCTCCTATTTCTATACAATATATCCTATATACACTACCTATTGTGTTATTTTTTCAAAGTTGATCTACCTATATGTGTACTCTTTCAAAAGTGGTACTGAAACTAGAAATGGTTCTGTCTCAAAAGTAAATGAATTCTTAAGATAATTTTGAGGTGTAAAAATGGGGAAAAGATTAAATTGTTTCTTCTTACAAATGTGTTCAGAAAAACTGATTAATTCTAAATCAGCTCAATAATAGCAACTAGCTAATTCAAAGAATAATTGAGAACATTACGATAGATTAAAACTGAATATTCGTGCAATATATACTTATTTAGACAGTTGGTTAAAAGAAAATATGGAATGTGAATGTTGAGTGTTAGTACTAGGCATGCTTCTTTGAAAAGTCCTTTTCTCCAGTAACTGATATTTACTGTAGGAACCCCAACACAAAATACCAGGAGAGGGTTTGTGGGGTGGTGAGTTGTGTCCAAGTTAAAGAACTTGGTCAACAGGGACAAGCAGAAGAGGTCATACCAAGAACGCTTTAACTTCCCACCAGTGCTTGAGCCTATATCAAACATTCAATCAAGGAATATGTCTTAAACCCCTCCTATGACAGAGGAACAATTATTTTTCATTACAAGGCTCAGTTTTTTCCTAAACAATAACACCAAACTGGCACTGTCTAAAATGACTTTACACAACATAAACATTATTAATTTGTAAAAGCAGTTCTGCTATTTCTTCTGAGGATTTATAGAATTGCTGTTTTACATGGCCAATGAATCCTGCAAATCAAAATAGAAGTACTTGAAATGCTAATGTTTTTCTGTATTCCTGATTAAGTCAATCAGATTAATTTTGTACTTATTTGCAATTTATAGCAAAATCTGTATTCATTTTTACCACTCAGTCTACTTGGCACAGTTGCTAAACATTCCTATCAATATTGCAGACAAGATGGAGCACCTGATTAATACAAATGCCTAAACATAGTTGCCTGATTTTGGCTAATTTATCTTGTATTGACAAAATCAAAAGTAGTTAAGAAATAAGCACACAAAATGTTACTCACCATCTTGTAAATGTCAACCTTATTGGGAGGCAATATTATGTGTGGAATGCTTGCCTCATTTAAATTTCCCAGCATAATTGAAAATATGTTTTAATAAATCTTACATAGTAAAAATAATCTGGTTGCAACAGGACAAGAAAAATTAAGTTCATTTGATAACATTCTCATTTAAATACTTAGCACTATGCTTGTACTCAATGATTATATCAAGTAAATCCCCCAAATTTGCAGTAAAAATGTAATTGCCTGAGAAATAATATAATAAAAAACTGAATAACAAATATATGGAGTCTGCATTACAACTATAAAACAAGTCAATAACAAAAGAATTGATAGTGTTTCGTTTGGATATTGTAGAGTTATAATTTGAAACTGTTTATGTTGCAACTATGTAAATTTATGGCTTGGCACCAAACAATGCAATGTAATAGAATTCATTCCTTTCTATCTCTTAAAGGCACAGAGTAAAATTGTAAAATCAGATATTTTTTATGGATAAATTAAAGAAAAGACAATCTTCCTGGGAAAACATAGATTCAATACATTTTTCGGTATTTTCTTCAACTTTATAAATGTATCTGTTCCTTGATCATTGCTTCTCATGATGAAAGAGACTGAATTCTTGCTAACGCCTTAAAATAGGGTTCATTCACAGCTTTAACCACCCTAACAACTGGGTCAACAACACGTCCCTGAGAACTTTGCAGAGAGAACAACAATGCTGTCTTGGCTCTATACAAATACAATTGTTAGAGTACAAATTATGCTACCTTTTTAAAATTAGATAACCTGTTTCTTCAGTTGAAAGTGGTCTTTGAAAGTAGGAATCACATATTCATCATCAGTGAAACCCTAGAACCTTGCACATTACTTAATGCTTAGAGGTGATTCAATGCACTTTTGTTGGATTTTTAAGGAAATAAAATTAAATTGAGCTTGCAAAGCAAGTAATTTGTTTTAATATGCTCTAGAAGGCTCTTTAATGCCTGTTTATTCATCTCACCAGCACTGTGCTAAAGTATAAGAGTAAATAGACATCTTATAGACTTGATTGATAGAATAAGAAAATGCAAGGAATATTTCTCTTTCTCATGACAATGACACCGTCACTTACTCACATATCCATTCCCCAAGCATTCACCAGTCACCTAATATATGCAGGATACTCAGATATCCCTTTCTTTAAGGATCTTCAAACCTAGTAGGAGGTTTGAAGTTATGTTTGAAGTATGCAGTCCATGCAGGGGTGCTGGGTTTCTTCTACCAAGCCATTGCTTTGCCCAGCACATTATTTCTTACATGCACTCTGGGGAAAGTCATACCAAGAAGATAAATTAATGGGGAAAACACATCCACAAAAGAATTAACATTAAATGTAAATGTATAGCCTGCATAGGAACACTGCTAAGTCCCAGAAAACCTGCTCAGACTTTCTTTTTCTTTTTTCTTTTTTTTTTTTTTTTTTTTTTTTGAGATGGAGTTTCACTCTTGTTGCCCAGACTGGAGTGCATTGGAGTGATCTCGGCTCACTGCAACCTTCACCTCCCGAGTTCAAGCAATTCTCCTGTCTCAGCCTCTGGAGTAGCTGGGATTACAGGCACACGCCATCACGCCTGGCTAATTTTTGTATTTTTAGTAGAGACAGGGTTTCACCACGTTGGCCAGGCTTGTCTCCAACTCCTGACCCCGGGTGATCCACCCGCCTCAGCCTCCCAGAATGCTGGGATTACAGGCGTAAGCCACCATGCTCGGCCTCAGACTTGCAATTACCATTGACTGCTCTCTCAAATGTGATTTGTTCCTCATGAGCTCCATGAGCATGTCCTGCCTCTTCTGCTCCTGGATCAAAGCCTCCTAGCCCTCCATCACTAAACCCTGGGTGCCGTACAGCCCCATCTCAACACGAAGTTCCCTCTGGCCCTCTAGTTGTCCTTACAGAAGAGAGGAACTGTTGCCTTCTCAGAACGGCCCCAACTGCTACCCAGTTTCCAATGGTCCTTTTGTTCTTGCTGGGCACATAACCTCTGACAGCCTGTGACCGTGAGCAGGCATCACTATCTCTACTTGGGAGCAGCTTTGCTGCGGTGGTCTTCTGTGGGAACTGCTGTCCCCTGACTCTGTGTATCCATGTGTTGGGTCACTTGGTTTCCTCTTTTCCAAAGAGCAGTTATTGAGTTTAGACACAGAAGTGAGCAGAAGCAGATGTGACCTCTGCCTTTATGAAGTTTGCATTCCCTGGACATGGAGTACCTGAGGCATGGCTCATGTTCTTTTCTCTCTTCCCCATATCGCTTTCAAAAGGCTAAGCAGGAATGCCCACTACTTTTGGAAGTGTATGTTTGTTTGACATCATGCTCATCTTCCAAGCACACACACTCACACACACACATTCACACACACTCACACACACTCATACACACACATTCACACATTCACACACATATTCACACACACATTCACACACGGTCACACACACATGCACACACACATTTACACACACATTCACGCAAACACATACACACTCACACACTCACACACGCATTCACACACATTCACACACACATATTCACACACAGTTCACACACATTCACACATTCACACACAGTCACACACATTCACACACATATTCACACACAGTCACACACAGTCACACACATTCATCACACACGCACACATTCACACACATGCGCACACACATTCACGCATACACACACGCACACACATTCATGCACACACACATTCGCACACATTCACACGCACATTCACACACACATTCATGCACATACACACACATTCACACACACATTCCCCAATACAGTATTTTTTCCTTTTGCTCTCTACCAAAAATTTTCTATCAGAATTCATTTGAGCTGAAAAAAGAAATAATGACAAAAAATTTCTAGCTACACGTAGATTGCGTTTTCTTTCTCTCTGTATCACCTACATCAGAAAACACAGTATCTAGAACACAGCGATTCTTCAATGACTGTCTGGTGAGTGATGCATAAACAAATGAGCAAATGAGGAACCCGAGTTTGCAATCATTCATGTGTATGAGAGCAATTAAAATATGTTTAGAAATATGATGGTTTGTGGTACTATTTCCAAATGTTGGCTATCTCCTCTTGTGTGACAATCTTACTTCTTCCAGCCTTTTGGCAGCAGGCGGGGCCATCTGATTTGCTTTGGCCAATACAGTGAAGCAGAAATGATGCTACCCACCTCTAAGCAAATATGTCAAAAACAGCTGCATGGTGCCATTATCTGTTTTTCCCCTGTTTTATGAGACGAGTATGTCCCAAATGGGGACTTTTCTTCACAGGAGTCTTGGATACAGAGTATACCAAACCTCAGCTAAACTTACAGAAGACATGAACAGAGGGCAAGAGGTAAACATTTGCTGTTGGAAGCCATTCAGATATGTTTGTTTGTTTGTTTACAGCACAATTAAGTCTAAGCTAAGTGATTTATGGAATATCACAAGCTTACTTTCGAGATGGAGAAATTATCCAAAGTTCCTAACAGTCTGCAAGTTTGGAATTGCTGAAAGAAGGAAAGGAAAGGAAAGGAAGGGGAGGGGAGGGGAGGGGAGGGGAGGGGAGGGGAGGGGAGGGGAGGGGAGGGGAGGGGAGGGGAGGGGAGGGGAAGGGAAGGGAAGGGAAGGGAAGGGAAGGGAAGGGAAGGGAAGGGAAGGGAGAGAAAGAGAAAGAGAAAGAGAAAGAGAGGCTATCATCCCCTGAGACGCCACTGGGCATCAAGTATTAAATAATCTTACATGTATAGTTCTTACAACCATTTCAAGGTAGTGTCTATCATAATTTATAGGTGAGAAAGCAGGCTCAATTATTATATTTGTTGAGCTTTCACTATGTTCCTGTTCTATGGAATGTTTTAACTTTTGCAATCATCCTAAACTAATTGACTTACACAGATATAAAGATGTTACTCTTTGCCTTTTCATTCTGTACATGTGTGAATTGTGTGTTTGTGTGTGAGGGTGTATGCGGGCAAGGTATGACATAATAAGAAATACATATTTGGTCTTTGTCCCTGGTACCTGACACAAGTTCCTAAAACTCTTGGAATTTCCTGAGTGATCAGTGTGAGGGAAGCGTCTATTGTTTTTCATAATAAGTCCTTTTCAAACATACCTGAGATTGAGATGGCTCTTGGAAAATGAGGCGTGGTTGCCAGAGGAACCAACCATGTAATCAGAGGATTGAAATTTTCAGCCCCACCTCTAACCTCCCTCAGGAAGGGAAGAGCGGCTGGAGATTGAGCTCAATCACAAGGCCAGTGATTTAACCAATCTTGCCTATGTCATGACACCTCAAAAGAAAACCCAAACAATGGAGTTCAGAGGGCTCCTAGGTTGATGAACACGTCAGTGCTGAGAGAGTGCACACTGGGAGAGGGATAAAAGCTCTGTGCTGCACCCTACATCTTGATCTGTGCATCTCTTTCGTTTGATTGTTTGTCTGTATCCTTTATAGTAAGCCAGTAAACCTAAATAAGCCATTTCTTGGGTTTTGTGAGTGTTTATAGCCAACTATCAAACAATAAGGGGTTAGAGGAGCCTCATATTTATAGCCAGTTTATGAGAATTACAGGTAACAATCTGGGCCTTGCAATTGGTATCTGAAGTGGTGGGCAGCCTTGTGGGAATGAGCACTTAAACTGTAGGCCCACACTGACTCCAGGGAGTTAGTTTCAGAATTTAGTTAAATTGTAGAACACTCGGTTGGTGTCCACAGAGAAATGGAAAATTGCTTGGTTAGAAAACCCACATGTTTGGTGTCAGAAGTATTTTGAGTACATAGGAAAACAACAGTTTTTCTTTTGACAGGGTAAGGGTAAATGGCTGTGGGGAAGGCACATAACCATGGTTGATTGTACCCATGGCACCTAGGGGTTTTGCAGAGTAGCTCCCATTTCAATTCTATAATAGAGTTTCTCATTTGGGAAATTGGTGTTGACGCTTTCTACGTCAGAATATAATTGTGAAAATAAATATCAAATCCGACGTAAATTTCCTTTGAAGATACAATCTCATCTATATATGTTTGGTTCCTTTGTTATTATTAGCAGGGGAAAAAGAACAGCTCACTCTGATTGTTCCTAATGAGTCAGTAGGGTATGGATGGAAGACAAACATTTTCATATGCACATGCCTCTGACGGAGTGAGAATGAAAAGTAAATATAATTTAAATTGAAAACTTCCAAGAGCCCATAATTTTCCAAGAGCAAATAGACAGGAAAAAGGTTTTGTGAGCTCTTTTCATAAATGAAAAGAGGGAAATCAGAAAGCAAATAAAAATGTAGCATTTAATGGCATGCTAGCTGAAGGAAATCTCACTTGGAATCACTAATGCACAAAATCGGAAGTATCTCAGAGATTCACAGACCCACACTTTCATTTTACAGTGAGGAAAAGTGAAGCCTGCTGAGGGGAAAGTAACTTGCCCAAACTCATTCTAGTAATTAGCTCAACTAAGGCATGTGAACAAATTTCAGGACATCAGAGTTTTGTGGAGCTGGGATTTTGCACTCAAGTAACATAGTGTTAAAGTAAACTCCATTTTTCTGTTCCTGATTATAATGCAGGTAGTGGATGAAATTCATCTGGGTTCTGTGCTACTTGAAATCTACACCTTGCAATTCACATTTTTAAGAATTTACCCTCTAATTTGTCCAGTGACTTTGTAATTTATTCCATCATACCAGAAACTGAATTCTGATAAGCAAATGTTATCATATCAGAAAGCAAAGGATTCTTCAGGAGAATAATACCCTTGTGGTTACTTTTTTTTTTTTTTTTCAGACAGAGTCTCGCTCTGTCACCCAGGCTGGAGTGCAGAGGCGTGATCTCAGCTCACTGAAACCTCTGCCTCCTGGGTTCAAGCAGTTCTCTGCCTCAGCTTCCCAAGTAGCTGAGATTACAGGCGGCCACCATCACCCCCGGCTAATTTTTCTATTTTTAGTAGAGACGGGGTTTCACCATGTTGGACAGGCTGGTCTCAAACTCCTGACCTCATGATCCACCCACCTTGGCCTCCCAAAGTGCTGGGATTATAGGTGTGAGCCACTGCGCTCAGCTGTGTTTACTTTTTATAAATCCATTTTTCAAATCTTGATAACATTAGATTAATGGTATATCTTTGGAGCTCAAAAGACAAAATCATTATATGCCAACACAGCCTATAGGTCACCTAAACAGAGCCTAAAGTTTTAATGAGCTCTAGGAAGTTTCCTCTGAGTTAGGACTCATGAAAAGAACTCATGAGTGTTTTAAGTGAACAATAGTTACATCGACTAAAGTAAGAAATTGGATGTCTGATTTCCTTTGAATTTTATGAGGCACTTTAAGTATCAAGCAGGAGTACTATCTCTAACTAAAGAATACCATTATTGCCATTCCAAACATTATTCCTAACTGTCTGAGATAACAATTGCAACAATAATAATAATAATGAGAAGTGGGCAATTATTAATACTTAAGTATAAATTTATCTGTTAGAATACTAATAAAAGCTTTAAAGCTGGCTTTTTAAAAAGAGCTAAGCATAGTAGGGCCTTTTAGGAAAGGCAGGCCTGGATCAGATACCAGACTGGAGGCTCTAGCCAAGTAAATAGCAAACGCTAGGACATTGGAGAGGACCACAGAAGAGAACTAAGAGGGAACTAGAGAAAATCTCCAAAGATTTGCTTAGCCTCTGTTTATTAAAAAAAAAAAGAAAAGAAAAGAAAAAAGTTATACTAAAATAAATTAATCACAAATCATTCAAAGTATATTTTTATAACTTTGCCTTCAAAGCAAGATCAGCCAAGGAAAAAAATCCCTAAGTCCTATCATTCCAAGGACCAACAAAAATATAAAAATATAAAATTAAAAAACATTAAAATGAGAATCTGAGACTATTTAGGCATTTTCTTTGTATGTTAGATATAGGATCAATCATTCCATTACAAATATTTATTGATATTACTCTAAAATTTTCTGCTAAAACATCTTCAAAAGTTCAAAATGTATTTAAAACAATGAAAACTCCATGAGTCATACTTCCAAGAGCCCCCTCCCCAAATGTAGAATGATAGTGAGAAAGGTATTTGATGAGAGGCATAAAGAATGCTTTGTGAGTTCAGAGGAGACAGAGACCCCTCCATATGGATAAATCAGAGATACTTCATGATAACAAAGGAGGCATCAAATAGATACTATGGAGTTTTTGTTTGTTTGTTTGTTTGTTTTTAGACTTCGGCTAGGAAATGAGCCTCTTTGGGTCAGATACTAGCTCTTTGGTGTAGTAGCTGTTCACCCTTGGTCAAATTGGATTCATTAATATCTAAAAAGCCCTTAGAACAGTGCTAAGCACATGTGAGTGTTCAGGGCCCATGGGTCACTATTGTATTTCACTGGGGTAAGATTCCAACACTGCCTGACAAGGGGCTCACGCCTGTAATCCCAGCACTTTGGGAGGCCAACGTGGGAGGATCACGAGGTCAGAAGATCTAGACCATCCTGGCTAACATGGTGAAACCCCGTCTCTACCAAAAATACAAAAAATTAGCCACGCATGGTGGCATGCACCTGTAGTCCCAGCTACTCGGGAGGCTGAGGCAGGAGAATGGTGTGACCCTGGGAGGCGGAGCTTGCAGTGAGCAGAGTTCGCACCACAGCACTCCAGCCTGGGTGACAGAGCCAGACTCCATCTCAAAAAAAAAAAAAAAAAGATTCTAACACTCTGAGTTGGTGATGTGGATTTTAAGGGAAAAGGCGAAGCAGGACTAGTGAAAACAATCAGCATGAACCCACTCTGAGGAGAGTCACAGAACAGAATTGAGCAGGCAAAGAAGCTGAGAAGCAAGGCCAGGCTGGGATCTCTGAACACCTATTGCATTTGCCTGCTTCTCTTTTATAAGGCAGGTCGTTTCTTACCTCATATTACACCCGTTTATGAATATGTCATTATCCCTACATGACCAGCACCTGAAAAAGGGCAGTGAAATACTCATAGAATGCATGGACGGGCATGTGTTAAGTAACACAATGAAACACTCAGGCATGGTTTTGTACAACCTCAAATTTTAGGCCTGGGCTCTGTTAAGCTCTATGTTCTACCTCTCTTCCATTTTCATCTTTGATTTTCATCTTCCGTACTATTTTGTTCCTCCTACTTGTTGACCTACACCATAACCAGTTCCGCTCAATGCCATCATGCAAGTCAATTCCTGTGTGTGAATATTCTCTTTTTCTTACTAAGTTGTGAACCTGGCCTCAGGACTTGAGAAATCCATTTTCCCCAGAAGCATTCTCTCACAACTGCTTTTCATGATCATCTTTCCTCAGTCACATCTCTCCCGGATGAACTTTTTACCCAAGCACATACAGATGGATGTGTCCATATCAGCTTTGGTGACTCATGTGGTTTGTGTACCATGATTGGCCTCTTCAAAGGGTTAGGAGTACATTTCCTTTAAGTGACTCCCTACTCAGACTACAATGACAGCTTCATTCAAAGAGACAAGTGTGAACAAATACCTAATTATCTGTTTTCACAGTTGCCAGATACTGCATAAAGGCCAATAGTAACATTTCAGAGTCTAATTCCAAATTTCAGCAGTAGTTCAATATGTAACATCAATAAGAGGAAACTGAAGTATAGCCATCCACAATACTGATGGCCAAACAGAATCCATACTTTGGAGTATACCCCACAGGCATATACCATAGCTTTAAAAGAATGGATTTTGCATTCAGTCGCCGAAATTCCTGCTCTCAAACCACAACTATAGCTAGGAGGTCAGTAAGCTCCAGTTGAATGTTTGTTATCTTTGGGAGGATTGAGGGGTTGAGGAAAATGTTTCTTTAAAAACTAGAATTAAAACAGGTTATTATTGCATATAATGCAAATGGTATATAATTTTTAAATTAAACTTGAGTCTTTAAAAACTCTTTACATTCTGACAGCTGTTTCAGGCAACCACCACATGCACTCAGGCATAATTTGTTTTCGTTCAATGGGGAAATTTTGAAAAGAGTTGAGAAGAACCCCACGGAGATGTCTCTATTACATGGAGGAGGCACTGAGCCTCCAGTTGAACAACTTCGCTTTGCGTAACTGGTACTATCAGGAGCCGCCCTGAGAGCACCCAAAAGTGAGCTTTAATGTGTAGTTACCCACACAAGAATGTCTGCTGGAGTTCCTTGAAGATAGAAATCCGCTGTGTCCTGCCTTGCCATTCGTAATTAGTCAACCAGTTTTGTTTAATTAAAGTAAACGTGTTTGGAATGCTATAATTACTTGTTAGTAAGGAAAACATTTGCTCTAATTAGGTACTCATTAGAAATTCAAAAACCACTTAATATTAGCAATTAAAACTGAAACTGTACTTTGAGATTGAATTCCCCATGTCTATAAACGAAGCAGTCCACCACACGCTGGTCCTGAATTTTAGTTAACTGACTGCAGCCCTGGATGGCACCAAGGGAAAGAAAAAGTCACAGATTTAATTGGGAAACATGGCAGGAAGACCAAAGTACTGCACGGTCCCTGCCCGTGGAAGTCACCCATGCAGAGGGGTGGGCAGAGATCCATAAACCATTTGTTTAGAGATAAGTATACAGAAAGTAGGGCGGGAAGGAAGAGAGAGAGGGAGGAGAGGAAGAAAGCAACAGTTACTCATCCAATAAATAACTGGGCCCTTTTAATGTGCAGAACAGCCTGAGTTCATGCATAGAAGAGACATAGGAGGAAATCAAGTGTTGGAGCCAAACCACAGCACAACATTACAGTTAAAGCATGGCACAAAATCATAGCACAATTCTATAAATCTCCTTAGGCAAAATATGATAAAATGTCAAAAGATAAAGGCCATGAGATTTAACAGCTATCTCAAAGGGGCAGCAGTTTGTCAGAGGGGAAATAATCAGGCAGCTTTAAATGGGTAGAGTGCTTTTGTGTTTGTGTTTTTATTTTCACTGACAGAGAATAGGACAGTGGATTCCTAAGAACACAGCATTGTGTGTATATAATCGATTGTTTTCTTTTTTTTTTTTTTTTTGCTTCTTTTTTTTTTTTTTTTGAGACAGAGGGTCACTCTGTAGCCAGGCTGGAGTGCAGCGGCGCGATTTCAGTTCACTGCAACCTGCGTCTCCAGGGTCAAATGATTCTCCCGCCTCAGCCTCCCAAGTAGCTGGGACTACAGGCGCACACCACCATGCCCAGCTACTTTTTGTATATTTAGTAGAGACGGGGTTTCAACATGTTGGCCAGGATGGTCTTGATCTCTTGAGCTCATGATCTGCCCGCCTTGGCCTCCCAAAGTGTTAGGATTACATGTGAAAGCCACTGCACCTGGCCGCTTTTTTAAAAATATGTATTTGGGTTGCATTGAGAATGCAATTATGTAAAATTTTGGCCAGATGGGTTTTTGCCACAGTGTTTGAAAAAAAAATTATTTGATTTTTCTTTGAAATCCCATTGAATATATTTTCCTAGGTCAAACAAAACAGGGCAAAGCGTGAAGGTAATAATTGTATTTGGATGAGGGCTGACTCACACATTTATTTCGGACTTCAGCTTCTCTATTTATTTTTCCTCTTTCTTTCCATAAAACCTTCCAAAATTGTGTGCTTCAATCACTGGAATGAAGTTAGCATATTGTGTTTTTTTTTTTAAAGCTATGCAAAGCTTCCATGACAATTCCCACTCAATAAACACAATGTGTTTTCTCTTTAGACAGACGACACATCTTTCACATACAGGGAGCTATTGTTCTATTTCCTAATTCATTCCTGTCCGTGTCATAAATGTTGGCAAAGAAAGGCTATGTCTACAGGTACAACTAATTTGACTGTTTTGACTGAACTGAGGGACTATTACCTGCTTACTGATAACTTAGTTAAATAGCTAGCTGTCAAGATGATCCTGCTGGCTGGGTGTAACTCACAGCAAGCATGACTGAGAGAGGCTGTTTTACTGCTGAATACGGACTCCAGTGATGGAGCCATGGGTTCTACACAGAGGTTTGTCCATTCCTAGAAGTGCCAGCTCAACCACCACTTATTTCATGATGCAGTTTTCTAGAATTAAATGAGTATAATAGTTTTAATAATCTGTATCAGTTTTGGAAAATTGCTTTGCCCATGCATTCATTTATGTGCAATTAATACTTTTTCAGCAGTCTTCCATAATTCAGATTCTATGTTTTCCTCAAGGCAGCCACAATTCAGTGGGATGACAGACTGGCTCCTTCTCATCATCTATCAAAGATTACCCTTCTTCTGCTTGTCCCATAAATGCCTGGAGCACTCAGGATTCCCTTTTCAATGCTTTTTTTCTTGTTACTTTAAACTTCTTCCATCAGCTGTTTCTATATATGAAATTATCACCTCAGTACTAATGACTTCACAATTTGTCTCTCACCATACAGTCTTTTATATATCCAACTGCTTTGATAACACCATTGCTTGTATGCTTCTCAGGATCTAAAATCCAAACTCTCACACCTCTTCATGTCTTTCTTTCCAAACCTGTTCTTGGTCCATCAGTTCCTGCCTCAGTAAGTAGCTCTACCACCCATGGAGTTGCCCATGTCTGAACTTTGTTGGCCTTAACTCTTTCCTCAGCTTCAGGTAGCACTTTTAATGAATCACCATGAAAAGTTTATTATACTCCCTTTATATATCTCAAATCCATCTGCTTGTTTTATTGTTGTTGCCCAAACTACTGCTCAATCTCAGGCAACCTAAACTTTATCTTTGAACATAAGCATATTTCACATACAAAGAGGGTTCTACAGCCTGGTCCCCTCTGATTTATTCTCTGCTATGCAGAGAGTAAGTTTTCTCATGTGTTTAAAATCCTGATGTTTATATTATACATATAAACCTAATATTTGATCGTCATGAAAAACTTAGTCTGTTATCAGCAACTTTTAGGTAAAAAGAGAAATACAAATCAAAATTGCAAAATTTCTGGAAAACAGTAATAGTGAAAACACTATAGTTCAGAATCAAGATGCAGCAAAACAAATACTCAAGTGAAATATTGTTTTAAATCTTCATAAAATATACAAAAAATAATAAAAGTTAACAAATTAAGCATCAAACTAAAAATTAGAACAAAAGGTTGAAAAATAACCAATTAATGGAAAAGAAAAGAAAGAATACTTCAAGCTAAAATTCAGCAATAAATAAACAAATTACTTCTTTGAAGAACTCCAAAATTGATAAAAGATTAAATTACCTGAGAAAAAAAGAGAAAAAACACAAAAGAAACAAACACGGTTATGATAAGGGGAAAACAATCACTGATATAAAAATAACAACTTTTTTTTTAAGTTAGAAAGTTTCGTTTTGGTAAACTCAAGGCAAATAAATAGAAAACTAAATGAAATGTAAACTATTTTGACAAAATATTATTTACCAAAATCTGACTTCATAGGAATAGAAACGAAAATAGATTAATTTCCACGAAAAATGGAGAAAACTCTGACAATGGTGTACTGCTAAGGTAATATCAAAAATACATGGTTTCATAGGAGAATCCTACTGAACAAACCACAATTCCCATACTAGTTAAACTGTTCCAGAGATTAGAGGACAAAAGGGCCATTTCTGAATTATTGTAATGACGAAATATTGATTCCAAAAATAATGATTGCAGAAAAACAAAACTGCAAGACTCATCTCTTTTATGTAACCTCATGCTAAGAATTCAAGAATGATTCACTATTAACAAATATATTAATATAATTAATTATGTTATTTTACTTAATTATAGAAATTATATGAGCATCTCTACAGAAATTGAAAGGTACTTGACAACTTTCAGCTACATTCTTCATCCAACAACAACAACAACAAATGCAACATGATGGAAATGAATGATTACATACATACTTACATGTGACTGCTTGTGTATACACACACACACATACACAAATCTAGATTAATGCAGGGACATACTTTGTGACATAGTCAATTATTAAAGTCAAGAACAAGACACTCTCTCAGCTTTCACAATTATTATCAAACTTTTCTGCTAAAGGCACTAGCAATGTATCAGAAGAGTAAAATATATTCGTTTAAAAGTGGTAGGAAGGAGGTTAAAACACCCTCACACATAGTTTGTAGATGATGTAACTGTCTTACCAGGCCTTAGAGAGTTTGTAAAAATTTTAACAACTACTAAAAACAATGAGATAGCAGGATATAGAACTAATAAAGAAGAATCAATGGCCCTCATATTAAAAAAAAAATCTAAAAGGAGACATAATGAAAAAGAAGACTTCACTTTTAATAAGAGACAAAAACAAGCATAGGAATAAACATAACAAGATATGTGCAAAGAACAACTTTATGCAGAAACTTTTTTAGAAGTCCTCAAGGAACACAAAAATAGACATGACAAGTAGAAATATATAACATGTTTTCAAAAGAATGACTCAGTCTCATAAAGATGTCAATTCTCTCTCTGTAATATAAATTAACATTAAGCCATTGAAAATAATCAGGATTTACTTCAGGATTAGATATGCTGATTCTAAATCTTATGTAAAAAAAATGAACAATATGACCATAATAACACTAAAAGTAAAAAGGCAATAAGGAGATATAGCCTTAAAAGATATTAAATATACTATAAACACTCAAGAATTTCACCTTGTAGTGCTGGCAAATGAATAGAAAGTCAAACGAAGGAAATGAGAAAGAAAGTTTAGAAATAGATTCAGATATTATAAGAATTTTATATCTAACAAATGAGGCATTTCAAGCCATAAAATAAAGTATTTTTTTACTATGTATAAATAAACACCTTTATGCCTAGGCCCCAAAACATATGTAAAAGACAAATGACAAGCTAGGAAACTATTTCAATTTTATTCATAGCAACATTTTTGCAAGATTATTGCAAGAAATCATCCAAGTGACCATCAGTTGAGTCTGGTTTAATTCCGCTGTACTCATTAAAATCATAAGCAGCTGGAAAGTTAAGTACCTACATGGGAAGGTCTGCAAAATATATTGTTATTTGAATAAAGCAAGGCTAAAAGGAGTGTGCATAGTTCACTATCTTTTGAGTAGGTAAGAAGGGTATATGTGTATCTGTTTACATTTGCATAAAGAAACACTGGAAAGCCGTACTATGCTCTTACTTACTGCTGGACTTTTGAACATGTTAATCCTTCCTCTCCATGGGTTTTTCCTCTTTTGCCTCCTGACAACTCCTATTCACCCTTCAGGCCTCCACAAGATGTATATTTCTCCGGAAAATGTTAGTTTCTGTGGCCCAATAATTTGTGGGAACTCTCCCTATGTGCTCATCTGTATTTAAGCATAATTTATCATTATACTTAATTTGCATTTTTCATTAAGCATAATTTATCATTATCAAACAATACTATAATTATCAACTTATTTGCCCCTTAAGTGCCTTGAATAAACAACTGCAGTTTGGTCCCCGCTGTATTATTTTCGCCTATCAAAGTGCAAGAAGAAGAGACTAAATAAATTCAATTAAAGAATGGCTACACCAATAGTGATGCAATATAAATTAAGTGTGATCAGAAAAAATGTCACACTTTAGCATTCTTCTGAGAGGCAGCGAAGGAGTCTAAGAAGGATTTGCTTCAAGATATCATTTCCATTTACTTCCTATCTTATCCTTTCCTGAGGATTAACTGCATACATATTGCTTTGCTGTTTGTTTATCTTCTTTAAAGAGATCTAGTCTTATTAAAGAGTTAGGAGTTGAGTGTACACTTAGGAAAAGTATATTAAGTAAGACAAGATTTGAATATGAGTCTTTTCTTTCTCTCTCTCTTTTTTTTTTTTTTTTTTTTTTTTTGAATATGGCGTCTCACTCTGTAGCCCAGGCTGGAGTGCAGTGAGTGGTGTGATCTTGGCTCACTGCAACCTCCACCTCCCAAGTTCAAGTGATTCTCATGCCTCAGCCTCCCAAGTTACAGGTGTGTGCCACCACACCCAACTAATTTTTGTATTTTTAGTAGAGGCGGGGTTTCACCATGTTGGCCAAACTGGTCTTGAACTCCTGACCTTAAGTGATCCGCCCAACTTGGCCTCCCAAAGTGCTGGGATTACAGGCGTGAGCCATTGCACCCGGCCCGCTTTTTCTTAAATAATGAAATACAGTAAACTTGTTTAAGGTGAGAAAGTAATATGTTCATTGATCAGGCACACTATATGTTCCAGGAACTTTGCCAGGTCTTTTGCATAAATTTTTCCTCCAAGTAAGAAGGATGCTTGCCATAGTCAAAAAAGGTTTTCTAGTCAGAGTTGCCAACTGTTACCCAAGTGCAAAATGCATACTTTTCCATCTATGAGCAGACACATGCCCACTCTGGTTTATTTCAGATGAAATAATTATTACTGCCCCTTCACATGATGCATCTACAACTTATTAAGTGTCCCTTGCTGGTGCTCAAAACCCCAATAGCCACAAGATGAGAAAAATAACATTTCCTATTGGGAATGAAAAGTAGTTTAACCCTTAATATTGTATTATTTTTTTCCCTTGACTTGTTAGAGAGTCAGGGAAAGTTTGGGGGTCCCAGACCTAGTGTCCTGAGGGACTGGATTTGTTCCCAAGGCCTCACTCAGAAATTTGTAGAAGTGAGTCCTTGAGAAAAATGACAAGACTCATGTTTCCAAGTTAGTGGTGGTGATGCAGGTGGGAAAATCAATGTGCGATCATGTCCAATCACATCCAACCTTAAAAATAAAAAATCATTTGAGACCAGGAGGTTGAGGCTGCAGTGAGCTAGAATAGCACCACAGCACTCCAGCCTGAGAGACAGAGTGAGACTCTGTCTCAAATAAAATAAAATGATGAAAGTAGGCATCTGTTTTTCAACCAGGTCTATTTTATTCTAGCAATGTTATTGTAGGGATTCTTAATGTTCCTCCTTATCTCCCTATTACCCGTTCTTCGTTCTCTTGTTTTGTCATTTTATTATTGCATTGTTTTATTCACTCATGTTCTTATTAAATTCCTCTACACTAGGGTTTTTCCCCTAAGCATGATTGACATTTGGGTCAGGGTAATTATTTGTTGTGGGTGGGTGAGTAGGTGGATGGGAGATGTGTCCTGTGTATTAGATGTTTAGCAGCATCTCTGGCTTTTACCTATTAGATACCAGGAGCAAATTCCCTTTCAGTTGTGACAACCAAAAACATCTCCGGACATTGATGCATGTCCTGTGGAGCCAAAACTGCCTGGAAAATAATATTTATTACTCTCTGGGCTTTTCATTGATCTTTTCCATACTGCATATGTATGTATTTTTCACTTTGTTTCTGCTGTTTTGTCTTTAATAGACTCTGTATTTTGCTGTTGTTGTTATTGTTGTTGTGTTTGTTTTGTGATCCTACACATATTGAATGTGTCTTGAGTCTTTTACATCTGATGTGATGTCATTTTTTTTTTTTTTTTTTTTTTGAGATAGAGTTTCACTCTTGTTGCCCAGGCAGGAGTGCAATGGCACGATCTCGGCTCACCGCAACCTCCACTTCCCAGGTTCAAGCCATTCTCCTGCCTCAGCCTCCCAAGTAGCTAGGATTATGGGCATGAGCCACCACACCCAGCTAATTTATATATATATATATATATTTTTTTTTTTTTTTTTTTTAGTAGAGACAGGGTTTCTCCATGTCGGTCAGTCTGGTCTCGAACTCCTGACCTCAGGTGATCCACCCACCTCGGCCTCCCAAAGTGCTGGGATTACAGGCATGAGCCATTGCACCCAGCCTAATGTGATGTCTTTATTAACCAGTGAGCTAAAAACTGCAAAATTTAGACTGTAACTATTGACTGCCCATGACATGACAGAGAGATAAGGGGTTGGATTAAGACTTAAATTGACTTCTACTAACAGCCGTGAAAAGGGTGAACCTGATGTGAGGCATGTAGGAAAGTTCCAGCTTTGATGCAAGTCCAAATGAACTTCACCTGTAAGAGCTACCTGGTGAGGCTCTTAGAATGGGGCCACTTCAGAATGGGTTATAGCAGGGGTTGGGGTACAGAATCATTATGTGGCCTTCTAGGAGAAAACATCACCCATATCACAGGACCTGCCACTGGAATTTCCTAGTATGGGGTCCCTGAGAAAGTCACAGAAGTGCCTGATGTAATAAGCAAAGTCAGTTCTAGACAGCCACATAACTAAGAGTACTGGCGGCTACTGTGCTGGAACTAGTCACAAAGTCTGTGTTCTTCCCTTTAATCCCTTCTCATCTCCCTGAGGAGTCAAATATGAACTATATGCAAGGTGCCAGGGACAAGAAGCAGAAGCATTAGAATTTACCTTCAGATCTGTCTCAAAAGCCCACTAAGAACCCCTTAGTAACTCCATATAAATCGTCATACATCCACTGGCAAGTCTCTCTTCTAAAATGATATTCAGCTATGCCTCCTTTCTAACAAGATGGAGTAATGATGAAAGATAGGAGGGGACTCCTAAAAATTCAAGAAAGTGTATGGAGCCTCACTCATTGCACACTGGAGTTACTTGGCTACACGTCTGTCTCCCAAGGTGAAGGTGAACCTGGTGAGAGCAGGACCAGCATCTGACTCATCCCTAAGTTTCAACACATGGCACATGATAGACCCTCATTTCATCACGAATTAACTTCTTTAAAGTAAAATTTCTGTCTAAATTGAGGCACGTACTATCTCCTTTGCAAAAGTACTTAATGCATTTAGCACTTTGCAAGAAAGGAAACACCTCGTTTCAATTATCAAAAAACCCCTACATTCCCGCCACCCATTTACTAAAAAGGCAAAGCAGAAGAATGAGATCCATGCACATGAGTGGCCAGCAAAAGCTTCCCTGACCTGTATCTAAGACATTTGCTCTCTCTGAAGGAAGCATCAAATTTTATCTTAAGTTAAATCTCACTCCCTATGGAAGAGAAATTCTAATTTCAAAAATGAGTCTTGTTGGTATTCAAGCCCCAAAGAGTAAAGGAAAAAGAAGACAAAAATTTCTCTGAAGCACTTCAAATATGACGACTTTTCTTCTCAGATTTCTCAATTTGTTCTCAGAGTACAAATTCGAAGAGTGAAACCGAGATTTGTTTAGCTTCTCTTCCCCTTGAATTATCTGGGAATTACATTTCACAATCTCTACTGTGGGCCTTGAACTCATCAGTGTTCTGAGTCTGCTACAAGTCATTCACTCTGTTATCTCCTGGCAAAATAATACAGCTCAGGTGTCCAGCAGCTGTTATCAATTCTGACTGCTAAGACTACACAGCTATGAGAAAAGAGAGCCTGCTCTCTGATAGAGAAAGATAAATGGCTTAACCGGACAACCCTCTTGCGTAGCTTAAGGAGAGTTCTGCCAACAGGGAGTGGTTTTGAAAAAAACAGAAAGGTATTTCCTACCCCAGATTCTCTCCATCTCAAGCCTTGTGGGTGGCAGGCTTTGCGGGAGAGCCCAGGCTGGGCAATGAACAGACCCAAGTTCTTTTTTTGGTCTCTACCACTTACTAGCTGAGTAACCTCAGGAAAATTCCTTAAACCTTTTAAAGTGTGTTTCTTCAACTGTAAAATAGAAGCAATTTAAACCTATTTCAAATGGATTGTTGTGAAAATTAAATCAGACAATGTTTGTAAGAACCTGTTTCAAGGAAGCACTCCATCAGGCTAGAGTGTCAGCCTTTGACAATAGACCTAAGCCTTCATGAGTGATAGGTCATTTAGGTCTTCATCAATGCTGGTTTTGGACCTCTCCTTTACAATTCAGACTCTCTAGATGGAAGAGCACGTGAGGTCAGGGGAATCCACAGGTTTTCAGTTGTAACTGAAATTCACAAAACTGTATGTGTGGAAAACATTTTATTAGTACCTGACCAATCAAGAATGTCTATATTTTTATATACAGTATATCATTAAGAATATCAGTTGAAGTCATCTGATTTCATTGTAAGAAGTGTTTTTCTTTTCTCAAAAATCTTTAATGAAGCCCAAGTCCTTGACTCAGGCCTACACAACTTGACTCTACCTGGTTCCTGCAGATCTCTCTCATTATGTGTATTTTTTTCCTTTTCTTTTATCCCATAAAACAAGTAGCTTTTATCTTTCCAAAGTTGGGACTTTGCACTTGCTGGGCCTTATTTTTAGAATGTTCCTCCCCAACAACTGCACATAAATGCCTCTCTCTTAGCATTCAATGCCCATCTTAATTACTCACTCTTTGATGACAACCTCTTAAACCACCAAACACAAACTAACCCTGTCTCTCCATTAAGGTTTATTTGCATCACAGGACTTTGACTATTATAGGACCAACAGGTTTGTTTGCCCACTGATCAATTACACTGAGTTAGCAGGATTTGCAGCAGGAAAGAGTTCCGTGATCATAGGGTGCCAAGTGAAGAGATGGGAGGAGACTCTCAAATCTATTTCCCCAAAAAGTTCTGGGTTCAGTATTTTTGGTCAAGATATGCCAGAAGCAGCATGGATTGCAAAGCTTTTTATTTTGTGCCATATCATTGTCAGGTTGGTGTGGTCACCTGCTTTGGGTCCATCTTGTCCCTTGGTGAGACCCCTATGGCCAAATGACTTTCAGTCAAAAGACATGTAGTCAATTAAACATTCTGGGCCAGATGGGAATGGAAGTGGGCAGACACTCAATAATGCTTAAAAAACCTTTTCAGCATATAAGAGCCAAAAAGTAAGGTTATAGAAATGAATTCTGGTCTTAGATACTGACTTGTAGCCATTTAGCAATACGAAACATAAGCATTTGGTTAAACCCTTTTGAGTTAAGGAATTCAGAGTGGCAAAATTCCTCAACTTGTTGGCTGTTTAGGTAACTCTGTGCCATCCTTGATTTGGAGCATCTGAACTAATTGTATCCCTCAAAACAGGCCCTTACAATCTCACATGCCCATCTCTCCTGCAGTAGTCACTGAGCCTAGAGAGATTGAATAGTTTTAATTTCTAGTCTTATGTCTCACAAAAGCAGATCATTTTCATGCTACCTTTCTTCTGGGTCTGAAGACAAGGCTTTTGTTAACCTGAGTATGGTGTCAGATAATAGTATCAATATTTTAAGAATTAGTAGGAGTTGGTGCCTTTTTCAGATGAGATATGTGCACCCAGGAATCAAAACCCTTTAACTTAACAGTACAAGGATTAATTAATAGCACCTGATGAAAGTCCCTTTAAAGGGGGGGTCGAGGGAGTCTTTCAATGGATATCTCTTTCAGTACATGTAATTATCAGGCTGGAGTTGGTGATGCTGGAGTTCATGGTTTGACTGGAAGCTGTAAAAAGATGCTAAAATCTTGCAGGGATCAGTTTTTACAGCTTTGATAAGTATCAGCAATAAGTCTAAGTCAGAGACTTAATTTAGAATTTGATTTTGAGGATGTATATCAAAGATGTTAAAAGGCCAAAACATTTGATCAAAACAGAATCACAGGTCATTGTAAAATAATAGTTATTAATTTAACCAAAGTGATAATCAAGACTTTAAAAGCACTACAGAAAGTTATACAGAAGTAAAAACTTTCCTTCTTAAAGCTGAATGTTCCTAAGTAATCAAAAAACTAACAACATAGGAATTATATTGATAAAATATAAAATCTTGCTTCTTAGGCCTGTTATCAAAAACACCAAGGAAAACCACCTGCAGAGTGAAGTGTGATTGCTTCTCCTTATGGGAAACCCATTTAGAGAACCTTAAAGTCAACCCTGATGAAAAGGGCACTTGAATCAATCCAATACAGGAAGAATGTGTCCAGGATTATGGTTATAAATTATATTATAGAGGAAACAAAAAACTAGAAAACTAGTAATGCATGACTCCTAGTAACACCTTGAGAAGTTTTCTGTTACATGGAAAAATCCAGACATAGCAAGAAAAGTCAAGTATACAGAATCAAATTATTCTAAAGAAAAACATTGCTTTTCTAGAGCTTTAAGATAAATATTTTATTGTCAGGCCATAGCAGTAAAGTGAAAAACAGAGACAGAATGTTACAGGAGCTGGCAATAAAATAAAATATAAAATAAAATAAAATAAAATAAAATAAAATAAAATAAATAAAGTAAAATAAAATAAAAATGAAGAAGAGAGTTTTCATCTCTGGCCTTCTCAAAGGGAGAAAAGGGTGAAAACAATGAGAAACAGCAAACGTCGAACTTCTGAGATATAAATCTGAGTTTTCAAAATGAAACAGGTAACACAATTAAAAGGTAAACCTCTTGTAATTTTTTTTTTTTTTTTTTTTTTTTTTTGAGACGGAGTCTTGCTCTTTCGTCCAGGCTGGACTGCAGTGGTGCAATCTCGGCTCACTGCAAGCTCCGCCTCCCGGGTTGACGCCATTCTCCTGCCTCAGCCTCCCGAGTAGCTGGGACTGCAGGCACCCGCCATCGCGCCTGGCTAATTTTTTTTTTGTTTTTTGTATTTTTAGTAGAGACGGGGTTTCACCATGTTAGCCAAGATGGTCCTGATCTCCTGACCTCGTGATCCTCCCGCCTCAGCCTCCCAAAGTGCTGGGATTACAGGCGTGAGCCACTGTGCCCAGCCACCTCTTGTAATTTTATTTAGAGTAAATTCATACCTTAAGGAAATCTTGTTTTATCAGAGGATAACCAATCTTTAGAAGGACTATTATGAATAATATTTTCAATTATAGTCAACCTAATCAAATACTAAATTTCTTTCATAAATTCCCTTTCATGAGTCTTGTCACAACTTATACAGGCCATCTATGACATGTCTGAACTTTCTTTTTTTTTCTAAATAACTAGTCATTTTATTTTAGAACAAAAATATATCACACAAAATATTTTTTCATATAAAAGTATTATCTTTGTTTTTATAACCCTCCTTATGAAAAATATATTTTTATATTTGTAATTGTTTTTACATATTTCTCCTCTACTTACTGGCCTTTTTACCTTGTTTCATAATCTTTTCAAGTTCATAATTTGAATCAATCTTCAGATAACTTCTGAATTAGACAAAATTATTCTTTTTCTTAATAAAAACCCAACTTTATATTTTTTTAATTTTTTTTCTAATGAGAAACACATCTTTTTTGACACGTTTTACATGCAGAACTATATATTTACTAGAAATCTTATTTCAGGTAACCTTAAGTTTTAGTGAAAACCTAGGAAGCAAGAAATCCTGAACTGTTTGTTAGATGTTAGTGTTTTATAGTTGAAATGATTTAACAATGTTTAGAAACTTGTTTCCCTATATCGTAACTGTTTCTTAACTGAAAATTACCCAGATATCTAACAAGCATTCAAAATAATTTTAAGATTTTAAACAAACAAAAAGTTTACCTTTAAGTATTTAGCCCATTCATATTTACTCATTTATTTTTAGCAGTTTATCTAGATTAGTTATGATAACTGAGATATTAGACAAAGCTAGTCATCATTTAAATTTATTTCTGTTTGACATTTTTATAGCCTGTGTTAGTTCACCTAAGTAAGAAACTTAAACTTATGAGTACTTTTGCCAATAACTTAGATGATTTAGCTGTTTTCATTGAACAAAAAACATTAAATTAGTCTTATTTGTCAAAAAATTACACCAACGAAGACCATTCTGTTTTTGGATGGGTTTATAGTCTTATAACCTTTGTGCCAAAATCTGATACCTTAAAATATCTAGAAGAGGAACATATAAAATCATCAGTAAGCCCAGACAAAAATATATGCTGACAATTCTGGAGACATTTCTATTTTTATTTTATCAATAATTTTAAAGCCAGCTTTTTAATTAATGATTTAAGTCACATGAACTTGAAAAATATTTGAACTTTATTTATGAGTGTTCTTTTAATTATAAGCCAGTTTAGTACCATATGAACATGATATATAACACAATACATGTGCATACATATAAATTTATCTAAATGCACATACAGACAATACAAAGATGCTATAGGTTTTGCTTTGAAATTCTAGTCATGAGATAGCAATACAAACTCAGTGGTTTATGAAAGATACAAAGCAGGCAGAAAAGAAAATAAAGACAGACAGAGAACTTTTAATTTTATGTTTTCAGATAAACTCATTTGAGCTCTGAATTTTTACTTTACTGTAATTTGCCCATCAATTTCAAATGTGCACAAGACTGAGCCATGGTTTATAACCAACTGGAATCCTAGAAAACCTGGCATGCCTTTGCACTTTTCCATAGTTTTTTCACAGGAGTTCGTGCCCTTAGTGGGTAAGTTACCTATTGCACTACCTAATAAAGATCTCTCTTGTCTTCCCAATTTTGCATAAAGCCCGGTGGGCTGCTTGGAGAAACCAAATGAACATTTTTCATTCTGGCCTAAATAATGCATGCACAACAAAATGTACACACTAATCACTCTACTTAGTACCCATGGGTGACCTAGCAAGGCTCACATTTGCCTCAGCTAGCCTTGGCACCTTTGACCTACTCAAGGTCGGGGGGAATGACCTCCAACCAGGAGTTCAGCAGGTGGTCTTGAGGCAAAGTGGAAAAGTGGATGGTAACCCCGAGTTAGGCCTGCCGAGCTTCACTACCAATTCTTTCAGGGATCTCTTTCACATACAAACATACATAACAGGACAAAGACAAACAAAAGGACTTCCAAACTCAATTTCCAAATTTCAGAAATCAAGAGTATTTCTCCCAAGCACTGCCCTTTTTAATCCTTTTAATTTAAGAGAAATTCCCTCAAATAAGGCCCTTCCTATTACTAAAGAGGGTCGTCAAAAACCCAGGAGAATCCACAAGACCTCCAAGGAGGCCACAAGACATCAGAAGAGACATGAGACATCAGAACATCCAAGGAGTTCACAAGACCTCAGGAGAGGTCACAAGACATCCAAGGAGGCCAGGAAATAGGGAGAAGACAAAGGGGGTGCCAGTTGCACAAATAAAACTTACCAACAATGTTTTTCACAACCAGAAACTGTTTCTATGCACAAGTGACTTATGTGCCCCATTGATAGGCAAGGCAGCAGAGACAGTCTAGTTCACTGGAGCTAAGTGGCCATTTGGGCTTATCCCTGGGTCCATCCCAATAATGACAGAACACTGAGCCTTAGGCAAATGCCCACAAACTGCTCCTGACTAGGCTTGCCATAATTTCTTACAGGATCAACAAGTTCATATGTCCGATATGCAGTAACAAACCAATTATACTGACCCAGAAGGGTTTGCAGCGGAGAAAGAGTTTAATGGTCACAGGGCACCAAGCAAAGAGATGGGAGAAGACCCTCAAATCCATCTCCCCAAGGAGTTTGTAGCTGGAGTTTTTAAAGGGGTTCATGGATAATGAAGGGCTGGAGAATTCAGATCATTGATTGGTTGGGGTAAGGGAGATAAAATTATCAGAATATGTAAACTGCATTCCTTGGTCAGCTTCTTGTGGGGTCCTTCAGACCAGCTAATGTCAGTAGTTTCATCAGTATGCAGGACATGCAAGAATATCTCAAATAGAAAACTTACCATCTCATAATGTTCAAGTTGTTATCTGTAGAGCAGTTAAGAACTATAATCTTGTAACATGGTCTATGTGATTCTGAGGCAAGAGGCATGAAACAACTATGAGGAAGTAGGTCGGAGAGCAGCTGACCTGGTGATCAATGCTGAATGTGCTGCAAGCTGTGTTCAGTTTTGTTTCTTGTCCTTCCTTCTTTCCTGATTAATTTTATAAAGTTGGTAGGAGGTGTTTCATGATTACCTGATGTCTTCTCTTTATTCTTTTTATTTATTTGCAGTTGATTCTTTCTCCCACTCTTATAAAAATTGGCACACTACACATGACAAGGTGTAAGGTAAGTTTTCAAAGAAGTGAGCCACTTATTGCCTCCAAATCTCCATGAAGCTATTACATTGCTAAATTCATGGAAAAAATATTTGTTTAATTATCATTTTGGAAATGCCAATTTTTTGAAATATGATTACGGTAACATAGTTACAAGAATAACAGGCCACCTGATTTTAAAACTCTAAAGTCAGTTTTCCCTAATTCTCTCACAGATATGATATAGAAACAATAGAAAAAAAATGAAAGCAACAGTGTAAAGCCACTTTTTCATAAAACTAGAAAACACAAGATATGTAATTCAGTGAAGAACAAGATGAAAGTGCTGTCACGGCCACCCAGGTGGTCCAGAGTCTGTAGAAAGCACATCTTTGTAGAAGACAAAGTCAATGGACCACGTTCAGGAGCCACACTTAAAAAGCTCATTTTGAAAGAATGAGAATGAAAGTGAGAGCTTCCAGGGAACCTGTTTGGTACCAACAATAAGCACAGGAGGTAGGGGCATAGGAGGCAGCATACACTCAACTTGGACCTACAGCAAGCCGCCTTTGGGTAAGGTGTTGGGGGAGTGAGAACACAGTGGATGTGATGAGCCTACAGCCATATTACTCAGTTAACTAAGGACTCCCTTGCATAGAGAATAAAAATCTGTTAGCCTGACTAAAAATCACCTGATTCAAAATGAAAAAAAAAAAATTAGCACTGGGTCTATAAAAATATATTATAATTTACACACACACACACTTCCCCCAAAAAATGTTCCCATTGAATAGATAAAAACTGTTGCCATTACCATAAAATAAAAGGAAAAAGAAAAACATCAATGGAGTAATCTCCCAAAAAAAACCAATGAGTCAAAGCTGACAAACAACATTTAAGGAGGGAAATGGTGAAGCGAAACAAGGACTTGAAATATGAGTGGCAGAACCAAAAAAAAGGTGAAATAAAAATAAGATCAATACAAAATGCAAAAATAAAGGTAACCTTGGAAACAATATGAGGGGAAATAAACGTTACAGAAAAACAGAGGATGCTATATGGAGCACGGGATTAAGAAAAGTAAGCAAAGATGGCTCATGCCTGTAGTTCTAGTATTTTCGAAGGCCAAGGTGACAGGATCACTTGATCTCAGGCTGCAGTGGACTATGATCACGCCACTGTACTCCAGTCCGGGTGACAAAATGAGACTTTGTTTCTAAAAAAAAGAAAATAAATGGCCTGCTGCAGTGTCTCATGCCTCTAATCCCAGCACTTTGGGAGGCAGAGATGGTTGCATCACTTGAGGCCAGGAGTTCAAGACCAGCCTGGCCAACATAGCAAAATCCCATCTCAACTAAAAACCCAAAATATTAGCCGGGCTTGGTGGCACACACCTGCCTTATTCCCAGTTGTTCGGGAGGCTGAGGCATGAGAATCACTTGAACTGGGGAGGCAGAGGTTGCAGTAAGCCAAGATTGAGCCACTGCACTCCAGCCTGGTTGACAGAGCAAGACTCTGTCAAAAAAAATTAATTAATTAATTAATAAAAGAAAATAAGCAAAAGGAAAAATATGCTATAAAAGAACTGAAAAGATATGATCTGAACTGAAATTATAATAATAGCTATAGAAGACAGATTCTTGTAATACTTGTTTTTGAAGGAAAATAGTTATTTCTGAAGAGGAGAAAAGAAACAAAGGAAATTAAGGTGTAATTCAATGTTTTTCTCAGATATTAAAAAATCTTGTTTTTAGATATCACTAAGTATATTGAGACCTGGAAAACATGACACATAATGATTAACCCTGAAACATATCCTAATAAAGTTACTGAACATTAAATTAAATAAAGAATATTTTAATCTAACTTTTGCAGCACTGCTGGAAAACACTAGAAGAGTGCCTAAATTCCTTAGTGAGCAGAAGTGTCCCAAGAATTTTATACAAGGCATATAGTAGTTTGAGAATGAAAATGACAGACACACATTGTTGCATTGTTTAGAATTTCCAAGAACAGAGAAAATATTTTAAATGACGCCTTCTTAAGGAAACAATGATGGAATAAACTTGAACAAAAAAAAAGAGAGATGGTTGGAGAAATTGTCATGAAGGGCCAGTGCTGAGGGTTGATGCCATTTAACTCAAGAATAAAAGCTGAAACAAATGCAGCATTATGTCTTCAATATAAATGTGAAAATTATAAACTCTGATGCGATAAAAATTGTATAACTAATGGGAGTATGATGGGAAAGAGAAGGTGTAAGATTTTATGAGATTTCCCCATATTTTATAGCCAGGGGTCAAAAAATTTACTTTAAAGAAATAAAATAATTGAGTACATAAGGGCATAAGCCTAAACATACAGAAAAAACATAATCATCTAAAATTTAGAGATGAAGAGTTTCAAAGGTAGAAGCAGGCAAAGTGGTGACATGTGTTTTTCTATTATCTCTGGCAAGTATATATTAGAAAATGTGTAAAGAAAGAGAGACAAATGTGATACATACAAACTCATTGTCATAAAGGTAATAATTAGCTCAGTATATGCAAACTCCCCTGGCAAAACCATCACAGACAGCACAGTAAAAGATAAAACAAAATAAATGCTCCAAAATCAGAAAGAATAGCTTTAATTAATATAATGTTATCACACTCAAAACTATCTACAAACCAGAGAAGAAAAAGTGCTAATCAGTGACAATTAATAGTTTAAATAAAAAGATTGGGTCACAAAATCAAAACTCAAATATTCTTTCAAAAAATATAAGCAAAATGTTTAAGAAAGATTGAAAGGAAAATGATAGAAAATCTTTTTGTTTCTAAAGGGAAACAAAAAAAGAAAGGGCATTTCAATATTAAAAAGTCAGATTTTTTTATTTGCATGTTGATATCTAGTTTCCCCAGCACTGTATATTGACGGCAGCCTTGTCAAAGATCAGTTGGCCATATATATGTGGGTTTATTTCTGTAACTTTCTATTCTCTTCCATTGATCTAAATGTCTGTCCTAATGCCAGTATTATATTGTTTTAATCACTGCAGCTTTGTAATATATTCTGAAATCAGGAAGTGTAATGTCTCCAGCTTTATTGGTTTTCCCAAAGATTGTTTTGGCTATTCTAGGACTTTTGTGGTTCCGTATAAATTTTAAAATTGTGTTTTCTTTTGCTATAGATAAAGCATTTGGGATTGGTGGAGATAGAATTGAATATCTAGAATATTTGGAGTAGTATGGGCATTTTAACAATATTAAGTCTTCCAATCCATTAACACAAAATTGTTTCTCCATTTGTTTGTGTCTCCTCTAATCTCTTTCATCAGTGTTCTGTATGTTTCAGTATGGAAGTATTTTATATCTTTGGTTTACTTTTAAGTATTTGACTCTATTTTATGCTACTATAAATGGGATTGTTTTCTCAATTTATTTTTCAGATGGCTTGTTGTTAGTGTAATGTCACTAATTCTTATATGTTTACTGTGTAACCCAAAACTTAACTGTATTTATGTATTCTCTCAAACACTTTTCATGTCCATGTGTGGTGTTTTTAGTTTTCTGGTTATAGAATCATGACATCTGCAAACAGGTATAATTTTATTTATTTATTTTCTATTTGAATTCCTTTAATTAATTTTTTTGTAAATTGTATACTTTAAATATGCACAGTTCTTTGTATATTAATTATATCTCAATAAAGGTGTTTTAAAAATATTTCAGGACATAAAGAATTAAATGAGACCAAGAAAGGCAATATATTAAGCAAGCAAGGATAATCCAAATTGAATATTAAACTTAAAAAAAAATCAGTAACCACAATAACATAACCTAAGAGAGGAATGAGTAACATGGCAAGAAAACCAAATAGAAATAGAATTCTTTTAGTAGAGGGGGACTTCAATTCATCCTTCACAGCTTGTGAGTGATTTAGTATAGAACAAGAAAAAAACTTAAAAAAAAACTAATTAATAAAACACTTAAGATCGTTATAATTAAACTAATTATTAAGGCACATTTAACTATGTACATAGCAACCACTAAGACTAAAATCATAGAATATATATTCTTTTCATGGATGTCTGAAACATTTGCAAAAATAAAAGCACTGTAAGCAAAAACAATTAAAAGCAGAAATAATACAGAAAACATTATCTGATTTATCTGCCGTGAGATATGTTAATAAAAAACTTATTTATAATTTAAATATTAAAAAATTAACCAATCGATAAATGAAAACTCTTTTGTAAGCAAGTTTTGATCAAAGAGAAAATTAAAACTAAAATTACAGAAAATGCAAAAATAAATTAGCATAAAATAGTATGCAACTAAAATCAGTGGTTCAGTGAAAATATTCAGAGAAACATGGCTAGTCTTATACTTAGTAAATAGAAAAGAATGCAAACTACTGGTTTCCATACCACCCCATCCAAAAAAATCAGGAAAAGGAAAAACAAAATATATAAGTTATAATGAAGGAGATAATACTGATAAATTAAAAATAAAAGAAAAAAATACATAAAACTCTGGGAAAATAAACCATTACCTAATTTAACCAAAGTTAATGAAAAAATAAAAAGCAAAGTGAAATAAAACAATACAAATTTATGGGAGGAAGGTAATGAAGATACAGATGAAAATATTGTATTCACAAGACATCACTTTGTTCAACTCCATAGAAATAAACTGAAAAGAATACAATGTATGCTCATTATGGAATATATAAACTATTAAAACTAACTCCAGATGAGGCAGGGAACCTAAAGAGGTAGAAACCTAAACTGTCAAATAAAGCAAGTAAAATAATTAAAATCATTAAAAGTGTCAAAAGCTACTTCTACCAAAGAATAAAATAAGACAAAAAACAATAAGCAGGCCAGGGTGTTTCACAGGGGATTTTCACTAACTCTTTAAGGAAGATATTGATTTTCTAAATACTTAGGGAGCCAAATATTAGATATATACATATATAATTTATTTATACTCTTGCATTGTATTATTTTTCTATTTAGGAAAAGATTCCAATAATTTCTGTGAAGTTAGCGAACTGTTCCTACTAAAGCTCAACTAAAAAAAACTAAGATCAAATTTTTATTTCAGTATTAATTTAAAAATTTTGTAAACGAAATAGTTGCAAACTCTGGCAGCTGATTTAATGTAAGTGCAAGACGAGCTAATTCCACGAAAGCAAACGAATTAACACTAGAAAATATTCCAGACCAATTCATTTGACTGATGGATCAAAAGTAGAAAAACCTCAGCATAACCTTTTGATAAAAATCAGCATCAGTTCTTGACAAAATGCCTTAATAATGCAGTATATTAATGGCTTAGACATTTCTTGAGCCCTTACTATGTTCCAGGAACCATTCCAAATGTCTTGTGTGTATTAACTCACCCATTTATGGCTGCGGTTTTACAGAGTAAACAGCTGGATAGCTCTTGCATATGAACATAGAAATTCATCATTGTAAAGAGTTTGCTACGAGGTAGGCACTGTTCTAAGTGCTTTCCATACATTATGTCTCTTAATCTTCACAACACCCCATGAGGTAGATATTACTGTCCCTTCTTTATCCACACATGCATGTGTGTGAATAAACATTTAATATGTCAAACTCAAACGCTCCCCTCAGGCTTTACAAGGAGGAATTAAAATTATTCTCATTAGAGGCAGGAAGAAGACAAGGGTTTTCATTATCACCACTATTATTTCACCTGGTCCTGCAGTTGCAAGTAAATGCTATCACACAAAACAGAAATACAAAAATTAGAAAACAATGGCAGAATAGTCATCATTTGCAGAGATATATCCTTATACGTGAAACACCTGCTAGATTCAAATGAGCAAATTTATTCAAATGATCAAAAAACTCAGGACAGTTGCTATATATGAAACATATAGAAATTAATAACTTTCTTATTAAGTGGTTAAAAGAAATAATGGGAGAAAAAAACCACATTCACATCATGAGTATCAGTGAGAAGGAGGTAGTGGGAAACAACATGAATTATCTACGAGGTCTGCACTGAAACAGGGTCGGTATTGAAAATGATATTGATGATCATAGGCACACAAAAACAAAGACATCATCAAATGGGAAGCCTTATTGTATTTAAAGAAGAAAACTATTTAAATGATCTCTATTAACATACAAATTTATGCTTCTGCAGTACATTTCCAATATGTTTCTGAAGTAAAATTTGTTTTCAAAATGCTTACAGGATCCTAAAACCCTACAAGAATGGCTTGAAAAGTTATGAAAAATAAGAGTAATGAGGGAAGATTAATCCTAGGTGATATTAAACACAATATAAACTTTCAAAATTGAAAAGAGTGCTGTTCTTGCATGAGGAGACAGATTAATGAGAGATGCTGAAGAGTTGACAAGAAAGGAAAAAATTGCTATCCATATCCAGGTAGCAAAGGGCAGCTGATTTATACCCTCTGTACCTTATGTTCTTTGTTTAGAGAATAAAGTTAATAATAGTAACCACCAGGGCACTGTGAATAAGCATTGCAAGCAAACAAAAGAAATTGGCATGCAGAGAAAGCTTTTATTCTAGAAAGGACAAAATGCTGCCCTTTCAATAATGTAAGTAGTCCAATGTAAGTAACCTGCCACCAAGTAGCTGACCTATAATTGTGGGGAATGGTGCCATACTGGGAACTTAGTGTAGGTCTCTGCTGCTGGCAGGTTGGGCACTTGTCAACAGCTGGGGTCAGGTTGGCCTTGGTAAGTAGAAGTGCCTGTTGCCGAACTCATGCGTAACCTCCATTTCTGTCACCATGGCCACTTTTTTCATGAGCTTTTTGAGTAACGACAGGGGTGGATTGGTTTAATGACAATGAAAAGAGGCTGACTGGTATCCACAGAATGATTCACTCTATCCATTTGATGATAAAAATACTCCTCTGCTGAGGTCACCCTTTGATGAGCATTCACACTGGACCCAAATATCTTCACGTTTTTGCCCATTCAGAGAGGTATATTCATATACCTCTTTTCCAAATTTCTCTATCACCTATTTTTCAATCATGTTCCCTCCAAATCCTTTACCATGCAGTCAAGCCATTGGCCATGACCATGCATCAATATATAATCACATGTTTGGCCATTTCTCCTTCCAAGCAAAATTAACAACCAGGTATATTGCTCAAAGTTCTACCTTCTCAGAGGATTTCCCTTCACCATTGCCCTTCAGGGATATTTCAGAAGAGGACTGTAGTGTTACAGCTGTCCACTTCCAGATGGTGCCTGCATATTGTGCAGAACCATCTGTAAACAAGGCATGCATTCTCACTTCCTCTGTCACCTAAATTTAGGGAGCTCCCCATGAAGCCATGGGTGCTGGCTAGGAGAGAGAAGGGGCAGCATAGCAGGATTAGAAACCATGGGTATTTGAGCCATTTCTTCATGTAAGTTACTTGTGCCTTCAGGGCTTGCTTGAGTCCCATCTGGTCTATACCACTTCCATTTGATGATGGAGTGCAGTTGTGCATACCCAACTTTAAGGTTTGGTGGCTCAGAAAATATCCACTTCATGATGGGAAGCTCAGGTCACATGGTAACTTGGTTGCCCATAGTTAAGTATTCAGTCTCAACTAAGCTCCAATAACAGGGTAAAGCTGTTTCTCAAAAGGAGAGTATTTATCTGCAGAGGATGGCAGGACTTTGCTATAAAACTTACCTATAGGGGCCTGTAAATGACACCAAATGGCATCCATATATGCCACTGTTACTTCAAACACCATTGGATCTACTGCATCATATGACCCAAGGGCAGAGCAGCTTGCATGGCAACCTAAATCTATTGTATAGACTTCTCTTCTTCTGGGACCCACTGAAAACTAGCAGATTTTCAAGTCACTCAGTTAAGATCCTAGAATATCACACCCAGATGAGAAATATATTGACTCCAAAATTCAAAGAGTCCCACTAGTCATTATTATGGGCCTTTCTGAATTTTGGAGTCAATATATTACTCATCTGGGTTTGATAGTCTAGGGTCTTTACTGAGTGATACAACAACTTAACCTTCACCTTAGAAGGGATCTCTTAACATACTCCATACAACTGAAGTCCTAGAAATTTTGCTGATTTGGAAAGGCCTCTGAATTTATGTACGAACCTCTAACATGCAAATGTCTTACCAGTACAGGCATACTTTATCTTATTGTGCTGTACTTTATTGCACCTTGAAAAATACTGTGCTTTTTACAAATACAAGAGTTGTGGCAACCCTGCATCAGGCAAGTCTATCAATGTCATTTCTCTAAAAGCATGTGCTCACTTTGTGACTTTGGACATGTTTTAGGAATGAAATATTTTTTCATTAGGTATGTATGTTTTTTAGACATAATGCTATTACATATTTAATAGATGATGATAAAGAGTAAATATAATTTTTATATGCACTGGGAAACCCAAAAATTTGTGTGACTCCTTTTATTGAAATATTTGCTTTTATATGTTGGTCTAGAACGGAACCCACAATATCTCCAAGTAATGCCAGTATGTCTAGTGTAGTTGCTACTTCTTGCTCACGAGGTACAATCCGCCTAATGTCATCAATGTAGTGAAACAGTGTGATGTATTCTGAAAGAGAAAGGTGACCAAGATCCCTGCTAACCCTACTATGACATAGAGCTGGAGAGTTGATCCCTGCTGTCCATTACAGCAACGATGCCCACCTTTTGTTGGTTGAGTGCTGCCACTTGACCCCTGACACTCCTAGATGCAATTGTTCTCACTGCATTTAGGCTTCCCATATCAGTGACATCAGTTTCCACTGTTAGTTCTAGTCAGTAGAGGAGAGCGATCACAGAGCTGTTCAAGGAGGCTAAGGCTCCCTCACAAATGTATTTCTCACAGTATTGATGAAAGCTATGTCTGCTGGACCCTCCCGATGTGGGTGAGTAGGTTGTAAGTGAAAAAACTAACATTCCCATCTCCCTAAGCCTTCACTGTCTTCCTTTGCAGTATACCAAATCAGGTCCAGCATTTCCAATCATGTTTCTTCCAAGTACTTTACCATGCAGGCAAACCATTGGTCATGGCCATGAAGCAATATATAATACATGTCTGGCTATTTCTCCTTCCACGTAAAATGAACAGTCAGGGGTACCACCTGGTTCATTCACAGTGGACCACCTTTTGAGCTATAATTTAGTTTACCAGTTGAACTAACTGTTAGAGCCCACTTCTAATTCTCCAAACTGCAACACTTAAACTAGAATGTCATTCTGGTTTATTCACGGTGGACCACCTTTTGGGCCATAATATAGTTTACCACTTCAACTAACTGTTAGAGTCCCCTTCTAATTCTCCAAACTGCAACATTTAAATAAGAATCTCTAATTAGTGGACTCATGTCAATATAAGTCTGTTTTGTCCAAATTTATGTTTCTTCTGCCATTTTACATAAATATTCATTCCCACATATATTCCTAAAATTTCTGTCTATATATATTGAAAAAGATCAAGGTGTTTGTTTGTTTGTTTGTTTGTTTGTTTGTTTGTTTTGGAGAATGGCACACCTCCTCATGGGTCACATTCTGTACCTCACCTTTAGGGGCCTGCTGGGACTTGAGTATACTTATAGGTCTACAATTTGCATAGCAACTGCCTCAGGGGAGGCCATTACAGTTTCCTTAGGCAAAGCCAGGTTGATCTACTCAGATGGGGATGGAATAACAGCTTTTGCTGGCAAAGAAGACTTATCAGAGTTGAGGAAATCAGTGTCCCCAATCTCATCAGGGCCTTCTCTTATTTCTTCATTCCAACTCTCAGGATCCCATTCCTTGCAAATCAATGCCCTAGTTTAACAATAAACACCCCGTGAGGTTGGAAATTCAACTGGTATTATAATTCAGCCTCTCACAGGATGAGATTCTGGGTTTGATTTTTGAGCAATCTCAGATCTGCAGCTATAGAAGATAAAGATTTCCTGCAGGGAAGACTTAGAAATTTTCAGGTCATTTATATAATTCTTGAGTTGGGAATTTGAACCCCTGAGCTCTTCTTTTCCTTCCTCTAGCAAAATTAGGAGCAACTAGTGAATATCATTACAGCTGTCAGTTTGACAAAAAGATTAGAAAGTATTATATATATGGTCACCCAGAACCTGGCCTCTCATAGCTATCTGATTAGGAGTAGCCAATGGTGATGCTTTGCCCATCTCTATTGCTGTATCACATTATAGACTATCAGTGCTCTCTTCACTGCTGGAAATAGAGTCATTGGTGACTTTAAATCTAATTAATTTAGAGAATCAATTCCAGAAACTCCAGAACCAATTCAAAACACTCATCCTTAAGATTATGTTCCTGTTAGTTATGTTATTTTCCATAATTAAGTGATCTTTTTTCATACATGTAATTCAAGCTAATTTTATTTAAGTGGTAAATAAAATTTTTTCTCATGTTTTTATTGCTTACTATTATGATATAAGATATTTTATATTATTATACAGAAGTAATAACTGTAATGTGTATGGCTATATAATATTCCATCTAGTGGATTTACCACAGTTTTCTTATCTTCTGTTCAGCATTTAATATGTTTTCAATTTTCACTGTTATAAACTATGCCACGAATGTTGAATTAGAGCCTAAAGTGCTTTTTGTTTTCATTATTATTATTCTTTGTACTACATTTACAACTTCTCAAATACATATACATATTTTGTTCTGTTTTGAGTGCGGTTTATAACTTTAAATATAAAGCCAAAACTGAAGACATGCCTTGGACTTCACCCCAATATCATGTCTTCTCAATAGGACAGTCAAGATGTTTATTTCATCCAGAACTGGTATGGATTCATGAATATCAACTTTCTGTAAGAAAACAGTTAAGTGACCTTTCTACAAATCTTTGCTTTCAGGAAAAAGAAAACATTTTACAGGCACTTTGAGAACATTTCAGAATTTCATATAGCACTTCCAAGTCTTCAATAAAACCTGTGAGTGCACCTGGCACAGGTGACTAGTCAGAGAGGAGCAGAGGCATGAATGTGTAATGGCTCATCTAAATATATCAGTAGGGTAACTTGGTAAAGTGAACAGTAATTTGGTAAAAATGAGCTTTGTAAAGGCTCACTTATTCTATATATTATTTTATCTTCTGACTTAGAGCTTGAAGTGCTCACAAGTCTATTAAAATAGGCTTTTAAAAATCTCGAAGATTATCTTTTCCAGGGGTTAAGGGTGTAAATTAGAATTCCTTAGAGACTGGTTTAAAAATGTGCATGTCACATTCCACACCAACACTGTCCTTGATGTTCTGTAGTTACTTGGGGATTAGAGGATTGGAGAATGCAGGTATAAAATGCTGAAAAAGCATTCCCTGGTGATTTTGATTGCTGTGTGTCTGATTCGGCTTCCAGAAACATTCAACTGAGACCACAGATATTGACAAATTCTGAAATTGTACAAAAACAACCTATTGTTGCTTGTGATTTGTTTGGAATAGAGCTCGGAAGAGAAATGCAGGTCACTTGACTCATTCTGATACTCTTTTCAAGCCACTCTTTTTAAAGGAATTATGTTCAACTCATTTGAAACTGGAAATACATAGCATCAGTTGATTACATTTAGTAAAATATTAATAAGAACTGTTTTTCTATATATTCAAAGACGGACCAATACTCTACAAAATTAGAATGAGGATGGGAAAGAAGGGAGAGATCTGAAGTGAAGGTATTTAACATATTCAAACACATTATTGGAAAATAACGAGCTTTGGGAATACTTACCTTAGGGATCAAACCCCAACATCACTACTTACCTGCTCTGGGAACTTATATAAATTACTTAATTTTTCTGTTTCTTTGCTTCTTTTGGGGGACTATTGGGGATAACAATACCTACCACATAGGGCTGTTAATATAATTAAATAATGTACTTTATAGAAAGAATTTCTCATGTAGCATTAGCGGAAATGATAGTAGTCATAATAGTGGTAGTTGTAATGCAATTATTTCTAACTTCTCTTTTTATCTTCCTTTACTTTGGGAGTAGGTGGAAAACATTTGTTCAGTGGTAGTAACAGAAGATATAAAGAAAAATTTTATTTTGAGGGCAATAAAAAGAACGTCCATGCTTCATATTTGAGCAAGAACATTCCTACAGTTCTTGCAAATTGCTAGAGAAAATGGCCTTGCAGAGAGAGCACAATTTCAGGATAGGTGTAGTACAGACAGCTTATGTATGTGCTTCTGGAACAATCTTACCATGGGATCTTGGACAAGTAATTTATTGTCTTTTGACCTGCTTTCCCAACTGTAAAGCAGTGAGACACAATCATCCCAAAGGTCACCTTTCCTCCACCATGATAGGTGCGTCTAAAATTATGGCATCTCCATGCAAGGATTCTTGTTGTAACCACAGTTGACCTGACGATTTTTACTCTTGTGAGGCCCATCTAATTGGCAACTGCTGGGTAAGTACAGCAAAAACAGTAGGAAGAAGATAGTAAGGCAAGTTTCTCACAGGTAATGGTGATCACACAGCATCCCTCCCCACGGCTCAGGTAATACACACAGCTGGATTGCCCTGTGGGCTTCTGTGTTTATGTAGCCTGGAAAGGATGCAAATCAACTGGCTCACACAAAGAAAGACCAGGAGTCTTTGGACTCCTGTTGAACTCTAAGAAATTATAACTTTGTATCTTGGCATAATTACTGTAGGAGAGAAAGAATGATAGACGAGCTGTTCCTTCCCCCTCCATCTGCCCCCTTTCTGAAAATAATGTCCGTCCTGGGAGATTTGAGGCTGTTCTTCACCATCTCCTCCAACCCAGTGAACAAGGTGAGAAAACCAATCCCAGATATTTGTTTAGATCAGTGCTGTCCGATAAAATGCCACTGGCCACATGTAAGTTTTTACATTTAAATTTGACTTAGGCAGTTATGCCCGTTAAGGAATTTAGCTGGAATTGGGATAATGATTGGACAAGTAAAGGAGAGTATCTTGGGAGTCTTGGCACCCTATGCTACTTTCATTTACAGCATTTAGGAGGATGGTGGTGGCAGACTTTTGATGGAGTGAGGGCGTGGCAAAACACAGGAGTGGATGCAAAGGATTTGACCTGGGGGTCCCAGGACACCACTGTGCATGTTACCTACAGTAGCACTTTTCTTTTTCCAAAATGTTTTATAGAACACAAAATTTTGTTTCTTCCTGGATTTAAATCTGGGTTGCATGCACTGTAAGTCAAAAAAAAAAAATCATCACCTTCTTCTACAGAGAGAAGGGAACTATTTCATTTTTTGCTCATCATAAGCCTGATTGAATTCTACACATGGAGAAAAAATGTTAGATTCTTCAGGAAACATCATTCTCTCTTTCACACCAGCACACATTTTGCCACAGGTTAATATTTCTCTTGCATTTGCTGAGGATTGACACCTGAAAGAAATCACTGCTCACCTCAGGGCTGGTCAAGGTCACGTTTATCTTCAAGCGTCACAGTTTTATGTTCTATTGGACAAACCTTTAAAAAGAGAAGGAGAAAAAAGAGCATTTTGGTGGAATGTGACAATTTACAATCTTAAGGCCCTTAATAGAACGCTAATATTTACTCCAAGAAGTGCCGTTTGTTTACTGCTACCATTTCTGTTTTCAAAGGCTTTGGAGCCTGCTGGTACACGCCGTGGGCATTTTCACCTTATTCTCCTGAAGTATTTTCTAACACGATCTTATAATATTCCCCTACAACAGCTGCAACTCTACAAAGTCTAATTGCCTCAAATACTAACCATTACTAGGGAAGATCATCTTCACCGACCACTGTATTAGTTTCTTACTGCTCCTGTAGCAAATGATCACAAATATAGTCACTTAAAACAACGTAGATTTATTCTTTTACAGCTCTGGAGGTCAGAAGTCCTAAAATCAGGGTATCAGTGGAGTAGCCTTCTTTCTGGAGGCTCTAGGGAAAAAAGTGTTCCCTTGTCTTTTCTAGAGGCTGCACGTATTAGCTTGCAAACCTTTCTTCCAATTTCAAAGCCAGCAGCATGACATCTGAAACGTCTGTCTCTCTGATTCTTTGATCTTTGCCTCTGTCGTCACCTCTCCCTTTCTCAGGATCTGACTCTTCTGCTTTCCTCTTATAAGGACTCTTGTAATTACACTGGGCTCATCCACATAATCTAGGATTTTCTCCCCACTTCAAGATCTTTAACTTAATCAAATCTGCAAAGCCTCTTTGGCCATGTCAGGTAATATGCTCACAGGTTTTTAGTATTCAAACGTGGACAACTGTGGAGGGGCTATTATTGAGCCTATCACAGCTACGTTGACTCTGGAGCTCAGGTTTTCTTCATTTTTACTGTTCTTCCTAGGGGAATTCTTACTAGCTCAGTAGGTGAGTAACACACTTCAACTGGATCCAGAAAACAACACTCAATCAATCGTCTTTTAAACTTAGTTCAGCCACGGGTCTAGGTGTTTGTGAATCTTCTTTTTAGAATATTAAAGCTATTAACAAAAGATGAGATCTACAGAGGCAGAAAGGGGCTTTATTTTCTGACAGTGACCTATAGATTGGAGACGAGTAGCCTTTGGGATAAAGTGAAAGTGCACTCCCAGGAAGGGTTGGAGAGTTAGAGATTATAAAGGTAAAAAGCGAAAGGCCGAGGAAGGGGCCTGGGGGAGTGAGGAACAGAGCCTTGAATGGATGACCTGTAAGTGTAAAACCACAGGTCTCTCTTTGTTGGCTGACTCTTGGTGGACAATTGTTGGTCTGTTTGGGAATTTCCAGCTGTAGCCTATTTCAGTTTGGCTTGATTGCAGGAAGGGATGTCTTGTGACATTTTTGCAACATTTTCCGAGCGCACAGTATGCATGATGACCCCCTCATCCTGCTGTGGCTGCCTGGTTCTGCTTTACCTTGAGCATCTCAGCCACAGAGAGTCCATTTAGTCTATAGGTTGGAGCATAATTTGAAAAAAATCAAATATAGAAACTTGAGAATTAAGACTTAACTGAATAACGTTAAAGAAAGCAATGGTAAAGGGTGACACGTTTTCATGTCCCACAAATCATTCTCCATTGCTTTTAGAATGTGGCTATGCCTCAATTTAGAACTTTTATTAAAATTCTTCATTGGATTCACAACACATAAGAGGCATAATCACAGTTGGCCTGCCCTTTGAATTGCAAATGAGGCCTTGTTTTCATGCATACAATGATCTGGATCCTTTTTTGAGCTTGTATGAGAGAAATTTCCTAAGTATCAGAAGAGGATGAGAGATTCACAGAATGAGAGAGAGGACAAACAAGGAGAAGTTCTGGGAACAGAGGATAGATTTTACAGCTTTGCCTAAGGCCATCCCTGAAGACTATTTTGTTGTGTGAGACCAAAGTGATTTAATGAGAAAGAAGAAGAAGACCTGAAAAAAGGCAAGCTTTCGCCATACTTAGAGAAAAATGCTCAGCCGCTTCCAGTGTTTGATGCTTGCACTACAAAACAATAAGTAAAAAATGCAAATAGAGAAGTCGGCTACGTGGTCTGCTCCCCTCCTTCCTTCACCACTCACTCCAGAGACAGAGCTATGTTGAAACCTGGTTATCTAGGTCTTCATAGGAACTCTCCAGGCTTTGATTCTGTGGGCCCATAGCTAGGCAGCTGGCATGAGACTATAGAGAAAACCACAAGAGACCTTGGTACAAGGACAGGCTCTGTCACTAAAATATGATGTCAGACAATGCATTTCACCTTTTGGAGGACAAATGATAGTGTGGAAATAACAGGGGACTCAATATTTGTGTAGTTCATTCTGAATCTAGAAAATACCACCTCTAGAAAATTACTAAGATTCTTTCAGTCTCTCTTCCTTTATTTATGAGAAAGAGAAGAAACTATTATCTGAGCAATCTGAAAAGGGCCATTAAGGTGAGACAGCAGTGAGGTCTCATTCCCCACCACCCCAACCTTGAGCTAAGTAATCACCTTTTGAAGCCACTTGCTGGGTGGGCTCTGGATTACTTGATGACAAGTAGCCATAAATTAACCTAACAATGCCATACGCTGGACACCATAACTCATAACCCAGAGCTCTAAAATGTATAGCCAATCACTAATCAATGTTATTTCTGTAAACCATTGAAAATTCCTAACAAAAAACTTTGTATCAGCACATTCTTTATTCCCTTTCACTTCTAAAAACCTGCTTGTAACGAAGGCTGAATGAAGCCATTTCCAGGTATTTCCCAGGCTTCAATCCTCAACGTGGGCCTAAAATAATTTTTATATTAATTTTCCGTCAGTATCCTTATTTAGATTGATGCCAATAAAGAACAGATTTGATATGAGAAATGAATGAAATAATGCATGCAAATTCCTGATAAAAATGTTGAATGTTAGTTTCTTTCTTAACTGTACATGAAGCAGACATTCTTAAATTCTCAGAAATTTCACAGTCATTTCTTCCCTCCTTTCATCACCTGTTAATGACTGTCCTGCCTATTAATAAGATAATGCCTGTGGAAGTTCTCAAGTTTAACAGGAATTTAATGGAGAAGAGCTAAACCTGCAGTTCATCTGCTTTAATCATGGTAAATGAGGTTCATTCCCTCCATGGCCTCTCAGATGTTGATATAATTCCAACTGACGATCCTGGATTTCCTGGCTGGTGAGGCCGGGCCCCCAAGGGCACTTTGAAGATGAATGAGTTATGGGGGCATTCCCAAGCTCACACTCCAGCATCTCCCATCCTGGTGTAGGCTGCCTGTAATTACCTGGTTGCACACTGATTGGCTTCAAAGTTCAAATATACCTTATATTTCTCTGCCCTGATGGGAAATTTATGTAACCTGCTCTCTCTCCCAGATTTTATGTGCGTTCTCTGTGTTTCTCCAGTCACACCTGTTGTGGCTTGTAACTTATCTATTCAGTGCCCTTTTAAATATAATTATGCATAATGGCTGAGACTAAATATAAAGTAAACATATATTTAGTGGTTCTTTGAATGCACAGTCAAACTGCCCTCATTAAGTCACATTACTCAGGGTCAGATTCTATTCAATGACAGAGATGGAGGAACAATTTAAGCAAGGGAATTACTAAGCATTCTTGTCTAAAGACAGGAAAACCATTGGGCTGCACCTGTGCTTGGAATAAGAGCCAGACCCTGCTCTGCTCCCATAACCCTTTCTTGACTAGGTAATCAGGAACCTACTGAACAATTTCCCAGAAATGGAAGCGCCAAAGGCATCAGTTAAAAATGATTTTAGGCTGGGCTTGGTGGCTTACGCCTGTAATCCCAGCACTTTGGGAGGCAGAGGTGGGCAGCTCCCCTGAGGCCAGGAGTTCGAGACCAACCTGGCCAACATGGTGAAACTCCATCTCTACTAAAAATACAAAAATTAGCCGGGCGTGGTGGCACACGCCTGTAATCCCAGCTACTCAGGAGGCTGAGGCAGGAGAATCGCTTGAACCCGCGAGGCAGAGGTTGCAGTGAGCCGGGATTGCAGCACTGCACTCCAGGCTGGGTGACAGAGCGAGATTCTGTCTCAACAACAACAACAAAAAAGATTTTAATGGATACACTCTGCCACAGTCTCACTATATACAACCTTATATAACCTTTGGAAATTTTACCAAGAATTTCACCACTTCTCACTACTCCTATTGCTACCACTCTCATCAAAACCACCATGGTCTCTTCTGTGAATTGCTGAGTAACTTATTTCCTAGCCTTTGGGATACCCCTATGCTCCCACCAACCACTCACAGCCTAGTATTTGCATAAAACCTTAATCACCCATGTCATGCTTCTGCTCCAAACCCTCCTGTAATTTCCCATCTTCCCCATCTTCAAGGAATAAAACCCTGAGTCTTCCAAGTTACCAATGTTACCTCAATCTGTATAGCCTCTCACCTTTGGCTACCGGTCCCTCCCTCCCTGATGCTTCTTCATGTCATTCGTTCCTGCTTTCCTTGGCCTTCTGGCAGCTCCTCAACACACAGGGCCTGCTCCCACCATGCCCAGGAATCTACTAACTCCTTCCCTCACCTGCTTCGTGACTTCTCCCAGACATCACCTTCTACCAAGGCCTTCTCTATCAGCCCTACTTGGTGTTGAACACCCCACTCACAGCATTATTTCTCCAACATTTTTATTATTTTTCTCAGATATTTTAACACAATATAATGTCTCTCTCTCTCTCTCACACACACACACACACACACATATATATATATATAACTTTTTAATTTACCCCATTCAGAAGAAAGCCCATGATGGCAGAAGTATTTGTTAAATGTGTTGCTGCCCTATCCCGAGCACATTGCCTGGAACAAAAAGATACTCATTACATATTTGTTGAAAGAATGGACCTATAGGGGTTATATTAAAATTTTTTAGAAAGATTTTGTGCAAACACTTTTTCAAAATATATCTTATATGAAAGCTGAAGGTATAAAATAGGTAAAGAAGATTCCTTCTGTTTAAAGTGTGATTAGCATCATAAAATTAGCTAACACTTACATGAAATTTACTCTACACCAGGCCTTGTTCCAAAAACATTACATATATTCAAATAATTTATCTCCTCAACAACCTAGTGATATAGTTACTCTTATTTTCCCAATGGCACATATGGTGGAAACTGAGGCACAGAGAGATTTGGACCCTTACCCAATGTCACACAGTTAATATGATGAGAGGCCTGGATTTTGTCTGCTTATCACCTCTCTTTGCTGGTCTTGCAAATGCTGGGCCTCACAGGGTTATGTTTGCAACACTGGCAGGACGTCTGGGGTTCCCAGGAACCCATTTTAACAGCCACACATCTGTAGACTGGAGGTGAAGACAGTGATTGAAGGCTATAAGTGCCCACATGATCTGGGCGGACCAGTCTTCTCACACTTGGACATCCATGGATTTGTGGATATTCTTTCTTTTTTGGAATGTCTGTCTCATTCTCCTCTGCCTGGCAAACCATTAGTCATTTTCATGTCAGCTTATTATAAAACCCTGTAGAGTTAATTTGTCCCTTAATAAATTGTATACATTTATTAATGTAGTTTTCACATTGATTTACTATTACTTGCTTGTAAATTTTAATTCTACTACAAGACCATGAGCCCCTTGAGAGTAAAGACTGTTTTTGTTGCCTCTCCATCGTAGAACCAAGCATCATGCCTCAATCTCAGGAGATTTTTAACAAATGCCCATTGATATGTAAAAAACTGATTTGTCAAAAGTCACAAGCATGGAGAAGGGAAAAGCTGGAGTTAGAACCTACTCTAATCTATTATGGGACAGTGACAATTTCATAAAATGGTCTTGCTTCTCTCTACATCTTTCACGTTAGATACTCAACAAAGCAGTTGCAACTCATCTACTCTGAGTCTTATTTTTGAGTATCCATACATTCAATTAAATGATAGCAACTTTTAGTGTTTTGTGAAGATTTGGGGATGGTGTTGTTAGGGTATTTGGAAGGTGCTGAGCCACAATATATAAGTAGTTGCTATTAATGATAACTTGTCCTCAACACTTACTAGAAGATACTAAGAGATATTCAGAATTACACATGCCCTGCCCTCAAGAAGGTTTAAAATTAGAGGAGGAGATGGTTTTCTTCCACGCTCAGGAATAAAATCTAAACTCCTTCACATGTTACCCAGGGCATTGAGCAACCTCGTCCCAAGTCAGCTCTCTGTCCTCAGCTCCTGCCTCGCCCCCTGTCCTCAGGGTTACACTTCAGCCTCGCCGCCCTGCATGAGGCTGGGTCGGCTCCCCTCAGACAAGTGCTCCTTCCTCTGCACCAGGCTCTTGTCTCTGTGCACAGTTCTCAGTGTAATTAGGCATATAATGAATACTTATGTTGAGCACGATACTGCTATTTTCTAAAAGGAATAATGAATATATGAAATAAGTTGTTGAATAAAGAGAATCTACTGGGGCATGTGAAATTAAAATGTTGCCAGAAGGTCAAAATTAATTTTGGAAACATTGGTGGAACAGAGAGTTTTACACAGAGAAAACTGAGAAAATAAAAACTGCATGAGTTCAATGAATAAAAAGGGCAAAACATCTATCCAGAGGTCTTTTGCCTTTGCTGGAATTCATTAACTTTTATTTTGGCTTCAACTCTTTGAAAAAGTTCTGCCTAGAGGAATTCGTTAATTTGAACTTAATGTGGCCTGTGGAGGCAAAGTGAGATTTGGAGGGGCTTCGAGGCTAAGCAGATGCTGGTAAGAGTCCAAGACCACCCAGGGTTGTCCAGAATCGATGAACTGCTGGGGGTAGAGCAAGGAGGCTTTTTGATGTTGGACACTGTGGTAATGACTGCCTGCAAGCCAGAATCAATCTTTCCAGCAAAGACAGATGCTCTTAAAGAACACAGCACCCAGAGAGTTTAATACTTCTCTGCCTTTGTCTCTTGGCAGTTGACATCTCACCATTACAACTGCTTCTTAACTGCAGAATCAGGATTCAGTTTTCAGTTTTCCCCATGTTATTTTGACCTCTTCCCACCATCATTTAATAGTATCTGAAGTGATGGATATGTTAACCAGCTTGAGTCGATCATTCCACTTTGTATACATATGTCTTAGCCTCATATGTATAAGTGAACATGATATATACAATAAATTATAATTGTACATATGTGTACCTCATAAATATATATAATTATAATTTATTAATAGTCCATTTAAATTTTTTAATTAAAAAACACACATTCTTTACATTAAAAAAGTAAAATTTCAATATTTTTCCATAGACAAACACATGATCTTTAAATTAAATTTATCCAAAACAAGGAAACAGAAGCAAAATCCCTACAACCCACCACACAAGCACAGTATTTTGTAGAACATTACATTTTGTTTACTATTTTATTATATATGAACAGTTCAGTGACCTATATACAAACTCTTGTTTATTCTCTTTTTTTTATTTGTAGAAATTCTCATAACCTAAGTTATAACAGGATTATATAGTATAACATAGTGGTTAGAAGTACCTTTTCTGAAACCAGGCTGCTTAACTGAATAGTGGCTTCACTATCTCCTAGCAATATCACCCTGGGCAAACAGAGATAATGATAGTTCCCTGATAGTAAGTGCTTCATAAACTCTCTCACGGTAATAATCAGTATTATTGTGATTATTTACAAAATATACTAACATAAGATTTCTTATATTTGAGGATTCTGAGACAAGGGAAAGTCATGTTCCTGTTAAAGCCTTACACCCCCACAAAAATAATTATTACTAGAATTTGAATGGCAACATGTTTCCCCACATGATGTAGAAGGTGCTGGCAGGCCTCAACATTCTGTGCATATCAACCCCAAGGCTTCCTACTGAAAACAGCTTCAACTTCTAACCTAGGTTTTACTATGTCCTTTAGAACATGCATATTCTGTACCAGATGGGCCATAGATGCTCTAGGGTTAATACTCTTGAGAGCAACCTTCAACTAATGGCAGAGTTGGAGGACAAATGAATCCCCCAGCTTCCTGGTCCCTTGAATGGAAAAACTGTGAAGCATAGTTTTGTGCAGTCTACAAGAAGTCTCCAGGAGGAGTGAGTCCCAGTTGCCCACTGAGCAGTTTCTGATAAGTTTAGGCATATGCCCACCATATGTCCTGGCAATACTATTCCTAGTTAGTTACTCAAGAGAAAAGAAAACTTATGTCCATATGAATGTTTATAGCAGCTGTGTTCATAATCACCAAGAACTGGAAACAACCTAACTGTCCTTCAGCTGATGAATGGCAACTGCTGTGGTAGTGCATTCATGCAAGGGAATATTGCTCAACAATTTAAAAATTAAAAAAGAAAACATGATTCATGCGACAACATTGTTCAATATTAAATGCATTTTATTAAGTGAAGAAGCCAGACTCAAAAGGCTACTGTATAATTCCATATATATGTCTTTCTGGAAAAGGCAAGAATAGAGGGACAAAGAACAGATCAGTGTTCTCCAGGGAGTGGGGGATTGACTATCAGGAGCAAGAATGTGGGACATTTTGATAAGTGAAGAAATTATACTACATCTTGATTGTGGTTATGTGACTGTGTATATGGGACTAAAACCCTTTATTTAACCCTGTATGTTATACCTCAATAAACATGATATATTTTTGGGAAAAAACATAGCCTTTTTTGGGGGGGTTGTTTTGTTTTATGGGGTTTTTTTAAACCATTTTTTAGTGGCATCTTTCCCTTGTCTGTCTCACTTCTTTGCCTCTCTTACTGTGCTTGTTACTATCATTTCTCAAATAAACAACTTGCACAAATTCTTGTCTCAGGGTCTTCTAGGGACACTCAATCTAAGCTACACATAGTTGAGAGTGAAAGTAATTTTTCCTATTTTATTTATTTATTTTTCCATAAATTATTGGGGTACAGGTGGTATTTCGTTACATGAGTAAGTTCTTTAGTGGTAATTTGTGAGATTTTGGTGCACCCATCACCCAAGCCATACACACTGCACCATATTTCTAGTCTTTTATCCCTCACCTCCCCCCAATTCTTCCCCTCAAATCCGCAAAGTCCATTGTATTATTCTTATGCCTTTGCATCCTCATAGCATAGCTCCTATATATCAGTGAGAATATACAGTGTCTGCTTTTCCATTCCTGAGTTACTTCACTTAGAATCATAGTCTCCAATCTCATCCAGGTCACTGCAAATGCTGTTAATTCATTCCTTTTTATGGGTGAGTAGTATTCCATCATATTCACCATATTCCATCATATATATATATATGTATATATATATTCCATCATATATATTTCTTTATATATATATCACAGTTTATACATATATATTTTATATATATATATACATCACAGTTTCTTTACCCACTCGTTGATTGGTGGGCATTTGGGTTGGTTTCACAATTTTGCAACTGTGAATTGTGCATGCTTGTGCAAGCATCTTTTTCGCATAATGACTTCTTTTCCTCTGGGTAGATACCCAGTAGTGGGATTGCTGGATCAAATGGTAGTTCTACTTTTAATTCTTTAAGAAATCTCCACAGTGTTTTCCATAGTGTCTGTACTAGTTTATATTCCCACCAGCAGTATAGAAGCATTCCCTGATCACTGCATCTATGCCAACATCTCCTGTTTTTTTATTTTTTTTATTATGGCCATTCTTGCAGGAGTAAGGTGGTATCGCATTGTGGTTTTCATTTTTGTTTCCCTGATCATTGGTGACATTGAACATTTTTTCATATGTTTGTTGGCCATTTGTATATCTTCTTTTGGGAATTGTCTATTCGTGTCCTTAGCCCACTTTTTGATGGGATTGTTTTTTTCTTACTGATTTGAGTTTGTTGTAGATTCTGGATATTAGTCCTTTGTCAGGTGTATAGACTGTGAAGATTTTCTCCCACTCTGTGGGTTGTGTGTTTACTCTGCTGACTGTTCCTTTTGCCATGAAAAACTCTTTAGTGTAATTAGGTCCCAGCTATTTATCTTTGTTTTTATTGCATTTGCTTTTGGGTTCTTGGTCATGAAATCCTTGCCTAAGCCAATGTCTAAAGGGTTTGGTTTCTAATTTTTATAGTTTCATGTCTTAGATTTAAGTCCTTAATCCATCTTGAGTTGCTTTTTGTATAAGGTGAGAGATGAGAATCCAGATTCATTCTCCTACCTGTGGCTTGCCAATTATCCCAGCATCATTTGTTGAAAAGGGTGTCCTTTCCCTACTTTATATTTTTGTTTGCTTTGTCAAAATTCAGTTGGCAGTAAGTATTTGGATTTATTTCTGGGTTCTCTATTCTGTTCCATTGGTCTATGTGCCTATTTTTATACCAGTACCATGCTGTTTTGGTGACTACGGCCTTATAGTAGAATTTGAAATCAGGTAGTGTGATGCCTCCAGATTTGTGCTTTTTGCTTAGTCTTGCTTTGGCTATTTGGGCTCTTTTTTGGTTTCATATGAATTTTAGAATTGTTTATTCTAATTCTGTGAAGAATGATGGTGGTATTTTGATGGGCATTCCATTTAATTTGTAGATTGCTTTTGGCAGTATGGTCATTTTCAAAATACTGCTTCTACAAATCTATGAGCACGGGATGTGTTTCTATTTGTTTATGTCGTCTATGATTTCTTTCAGCAGTGTTTTGCAGTTTTCCATGTAGAGGTCTTTAGGCTCCTCGGTTAGGTATACTTTTAAGTATTTTATTTTTGTTTTCGCAGGTATTATAAACAGCGTTGAGTTATTGATTTGATTCTCTGCTTGGTTGCTCTTGGTGTATAGAAGAGCTACTGATTTATGTACATTAATCTTGTATCCAGAAACTTTGCTGAATTCCTTTATCAGTTCTAGGAGTGTTCTGGAGGAGTCTTTAGGGTTTTCAAGGTAAACAATCATATCATCAGAAAATAGTGACAGTTTGACTTCTTCTTTACCAATTTTGATGCCCTTTATTTCTTTCTCTTGTCTGATTGAACTGGCTAGCAATTCCAGCACTATGTTGAAGAGGAGTGGTGACAGTAGGCATCCTTTTCTTGCTCTGCTTCTCAGAGGGAATGCTTTCAACTTTTCCACATTCAGCATTATGTTGGCTGTGGGTTTATCATAGATGGCTTTTATTACATTAAGATATGTCCCTGGTATGCCGATTTTGCTGAGAGCTGGTTTTTTTTTTTTTTTTTTTTTTTTTTTAGATAAAGTCTAGCTTTTGTCACCCAGGCTGGAATGCAATGGTGCAATCTCAGCTCACTGCAACCTCCGCCTCCCGGGTTCAAGAGATTCTCCTGTCTCAGCCTCCCGAGTAGCTGGGAGAGAGTTTTAATATTAAAGGGATGCTGGATTTTGTTGAATGTTTTTTCTACAGCTATTGAGATGGTCACGTGATTTTTGTATTTAATTCTGTTTGTGTGGTGCATCACATTTATTGACTTGCATATGTTAAACCATCCCTGCATCCCTGGTATAAAACCCACTTGATCATGGTGAATTATCTTTTTGATATGTTGTTGGATTCAGTTAGCTAGCATAATGTTAAGGATTTTAGCATGTAGGTTCATCAAGAATATTGGTCTGTAGTTTTCTTTTTTGATTACGTCCTTTCCTGGTTTTGGTATTAGGGTGATGCTAGCTTCATAGAAAGAATTAGGGAGGGTTCCTTCTTTTTGTATTTTGTAAAGTAGTGTCAAAGGATTGGTACCAATTCTTCTTTGAATATCTGGTAGAATTCTGCTGGGAATCCGTCTGGTCCTGGACTTTTTTTGTTGTTGTTGTTTGTATTTTTTAAATTACTATTTCAATCTCGCTGCTTGTTATTGGTCTGTTAAGGGTATCTAATTCTTCCCGATTTAAGCTAGGAAGGTTGTATTTTTCCAGAAATTTATCCATCTCTTCTAGGTTTTCTAGTTTATATGCATAAAGGTGTTCATAGTAGCCTTGAATGATATCCTGTATTTCAGTGACGTCAGTTGTAATGTCTCCTGTTTGGTTTCTTATTGAGGTTATTTGGACTTTCTGCCTTCGTTTATTGGTTAATCTTGCTAATGGTCTATCAGTTTTATTTATCTTTTCAAAGAACCAGCATTTTGTTTCATTTACCTTCTATATTTGTGTGTGTGTGTCCATTTCATTTAGTTCTGCTCTGATCCTGGTTATTTCCTTTCTTCTGCTGGGTTTGGGTTTGATTTGTTATTATTTCTCTAATTCCTTGTGGTGTGACCTTAGATTGTGTGTTTGTTCTCTTTCAGACTTTTTTTTTTTTTTTTAATCTTGTTGCCCAGGCTGGAGTACAATGGCGCAATCTCAGCTCACCTCAACTTCCGCCTCCTGGGTTCAAGAGATTCTCCTGCTTCAGCCTCCCGAGTAGCTGGGATTACAGGCATGTGCCACCAGGCCTGGCTAATTTTTTGTATATTTAGTAGAGACGGAGTTTCTCAATATTGGTCAGGCTCGTCTTGAACTCCTGACCTCAGGTGATCCACCCACCTCGGCCTCCCAAAGTGCTGCAATCACAGGCATGAGCCACCGAACCTGGCCCTCTTATAGACCTTTTGATGTAGGCATTTACGGTTATAAACTTTCCTCTTAGCACTGCCTTTTCTGTATCCCAGAGGTTTTGATAGGTTGTGTCATTATTGCCATTCACGTTGAAGAATTTTTAAATTTCCATCTTGATTTTGTTTTTGACTCAGTGCTCATTCAGGAGCAGGTTATTTAATTTCCATGTATTTGTATGGTTTTGAAGATTCCTTTTAGAGTTGATTCCCGGTTTTATTCCACTGTAGTCTGAAAGGGTGCTTGATATAATTTCAATTTTCTTACATTTATTGAGGCTTGTTTTATGGCCTATCATATGGTGAATCTTGGAGAAAGTTCCATGTGCTATTGAATAGAATGTGTATTCTGCAGTTGTTGGATGAAATGTTCTGTACATATCTGTTAAGTCCATTTGTTCCATGGCATAGTGTAAATCCATTGTTTCTTTTTTGGCCTTCTGTCTTGATGAATTGTCTAGTGTTGTCAGTGGAGTATTGAAATCCTCCACTATTGGTGTCTATGTTGCTGTCTATCTCATTTCTTAGGTCTATTAGTAATTGTTTTATAAATTTGAAAGCTCCAGTGTTAGGTGCATATATGTTTAGGATTGTGATATTTTCCTTTTGGACAAGGCCTTTAATGTCCTTCTTTGTCTCTTTTAACTGCTGTTGCTTTAAAGTTTGATTTGTCTGATATAAGAATAGCTACCCCTGCTAGCTTTTGGTGTCCATTTGCATGAAATGCCTCTTTCCACCCCTGTACTTAGGTTTATGTGAATCCTTACGTGTTAGGTGAGTCTCCTGAGGGCAGCAGATGATTGGTTGGTAAGTTCTTTTCCATTCTGCGGTTATATATCTAAGTGGAGCATTTATGCCATATACATTCAATGTTAGTATTGAAATGCGAGGTACTATTGCATTCATCATACTCTTTGTTTCCTGTGTATTTTGGTTTTTTTTTTTTTGCTTTTTAGCTAGTATTTTTGTAATAGATCCTGTGTGATTTATTCCTTAAAAATATTCTGTTTTGAGTGTTTCCAGGATTTGTTTCAAGATTTAGGGTTCCTTTTAGCAGTTATTGTAGTGGTGGCTTGGTAATGGTGAATTCTCTCAGCATTTGTTAGTCTGAAAAAGACTGTATCTTTCCTTCATATGTGATGTATAGTTTCATTGGATACAAAATTCTTGGCTGAATAGTGTTTTGTTTGAGGAGGCTGAAGATAGGGCCCCAATCCCTTCTAGCTTGCAGGGTTTCTGTTGAAAAATCTGCTGCTAATCTGATAGGTTTTCCTTTATAGGTTACCTGGTGCTCCTGCCTCACAGCTCTTAAGATTCTTTCCTTAGTCTTACCTTCTTCCTCAGGAACACCAATTATTCTTAGTTTTGGTCATTTAACATAATCCCAGACTTCTTGGAGGCTTTTTTCATATTTTCTTATTATTTTTTCTTTGTCTTTCTTGGATTGGGTTAATTTGAAGACCTTCTTTTTGAGCTATGAATTTCTTTCTTCTACTTGTTCAATTATATTGCTGAGATTTTCCAGAGCATTTTGCATTTCTGAAAGTGTGTTCAGAGTGTCCTGAATTTTTTATTGTTTTTGCTTTAAGCTATCTATTTCCTTGAATATTTTTCCCTTCACTTTTATATCATTTTTTGGATTCTCTTGCATTGAGCTTTGCGCTTCTCTGGTGCCTCCCTGATTAGCTTAATAACTAACCTCCTAAATTCTTTTTCAGGTTAATCAGGGATTTCTTCTTGGTTTGTCTCCATTGCTGGTGAATTAGGGTGATTTTGGGGGCTGTTAAAGAGGTATGTTTTCTCATATTACCAGGGTTGGTTTTCTGGTTCCTTCTCACTTGGGTAGGCTCTATCAGAGGGAAGTTCTAGGGCTGAAGGCTGTTGTTCAGATTCTTTTGTCCCATGGGTGTGTTTACTTGTTGTAGTACTCTCCCCTTTTTCCTATAGATGTGGCTTCCTGTGAGCTAAATTGCAGTGTTTGTTGTCTCTTTTCTGGGTCTAGCCACCTAGTGACTCTACTCAGCTCCGGGCTGGCACTGGGGGTTGTCTGCACGGAGTACTGTGATGTGAACCGTCTATTGGTCTCTCAGCCATGGATACCAGTTCCTGTTCCAGTGGAGGTGGTGGGGAGTGCAATGGACTCCGTGAGGGTTCTTAGCTTTAATGCTCTAGTTTTGTGATGGTTGGCCTCCTGCCAGGAGGAATCAGCTCCAGGGAGTATCAGCTGTAGTAGTATGTATAGGGACCAGTGGTGGGGGTTGGGGGTCCTAGAACTCCCAAGGTTATATGCCCTTTGTCTTCGGTTACCACGGTGGATAGGGAGGGGCCATTAGTTGGGGGTGGGGCTAGGTGTGTCTGAGCTCTGACTCTCCTTGTGTGGGTCTTTCTGTGGCTGTTGTGGGGGATAGGGGTGAGATGCCCAGGTTAATGGAGTTGTGTACATAGGAGGATTATGCTGCCTCTGCTGAGTCATGCAGGTTGTCAGGGAAGTGGGGGAAAGCCGGCAGTCATAGGCCTCACCCAGCTCCCATGCAAACCAAAGAGCAGTTCTCATGGAGCCTGTTTCCAGGTGGTGGGCAAGATGGGCTTGAAAACTTGCCTCAGGCTACCTGCCTCTCAACTATGGAAAAAAAGGGCTTGGTTCTTCCCCTGCCTGTGGAGTCTGCACAACAGATTTGTGCCCTCCCATGAGTTCTGGCCAGGAGGCTTCTCGCCCTGTTCAAATTGTTACAAAGTTCAACTATAGATTTCTTTCTTCCTGTGGAGTTTCAACACCTGCTCCTCTGGCCACCCTCACAATGGATCCCTGTGGTGCCAAGCAGGAATGGCCTGTTTGGGCACCCAGTGAGCTCCCAGGGCCTTTCTACTGCTTCCTCAAACCCTGTATTTTGCTCAGCTCTCTAAATGGATTCAACTCCAGAGAAGGTAGGAAACTTCTCCCACAAAGAGACCTTCAGTTTCTCCAGTGGGGCTGTGTGTTCCAGAGAGGGGGGTCTCCCTTTACCACTTCCAGCGTCGGGGCACTGACAGTATTTGTGGTGTCTCTTGGGTACTGCAGAAACAGTTCGCTTCCTTCAGAGAGTCTGTGGGTACTCTCGGGATTGCTGGCTTGTTCTTGCAGTCAACCTGGAGCTAAAATTCACAATGCGAGCCTCTGCACACTGATCTATACAGAGCTGCAATCTAGTCCTACTTCCCATCCACCATGATTAACAGAACATTTTTGTCAATGACTGGCTGGACATCTTCATTGTTTGGAAACGTTCTTCTCATTTCTTTCTCCTCCACCTTCAATGGCTTCCAACATCACTCAGAGTAAAAGCCCAGGACTCTCCTATTTTATTATACTCTTTTGAAACATGAATTATAATGACCACATAGTATTCAATTGAGGATAATATCACAATTTAATTTATTAATCCTTTGAGGTTGGGCATTATATTGTTTCCAAATCTCAGTGTTAAAAATATTTCCAGAATGAGTATCTTTCTGTAAAAAGGTTCTACAAATCCTGTATGATTTCCAAAGTTAGATTCTTAAATAAGGAATTACTGGTCAAAAAATATAAGCTCTTAAATTTGTCTTAAATGCGTATTGTTAAACTTATTTACAATAAATGTTCACTATTTACTATTACTGTTAGCAAAGTATAATTCTCCCGTTCTTCCTGTCATTGTTTTTCCATAGTTCTCATTTTACTTAACCTGTGCTCATTTCAAACAATAAATTCATGTCCCGCTACCAATTTTAATTTGGGAGGCAGAATAGCCTGATGGTTAAGAGCCCTAATCTGGGAGCCAATTAGTACATTATAGTGCTGTCTCTTAGTTTAGTTTGACATTTATTTATTTTAACATGAGACCCTTCTAGAAAAGTGTTATTGGAAAGTTACAAGTCATATCTTCTCAGAAATCATCACTCCCTTTTCCGTGCTCCCACAACGGAATGTCTATGTTTCTAGGGATCATTTATAACACACAGCCTACTAGATAGGATTAAAATCATGCTTATTTACATATAGCAGGTTGCTTCCATAATGAATGCCTAGACCAGTGTAAGAATTGAACATACTAATATATTTAAGAAAATGAGAATATTCAGACAGTCATGGTCAGGATTAAAGATAACTATAGTGGTATTCTTAAAAACAAAGAATTTGTTGATCACCTATTAGCTACCAAATACTTTACAGAAAAGTTATTCAGTCACAATAAGTCTTATAAGTTAAGAACTGCCAGCTCAATCTACGGGTGTAGTGGATTGAATAGTCCCAAAATACATGTTCACTCAGAACCTGAGAACCTGACCTTATTTGGAAATAGGGTCTTTGCAAATTTAATTAGTTAAATATCTTGAAATGAAATCACTCTAGATTTAGGGTGGCCCCTAAATTTAATAAATGGAGTCCTTATAAGAATAGGAGTGGACACACAGACACAGGAAAGAGGGACACGTGAAAATGGAGGCATAGACTGGAGTGAGGCTGTCACAGCTGAGGACTCTCAGGAGCCACCCAAAGCCAAGAGGAGCAAGGAAGGATTCTCCCCTAGAGCCTTCGGAGAGAGTGTGACTCTGATGACACTTTGATTTTGGACTTCTGGCCTCAAAAACCATTAAGACGACACATTCCTCTGATTTTAAGCCACCAAGTTTGTGGCAACTTTTATGGCAAGTCCAGAAAATGGATACAACCAGTAAGAAAACTGATGCTCTGAGGACTTCAATTCACTTTTCTGAGCTTCAATTTTTATGCTGGTGTGTGGTAGTTTGTTTTTCTGGATTTCTAGCACAAATACATTTTGTGCAAACCTGCCCAGGCTATGAGAGATGGACAGCCATAGTTTTTCAGCACATGCAGAGAATGGGGTCACCATAAACTACCTGATGACTAAATGTAGTCTAAATTTAGTCTAAATTAGTTTGATTTAGAGATGTTTCCTTAATTTTAGTGACAGTTCATGTTGCATCTTCCCAGGCCGAGGTTGGAAAATATGCTCCTTTTACAGGGACACTGCTATGACAAACAATACAATTAGTTGGCCTTGAAACTTTCCTTTTTATGGCCTAATAAAAGTAACACTGCATTCACCAGACAACCAGTCATCTATCCCCCTCGTGGATCCCACTGTATAAGAGAAGCACATGCTCTGGTTACATTAACACCTCTGACCTCTCCCCATCAGATATGTCCAATAAGCAAGAACTGTTTTCCACAGCCCCTCTCACAAAATAATGGTGCATTCCTTTTACTAACTTTGAGAAAGATATTGCTAAACATGTATAGGGTTAATAATGTATTAATAATGTAAAGAAATTTGAAATTTCTTTAGAATGGTGTCTTTCATTTCAAGTAATGGAATGACCCCCGCCCCCCCCGGCTATTTTTCCCCATAGAGTGTGGCTATAGCATGGAGACTGGGAAGAAATTTAAGGTGTGACCCATCCCTTTGCCATCATGAAGGAAAGATTTGGTTTTGTACAATTTGAGTTTTCAAATGTCACTTTCTACAGAATTATTATGAAATATTTGACTTATGGTCCATTTATTGTACTTCGCTCTGAACATTAATCCTATAGTTTCAGTTTTCCAGAATTGTCCAGAAGTTACTAATTTATCTTATTCTATTTCTTCACCTCCCTCTCTTTCCTTTCATTAGACTATCAAGTAGTTAGGAAAGAAAGTCAGTGAGATGTCTCAGGCGTGACTCAGCTACGGAAACAATAGCAATCAGAGGACATTTGGAGATGAAGAAAAAAAAGAAACAAACTTCAATACAATGAGAAATATACCAGTACATGTATGACACTCAAGTAACATAATGATCTTAAGGCTAATTTACTACCTCCTTGTTGCCTGACAGGTCAGAACAATTTGTTTAGAACATGAAATCTGCTAGTAACTATGAGATGTTGGATGTGTCATTAGCCTCTCAAAAGTCTCCATTTCCAGGCCCAAAAAATTACGATGGGTAAATACTTGATGAAGTTGTTGTGTGTTTTAATTGCAACTGAGGATTAATTACCAGCAAGCATCAGTCACTACATATTTTTTATTGATCATATTCTGTGAGCTAGGCACTGTGCTATTTTCTGTGCTAGAATCACTTACTATGAGACAGCCTGAGTAGAATTTCCTCTACTGGACTTATCTTCAACAAAGACAATAAAAATTGTCATTATTTTCAACAAAAATCTGGAACTTAACCTGGAAACCTCACTTTTCTGTGCCAGGAGGTTTCATGGGCTTTTCCCATAGGCCATTCGGGTTTATCTATGTGGACCTCAGTTTTCATATTCTTCACAACTTATACTCAAGTTAGGGCCCTGGTACCTACACTTTATGTAGCTATAGAAGAGAGCAATGATATTGGTCTTATCTTACTATGGAAGAATTGCTATAACCTCATATTCATCTGCAAATGTGGACATTTGGAACAGTAAAGAAGCGATGAACTAAATTCTAAGCCAGGCAAAGGGAGTGTTACTACCCTGACCAAAAGAATTTTTTTAACATGGAGTCCCCAAGACAACGATGGTGACTGACTCAGTGCGTATTTTTCAGCTTCATCATAACCTCATTGCAAAAGTCAACACTGCTGAAATGTGCTTTCTTTTTAAAGCACCTTCTTCTCCTGTCTTTATTCATAAACACACGTATATCTGTTTCCTCTGACCTCACCAGCTGTTTTAACCCAGAGTCTTCTTTGCAGAATGTCTGTACAGTATTCCTCAGAATTCAGTCTTGCTTTACTTGTCTCTCTTCTCCCAACACAACCTCCCGAGGTGATCGAAAACATTCCAGTAAATATAATTTACAAATGTAAGTCTCTCATCATTGTATCACCGTGAAACATTAGTGAATATACATAGTGCTTCTATGAGATGTTTCCTCTTGGATATCTCAGAGGTATTTCAAAATTTACATGATGATTTTGTACAAAATAATTTTTAAGAATTATGAAAATTTTCAAACATACAAAAAACTAGAGTGATGAGCTCATGATTTAGCTTCTATAATTATCTAGAAAAATGAAATCTCTTCCAGGTATACACCTCCATCTCTGCTTTCACCACCACAGCAGAAAGCCTAATAAGTAGGACTATTTCTTAAAAAAAGAAAGCATTAAATATTCTCAACTAATTTTTTGTCTTCACTCTTCCATTCCAAATTATTATTAAGTGTCTTGGTCATAATTCCTGATCGTTCAAACTTTCCTCCATCAGGTCTTGGCATATGCTCATTTGCCCTTCCTTGAATACTGTTTCTTCTGCTCTTGACTAGGTCCTCTTTTTTATTAAACTGTTAATATTTTCTGTTTTTGAAAAGATCCACATTACCTAAAGTGTCTGTCCCTACGTTCCACAGAGACCTGGAACCAAACCCAGAACTTCACTTCCCTGTGCCAGAAGGATTCCAGTGAGCTTTTCCCACAGGCCCTACAGTCTTCTCCAGGTGAACCTCGGTCACTATCTATATTTATTAATGGTTTCTGTCCTGTAAATATCTTCTATAATAAAAGATTATATGTGATCACTTTTTAAAATCCTTTTTAATTCTAGACTATATAATTGCCATGAAGAATCGGTGTCTCGCTTACTATTGCAGCTCTAAAGCCTAGCATAGATTTAGCCTGTTCATTCGCTACATAAACGAACAAATGGAGTGAGGCAAGAAGAAGACTGTTGGAATTGGTTTAGTAGGGAATGGATAGCAGGAAGATTAAACCTCTTTGGAAAAAATTTCTCTGAATTTAAAGCAAAAACATAAAACAGTAATCAAATGGGAATGAAGGAAAAAGAGAATGGGTTGTTTTGTGTTTTTTAAAATTTTATTTATTATTTATTTACTTTTCTCCTGGATACCACACTGGAGTTTTTCATTTTAAATATTAATGGTACCAGAGCATGTCTTTGTCCTATTGAAAATTATCCAACAGAAATATGCATGCATATGTTTCAGGAGAAAGAGGATAACCCAACAGAGCAGGAAGGTGTGAGACACAGGCCCTTGATGGAAAAACTGACCTTTGATAGGGGAATGAACAATTCCTATTTTGTAGTAGGGATTAAGAAAGAAAGGCTGAGGAGCAGGGAGACTTACCAGTTGGTAACAGGAAAATGAGAAAGATAGTGTGTATGGATTTCTATTCTCTCAATATCATTTGAACAATGTCATACTTGAGAGTAGAGCCAGGAGGAGTAGTACAGCAGTTTTGTGAAGACAGTCATAATACAGTATTTATTTTGAGAATATAAACTGATTTTTCTAGAAAAACACAGAAGATATCCTGATGATACTGAGTGCCAGTTTTGGCTTATATTACACTTTTCTAGGAAGCTACTTAGGATGGCTGTGTGATCTTCCTCAGCAGCACAGCACTCAGCTGAGGGATTCATCTTGAATTTTCACTGCAGCAGGCATTATGTTGTCATTAGAAATATCTTTAACAATTGCTACAAATGAAGTTTGTCAGTATCTTAATGTACTAAGTCATGAGTAGGTAGCCATTATTACGCCCATTTTACTGATGAAGAAACTAGTGCTTAGAGGTGCGAAGTGACTTACCAAAGCTCATAAAGCTTGGAAGTAGGATAGTCAAGATTTGCAGCAGAACACTGGCTTCGACCTCATTATTTTAACTACTACATATAAACGCCAGAAACACAAAGTTTAGAATTCAAGGGAAAAGCAGATAGAAGAGTCAGCTGAGATAGCAATGTTCTAACCAAGAAGGGAGATGTGTGTCCCAAATACATGCAGAGACTAGGGCGCTTAGCGAGTTCCTTCCTGCTGCAACCTACTTCCAATCTCAGAGCCCAGAGAGTCCCTCACAACTTGCTAACTTTTGGTTTGCTCCTTTGTTTTTTTTTTCCTACAAATGGAAAAAGTACTGCTTAGACCTGAGTTGGGGGTTCATTCTCCCCAGTGGCCTCAAGCAAATGTGGCATCTGCCCCTCCTGGTCCAGCTACTCCAATAACTTTCTTTCCTTGTCAATCTGCCTCTTTCATTTTCTCTCTAATTAAACCAAGCATAAATCAAGGTACTTTACTTTTATGTAACCAATTTTTAAAAAAAGAATGAAATGCTCTCAGAAATTGGAGCCAAGTGCACAAGTTGAGAGTGGTGACATGTTTACATCATGTCAGAAATGATAAAGGGCTGTTTTCCAAATATATTTCCTCTCAAAGTACATTCAAGAGAGTGTATTATTTACTAAAACTGTGACTGCAGCTCATTTTTGTTAATAGGCCTGATTTCAGCACTAGCTATAATAGGAAAAACAAATCATCTTTCTATTAAGAGATATAAAGACAATTTTATCAAACACAATTTCACCTTTATATATGAATAGTAAAAGCTGTGTTAAATGGAAATTTTGAGCTATTAACAATACACATTGAATTGATTTTATTTTAATTGGTAGGCAAATATTGGCCTTGAGTCTACCACGGCCTGGCTGTAGGGCTGTAGGTCCTTAGGTAGTTTATTAAAACGTCCTCTAAAATTGCAGATCGTTCATGTATTACCTGTGTTTAACAATATTTACCATATTCCATTCAAACTCAGAATGAAATACTCCTAACTGTGGTATAATGCAACGAAGCTTAGATGGCTTTTGCTTGTGGATTTTAATCCCATCTCTGCCCTGTAGTTGTGAATCCAAGGGACATTAATTTTGTCCTATCTGATACTCAATTTCTTGCTCTGTAACACTTAATTTGCTTTTTTTTTTTTTTTTGACAGAGTCACACTCTGTCACCCAGGGTGAAGTGCAATGGCACAATCTCGGCTCACCACAACCTCCACCTCCTGGGTTTAAGAGATTCTCCTGCCTCAGCCTTCCAAGTAGCTGGGATTACAGGCATATGCCACCGGGTCCGGGTAATTTTTGTATTTTTAGAAGAGATGGGGTTTCACCATGTTGGCCAGGCTGGTCTCGAACTACTGACATTGTGATCCACCCACCTCAGCCTCCCAAAGTGCTGGGATTACAGGCGTGAGCCACTGCACCCAGCCTGCATGGTTGTTTTAATGAATAAATAAGATGACATATGTAAAAGGAAATACCAAGAGAATAGGATACAGTGAGGACATCTGCTTGTTATTAAGTGTTCTTTTCTCCCTTTCCATAGCATTTTATAGTCCTGTCTTTGGGTTTATTTAAAAAATAGGATTTGAAAATATTTAGTACTTTAAAATAGTAATATAAGTGTAAGGTTTGTAAGTGAAGAATATGATAATTTATAGGTAAAGTGTCATAGGAGACCTTGTCCACCAGGAACATCTTTGGCTTGAGTTGTATGCTACATTTGAATAAAGTAACACAGCTGCAGTAATTGCCTTAAGCTCACAGAAGTGTTGAACCAGAAGAATGCCAAGTTTGTGTAGAAAATGGCTGACATTTTCAAGCTAAGAAAATGATGGCACAAAATGTTAAATTGAACTTGACCGAGTAGGTTATGCTACAGCATTGCAAAAAGGACATGCTTGCTGAGGAATGCTTTGCAGATAATTTATAAATAAATCTTTGACTTTACAAAGAGAGGAATAAGAATTCCTAAAATTGTATAATCCCAAATATGGAATGAGAGTGGATTTGTCAATGAGGGTAGTGTGACACATGGTGGTTGATTGAGTGGTTCAGAGCAAGCCCTCTCCAGGTACCATGGAGTAGCCATCATTGATAGGATCCAAAAGGGACTGACCCTAACTGGGAAGCTGTCAGAAGGCTGCTTGGAATCTCATTCAAACTAGTGAACTGATGTGCGCTAACTTGCAGAGCATAAAGCAAAGGGAATTTGAAACCGGAGGCCTTCCCCAATATCCCCCTTACACTGCAGGAACATGTGCTTAGGGCTTACCCTACCAGTCACAGAGAAGCCAGCAGAATTGTTGTCTTTAGGTACAATTGCCCAAACTAGGCAGGTGTGAGTATTTATTCCCCACATCTTTCTACACAATCCTTATACCCATTCGTTCCCATACCTATTCATAACTATTTGTCACCCTTTCTATTTTCTCTAGAATTTTGTGTATTCACAACAACATTTGCTGCATTGGTACAGTGTGACAGATACAGCACTGAGTACTGACAAACTGGGGATATAATTATTAATGAATAAAGGCAAAAGCATGACACTTAAGGACATAATCTAGTAGACTGTAATGTGATGGTAAGGAAATGCATGTATGCATGTGATATATACATATGATATATAACATACATAAAATAAATAATTATATATAATGTATAGATGTGAAATAAATGAAGATCATGTGCATGAGTCGAATGGTGTCCCCACACCCTGAAAATTCATATATTGAAGTTCTAATCCCAAGTGCCACAGAAAGTGACTTTATTTGACAATAGGGTTGTTGGAATGGAATTAGTTAAAATGAGGTCATCCTGGAGTGTGGTGGCCCCTACCCTAATATGACTGGTGCCCTGAGAAGAAGAGGAAATTTGGAAACAAGCATGCACAAAGGAAGAATACCTCAAAAACATGAAAGCAGAGATTGGGGTGATGCATCTACAAGCCAGGGAATATTAAAGATTGCCAGGAAACCACCAGAAGAAGCTAGGAGAGAGGCCTGGAACAGTTCCTGCCCTAGGTCCTTCACAGGAAGCATGGCCCTGCCAACTTCTTGATCTCAGACTCCCAGCCCCCAGAACTGTGAAACACTATGTTGCTCTTGCTTAATCCACCCAGTGTGTGGTACTTTGTTACAGCAGCCCTAGCAAAGGGATACACACAAATGAAAACAAAAGAAGGTCATTTAGTTATAAATTACATGTATATATGTGCACACACAGAGCAATAATTTCAAATATCATAAAATCAAAGATGCTCATTTTCTGGAAACAGAGCTCAAACTGACAAATTCATATATTGTCATGAGATTTAAAAAAATACTTTCCAATTGGAAAGTGAAAAAAGATAATTTCTAATGAGCTCTTAAGACAAAAACATTATATTACATCAAACACAGTTGTCCCTGGAACAACATTGGGGTTGGACACTAACTTGCCCCACCATTAACTACCAATAATTTCAACAGTAAATTAAAACATAAGTTTTATGTTATGTGTATTACACACTGTTTTCTTATAATAATATAGAGAAAAGAAAATGTTATTAAGAAAATCATAAGGAAGAGAAAATATATTTATTATTTATTAAGTGGAAGTGTACCATCATAAAGGTCGTCATCCTCTTCACATTGAGTAGGGTGAGGGGAAGGAGAAAGAGGAGGGGTTGGCACTGCTGTCTCAAGGTGGCAGACGTGGAAGAAAATCTTTGTGTAAATGGACCTGCACAGCCCAAATCTATGTTGTTCCAGGGTCTGCTGTATTTATCCTTGGTATGACAACTTCAAAATGATAGTTATAGTCAAATGTCGTATCTCTCAAGACATTATTATATGCTTAAGCTTTATATTTGTGTCTTGAATTAATGAGAGCTAAATGACAATAGCTTCGGTGCTTACTATGCACCAGATAATGTACTAAATGATTTATATTTGTTAACTCATTTAATTCTCAAAATATTCTTATGGGATAAGTACTACTATTTTCCTAATTTTATTTATGATACTGAGTTTTTGAGAGTCTAAGCAATGTCCTAAGACCAAACCAGCTAGTGTATGATGGATCAATCTCCAATTCTCATCCACTTGCTTTGGGTCCTTAAGAAATGCTTCGTACTGCCTACATATATTGCTTCTGCTTGAAAATTCATGAAATGCACTTCTCCTTAAAAAAATTCTCCATCTACAAGAAAGCCTGAGCTTCAGCCAAGCTGTTTACTTGGTCCTGACTCGTTCCGAGGACCCTTAAGTGAAGCATATTGCAGCCTCTGCCCCACCACTCTCCAGCCTAAATCTTCACTCACTATAGCTCATGCTATAATGGTAGCACCATGTCTAGGGAGTTATCACGAACAGATTTTAATACTAGTTCCATAACCCATAGATATGTTATTTAATCCTATTGAAGTTTGGTTTCTTTATAGTATGAAAACAAAATCTTACACAGTTTGTATGTATCAAATGAGAAAATATGTCTAAAATATATCTCATAGCATGTAGCAAGACTGTTTTAAGGATTATAAAGCCTCTGACAGTTAATGCAAAATGGCATCTGAAGAGATCTTTCTGAGCAGGGGACTCTCAAGTGATAGTTCTCAAGTGATAATATGCTGGAAAGTAGCTGTCCAACATGCCTGTCACCAGGGATGAGGGTGAGCTTTTCCATGGATTCCAGGACTGCAAATGCCTGGGTGAGAGCCCAGTGATGAGAAAGACTGGGTGATTGCTAGAAATGGCAATAATGAGATATAATTTTACTAATAAACTGATGAAATTATAATTGCAAATAATATGTATTAAACATTGCCATGTTACTCATATTGTGCTAAAGCAATTTAACTGCTTCTCTAATTTAATCCTTGTAACAAATGTCTCTAAATTGCCCCAATTTTACTGATGAGAAGCCTGACTCTGAGATGCCAGGTGAATCTCCCAAGATCGCAAAGCTAGCAAGTGGCTGACCTATGATTCCAATCTATGATTTCTGCCCCCATGGACTTTACTATAGAGAGTGTCTTAAGGGGATCTTGGGGTCCAAACTAGGAAGTTAAACTGTTTCATGAAATCTGAGGAGCAACCTCAGGACCAACCACAAATGAAATCAAGGCTAAAAACCAAGTAAAAGTAGAAGAGAGCCAAGCTCAGAGTAAAAACTGTGTCTTTGCATTGATCTGAGACTTCTGTAATGGTCAAATCCATTTTTATTTGCTCTGAGCACTATGCGTAGAGATGAGTAGGCTAAGTAGAGCTCAGGGTCAGAGTGGCCCAGACACATAGTAATGAGCTGAACTTCTGAGTATCTGCTGGAGGCATCAATCTACAAGGGGTGCTGAAATATCAATCAAATAAATAAGAAATATGGTGTGAGTTAACGTAGGTTTCTGCACACAACTCAAATAAATGGTAAATTATAAACTGTCTTGCCTCACACTGAGTAGACACAATAAATCTCTTATTTTGAATATTACTATGAGACAGGAAGAAAATATTTGTCACTTGTTATAACCCACTGTCTTCAGAGGAGGGAGAATCCTGGCAACAAGATCTGCTTTACTTTAGTGAGCATGAAAAAAACCAAAATCTTCATCCTCAAAAACAAAAGTATTTGCCACTTCAGAAAACAGTTTTAAGGAATAGATGCGGAATGCAAAATAAAGAAACTGGGGTAGAGTGAAATATCTTTATCAGCAAAACTGAGAGACCTGTGGAGAGGAAGAAATAAAAAAAGGTGTCAGAAAAAAAGCAGTCGAGAGCTGGGAAACCTGAGCGCATGGAAGGAAAGAGAGAGAATGGCAACTTGGCACCTGCAATGCTGAGAGGCATGCTTGATTGAACGGAAGTTGCTGCTTCAAACCCAGTTCTGGGTCACAAGAACTCACCCTTTCTCCCACGTCTGCATTGTTCCCTAGTCCTCCTAGCTATACAAGTGCAGTTTTGTTTTGGGGAATCCTCAAAAAGTATAAAAGAAAACCTCCTATATACGAGTAATAAATATATGAAGAGGGATTCATTTCAGATTCATCAAAATCCAGTTTCTTTGTTTTCTATTTTATAGAAGTTTACCTTGAAGGAGAGGGGAGATTATGTTTGGCCTCAGGTGGACACCGCTTAGTTCACTTACTACAGGCCTATCCAAAGGACGTCACTGTCAGTGCTTTTGGGGTTCTAATTAAGAGATACCTATAGATTGTGTTCAACTAAGACAGAATAGCATGGGCCTAATGAAAAGAGCACCCCCCAAGGCAGTGCTGCATTTCATCTCATACAATGGAATCCCACCAGCTTATACAGGATTCTATTGGCTCCTGTAGGGTAATTAATTACCCAGGGAATTGAACAGCAGATATTGGGATGTGGAGTCTAAAGGGAGATGTGGCCAGGATATGGAGCAACATGACACTGCCCTGCTGAAATACCTGCTTGACCTCCCCACAGGAACCTGGTGGAAAGCCAGCCCTGGGGAACAGGCTGGATTCTGCATTTCAAATGTTATTTTTTCTCAGCACGAGGAAGACCAATCGCTCTTTGTGAAACAGGAAACAAGATCTTGAAGCAAGTATGGCGCTATATTTAAAACCATAAAATGATTGTAAAGGAGCTCTAACTGGTAATCTATGTAGGAGGAAGTTACAGTATTTACGGCCCAATATGCCACCATCCAGAAAGCATCCATTATACAATGGTCATAAAGGAGAAAAACAGAGTGCTACGAGCTCAGTGTGAATAAAGGAGCTACTGTTCCTGCTGATAATAATAATAGCTACTGTATTAGGATATGGAATGAAACTTTTTTTAGTTGCCTTGTAATTGACAATTAAAGCCTGTATTCAGAAGAGAGTGACCATCAAATGGGGTCAGATACAGCTCCCAGGGCACTGGATAACTTGTCATCCTGGAGTATAGGATGGATGGCTAAAGAACGAAAGAGGGGAAATACAGAGGTAATTTTTAAACATCTTCTTTCTTTTAGGGAATAGAATACTCATAGTGCAAAATACTTTCCCTATGCTCTTGCCCTGTGATTCCCTTCCATCACCATCACATCCCCGAAGACAAGGAATGGTGGGGATGAGAGCTTTAAGCAAGTCAGGTGGATATTCCTGAAAGAAAGAGAGCTTGAATTTTGGCTTACCAGGTCATGTTCATTGCATTACACATCTGCCGGGCTACCCTCTTATTGCTTCCACAGGAGCACTGCAGGGTGAAAGAGTTCCTGGGGAACTTGGTGCCTGTGCCCCTTGGAATGTAATTAAAGAGGTCTGCCTGTTTCTGCCACATGTTATCTGAATATGGCAGAATTGCAAGAGTAGCCCTAACCAGTATGAAAAAATGCATCTCCCCACTCCACATCCCTAAAGCTCCCAGAAGATATGGAAGGAAGAATACCTCAATAGCCTCAGTGTCTGCAGCTAGAAAGAGGTTGGAGGTATGGATTTTTGATGGGGGCAACCAATAAAGAAACACATTTGTCTCTAAAAGTGGGTCATCAATAAGAGGCATGCTGTGGAAATCTGGACACCTCTCCAAGAAAAGCATACACACCATACAGAAACCAACATATCTGCAGATTGCCTCACATATCAGGGAACATCAGGAACAGGCCAGGAGCACTTCTGCATCACAGAAGCAGCCCAAGAGGCATATGACCATTACCATCTCATGATAGATCTTCACTTGTCCCAAACTTGAAGAAACAAGATCCAAAAGTGGGAAGAAAAAGAAGCGAAAGAAAAAGCCATGCACAAACTCCATTCCAAGTCTCTGACCCTCAGTTTTGTCCAATAAAGAAGGAGACAAAGATTTTACAATTGATATGGGATTGGATTTATAAACTACCTCAACTGATTTTAGTAACCATAAATGACAAGAAAGTTGTGGAATTTGAAAATGTATTTCTCAGATGGAAAAATGAGCTTCTACTCAGCAGGTTGAAAAAACAGTAAATGAAGAAAAAAGATCATTACAAATATTAGACTACATTTTCTGAGAAACTCTATGTTTCATGTGTTTCACACATCCCCCAAACTCAAAGAAGTGGTGTTATTAAATTCATTTGACAGATAAGGAAATTGAAGACAAGAGTAGATTTCCCAAAGTGATAGAGAGGATATAACTTAGATTCAAACCCAGTTCTCACACACTCAAATTTTGTGCTCTTTCTTTCTACACAACATTGTTTTTGCTGGGTCCTTGACCTGAATCATCAATATCTTTAAGATAAAGTAAAGTTGTATGTATTAAAGTAACACATATTCCTATCTAGTCAACAAGAAGATATTTTAGGCTTGATATATTTGAAATATATCCCCTGCCACTCCCACACCCTCAGCCACTTAAATAAAATGCTGACACAGGAAATCATCTCAACTTCCTTGCTAAGTGTTCAGACCATTATCCCACTGAACCACAGGTAAGTATCTGTGATGTTTGACTCTATGTGTCAACTTGGCTAGACTATGATGCTCAGTTGTACGATCAAACACTGGTGTCGATGTTGCTATACAGGTATTGTTGGATGTGATTAATACTATGGTCAGCTGAGTTTTAATAGGCCAGATTACCCTGCAACATCTGCTGCAGGGTGGGCCTCATCCAATCAATTGAAGGCCTTCAGTTCAAAAACTCAGGTTTCATGAAAAATAAGAAATTCTGTTTCAAGACTATAACACAGAAATCTCACCTGAGTTTCCAACCTGCTGACCTGCCCTACAAATTTCGCACTAAAAACTATGACATCAATATCAACTCTTACCTGAATTTTCAGGCTGCCAGTTTGGCCTATAAATTTCAGACTTGTCAGCCTCTGTAATCTTTTCAACCTATTCCTTAAAATCTCTCCTGCTCATCTATCTATCTATCTATCAATCTATCTATCTATCTATCTATCTATCTATCTTTCTATCTATCTATCTATCTGCTGTTTATCTGGAGAACCATAACAAATACAGTATCCTTAATTTCATTTCAGAGATAAAGTTTAGAAAAATAAGTTGCTTTCCCAAAGTCAAATAGCTGATAAATGATGGGTCCAGTAGTTGAAGCTGGACTTTTTAAAAAATATTTCTTCTGTAGGATGTCAACTAATGCCTCAAATCATATCTATCTGAGAGATGAGGCACTTATATTCTTACTTGCTCATATCTTCCCCCAAATACTTTGTAAGCCAAACAATACTCTACTGCGTATCAAAGGGGTAAAACTCATGGGCACATGATCCTTCCCTCCTCCTCTCTTCTGAAGCATCAAGGTTGTGTTTTTGGGTAAAATTTCCATTGATGAGATTGAAGGTCCATTGATGGTTTCTCCAAAGAGGCAGTCCAACACAATGAGCTCTTCAAAACCTCATGCTCCAAGGGGCACAAAAACCAGTTATAGTTAGCAATGCTTATTTCAGTCAGAATCATAGAATCTTTCTCTGCTTAATCTATTTTCTTACCACAGTATTATTTCCTTGCTTCTCACCTATATTTGACCCTAGATTAACCTATCTCCAATTTTATATCGTTCCCAAATAATCCTCCTATTCAATGGCTTAAATTCTAGGCCTTCACCAGGAATTGTACAACCTGAGGCAACTCATAGCAGAGCATTGGCAGCAGCGAGCTCCCTTCTAAGAAGTCTCAATGCTATACATACTGCATTTACATCTCTTTGTTAGAGCATATTTCTGCCCATTGTACCAGGCAGCCTTCATGATAACTCTGTGTATCAGTGAAGTCAGGGTCGCTATCTGCCTTTGACAAATGAAGACAGTGAGATCTAAAAAGTTTAATGACTGGACAGAATCTGAACTGGCCCGGGTCCCTTGAGTCCTCACCTGATAATTTACTTTCAATGATGGGCTCCACCTGTTTGTCTTGAAGGGGAAATGTGTTATCCAATTTGGGTTTCTATTTACAACCTCTGAAAGAGAGGCTAAAATTGACTTTGGATTTGGTGTAATCAGCAAGATAAGGTCACATCCTATAATTGAATGATTTTCTAATTCTTTATTTGGTATTTAGAAAAATGTAGAACAAAAAAAGTATTGTAGTGAGTACCTAAAATATAGCTAAAACCATTACTAATTATTTATTTCATAAAACATTGCCAAGCAAATATACAGTCGTCAAAACATAGGCTCTTTAGAAAATATTGACCTCTTTCACTGTTCAAAACGGTCATGGACAGGAATAAGAGTAGTACATGAGAACACTAAGGATTTCTTTTCAGATAATTTCAAACCAAAGTTTATCATAAAAGCCAAAGTAGATATTTTATTTGTAAGCTTATTTACTGAAAGAAAAATCTAAAATTGTTTCTCTAATATTGTTACTTTTTTATTCAACAACTACAGTAGAGAAGGCACTATTTTAGAAATGGCATATGCATAATCTAAACTGATTTCACAAAAACCCTCTGTGCATTTTAAAGAGAAGGAAATAGAGCCCAGAGAGGTTAAAGTGCTACAGTGACTCATGTGTAGACCTGTGGTTTTATTTGGGGCTAAATATCTCTAAAACCTACAGTATTTATATTCCACTTGCTTGAAAATGATAGATTATCTTGTGAATTAGAATTACTTTTATGATTTTGCATGTATCTTCTACCTTTCCACTTCCTTTATTACTCGATGAAAATGAGAATATCAGAAAAGAAGGACATTTATATTTTCCTCCTAGAGTGTTTGCCACAGCTATGTCATTCCAGGCTTTATAGAAAAAGTAGATCATGCCATGCACCATCGTTCGTCAGGGAAAGGACCAAGAGTCTTCAGTAATGCCCAGGATGCTAATGTTCGGGGTGCTGATGATGCGGCTCATGCAAATAACTGCTGCAAACATGCCCTTCACTTGGGTGAAAATTATTAAAAGAATCAGATACAACAGTTAAGATACAGTCTTGATTCTTTTACATCTCACTTGAAACAGGCTGTCCAGTGTTCATCAACTGTTATGCTGGCAGAAGAACTGCCAGGAGCTGAACTCCTTATGCTGTAAAAACAAAAGATGTTGCTTTCTATTTTTTTTTTCTTTACCCTTTTATGAGGTGAAAACCTGGAGGGTACATATAACTTAGAAAGACAGGAAAGGAATTTGTAAGAAGATTCTGAAGGAAGTGTAAGGATTTCAAGTTTGAGATGTAGTTGAATATAAACTGATGCTGAAGTATAGGAAGTGTAACTGCAGAATATGAAATAAAAAGTAACTAAAAATATATGTGGAGAAGAAAGTTCAATAGCAACATATCTTCTATGTTCTTATCAGAGCAGGGTAAAAAGCTCATATCAAATATACTGTCCTTGCTTTGCAAGAAAATGATGTTTCCTTGATAAACTTTTTGTTGTTAGCATGCCAGAAAATTAAAAAAAATACTTTAAATCATGCCTGCTACAGTTGATAAAATAATGAGGACTTACATAGGCAATTGCACATTATGTATACACATACACAAAACTTTGTGTTGTGTTGTATTGAACATGAAAACCCTGAGAACAAGACTCTACCTGTTTCTTTTCTCTAACATCTAAAAAGAGTTCTGCTTACATCGTACAAGTCAATAAACATATACTGATTGAAAGGCTGGAAGGAGTGCATATTTCACACTTACAGATCAAGGTTCTGCAATATGTATCACAAGCTTTCAAAATAATCTTTCTTTTTATTACTGAAAATAGTCATTAAATCCACTTCGATAGGTTTATCCCAAGAAAGTAATCAGAAATACACATTAAGATTTATGTGTAATGATAGTCAACTCAGTATTATTTATAATAGAAAAAAATAAAACCATATAAATATCAAAAAATAGAGAAGTAGGGTAAATAATTTACAGTATATCTCCAGCATGGAAAATTATGCAATCATCAAAAGCTATACTCTGAAAATTATTTTATAACCTAAAATATTTTTAGAAGTTAAATAAAGCAATGCATAAGGTTTTATATGCAGAAAAATCTCAATTTTGCAAATGTATGGATATAAATAAAGATATCCTGTGGATGTCATAATTTACTGGCCTTGGAAGTCTTGATTTCCTTTGTGTCAAATTACAATTGCCCAAGTGCTCATCAACTGTTACTGAAAGAATCCTTGTTTTTGACCACAAGTTAATCTCCTCAGTCACCCCCAGGTTGCCTAGTAAATGGTTCCATATCTTAAATTCATCCCAGCTTACACTTGTCTACCTACTTCTTTCTGAGGCAGAAGTCTTGCAAAGCTCAAGTGTTTTCTGTTTTTCTTTGTACCACTTCAAGCAAAACACGGGATGATCCTTTGCCCTTGAATATACAGTAGTCAGACGCTTCCATTATTTAATGAGAGGGTACAACAGAACTATTGGAATGAAAGTGCAATGCAGAAAATCACTCAAAAACTCTGCCTGTGATTGGGTTCTCTGGAAACAAATTCTGAGACTAAGAAGTAGATGCAGAAATTGTACTAGTAAATGTCCTTCTGAAATAAAAAGTGAGGAAGGCAAGATTGGGCAGAAGGAGAAGCTGATCTATTAATACACTTGCAAATGCAAGCTCTGCTGATTCTATAGGGAGCTCTACACCTTGGATACTGTTTAGCCTTGTTCCAATTTGCAGGAAAGGCCGGGGTCTTTGATATTCTTGACTATAAGCCACACCCTGAGAAAAGACACATTCTTGTATAAGATAATTTTCTGTGGCTGTATTAGTCCATTTCACACTGCTGATAAAGACATACCTGAGACTGGGTAATTTATGAAAAAAAAAAAGAGATTTAATGAACTTACATTTCCACGTGGCTGGGGTAGCCTCACAATAATGGTGGAAGGCAAAGAGGAGCCAGTCACATCTTACATGGATGGCAGCAGACAAAGAGAGAGAGCTTTTGCAGGAAAACTCCCATTTTTAAAACCATCAGATATTGTGAGACTCATTCTCTAACAGAAGAACAGTGTAGGGAACACCCGCCCCCATAATTCGATCACTTTCCACTGGGTTCCTTCTATGACACATGGGAACTGTAGAAGTTACACTTCAAGAGGAGATTTGGGTGAGGACACAGCCAAACCATATTATTCCACCCCAGGCCCCTCTCAAATCTCATGTCCTCACATTTCAAAACTAATCTTGCCTTCTTAACAGTCCTCCAAAGTCTTAACTCATTTCAGCATTAACTCAAAAGTCCACATTTCAACCTCTTACCTGAGACAAGCCAAGGCCCTTCTGCCTATGAGCCCGTAAAATCAAAAGCAAGTTAGTTACTTCCTAGATACAATGGGGGTAAATGCATTGAGTAAATACATCCATTTCAAATGGGAGAAATTGGCCAGAACAAAGGGGCTCTAGGCCAAATGCATGTCCAAAATCCAGCAGGGCAGTCAAACCTTAAAGCTCCAACATAATCTCCTTTGATTCCATGTCTCACATTCAGTTCACACTGATGCAAGAGGTGGGTTCCCATGGTCTTGGGCAACTCCACCCCTGTGGCTTACCATGGTACAGCCTCCCTTCTGGCTGCTTTCACAGGCTGGCATTGAGGGTCTACAGCTTTTCCAGGCACACAGCGCAAGCTATCAGTGGATCTACCATTCTGGGATCTGGAGGACAGTGGCTGTCTTCTCACAGCTTCATTAGGGGGTGCCCAGTAGGGACTCTGTGTCGGGGGCCGATCTCACATTTCCCTTCTTCACTGCCCTAGCAGAGGTTCTCCATGAGAGCCCCACCCCTGCAGCAAATTTATTCCTGGACATCCAGGCATTTCCATACATCCTCTGAAATCTAAGCAGAGGTTCCCAAACCTCAGTTCTTAACTTCTGTGCATCTGCAGGCTCAACACCACATGGAAGCTGCCAAGTTTTGGGGCTTGCACTCTCTGAAACCATGGGCCAAGATGTACCTTGGCCCCTTTTAGCAGTGGCTGGAGTGGCTGGGATGCAGGGTACCAAGTCCCTAGCCTGCACACAGCATGGGGACTCTGGGCCTGGCCCACCATTTTTTCCTCTTAAGCTTTTGGGTCTGTAATGGGAGGGGCTGCAGCAAAGGTCTCTTGACATGCCCTGTGGACATTTTCCCCACGGTCTTGGGGATTAACATTCCACTCCTTGTTACTTATGCAAAATTCTGCAGCCAGTTTAAATTTTTCCTAAGAAAATGGGTTTTTCTTTTTTACTACATCATTAGGCTGCACATTTTCCAAACTTTAATGCTAAGTTTTCCTTTTAAAATGCAATGCTTTTAACAGCACCCAACTTACCTCTTGAATGCTTCGCTACTTAGAAATTTCTTCCTCCAGGTACCCTAAATCATCTCTCTCAAGTTCAAAGTTCTGCAAATCTCTAGGGCAGGGGCAAAATACTGCCAGTCTCTTTGCTAAAACATAGCCAGAGTCACCTTTGCTCCAGTTCCCAACAAGTTTCTCTTCTCCATCTGAAATTACCTCAGCCTGGATCTTCTTGTTCATATAACTATCAGCATTTTTGTCAAGGCTATTTAAAAAGTCTGTAGGAAATTCCAAACTTTCCTGGAGTTTCCTGTCTTCTACTGACCCCTCCAAACTGTTCCAACCTCTGCCTGTTACCCAGTTCCAAAGTCGTTTCCACATTTTAGAGTATTTTTTAGCAGCACCCTACTCTACTGGTACCAATACACTGTATTAGTGCATTTTCACACTGCTGATAAAGACCCCAGAGACTGGGCAATTCACAAAACAGGGTTTAATGGACTTACAGTTCCACATGACTGGGGAAGCCTCACAATCATGGCAGAAGGCAAGGAGGGGCAAGTCATGTCTTACATGGATGGCAGCAGGCAAAAAGAGAGCTCGTGCAGGGAAATTTCCATTTTTAAAACCATCAGATCATTTGAGACTCATTCCCTATCATCAGAACAGTGCAGGAAAGACCTGCCCCCATAATAAATCACCTCCCACTGGGTTTCTCCCATAACATGTGGGAGTTATAATTCAAGATGAGATTTGGGTGGGGATACAGCCAAACCATATCAGTGACAGAAGGTAATATCCTGGGAGAGGCTGTGAGCCTAAAGCAGCACTATTCTCTGTAGCTGTGAGTAAGTTGAAGCTGAAGCAGAGAACTGAGTAGATCCCCATTGTCTCAGTCAGTTCAAGCTGCCATAAGAAAATACCCAGAGTGGGTGGCTTAAACAAGAGAAATAGATCCATTCACAGTTCTGGATGCTAGAAGTTGAAGAACCATGCTCTGGACAATTCATTTTCTGGTGAGGCTCTCTTCCTGGTTTGTAGATGGCCCCGCTCTTGTTGTGTCCTCTCATGGCCTTTCCTCAGTGCATGTTCATGAAGAGAGAGAGAATGAACTCTCTGATATCTCTTTTTATCCTATTGAATCAGAGTCCCTCTCATATGGCCTCATTTAACCTTAATTACTTCCTTAGAGGTCCCATCTCAAAATATAGCCACACTGGGGGTTTAGGCTTCCACATGTGAATTATAGGGACACAAACGCTCAGTCCATAGCACAAGTATTACCCATCACACACTGACAGGCTTAACACCCTCCTGAAGGCTCCCTCTCTGCTGCCTTTTCTGCTTTGCTTCCACCAGATCACAGTTCTTTCTTTCTACATCCCAAACTGAGAAGCACCTCATGTCTCCACAACTCATATTCTAGTTCTTGAGAAGCAAGGATGATTACTTCTCAATCAAATCCTGTAAACATAGTTGCTACCAAGAGACTCCAGCTACAGTTTTAAAAGTAACATATTGGTTAGCAATTGCCACAATAAAGATATGTGACAAACCACTCCAAAACTCAGTGGCTTGAATCAAAAAGCATGTGTCTTGGGGTTGGCTGATCTAGACTTATTGAGGCTCTCAGACAATTACATGCAAAAAATTTATTGGGATAAACCTGAGAAGACAAAAATGGACCAAGTGAGAAGCTGATCTAGGCTGGTCTGCTTGGCTTGACGCCAAGCTCCAGATCATATCCAAGGGTGTCCTATGCATCTCTCATCCTCTTTGGAACAGCAGGCTAGTCAGGGCCTGTTCCCCTCATGGAGATGGCAGATGTGTAAGGAAGTGTGACTATATCTGTCCAATGTGGATAGAGCTACTCTAACAATCTGGTCCAATCCCTGCAATAGATTCCCAGGGCAATATTTTCTTCTGAATTTATGTTCACTCTTCCTTAATTTATTCTTCCTTTTCACCTCTAAATCTTAGAGATTTATCATACCTTCTTGTGAAGCCAATGATTCATTTAAAACCTTGGCTGTAATTATTTACCCAGTACATACAGTTTTTCTACTGGTGGAGAATCATTTAGAATTGCTAGTTCATCCTATTACTGAAATATTAATCTCTTTTTACTAACTTTTCACTTTACATATTTCTATTAGAGATGTCATGGCGCAAACAAAGTGTAATAACCAGGTATTGATTCACATTTCTTGGAATCTCAGAGACAGAAACAGCAATAGCCATGTTATTGCCCTAATGACCTACATGTGGTATAGCACAGATGCCAGCAGAAGACAACACCAAGCTCCAGAGGATGGGTCTGGGAAACGGACTGGGATTTTGGCAGTGTGGTGCACCAGATCTCTGGCCTCAGTCTGTACTGTCAGCTCACTATGCACCTCCCCAGGTGTGATCAGAGATGGGGTGCCAGCCGTGTGGTGCAATTATATGAAAGAAAGAACTGTCTGATTGGCTACCTGAGCACCCTACAAAGACTCATTGCTGACAGCAGGTGTTTCTGGAATTCTGTGGGAGATTAGTCCTCCTCTGGAGCCCTTCTGCCTGATCCTGTTTTCTTTTTCTATCTGTCATTTATATTTATTATAGCTAATATTATTATTTTAATTTGCCATTTTAATCTGTGTTTATTCTTTTTTGCTTTGTTATAGTTTTTCTTTCCCCTCCTTTCTTATATTCCAATGTGCATATCAAATTTTCTTCTACTGTTTTGAAAATAATCTTTCATTTTCATTTAACTGTTGGTTATATTAATTAAATTCATGCTTTATTATTTCTTTCATACTTATATTGATGTCTATGTTATTTATGTCTTCTCTTTCCCAATAATTTGTTCTCCTTCTCGACTTCTCCACCCAATTCTACTGCTGCATGGTCTTCATCTACAATTTTGGCTTAGATTATTATGGTCACACATTTTTGACAGATTTATTGAGGTGTAATTGACATACATAAACTGCACACATTTAAAGTATACCAAGTGATATTTTATGTATACACACCCTGAAATCATTTTCCTTTAAAATTATATACACAAAAAATTTAATATATTATTTACCACCTCAATTTTGTTTTCCCTTAGATTTTTCCTTCTTTTCTTAATTGATGCATAATAATTGTACATATTTATGGGTATATTGTGATATTTTAATACATATAATATTTAATAATCAAATCAGGGCTATTATCATACCTATGACCTTAAATACTTAACCTTTCTTTATGTTGCAAATATTCAAAATTCTTTCTTCTAGCTATTTGAAAATATATAGTAAATTACTGTTAACTATAGTCATCCTACTGTGGTGTAGAACACTCGAACTTATTTCTCTTGTCTAACTGTAATATTTTACCCATTACCTAACCTCTCCTTATTTCTCCATCTCTCCTGTCCATCTTACCCTCTGGTAACCACTATTCAACACTCTACTATAACATTAATTTTTTAGTTCCTACATATGAGTGAGAAAATGTGGTATTTGTCTTTCTGTTTGTCTTACTTCACCTAATATAATGTCTTCCATGCTCATTTACGTTGCCGCAAATTTCAAGATTTCATTCTTTTTATGGCTGAATAATATTCAATTGTGTATATATACCACATTTTGCATCATTTGTCTTTTGATGAACACTTATGGTGATTCCATATTTTTGCTCTTGTGAATAATGCTGCAGTACACACGAGGGTGCAAGTAACCCTTTTATCTACTGTTTTCTTTTCCTTTAGATATGTACCCTGTAGTGGGATTGCTGGATCATATAGTGGTTCTACCTGTAGTTTTTTGAGGAACTCCCATACTGTTCTCCATAATAGCTGTACTCATTTACCTTCCTACCAACAGCAAATTGGAGTTCCCTTTTTCCACATATTTGCCAGTATTTGCTATTTTTTTCTTTTTGAAAATAGACATTTTTAACTCAAGCGAGATGATATCTCATTGCCTTGGATTTCTCAACTAAATGCTGTCTACAAGAAGCTCATTTCCTCTGTAAAGACACACATAGACTAAAACGGAAGGAATGGAAAAAGACAATCCACACAAACGTAATTCAAAGGTGAGCCCAAATAGCTAGACTTACATGAGATGAAATAGACTTTAAGTTCAAAACTATAAAAAGAGACAAAAAAGAACATTATATAATGATAAAGAGATTGATTCAGTAAGAGAATGTAACAATATTACTTTATATGCACCCAATAACAGGACACCAAGATATATAAGGCAAATATTACTAGATATAAAAGCAGAGATAGGTTCCAATACAATAATAGTTGGGGGCTTAAATAGCTTACTTTTAGCATTGGACAGATCATCTATCGAGACAAAAAGTCAACAAAGAAACATTGGATTTAAAGTGCACCATAGACCAAATTGACCCATCAGACATTTACAGAACATTTCACCCAACAGCTGAAGAACACACAGTCTTTTCATCAGCACACAGAACGTTCTCCAGGACTGATGACACGTTGGACCACACAACAAGTCTCAAAAATATTTTAAAAACCTAATTGAATACCCTTTATTTCCTTCTCCTGCCAAATTGCCCTGGCCAGAACTTCCAACACTATGTTGAATAGGAGTGGTGAGAGAGGGCATCCCTGTCCTGTGCCAGTTTTCAAAGGGAATGCTTCCAGTTTTTGCCCATTCAGTATGATATTGGCTGTGGGTTTGTCATAGATAGCTCTTATTATTTTGAAATACGTCCCATCAATACCTAATTTATTGAGAGTTTTTAGCATGAAGCGTTGTTGAATTTTGTCAAAGGCTTTTTCTGCATCTATTGAGATAATCATGTGGCTTTTGTCTTTGCAGTTTCAGCTTTCTACATATGGCTAGCCAGTTTTCCCAGCACCATTTATTAAATAGGGAATCCTTTCCCCATTGCTTGTTTTTCTCAGGTTTGTCAAAGATCAGATAGTTGTAGATATGCGGCATTATTTCTGAGGGCTCTGTTCTGTTCCATTGATCTATATCTCTGTTTTGGTACCAGTACCATGCTGTTTTGGTTACTGTAGCTTTGTAGTATAGTTTGAAGTCAGGTAGTGTGATGCCTCCAGCTTTGTTCTTTTGGCTTAGGATTGACTTGGCGATGCGGGCTCTTTTTTGGTTCCATATGAACTTTAAAGTAGTTTTTTCCAATTCTGTGAAGAAAGGCATTGGTAGCTTGATGGGGATGGCATTGAATCTGTAAATTACCTTGGGCAGTATGGCCATTTTCACGATATTGATTCTTCCTACCCGTGAGCATGGAATGTTCTTCCATTTGTTTGTATCCTCTTTTATTTCCTTGAGCAGTGGTTTGTAGTTCTCCTTGAAGAGGTCCTTCACATCCCTTGTAAGTTGGATTCCTAGGTATTTTATTCTCTTTGAAGCAATTGTGAATGGGAGTTCACTCATGATTTGGCTCTCTGTTTGTCTGTTGTTGGTGTATAAGAATGCTTGTGATTTTTGTACATTGATTTTGTATCCTGAGACGTTGCTGAAGTTGCTTATTAGCTTAAGGAGATTTTGGGCTGAGACAATGGGGTTTTCTAGATATACAATCATGTCGTCGGCAAACAGGGACAATTTGACTTCCTCTTTTCCTAATATAGAAAGCTGAAACTGGATCCCTTCCTTACACCTTATACAAAAATCAATTCAAGATGGATTAAGGATGTAAACGTTAGACCTAAAACCATAAAAACCCTAGAAGAAAACTTAGGCATTACCATTCAGGGCATAGGCATGGGCAAGGACTTCATGTCTAAAACACCAAAAGCAATGGCAGCAAAAGACAAAATTGACAAATGGGATCTAAATAAACTAAAGAGCTTCTGCACAGCAAAAGAAACTACCATCAGAGTGAACAGGCAACCTACAGAATGGGAGAAAATTTTTGAAATCTACTTATCTGACAAAGGGCTAATATCCAGAATCTACAAAGAACCCAGACAAACTTACAAGAAAAAAAAAAATCAAAAAGTGGGCAAAGGATATGAACAGACACTTCTCAAAAGAAGACATTTATGCAGCCAACAGACACATGAAAAAATGCTCATCATCACTGGCCATCAGAGAAATGCAAATCAAAACCACAATGAGATATCATCTCACACCAGTTAGAATGGAAATCATTAAAAAGTCAGGAAACAACAGGTGCTGAAGAGGATGTGGAGAAATAGGAACACTTTTACACCATTGGTGGGACTGTAAACTAGTTCAACCATTGTGGAAGACAGTGTGGCAATTCCTCAGGGATCTAGAACTAGAAATACCATTTGATCCAGCCATCCCATTATTGGGTGTACACCCAAAGGAATATAAATCATGTTGCTATAAAGACACATGCACATGTATGTTTATTGCAGCACTACTCACAATAGCAAAACTTGGAACCAATCCAAATGTCCATCAATGATAGAATGGATTAAGAAATGTGGCACATATACACCATGGAATACTATGCAGCCATAAAAAATGATGAGTTCATGTCCTTTGTAAGGACATGGATGAAGCTGGAAACCACCATTCTCAGCAAGCTATCGCAAGGACAAAAAAGCAAACACCGCATGTTCTCACTCATAGGTGGGAATTGAACAATGAGAACACTTGGACACAGGAAGGGGAACATCACACACTGGGGCCTGTTGTGGGGAGGAGGGTTGAGGGAGGGATAGCATTAGGAGATATGCCTAATGTAAATGATGAGTTAATGGGTGCAGCACACCAACATGGCACATGTATACATAGGTAACAAACCTGCACATTGTGCACATGTACCTTAGAACTTAAAGTATAATAAAAAAAATATATATATATATATATAAAAGAAAATTTAAGCAACTCGAGTACAGAAAAAAAAAAGAAAAAGAAAGAAACGTTGGTGACGGGATGACTGGTCCATTCATGTATTCTTTCAAACTGAGCCTCTACAAGTGGCCAAGTCAAGGCACAATGATGCTAAGAGTTGTGCAATGCACACAGGTGAGCAACGGGTGCTCTTAATTCTAAGGTACCACTCTGGTCTACTGTAAAAATAAGCTCCCATATGGGAATTTCTTGAAATATGAATTTTTATTCCAACTTTATAGGAGGCCCACTGTGACTTTGGTAAAACTCCTTATTGCTTTTTCTTGTATTTTCCACATCAATGAATTAGAGAACTCTTCTATTTCTCTATATTATCAGGGTCATCATATGAATGAAGGCTTAAACTTTCATAAATAACTTATAAATTCAAAGCATCATGAAAAAACAATGAATTATAATGGAAAACAGCATGAGGGAAAATTACTTAGAATTTTAGAATTCTGTCTCTATTCTTAACAGCTTTATACAAGTTTTTAACCACTTTCAACTTCAGTTTCATTATCTGTAAAATAATAGCTACCTCAAGAAAGTTTTATGCATAACTCTAAAGTAAATGTAACTCTAAGTGCCTGGCATACATAGTTAAGCCAACAAAAAATTTAGCTGTTATTTGTAGTGGTCTTCTTTCAGGGCATTAAACTCATATGGTTTTTTAATCCCTTCTTTGTATGCTGTACACTCCTTGATATTTGATAGTTGATAAATAAAGATTTCTTAAACTTAAATTAACCAGCCATCTAGGACACAATAAATTATGAAAACTTAATTAAGAATTTAGATTTACTTAATTTTTATTAAAATTGGGAGATGTTTAAGACATGTGAGTCAAGTCAATTTACATTTTGTAAAGCATCCGATTAGTAAATTTTCTTTCATTCCTATTTCTGAAAATATTCCTATTGTAGACACAGTGTTTAATATAGTTTCCATTAGATATAGAGTCATGGGTCGGGTATTTTTTTTTTCCCGTCAGAACTTTGAGGCTGATGTTTCAATGTCTTCTCTTATACATTGTTGCTGAAAAATGTGAATCACATTTTCTTCTTCCTTTTATGTATGGTGTTTTCTTTTAAGAAGCTTTTAAGAGGTCTTTCATTGCTTTTCAAGTTCTGTACCATCATTTGATAGCCAAGATGTGGAATTAGCTTATCAGGACCCAGAGACTTCCTCCTATATGACACTGCAATTTTAGAAAATTTGAAAGCATTTTGTTTTCAAATGTTATTTCCTCATTATTGATAATAGTATGTTCCTGGAAACCCTACTTTATGCATGATGGTTATTTTCTACTTATCTTTCCCATCTCCTAAATTCTTATCAGTATCTTTCATCTCTAAATATTCCTCTGTGTTAATTCTGGGTGATTGCCTCAGATCTCTCTTCAAATCTACTAATTCTTTCTTAGATATTAATCCATCCACTGAGATTTTTTTAATTTGAGTGATTATATTTTCAATGTCTATAATTTTATTTGCATTTATTTGAAAAAAATTTCTTTTTCTGGTTGACTTTTTTTTCACACTGTTCTTTTCTTCGTAATTTCATATCCTTCCACTGTATCATTGAGCACTTTAAATACACTTATTTAAAATTGCCTAAGTGGTTTTATCTTCAGTTATAAGGTACAATTTTTATTGAATATTTTTAAAAGGTGTTATAATGTTTTGTGTTTTCCTTTGATTTATAATTTTATTCCTGTGAGTTCCCCCAGTGAGGTTCCTTGATGTGCCTGGCCTGTAGTGGGCATGCTTGCTGTTGTTCCAAAAATGATTCAGCCTTCTGGTTTCCCAGTTGCAGAACAATTTTAATGTAATTTTAGGAGGAAAGAGGAAGATTAAGAAGCAATGTGAGCAAAAAATGTGGACATTAATTATCTTGATATTCATTCACCATGCCAATAGTATAAATTTACTTTATAAGTGTGAAAGCTGTAGGCCTGGGCTCCTGATATTTTGTGTGTGATACAATTTCCAGCCATCGTTCCTGGGAGTTGGAAAGTATTCCTGGGACTTCCTAGTGCTGTTTGGTAGACTTTTTTCTCAGAACTTGTTTCAGAGATGAGGTAGAACTTTGTGACTTCTAACCTTACGAATATAACTCAGTTATAGCTACCCAAAGCCATGGAACCTAAAGTCAAGTGCCCTCTTCCTAGGTAGGTATCAAAGCCATCATCAGGTTCCAATTCCCCTTGGATTCATGTGTCATTCATCACTTTGGCTAATTCCCTCCCTTCCTTCCTTTTCATTTATCCTCACTTCTGTACTGATAACAGGGGATGAGTACTGTGCATCCAGTCAATTAACCATGCTGAGCAGAAGAACCGTCATTTATTAATAGTAAATGCAAATAAAATGTAGCTAGTCATATGACTCCAAAGAAAGGAAATATTTTTTGTACATCATTAGTGTGATAGTGCTAATTTTATCTTTGTACAAATTCCGGAGGATTAACTTGCACTGAGGATTTTGAATGGAATTTTCTAAGCATTCTCATGTATAATTGCATCACTGAACTTGCTTCAGGTGTTTTAAGTGTACTACTACTTCCGTTTGGATTGTAAGTGTTTACATAAACATTCTAAAAAGATATTAAGAAAATTTCAAAGGCAAATAATTATATAAATTAACTAAGCAGTCTTTGAGAAATTAACTGGATTCAACTTTCAACTGGTTGGAGTATGTTTTTAAGTGATTTTTTAAAGGTAGAAGAGTGTATGGCTTAGGCAATAGCCATGTATATTTTTGAAGAGGTCATTAAATTATTTTAATAATAAGTAAGTGTTATATTAAAATTTTCAGTAAAAATCTGATCTTGTAAACACCATTACAAATTGCTTTTCTGTCTTATAACATTTTGTATTTCAGAAAAGTCTGAAACTAGACATATTTTTGTTCTTTTAAAGGACATTGAAGTCTTAAAGTGAAAAGCTTTTATTCTGTGTATGTATATGTCTATATCTATATGTACAGCTATCTCATCTATAAATAATTCCTAGATATTTAATATCTCTGTTTCTACTGCAAATGTACCTCAAGAAAAAAATTCAAATTGGTTTCTGATCAGACTTTAAAACATACATTGCTTTTTACGTTTTTATTCTTATATTTTGGCCACGTTGCTGAAACAAATTATTAATTTTAATAACATGAAGATCCTCCTAGATTTGTTTGAATAGACATTCGTATCATCTGCAAATAACTTTTCCTATCTTCTTCAATATTCTTTCTTATTCTTAATTCTAAATGGGATGCTAATCTTGTTAAGTCATTAAAATGATACATGATAAACAACCCTTGCAATTAGAGAATGTTATATTTTTCATTCATATTTAAAAATATAACAGTGAGTATCTTTTTGTTTTTTGCTTTCTTATTTTTAATTTTTTTAATTTTACTTTAAGTTCTGGGATACATGTGCTGAATGTGCAAGTTTGTTACATACATATACATGTGTCGTGGTGGTGTGCTGCACCTATCAACCTGTCATCTAGGTTTTAAGCCCCACATGCATTAGGCATTTGTCCTAATGCTCTCCATCCCTTTGTTCTTCACCCCCTGACAGGCCCCAGTGTGTGATATTACCCTCCCTGTGTCCGTGTGTTCTCATTGATCAACTCCCACTTACGAGTAAGAACATGTGGTGTTTGGTTTTCTATTCCTGTGTTAGTTTGCTGAGGATGATGGTTTCCCACTTCATCCAAGTCCCTGCAAAGGACATGAACTCAGTTTTTCATGGCTGCATAGTATTCCATGGTGTATGTGTGCCACATTTTCTTTATCCAGTCTATCATTGATGGGCATTTTGTTGGTTCCAAGTCTTTGCTATTGTAAATAGTGCTTCAGTAAACATACATGTGTACGTGTCTTTATAGTAGAATGATTTATAATCCTTTGGTATATACCCAGTAATGTGATTGTTGGATCAAATGGTATTTCTGCTTCTGGATCCTTGAGGAATTGCAACACTGTCTCTCACAATAGTTGAACTAATTTACACTCCCACCAACAGTGTAAAGGCATTCCTATTTCTCCTCATCCTTGCCAGCATCTGTTGTTTCCAGACTTTTTAATGATTGTCATTTTAACTGGTGTGAGATGGTATCTCACTGTGGATTTGGTCTGCATTTCTCTAACGACCAGTGATGGTGAGCTTTTTTTCATGTTTGCTTGGCCATATAAATGTCTTTCTTTGAGAAGTGTCTGTTCATATACTTTGCTCACTTTTTGATGGGCTTGTTTGTTTTTTTCTTGTAAATTTGTTTTAGTTCCTTGTAGATTCAGGATATTAGACCTTTGTCAGAGGGATAGATTGCAAAAATTTTCTTTCATTCTGTAGGTTGCCTCTTCACTCTGATCATAGTTTCTTTTGCTGAGCAAAGCTCTTTAATTTAATTAAATCACATTTGTCAATTTTGGATTTTGTTGCAATTGCTTTTGGTGTTTTGTTCATGAAGTCTTTGTCCGTGCCTATGTCCTGAATGGTATTGCCTAGGTTTTCTTCTAGGGTTTTTATAGTGTTAGGTTTTACATTTAAGTCTTTAATCCATCTTGAGTTAATTTTTGTATAAGGTATAAGGAAAGGGTCCAGTTTCTGGTTTCTGCATATGGCTAGCCAGTTTTCCTAGAATGACTTATTAAATAGAGAATCCTTTCCCCATTCCTTGTTTTTGTTAGGTTTGTCAAAGATCAGATGGTTGTAGATGTCTGGTGTTATTTCTGAGGCCTCTATTCTGTTCCATTGGTCTATATCTCTGTTTTGGTACCAGTATCATGCTGTTTTGGTTACTGTAGCCTTGTAGTATAGTTTAAAATCAGGTAGCGTGATGCCTCCAGCTTGTTATTTTTGCTTAGGATTTTCTTGGCTATATGGGCTCTTATTTGGTTCCATATGAAATTTGAAGTAGATTTTTCTAGTTCTGTCAAGAAAATCAATGGTAGCTTGATGGGAATAACATTGAACCTATAAATTACTTATACTTTTCACAATATTGATTCTTCCTACACATAAGCATGGAACTTTTTTTCCATTTGTTTGTGTCCTCTCTTATTTCCTTGAGCAGTGGCTCATAGTTCTCCTTGAAGAGGTCCTTCACATCTCTTGTAAGTTGTATTCCTAGATATTTTATTTTCTTTGAAGCAATTATGAACAGGAGTTCACTCATGATTTTGCTCTCTGCTTGTCTATTAGTGGTGTATAGGATTACTTGTGATTTTGGCACATTGGTTTTGTATCCTGAGACTTTGCTGCAATTGTTTATCAGCTTAAGGAACTTTGGGGCTGAGACAATGGAATTTTCTAAATATACATTCATGTTGTCTACAAACAGAAACAATTTCACTTCCTCTCTTCCTATTTGAATACCCTTTATTTCTTTCTCTTGCCTGATGGCTGTGGCCAGAATTTCCAATGCTATGTTGAATAGGAGTGGTGAGAGAGGGCATCCTTATCTTGTGCCGGTTTTCAAAGGAAATGCTTCCAGCTTTTGTCCATGCAGTATGGCATTGGCTATGGGTTTGTCATAAGTAGCTCTTATTATTTTGAGATGTGTTCCATCAATACCTAGTTTATCGAGAGTTTTTAGCATGAAGGAATGTTGAATTTTATTGAAGGCCTTTTCTGCATATATTGAGAAAATCATGTGGTTTTTGTCATTGGTTGTGTTAAGTGATGGATTACGTTTACCAATTTGCATATGTTGAACCAGCCTTGCATCCCAGGGATGAAACTGTCTTAATCATGGTGGATAAGCTCTTTGATGTGCTGCTGGATTCTGTTTGCCAGTAATTTATTGAGGATTTTCGCACTGATGTTCATCAGGGATATTTGTATGAAGTTTCTGCCCAGTTTTGGAATCAGGATGATACTGGCCTCATAAAATGAGTTATGGATGAGTCCTTCTTTTTCTATTGTTTGTAATAGTTTCAGAAGGAATGGTACCAGCTCTTCTTTATAATTCAGGTAGATTTCTGCTGTGAATTCATCTGGTCCTGGGCTTTTTTTTTATAATCGGCTATTAATTACTGCCTCAATTTCAGAACATGTTATTGGTCTTTTCAGGAATATGACCTCTTCCTAGTTTAGTCTTGGGAGGGTGTGTATGTCCAGAAATTTATCGATTTCTTTTAGATTTTCTAGTTTATTTGTGTAGAGGTGTTTATAGTATTCTCTGATAGTAGTTTGTATTTCTGTGGGATCATTGGTGATCTCTCCTTTATCATTTTTTATTGTGTCTATTTGATTCTTCTCTCTTTTATTCCTTATAAGTCTGGCCAGCAGTCTATCTATTTTGTTAATCTTTTCAAAAACCCAGCTCCTGGATTCACTGATCTATTTTAACAGTTTTTCGTGTCTCTATCTCTTTCAGTTCTGCTCTGATCTTAATTATTTCGTGTCTTCTGCTAGCTTTCGAATTTGTTTGCTCTTGCTTCTCTAGTTGTTTTAATTGTGATGTTAGGGTGTCAATTTTAGATCTTTCTCACTTTCTGATGTGGGTGTTTAGTGCTATAAATTTCCCTCTTAATATTGCTTTAGCTGTGTCCCAGAGATTATGGTACATTGTCTCTTTGTTCTCATTGGTTTCAAAAAATTTGTTATTCCTGCCTTAATTTTGTTATTTACCCAGTAGTCATTCAGGAGCAAGTTGCTCAATTTCCATGTAGTTGTGTGGTTTTGAGTGTGTTTCTTAATACTGAGTTCTAATTTGATTGCACTGTGGTCTGAGAGGCTGCTTGATGTGATTTCTGTTCTTTTTGCATTTGCAGAGGAGTGTTTTACTTCCAATTATGTGGTCAATATTAGAATAGTGTGATTTGGTGCAGGAAGAAGGTATATTATGTTGATATGGGGTGAAGACTTCTGTAGAAGTCTATTAGGTCTGCTTGGTCCAGAACTGAGTTCAATTCCTGAATATCCTTGTTAATTTTCTGTCTCGTTGATTTGTCTAATATTGACAGTGGGGTGTTAAAGTCTCCCACTTTTATTGTGTGGAAGTCTAAGTCTCTTTGTAGGTCTCTAAGACCTTGTTTTATGAATCTGGATCCTACTGTAATGGGTGAATATATGTTTAGGATAGTTAGCACTTCTAGTTTCATTGATCCCTTTACCATTATGTAATGCCCTTCTTTGTGTTTTTTGATCTTTGTTGGTTTAAAGTCTGTTTTATCAGAGACTAGGATTGCAACCCCTGCTTTTTTTTTTTTTTTTTTTTGCTTTCCATTTGCTTGGTAAATATTCCTCCATCCCTTTATTTTGAGCTTATGTATGTCTTTGCATGTGAGATGGGTCTCCTGAATACAGCACACCGATGGTTCTTGATTCTTTATCTAATTTGCTAGTCTGTGTATTTTAATTGGGGCATTTAGCCCATTTACATTTAAGGTTAATATTGTTATGTGTGAATTTGATCCTGTCATTATGATGCTAGCTTGTTATTTTGCCTGTTAGTTGATGCAGTTTCTTCATAGTGTCATTGGTCTTTATATTTTGGTGTTCTGTTTGTTTGTTTTTTGTTTTTTCTGCAGTTGCTGGTACCAGTTTTTCCTTTCCATATTTAGTGCTCCTTCAAGAGCTCTTGTAAGACAGGCCTGGTGGTGACAAAATCCTTCACCGTTTGCTTGTCTGTAAAGAATTTTATTTCTCCTTCACTTAGGAAACTTAGTTGGCTTGATATGAAATTCTGGGTTGAAAATTCTTTAAGAATATTGAATATTGGTTCCCACTCTCTTCTGTCTTGTAGGGTTTCTGCAGAGAGATCCACTATTAGTCTGACTGGCTTCTCTTTGTAGGTAACCTGACCTTTCTCTCTGACTGCCCTTAACATTTTTTCCTTTGTTTCAACCTTGAAGAATCTGATGATTATGTGTCTTGAGGTTGCTTTTCTCGAGGAGTATCTTAGTGGTGTTCTCTGAATTTCCTGAATTTAAATGTTGGCCTTTCTTGCTAGGTTGGGGAAGTTCTGGATAATATCCTGAAGTGCGTTTTCCAACTTGGTTCCATTCTTCTTCTCACTTTCAGGGACCCCAATCTATCGTAGGTTTAGTCTTTTTACATAGTCCCATATTTCTTGGAGGCTTTGTTTGTTCCTTTTCAATCTTTTTTCTCTAATCTTGTCTTCACTCCTTATTTTATTAAGTTGATCTTCAATCCCTGAAATCTTTTCTTCTGCTTGATCATTTTGGCTATTAATACTTGTGTATGCTTCAGGAAGTTCTTGTGCTGTGTTTTTCAGCTCCATCAGGTCATTTATTTTGTTCTCTAAACTGGTTATTCTAGTTAGCAGTTCCTGTAACTTTTGTCAAGGTTCTTAGCTTCCTTGCATTGGGTTAGAACATGCTCCTTTAGCTCAGAAGCCTACTTCTGTCAATTAATCAAAATATTTCTTGTCCAGTTTTGTGCCCTTGCTGGAGAGGAGTTGCAATCATTTGGACGAAAACAGGTATTCTGGTTCTTTAAATTTTCAGCATTTTTCCAGTGATTTTTCCTCATCTTCATGGATTTATCTACCTTTGGTATTTGAGGCTGAAGACCATTGGATGGGGTTTCTTTTTGGGGGTTCTTTTGTTGATGTTGATTTTATTGCTTTCTGTTTGTTTGTTTTCCTTCTAACAGTCAGGCCCCTCTTCTGCAGGTCTGCTGCAGTTTGCTGGAGGTCCACTCCAGACCCTATTTGCCTGGATATCACCAGTGGTGGAGGCTGCAGAACAGCAAAGATTGCTGCCTGCTCCTTCCTCTGGAAGCTTTGACGCAAAGGCTGATGCCAGCCAGAGCTCTCCTGTATGAAGTCTCTGACAACCCCTGTTGGGAGGTCTCTTCCAGTCAGGAGGTTTGGCGGTCAGGGACCCAATTGAGAAGGAAGTCTGTCCCTTAGTAGAGCTCAAACGCTGTACTGAGAAAAACCCTCCTTGTCAGGATCTGCTGCTCTCTTCAGAGTCAGCAGGCAGGAACATTTAAGTCCACTGAAGTTGTGCCTACAGCCACCCCTTCCCCCAGGCGCTCTGTCCCAGTGAGATGGGAGTGGTATCTATAGGCCCCTGATTGGAGCTGCTGCCTTTCTTTCAGAGATGTCTTGCCAAGTGAAGAGGAATCTAGAGAGGCAGTCTGGCCATAGCCGCTTTGCCACACCATGTTGAATTCTGCCCAGTCTGAGCTTCCAGGCCTTTTTAGTCCTGTCAGGGGAAAACCACCTACTCAAGCCTCCATAATGGCAGAAACCTCTCCCCCAACCAAGCTCGATCATCCCAGGTCAACTTCAGACTGCTGTGCTTCCTGTGAGAATTTCAAGCCAGTGGTTCTTAGCTTGCTGGGCTTTTTGGGAGTGGGACCCCCTGAGTGAGACCACTTGGCTCCCTAGCTTCAGTCCCCTTTCCACGGGAATAAATGATTCTGTCTCACTGAGGTTCCAGGCACCACTGGGTTATGAAAAAATAACAACAATAATAATAAAAACCTGCAGCTAGCTCAGTGTCAGCCCAAACAGTTTTCCAGTTCTGTGCTTGAAACCCAGGGCCCTGATGGTGTAGGCACATGAGGGAATCTCCTGGTCTGTGGTAAATACTGTGGGAAAAGCATAGTATCTGGGCTGAATAGCACAGTCCCTCATGGCTTCTCTTGGCTGGGGGAGGGATGCCTCCCTCTCTTTGCACTTCCTAGATGAGGCAATGCCCCACCCTGCTTCTGCTTGCCTTCCGTGTGCTGCACCCACTGCCTAACAAGTTCCAATGAGATGAATAGGTTACCTCAGTTGGAAACGCAGCAATCACCTGCCATCTGCATTGGTCTCGCTGGAGCTGCCAGAGCTGTTCCTTTTTGGCCATCTTGCCAGCAGTCTCTTTTTGATTTTTATATTTTAATGAGAATTTATTAATAATAGCTTGGGTGTGTCTTGATATTATCATATAATTTCTTCATTATAACCCTTTAAAACAAATTAACCTCACAGTTACATTTTGTGTGCTACTTTTGTTCATTTTTTTATAAAAATGCGAGACTTGTAAACTGAGCTAGAAAATATGTTTAATGAAAAAGTATTTTTAGGTTTATAAAATGTTTTATAATAAGAACTTATTTGTGTGCTGAAAGCATTTTTGTCAATATATTTGCTTTCTTTGCTTTAAATTTTTAATTTACTCACAAACCTATGCAGGTTTTTTCTTTACTTAGTGATGTTTACTACATATTCAATTCTCTAAAGCATATTAGCCTACTCAGAGCTTTCATACATTCTTAAGTGAATTTTAATCATTTTTCTTTATCTGTTTCACCTGTATTTTCAAATGTTGTAATGTCATTTTATATGATAATCTTTCATGTTTTAAAAATTCCACAGTATTTAAATTTATATCTCCTTTCTTATATAATAAAGGTACTATTTGTATCTTTTTCCCCCAATCAAACATGAAAAAAATTTGTCAGTTTTGGTTTTCAAAAAAAAATTTATTTTGTCCAACTTATGGTAAAATATACATAATATAAAATTTACTATTTTAGCCATTTCACCAGCATTAAGTACTTTCACATTGCTGTGAAACCATTACCATCATCAACCCACAGAACATTTTAGTCTTGCAAAGCTTAAACTACTCACATTAACTCTCTGTTTCTCCCTATCACCCAGCTCCTGGCAAATACCATTCTACTTTTCTCTCTATAAATTTGACTACATTGAATATCACATATGGGTTTGAATCATGCAGTATTTGTCCTTTTGTGACTGGTTTGTTTCATTTAGCATAATGTTTATCCATATTGTAGTATGTGTCTGAATTTCCTTCCTTTTAAAGCTGAATAGTAGTCCATCTATATTTATGTACCACGTTATGTTTACCCACTAATCCATTAGTAGACATATGGGCTGCTTCCAACTTTTGGCTATTGTAAACAATGAACATGGGTATACCAATATCTGTTGAGGCCTTCATTTCAGGCTGAGCACTGTGCTGAAGACAGGCAGGCCTGGTGAAGTCCAGAATGAAAAATTCTGTCCTGTAGTAATGGAGTTGGCCTATGGAATACTTGTTATTTCTCTCCTCTATGAAGTGACTTAGTGGAGAGAATTAGGATCAGAATAGATCTAGGAAAGATATAACCAAGAGAATGTGCTGCTGGACAGGGAAGAGGATGCTCACATATGTTGTCAGGAATGCATAGTGCCCTTGCCCTTAGGTAAGAGGTGATTGAAACTAGAACCTGCCACCCAGAAGTGGAATTACTGGATCATATGGTTACGATAATTTTTTTGTTTTGTTTTTTTGTTGTTTTTTGGAATTGCCATGCTGTTTTTCACAGTGGCTATGCCATTTTACATTCTCACCAGCAATGTGCAAGAATTCCAATTTCTCCGCATCCTTGCTAACGCTTATTACTTCTGTTTTACTTTTGCTTTTGTTTTTGTAATAGTCATCTGTATTAGTTCATTCTTACATTGCTAGAAAGAACTACCTGAGACAGAGTAATTTATAGAGGAAAGAGATTCAATCGGCTTACAGTTCTATGGGCTGAACAGGTTTCTGCTTCTGGGGAGGCCTCAGGAAACTTACAATCATGGTGGAAAGTAAAGAGGCAGCCAGTACATCTTTATATGGCCAGCAGGGTAGGGGTGGCAGGAGGTGCAACACATTTAAAAAAAAAAACACATCTTGTGAGAACTCTATCATGAGAACAGCAAGGGGGAAGTTCACTCCCATGATTCAATCACCTCTCACCAGGCCCCTCCTCCAACACTGGAAATTACATTCAACATGAGATTTAGGTGGGGACACAGAGCCAACCCATATCATCATTCTAATGGTAGTGAAGTGGTATCTCACTGTGGTTTTGATATGCATTTTCCTAATGATTAATGATGTTGAGCATCTTTTCATGGGCTTATTGTCTATTTGTATATCTTTTGTATCTCTTAATAGATGTCTATTCAAGTTCTTTATTTTATTTTTATTTTTTGAACTGGGTTGCTTGTTTTTTATTGTTGCATTATAGAAGTTCCTTATATATTTTGGATATAGATCTCTTATAAAACATATTATTTGTTTATATTTTCTCTCATTCTATATGTTGTCTCTTCACTCTTGATTGTTTTATTTGCTTTACAGAAGCTTTTAGTTTGAAAAAAACCCACATAGCCACAACAGCCTTGAGCAAAAAGAACAAAGCTAAAGGAATCACACTATCTGACTTAAAAACATAGTACAAAGCTATAGTAACTAACACAGCATAATACTGGCATAAAAACGAATACATAGACCAGTGGAGCAAAATAAAGAACCCAGAAATAAATCCAGATATTTACCATGAACTAATTGTCAACAAAAGCACCAAGAATATCTACTGGAGAAAAAGCTGTCTCCCCAATAAATTGTTCTGGGAAAACTTGATATCCACGTGACAAAGAAGGAAACTAGATCTCTCTCTCTCTCTCTCACCACATGCAAAAATCAACTCAAATAGATTAAGGACTTAAATTTAGGATCTGAAACTATGAAATACTGGAGAATAACATAGAGAAAATGCTTCAAAACATAGGTCTAGACAAGGATTTTTTTTTAGTGACAATGTTGAAATTTACTCCAACTGTATAATCCTGGAAAATTGCAAAGTTTAAGGAACTTTATCCCCCAAACCTTTGTTTCCTTGGTAACAGCTTACTGCAAAGAAGCATATTTTCCTGTGGGACTTCATTAAATTTAATGAGAGTCCCCTGTTTACACAGAAAAAAGCCAGATATAGACCCATCAAATTCCCATTTTTTGTCTTATCAAGGGTTCCTGAGATTTTTGCCCCACTGATCGATATGAAATGTGATTGTTATTTTGACTTTATCACCCTTTAAGTTAAGCTTCATTCCTTCCTTCAAGTTCCTCAACTTTGGACCACTCTTGGGCAAGGTAATATGAAACAACTTCTCCTTAACAACCCCTGTCAAGAGCAGGCTGAGCTTCAGATAAATCATTCGTTGAATAACTGTAGATCATGACATGCTCAACCACTGCCCCATACCTTATTCTTTCTAGGCTACTTTACCCCTCCATATAAAAGAAGAGTTTTTTTCTGTGTGACTTTTGGACATTTTCAGATCCTGTAGTTGAAACATTCTTCCTACTACAATAATTTCGGTCAATAAGATCTCTACTTCCCTAAATCTAAATTTGCTTTCTACAGTGGTAAATATTTTAATCTTCCAATCTGTTTTAGAATATGCATATTCTCTTTTGTAGCAAAGGATTTAATATACACTCATATGATAGTAGTTTCTATTTTAAAACTTTTTTTAATCCTTAATAATTTGCATTTGCTTTGTAAATATAGTACAGGGAGAAATGTCAAAACTTTTCTTTAATAGAGGAAATATTCTTTTATATTTCTTGTGAATATGTCCATTTTGCTCCCTTGAAGAATTTACAAGCATCAGAACTCTACGTACACAAAATAGATAGATGGATAATTTTTATCTATAGTCGATTAGTTTATCATAATTCCAGTATTCTGACTTCAATGAAAAGCTCCACAATCAACTCAATTATTTTTTGTTACTGATTATGGATGTTCGTATTGATATTTCCATTTTGGCAACCTTACTAGTTAGCGATACTGTGTAATAAAGAATTAGTGACCTTGTTGAGATCTCAAAATCTGTCCTAGATGGTCTATCTTTTTAAAATGTGCTGATACATCTTCTTGAAATTATCTTGCAGGGCTTTCAAAAGACCAGGACGTTCTGCTCTTTTAAGCTAAAAATATCTTAAATATGCTAGTTTTTCTATGTAAACATGATCATATTTCAATTGCTTACCACTCTTGGATGGATGAAATCTTCCACATATAGGAATATGAGATAAAAGACAGAATTCTTGGTAGATGTTAACACAGAGATACTGTTATACAAATATTAGTTTTTAATTTTTTTACTTCAGACTCAGGGGGCACATGTGTAGGTTTGTTATGGAGTATATTGTGTGATGCTGAGGTTTGGACTTCTACTGATCTTGTCATTCAATAGGAAGTTTTTCAACTCTTCTCCCCACCTACCTCCTACCTTTAGAAGTCCCGAGTGACTGTTGTTGCCATCCTTATGTCCATGTGTAGGCAAAGTTTAGCTCCCAATTATAAGTGATAATATGCAATATTTGGTTTTGTCTTTCTGTGTTAATTTGCTTAGGATAATGGCCTCCAGTTATAGCTGTGTTGCTGCAAAAGACATGATTTTATTATTTTTCATAGTTGCATTGTATTCCATGGTGTATATGTACCACATTTACTTTATCCAGTGATTCCTTGTCTTTGCTATTCTGAATAGTGCTGCAATAAACATGTAAGAGCAAGTGTCTTTCTGACAGGACAATTTATTTTCCACTTACATAACCAGTAAAGGGATTGCTGGGTCAAATTGTAGTACTATTTTTAGTTTTTTGAGAAATCCCTAAACTGCTTTCTACAGGGACCGAAGTCATTTAAATTCCCACCAACTATGTATAAGCATTCCCTTTGCTCTGCAACCTTGCCATCATCTGTTATTTTTTCACTTTTTAATGATAGCCATCCTGATTGTGCGTGTCACTTGGTGTGAGGTATTATTCTCATTGTGGTTTTGATTTGCATTTCTCTAATTAGTGATGTTGAGCATTTTTTATATGTCTGTTGGCCACTTTTATGTCTTCTTTTGAGAATACTTTTTATACTTTTTGCCCACTTTTTAATGGTGTACTTTCTTTTTCTCTTGTTGATTTATTTAAGTTCTTTATAGATTCTGCATATTAGTCCTTTATACATTCATAGTTTGCAAATATGTTGTCCCATTCTGTAGGGTGCCTTTTTACTCTGTTGATAGTTTCTTTTGCTGTTCAGAAGCTCTTTAGTTTAACTAGGTCCCAATTATCAGTTTTTGTTTTGGTTGCTATTGCTTTTGAGGACTTAGTCATAAACTCTTTGCCTATGCTGATACTTGAGAGAGTATTTTGTAGGTGTTCTTCAATAATTGTTATAGTTTGAGGTCTTATATTTAAGTCTTTAATATATCTTGAGTTATTTTTTGTATATAGTGAGAGGGAGTGGTCTAGTTTCATTCTTCCACAAATGGTTAGCCAGTTTTCCCAGCATCATTTATTGAATAGGGAGTCATTTCCTCATTGCTTATTTTTGCCCATTTTGTCACAGGTCAGTTGGTTCTAGGTGTGCTGCTTTATTTCTGAATTCTCTATTCTGTTTCATTGGTCTATGTGTCTAGTTTATTAACAGTACCATGCTGTTTTGATTACTATGGCCTTATAGTATATTTTGAAGTTGGGCAATGTGATGCCTTCAGCTTTGTTTTTTTTTTGCTAAGGATTGCTTTTCTTATTCAGGCTCTTTTGGGAGTCCATATAAATTTTAGAATGCTTTTTTCTAATTCTTTTTTAAAAAATAACATTGGTAATTTGGTACATATAACATTGAAAGTATAGATTGGGCAGTGTAGATATTTTAATGATATCGTCATCTATGATTTCCTTCAGCAGTGTTTTGTGGTTGTCTTTGAGAGGTCTCACCTCCTTGGCTAGATATGCTCCTAGATATTTTATTTTTTTCTGGCTATTGTAAATGTGTTTGCGTTATCGATTTGACTTTCAGCTTGAACCTTACTGGTGTATGCAAATGCTACTAATTTTTGTACATTAATTTGGTAGCCCAAAACTTCATTGAGATGGTTCATCAGGCCTAGGAGCCTTTTGGTGAAGTCTTTAGAGATTTTTAGGTATAGAATCGTATCATTAGCAATAATATTAGCTATTATTGATAACAGCAAAAAGTTGTATATATATATATATATATGTAGGTGAATGCTCTCAGAGCAGAATTCATAAAACTTCTAAAATAATTCTATGAGTAGTTTATAATTTTACGGTGAGTGCTTAGAATATAATGTTAAATAAAGCTTGTTCATTATAATAGCAACATTATAAAAAGCATGGAAAAATATTGAAAGGGAAGATACTAAAACAGAGAATAATTATGGGTTGTTCTAAATTTTTATGCACTGTAAATGATACAATGTCTCCAATTTATCACAATAAAAAGTGTTTTAAAAGTCTGAAGTTTTGAAAAGGGTTACATCAGCAAGATAGTAGATTAAGAACCCCAGAGTCATTATCCAACAGAGATACAAATTTAACAATAATATATGTTCAAAAAGTCTTTATGAGAACTCTGGAAATAATTAAGAAGTCACAATACCCCAGAGCAAACAATAGCTATATTGAAATGAGTAAGAAAACCTGCTGCATTTCACTAACAGCCCTCCCACCAAGCCAGCACAATTAGTGCAATCAGGAGAACATGCCCAACTCACAAATTTTTCCTTGAGAGGGAAATAGAAGAGTGGAGTGTGAGTGTACATAAAATTTTCTGACTTTTCAGTGAAGCTGTCTATGGAACTGGTTTCTGTTTCACCTGGTGAAGAGCATTGATGATGAGCTGCAATAGATTGGATGCCTGAGAGCCACTGAGAACAAAGGAGTGGTTTGTTGCAACACCAGAGAACCAGCAGCAGCACAGACAGACAGTGGAAGGAGCAAGAAATTATGAGATTTTCTTAAAATCCTATATACCATTGTAATTAGGAAATTACACAAACAAGCACAGAGAAGACACATTTTTAGAAAAGATTTGAGAGGCCCAAAGAATCTCTGACTAGAATAATTAGTAAAGATCTTCCCCTGCATGAAGCCAGTCCTTATGGCCTGAGAATTTTAGATCTTTTTTTCCAAATAAGTAAATCCTGGCCAAAAAAAGCATATGAAGAAACAGGGAAATAAGGCTCAATCAAAAGAAAAAATATCTCTAAAAATTAATATTTAAAGAATGAGAGCTCTGTGAATTTTCTAAAAAAATAATTCAAAATATCTTAAAGAATCTTAATGAGCTACAAGATAAATAGACGGACAACCAAACAAAGCATGAACAGAATGAGAGTATCAATAAGGAGTTAGAAACTACAAAAAAGATTCAAACTGAAATTCTGAAGCTGAAGAATAGAACAACTTAATTGAAAACTTTACTAGAGAGTTTCAAAAACACTCTTCATTTATTAGAAGAATCAGTGAACTCAAAGACAAGTTATTTGAACTTATTGACCAAGGGGATCAGAAGGAAAAACAATAAAGACAGAAAGAATAAAAAACTTATATTATCCCACCAAGTAAACAAGTATATCCATTATAAAAGTCCCAGAAGAAAAGAGATAGGGTCCAGGACTTCTGATTCGGCCATCTTGCTGATGTCACCTTTTCTTTTTTTTCTTTTTTTTTTTTTTTATAATGTTTATGTTCTATAGGTATTTTCTTTTTGGTTACCAAGACAAAAGCAAAAGGTGACATCAGCACAGTGGCAGAATAGGAAGACCTGGACTTCCTATTTTCTCCCACAAACACACTGATTAAGCAACAATTCAAAAATCAGCCCACTCTGTGAGTAATCACAAACGAATTAAAAGACTCCTGCACCTCAGAAGAAAGCTTAACCAGATTTGTCGAAGCTAGTAGGGAAATTCAGGATACTTTCTAACCAGAAATCCCTCCCTTGCACAGTGCCATTGGATCAAGAACATATGCCCTTCCTTCTAGCTTCACCCAAGGGAGAGAAGAGATTGGTTTGTGTGTTCAGCACTCCACTTCTGCAAGGGGGCTCTCAGCAAACTGGTTGCTGTCCTATGAATATTGGGGCTGTGATGGGTCTGGCACAGTCCAACCACCCAGGGGAGAATGTTGGCAACAGTTTAGCCTGGTAGATGCCAGTGATTATACCCCTTGCTCAGCACATAGCAAGTAGGTTTTAAAAAACAAGCTGAAAGATTCTCCATAGGAAAGGAAAGAATTTATCCATGTGTCCAGCACCCTAACTTTTCTCCATGGATGCCAAAATAACTAGCATTTCTAACCAGTGCTGACTTAAGCAGGCCCAGCACAGTCAAGCTGCTCAGAGAAGTATGAAAATGGTGTTTTGGGCTTGTAGACCATAGCTACCCTCTCTCTGGCTCAACACAGAATAAATGGACAAAAATCACAGCTGCCTAATTCCTCCTCAGGAGGGAAAGAATTATTATAGGCCACCATTATTTTTGGCTGTATTTGTTGGTGAAAGTGTTCTCTTTTATAAAACCAGTCCATGAAGACTGGGAGAGGTGCTTGCTTTGTTAATATACAGAAACCAACATAGAGGGTCAAGAAAAAATGAAGAATCAGGTAAAAATGTTCTAAACAAAGGAACAAGATAAACATACAGAAACCAACCTTACATGATTTATCCAATAGATAATTAAAAATAATTACAAGATGCTCATCAAGGACACAAAAATATAGTGAGAATTTCAACAACGAGATGGGAAATCTTAAAAAGTACCAAACAGAAATCATGGGCTGAACAACGTACACTGAAAAATTTACTAGAGAGGTTCCACAGCAGACTAGACCAAGCAAAAGAAAGGATTAGCAAATCCAATGACAGATCACTGGAAATAATTTAGAGGAGCATAAAGACAAAAAGACTGCAAAAGAGTGAAGAAAACTTACAGGAATTATGGGACACCATCAAGTTGACCAACACACACATTCTGAAGTCCCAGAAAAAGAAGAAACAAAGAACCAGAAAAGTGACTTAATGTAATAATGACTAAAACTTATCAAATCTGTAGAAGTAAGTTCCAGGTCCCAGAAGCCCAGAGACACGAAATAAGATGAATACATGCACATCGAAACACATTATAATCAAATTGTCAAATGTAAAAGACAAAGTAAGAATTCTGAAAGCGGCAAGAGAAAAAGAGTGACTTGTCATATACAAGGAACTTCCATGAGACTATAAATAGACATTTCAGCAGAAACTTTTTGGGTTGGAAGGAGTAAAATAATATATTCAAAGTGCTGAAAGAAAAAAATGAAACTGATAATCAAGAATACTACATCTGGAAAAACTCTTCTTTAAAACAAAAAGGGAAGATAGAGACTTTCACAGAAAAACAAAAGCTGAAGGAGTTCATCATCACAAAACCTGCCTTAAAAGAAACGCAAAAGGGAGTCCTTAAGGTTGAAATGAAAGGATGCAAAATAGCAACACAATAGTATACGAAAATATAAAACTCGTTGGCAAAGGTAAATATGTAGACAAGTACATAATACTGTTACTGTAATCATTGTAAATTGCTCTAATACTTGTATAAAAGTTAAAAGAAAAATGTATTAAAATAACTATAACTAAAAATATGTTGAAAGGTACATAATATGAATAAATATAAATCATGATAAAAATAACAAAGTGTATGGGAGAAAATTGAAGTGTAGTCTTACTACATAATTGAATATAAGTTTCTATCGGCTTTAAATAGACTGTAATACAATAAGATATTTGTGTAAGCTCCAAGGTAACCACATACACAAAAAAAGCTATAGAATTATTTTAAAATTAAAAATAACAAAGTATATAAGTTTTTTAAAGTTTTTGTTTTTCTTTTTGTGACAGGAACTTGCTCTGTCACCCACGACTGGAGTGCAGTGGCATTATCATAGCTCACTGGAGCATCAAACTCCCAGGCTCAAGGGATTCTTCTACCTCAGCCTCCCGAGAAGATTAGGTATACATCAGCATGCCTCCCAAGGTACATGCCAGCATACCTGGCTAATTTTTTAATTAATTAATTAATTAATTAATTTAGTGTGTTTTTTTGTTTTTGTTTGTTTGTTTTTTGTTTTTTGTCTTTGAATAGACATTTCTCCATAAAGACATGCAAATGGTGAAGAAATACATAAAAAGATGCTCCATGTTATTAATCACCAGGGAAATGCTACTAAAACCATGAGATACCACTTCACACTTGTCTGGGTGGCTATTTTCAGAAACAAAAGACAAAGAGTGTTAGCAAGGATGTGGAGAAACTGGAACATTTGCATGCTGTTGTAGGAATGCAAAATGGTACAGCTGCTATAAAAAAATTGTATGGAGGTTTTCCAAAAATTGAAAATAGAACTACCATATGATTCAGCAATCCCACTTCTGGGTATTTATCCAAGATAGTTGACAACAAAGTCTCAAAGATATATTTGCATACCATCTTCATGGAAACATTATTCACACTAGCCAAGAGGTGGAAGCAACCTAAATGTTCATAGATGGATGAATAGATAAGCAAATTGTGGTATATGTTATATACATGTAATTAAATATTTTTTACATTTGAAAAAGAAGGAAATCCTGTCATATGCTATAATGTGGATAAATATTGAAGACCTTAGGCTAAGTGAAATAAGCCATTCACTAAAAGACAAATACTGCATAATCCTACTCATATGAGATACTTAAGTATCTAAAGTAGTCAAGCTCTTAGAAACAGAAAATAGAATGATGGTTGCCAGGGGATAGCAAAGGGTGAAAAGGAAATTTGATGCTCAATGGGCATAGAATTTTAGTGTTTGTATTAGTCTGTTTTCATGATGCTGATAAAGACATACCCGAGACTGGGCAATTTACAAAAGGAAGAGGTTTATTGGACTTACAGTTCCACATGGCTGGGGAGGCCTCATAATGATGGTGGAAAGTGAAAGGCACATCTCACATTGGCAGCAGGCAAGAAAAGAGCGCTTGTGCAGGGAGACTCCTATTTTTAAAACCATCAGATCTCATGAGACATATTCACTATCATGAGAACAGCATGGGAAAGACCTGCCCCCATGATTCAATTACCTCCCACCAGTTTCACCCCACAACACATGGGAATTCAATATGAGATTTGGGTGAGGGCCCAGCCAGATCATATCAGTGTTGCAAGATGGAATTTTTATAGATTTGTTGCACAACGATGTGCATATAGTTAACAATACTGTACTGTGCACTTAGAAATTGCTAAGATGGTAAATTTGACATTATGTGTTTTTACCAAAACAAAAACAAAAACACAAAGCAGCCAGCAAAAAGTCAAGAAACAGCCTGGCTTTTGCTGAGGTAGGGCATATAATGTGAATAGGGAAGCGATGAAATGGAGGCTGGGGAGGGAGAGAAGGCAGGCCCCCACAGAACCTCCTGGAGAAGTTTACAAAGTGGGTATCTGATCCCATGAGCACTGGGGAGCAATTGAGTATTTTAAGCAAGTAGTAGGAAAGTCGACTTCCCTCTCCCTCCTCCTGAGAAAAATGTGTTGCAACTCTCCTTGTGGAAAAGGCTGTGTTGCTAAGAACAGTGCCTGAATATGCAGAATGGAGGGAAAGTGAGATAAGCACTCAGAGTGTGTGCATTGGCCTCCTTCTGAGCCAGGTGAAGTAGGTGCTGGGCAAAATGACATGTCTTCATGACCTAGGGAAAGCCAGAAGGTCCTAACTTCAAAGAAAGGTGTGTACCTCCTTAGTCAGTTGCTCTACCAAAGCTGATGCTAGGTCTTGTTAAAAAAAAAAGAAAAAAAAGAAAAAAAAAAAAGAAGGGGATGAAAAAGATTATCATTGAAGGGAAAATTAATTCAATTTCTTAGAAATCAAGAAGGTTGTTTTGTTCTGGTTCCTATTACTGTTGTTTTCTTATCTTTGAGGAAGAAAGTAAATTTTATTAAGTAGTAAAAGACATCTTCTCCCAAAATATCTCCTTGTATCTAAGTAATTTTATCTTATTTCAAAATAAGAATTATAGGCATGTCCTTTTTGTTTCTTACTCTCTTAAAAGAAAACATTTTTGTTGTTCATGAATGCTTACAGGAAGCTACAAAAACGTTAAAAGACCAATGTTAACAAGTAATGAATATAAATAATCCTTTCACTATGACAAACAACATGGTTTAAAATAACACATTTTTTTTCTAAAAAGTATCCTATAACAAACATTCAGATCCAGAGGTCTTATTCTGATGCCCTGAAGCTCATTATCATTCAACTTTGTCTTATTCTTCTTTTCTAATCCTCTGCCTACCTCCTAGAGCATTAAGTGCATCTGGAAAATTCTTTTTTTTAAAAGCCAAGATAAAGATAAAATTCTAGATGGTTCACATTTTCATTCTAAAATGCACATAACCCAGCTTTCCTACCCTCATATTCCACAAGACTTCTGCATTGAACTCCAAGTTGGCACCAACATCAGTAATGGACAGAAACATGGGGAAGAAACACTTGCACACAACTTCTGGTTTCAAAAATTCTAAGATTTGCTGCTTCTATGATTTGGAACAATCTGTAAGCTCCCTGATATTCAGTGCTTCATTGGCAAATGGTTATATTAATTCTTGTCCTTCCTTCTTTACTAATCTGAGGATTCCAGGTGGTAACGGGTTGTTATAGATTGAATGTCTGTGTCTCCCCAAAAGTCACATAGGGAAGCCCTAACTCCCAGTGTGGCTGTATTTAGAAATGGAAACCATAAGAGAGTAATTAAGTGTTCTTATGAGAATAGAAACCAGAGATCTAACTCTCTGTCTATCTCACCCTCTCTCTCTCTTTTCTGTGTGCACACAGAGAAAAGGCCATCTGAGGACACAGTGATAAGTTGACCATCTGCAAGCCAGGAAGAGGGCCCTTACCAGACCCTTACCACTCTGGCAGGCTAATCTTGGATATACAGCCTCCAGAACGATGATAAAATAAGATCTGTTGTTTAATCCACACAGTCTGAAGTATTTTGTTATGGAAGCCTGAGCTAACCAATGCACAGGTGATAATGAATTTTGTGACATATGAAGTCCTTTTTAAACAAAAGCTATTGTTACTTGTCCTGGAATCTCTTTGTTTGTGATTAAACAGCCATCAGCCGACCAAAGGCTGTGGGTAGTCCAAGTCCAGCTCCCTACATGGGAAAGCAAAGAGAATAGCTCAGCTTCATTTGAGGCAAATATGAAGCTGAGCATTTGCATCACACAGTTCTAGTTGATAAAAGTTTTTGAGACTATTCTCTGCCCTTCCCATCATTTTCTAGTGCATTAGAAGAATACTTTGGTTAATAATATTTATTGCCTTCCCTGTCATCAAGTAATTTTTTTATTTCAATTGCTGAAAATGGATTAGTGTCAAGACCCCAGATTTCAGAAAATGTCAAAACTTTAACAAAATGGGACCAGGCGTGGTGGCTTACACCTGTAATCCCAGTACTTTGAGAGGCCAAGATGGGCAGATCACTTGAGGTCAGGATTTCGAGACCAGCCTGGCCAATGTGGTGAAACCCCACCACTACTCCAAGTGCAAAAATTAACCTGTTGTTGTGGCACGTGTCTGTAATCCCAGGTACTTGGGAGGCTAAGGCAGGAGAATCTCTTGAGCCCGGGAGGTTGAGGTTGCAGTGATCCGAGATCGCGGAACCTCACTACAGCCTGGGTGACAGAGCAAGACTCCATCTCAAAAAAAAGAAAAGAAAAGAAAAATGATAGGAACTCTGCAGCGCATTCTGTCAAATAGAGAAAATAGGTAACTCATGTCTGCTCTTCACATGAATTCACAATCTCATTACAAAGATAAAGTACACAGAGAAAATGGCGGGTCCAATGTATAAGATGTCACAAATGATAGGGCAGATAAGAGTATCAGAAGGGAGGATCATTGCAGTTATGTGAATTCTTCCTGAACTTCTCCTCCCAATCTCCTAATTTCCCATTCTACAAAATTGTTAAACATTCCTCTCTGAATTTCACCTATTCCCTCCAGACGCTTCTACTTTTTACTCATATAAGGCTATTTTATGTTTGCTTAATACATTTAATATAGTATTAATAATTATAACATAGCCTTATACATTTTATATATATATTACATGTATAAGCTATGTTAATACATTAGTTTATATTGAAAGTGTGCTTAACCAATTAGAATACTAATAGTATACATGTATAAGGCTATATTATTGTTTGTATAATATATCAGTTTGTATTGAAAGTGTTTTACCGATTAGAATACTATAAATTCCTTAAAATGGAAATTAATGTTTTTAATCTTACAACTTTTTCACACTGAACATCATGAATTAAAAAGTAAAAGCATAATATAAATAAAATAGGAGGAGGTCTTGAGGAGTAGGTAAACTTAGGCATTCAGGGAGAGAGGTCATTTCAGGGATGAGGTAATGGTTTGACTAATGTATAAAAGTGGGAGGGAGTGTGGGAAGTAAGACAGCTTCTACAGAAGACATGTGTTAAATAGCATCTGGATAAGTTGAACAGAATCAAATTAAGGAGAGTCTCCTAAACGATAGCAAAGTAAAGTTATCAAATGCAGTTCTTTCAGTTAAGCACAGTGGGATGAAAGGATTGAGGTATCTCTTTTCCTCTCTTTTATTTTCTATTTTTATTTTTTTCCCTAAATCTAAGGCACCATATGACCAGGACATGACTTTTTGTTTGTTTGATACATGTTAAACCAAAAGGGAAAATAGCATAATCAGATTTAAATTATTAAATGTACCATACCAAACCACTTTGGACTTTCTTACAATCATTTCTATTAACAGCCCATTCCCTCCATCTACAATTGAGGACAAAGAAGTCTTCAGTGGAGCAGGATCTCAATTATTTGTTAATATTTGATAGCATCAGAATGGGTCCTCTCTTAGTCAGTTCAGGCTGCCATGACAAGTTACCACAGACTTCAAACACAGAAATATCAAGAAACACGAGACCTAAGGTTTTATACACATGTAATTTTGACCAAACAGTATTTACAATAACTCATTAGACTGGGAAATGAGATATGCTATTTCACAGTATGCCACTACACAAGATTAAGTTGGGGGGTGAATACAGCATCATTTTTACATTTGCTTATTTGTTACAGAATAATTTATAATACAATATGTGCTATTAATATTACATGACTTTTTTTTCCTTCAGATTTTCCTTGTTTTTTTAAAGTTGGTAAGGCTGTGTGAGTAAGTACTTTCAGTTAATAACATGCCCATGGACATGTGCCTACAAGGATTTGGGGATTAGGTTGAGGCCAACACATTTGGGAAGTAATAGTGCTGCCACAATTTAATAATAAGCAGCTTTGAGGCACAAAGTGTCAAATAAAACATTGATTCTCATAATAGTAAGCCATAACGGCCAGTCTAATGTTTAACTATAAAGCGCAATAGCTAGTGTTAGCTGAGTAAAGATTGATTATAAAATGGAAACTCACACTGTAACCAGTTTTAGAGAAAAAGTAAGAAGAAATAATGTTGGAAACTAACCATTTGTGTGTGTGTGAGAGAGAGAGAGAGAGAGTTAGGTATAGGTATATGTCTATTAATTATAGTGCTTTCAGAATTTACTGATAGATTGTGAGGGGTCCCTATTAAGCATCTAAGTTGATATGTTGAGTTGTTTTTGGGAATTAAGTGGGGGAATTCAAGCTAGAGATGTAAATTAAAGTTAACAAAATATAGGTTATATTTATGGCCCTGAGACTGGATGAGATCTCCCAAAGGTGTGAAGACAGTAACAGAGTTTACATGCTAAGGCTTGTGAGAATTTCAAATTTTATAGATTGAGAAAATAATAAGTAAAAATTAAATTCTAAAAAAATACAATGAAAAATATGAGTAAGAGCTCATGAGCATGTTTTACCTTCTTTCCGGACTCACTATGTGACAATGATATTTCCTTTTTGAATCGCCAACAGCCATGGCTTTGTTGAAATTATGATGTAGAAAGAGGATGACACTAAGATTTACCTAGTTGACCTAGTCAATGACCACATTGCCCTAAACATTACACGAATGTTATCTAAGATGTATAATAGTCTCCTAATAGTCTCTATGTTTGTTGACTTTGATTTCCACAGGCTACCAGAAGAACTTTACTAAAATGAAACTATTTGTGTGTTTAAAATGCTTCGGTGGTCCCCTCTTGACCTCAGGAGAAGGTCAAACTCATCTTAGTACACAACACTCTTCATCCTGTTCCTTTCACCCACCTCCTCCAGCAGTATTTCACCACTTCCCTGCTGGTACTCTGAATTACTTAATATTTCCCCTGATGTTTCATTATCATTTATCAGCAGGCTTCCGTATGTGATGTATCTCAACCTAGAAAACTCTTTCCCAACCATATGCGTTGACATTTCTGACATCCTTTAGGGATCCCTCTCCGAACTCTTTATTCTGGGTTAGATACTTTCTCAGTACTCTTCCTGACATCTTTTTCTACTGTAAAATTAAATAATTCAAACTTGAAACTGTTGGAACTTTAAGGCATTTTGAACCCAGAGAGGATTCTGGCTATGTGGCATGAGTCACATAGTGTGCAGCTGGAACTTCTTCCCCTTCCTATAAATGATTAAGAAAGGCCTTGTGGCAGCAGAGATAAGACCCCACTCAGATCATCACCCCTCCTCATGGAATGTCAAGGCAATCTTCCTTTTATTATGGCAATCTGTAACTTATCAAGTTGCCATAACCTATGCACTGACCTTGTATGGAAAATGTTGCAACTCTCCCTATATAAATGAAACCTTGACTTATCCACTTAGGAACGAAGACCCATTGTTTTAGAGTATGTGTTTTCCAGGTGGTCATCTTCAAGCTTTGCACTCAGATAAACACTATACTTCACATAGTTTCTGAATCTCATTATTTATGTTTGACACTACTCTGCATTGCAATTACCAGTGTAATGAGATAGAGATTATATCCAGAAAAGTGGTTCTCAATTGTTTGTCCCCCAGGGCACATTTGACCATGTCTAGGGACATTTTTGGTTGTCACAACTGGGGAGATCCTACTGACATCTAATTACTAGAGGCCAAGGATGCTAGCAAGCATCCTATAATGCGCAAGATTGCCTCTACAACAAAGAATTAATCTGCTCAAACTGGCAATCATGCCAAGATTGAGAAATATTGCCCTGGAATGAAGAGAGAATCACATGAGCCTTGTTGAGGTTGAGGGTGTGGAGGGGCTGCCCATGGCAGGAGTAGCTCAGAACCTGAGGGCACAGAGAGTTAGAATAAGGAAGGAAATGAAGTGTGATAAAAAGAGGCCTCGATGGGTGAGAATATAGAGAGAGTTTATCAGCTATGCTGGGGAAAGGAAATGGTGTTTAAAGAAGACATTTAGAGATGTGTTCTAGGTGAGCCACTGTGGGAAGCCCTCTCCCATCTACTCTTGCCTGCTGTCTATTGGAACATACCTTCTCCAGGACTTGTTACACCCTCACCATCCCACAAGCTTGTCCAACCTGCCTTATTTTATTGTTATTGTTGTTTTGTTTTAAGCTTTTGGCAGCCTGAGCCATGGCTTTTAGTTTCTGTCTCTAGTGACAAGCAGAAAAGGGATGAGGAAGGTATTTCGCTGGCCCAACCAGAAACAGAACTAAGAATCTATGACTCTATTATCTCCCTTGGACACCCCTGAAAGGGAAATGGTTATAAATGCTTTAGATCTATTCAATCATTCTGATCTTAGTGGCATAATACATTTCTTCTATAAATTTTAAAATTTTATTTTGAAAGTAGGACCTTTGGAGATTTCAGTGCCTGAAAACAAGTGAATAAATCACTAATGTTGAAATACCAGGCACTGTTGAAGTATACAAGGGAAATATTTGGAAAGTAGAAAGACGTTGCAACTATATCCTTCAAATTAATTCTTACTGGGGACTTCCTACCAAGCTGCCGGCAAAACTATGTTATTAAAGGCAGTAATTTATAATCCAATATTATAGGTGGTCTGCAAATAGCCCTGATACAATGCATGTTTTTCTGTGTGTCTGTGTGTACACGTGCACACATGTGTAGTGGGTAGGAGGCTGACTTATTTGTGTTATAAGCTACATCATATATTTTTATACACAAACACACACAGACATACACATTCACAGGCATATTTTCTCTAACAGCTTGCTTCTAAATTGATGTTTTACTGTGGCTTTTGAACTCAGTTGAAACAGCCCAGACTTTTCAGTTACAATAATGGATATTCCATTTGCTTGATGATATCTAAAAAACATACTTGGTGTGTTCTAACTTAGCCTTCTTTATCTCTAAAATAGGGCTAAGTCTTTGCATTCCATTTAGCTTTTGAAAGGATTAGCTGCTTCAAACCATCACACAGTGACAGGCAAGAAACCCAGCCACACCTACCACCCTTTTGGTGAGTGTGATTAGGTACAAGTGGGGGCAGAAACATGAACTAAAAAATAGAGGAAAAGGATGAGATTTAGTAACACCAGTATCTGTTGCAACTTAGAACTCCCATTTCTAAATAGGAACGCTAAAGGGGAACTTTGATAACCTCCACAAAGAGATACAAATATTGATATTTATTGCAATGTTTTGTAATATCGAAAACTGGGAATAATATTAAATTTCTATTATTAGAGGAATGGGTATATAAATTGTAATACATTCATACGTAAATGTTCAGACAGCATTTAAAGGAAATGACCTAGATCTAAATATTTAATGTTCAGTAAAATGACATTTTTTGCAAAGGGAAGAAGTGAAAGAAGTAAGACTGAGATGGTAATGCAAAACAGGTTTTAACTATAACCCTATTATTCCTTTAAAAATATAGGGCAAATATTATAAAATATTAAAGTTTCTTATATCTGAATAGCATATTTATCGATCTTGGTATTTTTCACTGTGATTAGAATCTGCTCGTGTGTGTGCATGCATGTGAGTAAGAAAGAGAGAGAGGAATTCCTGATTTGAGGGAGAACTTCTGAGTTTTGCTAATAATTTTTAAGACCATACTTGCTGTTTTCTAAGCCTTACTCTAACTTAGAAAAATAAATAGGGTGTTTGAGTCAAGAAACTTGATATTTCTAATCGGTCACTAACTGAATTCAATTTACTTCTTCCTTATTATTTGTCTAAATCACAACCTTTTTCTTTAAGTTACTAGTAAAAGCAGTATTTATTCTTACAAAATTAAGTTATAGATGCACAGTTTTACAGATATGTTATCTTTTTTTCATTTCTTCACTTTAAATATTGCCCTGGGTTTCTCTTTCTGTACATTAGTAGAAAGTTGACTTTATTTAGAAATTATAATTATTATCTCATTTCTTTGGGTCTGGAATTAGAATTGCTTGCATTGGTCTTCAGTCTCTGTCTTTTTCTGTGTTTTTTTTCAAGATTGCCACTGCTTCAGACCTGTTGTGGCCTCATTAAGTTTCTTTTCAACAGGCCTAAGATAGTTCCCACACATCTGAGCTTTTAACATCCCCAAGAATTATTTCTCTTAATGCTCAGCCTTAAGAAACACTGACTGACTTAGGGTAATTTCCTGTAAATTTTTTTTTTTAACATCACGCTTTTTTAAAAAACCATGTTGAATCTTGCTTCTTTCTCTCTAGTTCTCTCCAGTACTTCCCCTGGTAATTTATCCACATAACACATAAGTGCATGTGCCCTTCAAGTTTTAGTGTTAATGATCCCCTTCCTGAAGAAGCCTTCCCTGAACTACTCATTTGAATTAGATTCCCCTATCGTTTACCTGTCCTCATCCTTATGCTCAGTTGAGAGCCTTATTTAACACTGACTTTCCTGAGGAAAAAACTGTATCTCTATCTGTATATCTATATCAAGATAGATGATAGAGACATATAGATAGATGCCAGCTAGCTAAATATGTAGCTAATAGATAGATAGATAGGGTAGATAGATGAATAATGAATAGAGACAATAGATAGATGATAGATAGATAGATGACAGATGGATAGACATAGACAGATATAGATAGATAGATGGTTATAGATAAATGGATAGATAGATGATAGGTGAATAGATAGATGATAGATAGATAGATAGATAGATAGATAGATAGATAGACAGACAGATAGATAATAGATAGATAGATAGATACATAGAAGATAAGTAAATAGATAATCTTTAACCAACCAGGGCTGAATACAGGGTTTGATGCAGAATAAATATTCAATGAACATTGATGTAAAAAAAATTGACTCAATGAAAAACAATTCATTAGACATTAAAGTACAGGTGTCCTCCAGGGTAGTCAGTATTAGTAGGACAAGTTTGCTCTTATTTTCTGCTAGAGTTACACTTAAAATTCTCAGACTGACATTTTAGCATATTTGGCTAGCCCTCATCAATTTGACCTCATGCATAATTACAGATCATACATATAGTCTAAGAAGGAAAAAATAAAACACCACTTAGTAAAGTGGAAGGAAACCAACTCTCATTGTTTAACTTTCAGGAAACACTTTTTGGAACACCAGATAATTAAAATAATAATAAGACCATAGAATCCTATCCACTGATCCTACTTCAGACTTCTGACACTCTCAAAAATCTACATAATTGAAGCTGGGCATAGAGGAGTTGTCCTCACAAAGACTGTGCCCCACATTGTGAAGACAGTGTTCCATTTGGCTCCCACACAATGTGTGGACTTTAAAATTATACTGTATCATTTATTATTGGTTAGCATGCATTTATTCTGGTGCCAGAGAAACCTTAAAATTACTACTTTTGTAGTAAGTTTGCATTGACTATAATAAAAAGAAAGGAAAATTGACCAACTGAGAAATATTTGCAACACAAATAGCATGCAAGTCTAACTAGGAATAAGAAGGCAAGGAAATTAGCAAGAGAACTTGACAAATTGTCAATAAATATATTTAAAAATGCAAACTCATTTATTTAAAAATTAAATAATCAAATAATAAATACTAAATATTATTTATTATTCATTATTAAAATAAATAACACATGATATATAACATGGATGAGTTATTTATTATTGAATAAATAATTTATTAATAAATGATAAATAATAATTAATATTTTATAATTTGGATAAATTATTTGTTATTGGATGGATTGGTTATTTATCAGTACAACAAATGATAAATAAATAATAATAATTTAATATTTCTTATAATTTTGCCAAACTTTAAAGGAAAGTAGAAATTTGGTATAGTCAATGGAAAGACATTCTTGTTTATTATTGGGCTGGGTACATTGTTACAAATTTTCTAAAGGACAGTTTGCAAATCTCAGCCCCTTAAAATGCCCATTCCCTGCTTTCTGTACACATAGAGATATTCAGGAGGTTTACCAAAACAATTATAAAACATTAAGCCTATGAAATGTGATTGTTAACCAAATAATTATTGGATAAATGGAAGAAGCATGCTGTCATAAATAGATAGTTCAGTAATAAATCAACTCATTTATAAAAGGTGTGTTTATTCTTTGAGGAGAAAATATTTATGACACATATTTTCAAGAAAGAATAGACTTTTAAGTTGATAACACACATTCAATGTTAACAGTCACTTGCTGCAAAATAATAATAACAATAATTTTGTCTGATGGTTTTGTAATTAGTATTTAGCCCAACACCAGAATATGATATCTGGACTTCCCCATTCAGTACAAAGTACTTTCCAGGGCACCAAAGTGATCCCCTTACGTCTGGGTTCAGTCACATGTCTAATTAAACAACTCAAATTTTCTATCCTCATCACTTAAAAGAAAAACATAATTCTACTGTGATCTATCAATTACTTAAAAATGATCAGATAAGTTTGTTCTTCCCAGAATTTTAAAATTTGTGCATTTCCATCAGAGATTGAATTAAAACAAAGGAAAGTCATGTTTATAAAACTGTATGTGCATGAAAGGACATTTTATAATTTTCTCCAAAGGCATTCATTATGCTAATCCCATTTATATTACAACTGTGCTCTGATACCTGATGAAAGGATATTATTTACTTATCTGGCTTGATAAAATAATAATATTGAGATGAAAGTGCAATTAAACTAAAATTCAGTAAGACTATCTACTGTGTACCTTTTAAAAATTCATATAAGAAACAAGATACACTTCATTTCATTTCTGAATTATAACTTTGAGATATGGTAAAATAGCTAAATAATACCTAATCAAGAAATTTGACCTTCATCCTCTCCCTGCTTACATGTATAATCCATAATAAACTTGCTTTCTTTTTAATTCAGTCAAAATGGACAACCTGAAACTCTAACAAGCTCTTGACCTGTGTTGGCCCTTCCTGCATTTTCATGGAAGGATGATGCAATTCATTATTTCCACTGATACGTTCAGAGCTCTTGGCCAGCATCTTTGCTATTCATTTATTCAATCTATAGTAATCTGTGCTTAATAGAGTGCTGGAGCATGTCAGGATGAACAATTAAATATGATTGTTGTCATTGACAACCAGCAGTTATTGCTAAAAATGTTCCAGGCAGGAATGTGAGCATTGAGGTGTTTATTTTAAGTAAAGGAGAAGTTTAAATGAAGTATCTTTTCTAGATAATGACAATTAAACTCTATCATTCAAATAGTGCATTTCTCCTTCCATCTATAGAAATCATAACAGAGTTTCTTTTTTGCTTTCCATACTCCCTGGCGCAGGCAATTAATTCTTTAACTGGTCAGACTTTTGACTAAGAGTGCGATCTCTGATTATATGACTTGTTTGTTGGAGCAAGATGGGGTTCAGGTAGGGGGCAATCATCCCTGAATACGGCAAAAGGGGACATGCTCTTGAAATGGATTAAAAGAACAAATGATGACCCCTATGTAAGCAGAGAGAGAGAGAGAGAGAATCATTTAATAATTTGAATGAGAAAATAAAATGAGATTGTCAGAATTTCCACAACAAAAAGAAAAATATCTCCCATAAATGTCCCTTTTTGCCTCAATGATGTATCTAAAATGGGTGTGATATTATCAGTTCTCATAGTCAACATCCGCTGTGCGTGGGTTTGTGTGCACATAGGGTCAAAGGAGACGGTATCTGGTGAACAAACAGCTGGTATAACTAAGTAAATAAATGCCCTTTGGTGAAATCATTGAAGCTGATGAAAAGTGTAGTTGTGCTTTCCCTAATCCCTACAATAGGAGTACTAATTAAATTTCCCAACATGGAGATAGACATGTTTCAAGACGGAAATTTCTCAAGGATGACTCAAGAGCAATATCCTGGAGGAATTTGCATGGGGTGGATATAAGTATCTCATTGTTTTTAGAAAAGAAAAAAAGTGTGGCCACACAGAGGGGCTGTTGAGTTTTCACTGATACTGCAGAGATGGCCATGCAAGGGGCAGGCCACAAACTGGGCTTGGCCACAAAAGTGCACTGAAGCCCAAAGAGTAAACAGAGAGAACAAGGCTGAGCAAGGAAAGGGAGAGAGAACGTGTCTCCTCATCCCCACTGTCCCAAATCCTTGATGAGATGGGATGTCACATTCAGGAGATAAATGTCAAATCTCTGATTGGGTCACATAAGAGGTCACCCTCCAGCATTATTTAACTGTTTGGTATTTTATCTGTGATCACACAGCAAGCCCAGCCCTTTTGCTTATCTTTTTTGATTTCTCTCTTCCTCCCCCTCCTCTTCTCTGGTAAAAGGTCCTTCAAATATGACAGTTTGTCAGAGGGCTCATCATAATTTAATAAGAGTGAACATGCAGGTGAGAGAAGGCCCAGCAAGCTTTGGGACTCCTGTGTGCTGTAGCTTGATTTAGCAGAGATCAGTATGATCATCACGTGTGGCTCCATTTGCTTCATGTGTCTTTCTTTGCTGGCTGTCTCACCTGGAAAAGAGGTGGTTACAGTTTGGTACAAGATTCTGGCCTTTCTGAGTTCTCTGCTATAATGCCCTGAAATGGTAGCACACATGCTACACTTCTTCTAACACTGGTCATTCCTCTTCAGAAACCTCTTTTAGCCTCTCCCAACCAACACAAAGAGGCAGAAAGACTCAGAGATGATGCTTTCCTGGATCTGTGTCATAATGCATCTTCCCAGCAGTCCACTCTGTTAAAGGTTGAGGAAAAGCATTGCTTGTGTTCCATTACACAGTTGATGAATGGTTAGAGAAGTGCCTGAGCCACTCTTATTTCCTTAATCACTTCTAGGTCTCTCATCCAGGATTTTTTCTGCGTAATTCTTCAAATTAATTGCATTTCAGCCTACCTAAGCGTACCAGTAGTTGAATTATCAACAACCTATTAGTAACTGCCTAGCAACTGAATAGGTATACTAGACTTTTATTTTCTTGGCTGTGCAATATTTCTTTGAAATTTTGATCCCCATCCTAACCCACCAAACCCGGAGAGCAAATCCTAGAAACTGGTGAATAGACTTGCATTCACACTTCTCCCACGTTTTGTCTTTCTATGCTGAAGGAAGAGATGGAGGTGATTTTAATCTATCTTCAAATAGCAAAGTAGTTGCATACTTTACACTCCCTTCCACACACACATACTCATACACACACACAATCCCTTATTCAATTAATCCACATTTATCACATCTTTTTTTGAGGATCAGATCAATGACTAGAACTGTACACAGTCATTCATTTGCACAGGTCTCATGGTTCCTGTCAGTGATAATTGATCAATGGCTGAGACCAGAAGCCCCAGTTCCCACTACCAGGAAGAGGCTTCATTCTGCTTGGAACTCTTATTTGCCACTATCGTTGCACTTCCTTAAAAAGTACCTTTCTTCGAGGCTGGGCAAGGTGGCTCATACCTGTAATCCCAGCATTTTGGGAAGCTGAGTCAGGCAGATCACCTGAGGTCAGGAGTTCGAGACCAGCCTGGCAAATACGGTGAAACCCCGTCTCTACTAAAAATACAAAAATTAGCCAGGCGTAGTGGTGGGCACCTGTAGTGCGAGCTACTCAGGAGGCTGAGGCAGGAGAATTGCTTGAACCTGGGAGGCAGAGGTTGCAGTGAGCTGAGGTTGTACCACTGCACTCCAGCCTAGACAACACAGAGAGACTCTGTCCCCGTCTGCCAAAAAAAAAGTACCTTTCTCTTCTTCTGAAATAAATTATAAAGATTTTTAGGGAAGGGAAAGTACTTTGTTTTTAATACTACCCTTAAAATGCTTTGTGTATAGGAGCTGTGGAAAATATTTGTTGAATAAATGATTGACAGATTACAAATCATGTAAGTATAGGCAACTATCAATTACCTCAAGGCTGATTACCCCATACTTAGAATTTCTATTGACATTTTTATATACTTTCATTCCAAAGCTTATTTTTATTATTTCATGTATAGAATAGTAATTTATATGTGGAAGAAAATCCATAAAGAGTTTTAATTGGTTGTTTACCAGTTTTCTTCAAAAATGTATTCTCTCATGTATTCTATGGAATACTACTTGACTGGCAAGGGAAAATCTTTTAAAGTAAAATAGTAAATTAAATCATGGAACTAATGGACCACGAAAACTATAAAAAAATAAATAAATAGATGAAATAGTTAAAATAGTAGAAATAAAATTGAGAGAGAGAGAGCTCTATTTTGACATGAGCTTTGCATTAATCTTTGAGAAAACTTGCCATTTCTAAAGTAAAATAATTCAAAGAAGTGAGGTTGAGGAAGGAGAAGGAAGTTTTATATAATGAAGTTAAGTTTAAACTTAGACTCCTTTAAAAAATAAATGTTTGAAATTCTCAGGATCTCTCACACATGTTAATTAATAACTGCCAAACATATCCCTAAATCAAAAAGAAAGAATTGATTCCCCTTCTGAATACCAGGATTCCCCGCTAGCTGGCCAGCAGAAACAAAACCGTGTACTTTCTACACTGTCAGCGGTCTTTCCTGAATCACTGCCTTGCCTGGAAAGGTTCAGCAGGAGGTATGATAAGTGAAACGATCAGGACCACCAAACAAGACAGAGACTCCACACCAGAGAGAAGGCCTAGAGTTACCCACATAAGAAGAAGTTCTTGCTAAGAAAAGCACCTGTGTGCATACGTAGACTCATCTCCTAAGTGCAGGATGGACTTGTCTGCTGTAGAATTATTTTGGTGGCAGCTTTTAAGTTACAGTATTCCAGGGTGCATTTGCATTTTAGTTTCAGCGTGTTTGCTTATCTCTAACCACAAGATTATGCGCTATAATTGCATGCAAGAGCAGGAGGTGAAATAAGCTTTTAAAATTAGATACACAAATTTGTATGTGTCAGGACCCCAGCCTAAAACACATGGCATGCTCAGTTAGTTGGAATTTTTCAAAGAAGCTTCTTAATGAGGGGAGTGTTTACCAAGGCGTGGTAAGAGGTAACAACCTACAAGGGATATGTAGACACCTAGGGACTAGCAAGGGTGAAGAGCCTTTGCCACTCCTAGGCCTGGTGGAACAAATGGAGGCATTGGTGTTACTGGAGCTTAGTTAAGAGCTGGACATGGAAAAAGGTGGCCCTCAGGGCCATAGTGCCAGTGCTGCAGACACTGTCAGACCTGAACTCAAGCTGGGGTGGGGTGGGAGGAATAAATGCTCTAATCTTTCTACTTTTCATCCTCTGATCTCCCTCTGATGCTTTTTACTAGCAAAATTGAAACTGGGGAGGGAATGCAGTTGATGCCCCCTATGGAAATCAGCCTTCTGGACACAGAAGAGAATAAGCTGGAGAATAAAAATGCAAGGCAAATGCTGAGTAACCCACACTACAGGGAGGGAGGCATTTATCTCATTAAATATTATACAGAAACCCGAAGTTACACTCGCTGTACACTTTCAGCATTTTCCTCTTGAAAGATAAGTTGAGACCTGAATTCAAGTTTTGAATCTGCTGAGTTTGTTAAAAGCCGTTGAAATAGTCCTTTCAACCCTCTATCCCTTAATCCACATAATATTTTTACTTACCTTTTTTATGTAAAAGAGTTTGTTTAGATATATATGATAATAGTTTTAATAAACTGTGCCCTCTTCAGGGTAGGACACAGTATACATTCAGGACTTCCTAATGGTCTTTTGAATATGTGGTGAGTCTTACAGTGATGAGAAACTACAACGTAAACTTTGTATATTTTTAGCCTATGAACTTCAGGAACTTAAGCTTAAACCTTATTCTGGGAAACTTCCTTGTTGAATAGTGAAACTCTGTGTTTGGAGTTGAAGAAGTTGGGTTCTATTTTCAACACATCCATTAATGGGCCCTTTTGAAGTTCTATAGATTTCCAAATAGTGTTTTAAAAGGTAATTTGGGTTGAAGTTATGAGTAGGCAAACACAGCAGAGTGTTCTCTTTCATGTAGTTTTCTATTCATCTACAAATGGCTTTGGTCTGCAATTTGCCTTTGGAAAATGCATGCAATTTGCTTTGATAAACTTACAATTTCAGCTTCATGCTGCTCTTTTGGGGGAAATCATGAGACTCCTACAAGAGCTGGTAAACAGAGCTGCAACTTGTCAAAAGGACTAGCATTTGAAAAATTAGAATTACAGTAATTGGATACATCTATTTTTAAAGGCGCCTGTGAAAATAATCTCCTAATACTATTTAACTCAAAAGATTTTAATGTCTCAGTTCTGGTGCTCCTGGTCTACCATGCAGAGCCAAATATATATCCAAGACAGAGAAACAGGGAACTCCTGGAGAAAATTTGAAGAGAATAATTAGCAGCCTGCACCTGGGGGTTGCAGAGGGTGATTCACGGTAAAGGAGTCACACGGTGCCTAAACGCCACCTTGACACTCCTAAAATAGTGAGAATAAGACATGATGAACATAGCAATGGGGTGATCATTTTCCTTCCCATGTCTAACTTTGTTTGTTTCATATTTCTTTCATTTGGAACTTCCTCTTAAAAATACACAGATTTTAAATATATTTTACTACTTAGAAAAATTAAATTATAAAATGTTATAAATTATAAAATACTAAAAATCTTTTCACATTGGCCCTTGAGGTATTTTTCTTGATTATTCTTGTCTATATAGTTGGTTTTTTTTTCTATTAGTAGTGCTGAAATAAGGTATAGCACACCCAAAAATAAAAATAAAAGGCATGCTAAGACATAAAATTTCAAGAGACACTTGATTGTATTAAATCTGAGTACCAGAATCTTCACAGGTAGGAGATTTCTGGCTCAAGAACATTGAATAAAGCCATTCTTTTTTGATGTCTCATTCCAAAAAACTTGCTAAAATCTATAAAAGCAGCAAGAAAATATCAAGAAGAAAGTTCCACCTTCATCACTAACAAGAATATGCCCCAACTCCAAATTTCACACTTGGAAGAATATTTGCCAAATACAGTTATATTGAGGACAAGTGAGGTAGGAGGCTGAAAGACAGGCAGTCTTAACTCAGACCTTAGGCAGGATTTAGATCTCCCTGAAAGGGAGGTTCATGGTGCTCAAATAGCCATGTGATGCCGCAAGGAGGGGTGAGGGGTACCAAGGAAAAGAGGGGAATGTCCACATACAAGACTCCTTTTCAAAACAGGTGGAGGTGAAGGAGGAAGCACTCTCACTTGTCATTGTCTTATTATCAGCCTACCTTCTGGCTAAGAAACTGTTGGAAATGAAATTGGGAAGAGGAAAAATAAGAAAGCAGATGTCATAAGATCCTAACAGAGAGAACTAGTGACTTAAAGAACAATATTGTGAGACACACTGATCCCCTGGGTGAGTCACCTAAAGAGACTTGTTCCAGGACAAGTCCATGATACCCCTCCCAACTCCAATCTTCAGACACCTCTAGTTAATTATCTATCTTTCTGCCAATCTGCCTCCAGGTCTATCTCTGCATCCACATGTCCATCTACATGTTTATCAAATACTAACGGTGACTAATTCCCCTTCATTAGATTGGGATTCATTTCTGCTTTTTCAGTTTTTTTTCCTTGCATCCTCTATATTGCTTAAGTTTATAATTATAAATAAATCACTTTTTAAAATAAAATGTCAAATAAGGAATGGAGCAACCCAATTTTTTATAAAAGAAAATTTGTTCAGGCAAGGTACGAAGGCTCACGTCTGTAATCCCAGCACTTTGGGAGGCTGAGGCGGATGCATCATCTGAGGTCAGGAGTTCAAGGCCAGCCTGGCTAACATGGTGAAACCCCATCTCTACTAAAAACACAAAAATTAGCTGAGCATAGTAGTGGGCTCCTGTAATCTCAGCTATCTGGGAGGCTGAGACAGGAAAATCACTTGAACCCGGGAGGCAGAGATTCCAGTGAGCCGAGATCATGCCACTGCACTCCAGCCTGGGCAACAGAGTGAGACTGTCTCAAAAAAAAAAAAAAAAGTCATTCATTAATGACTTAACAAAGAATTGTTGATGACTGAAGCCACAATTTTATCATAATTTCATAATTTTTAAATCTACTAAATATATGTTATATATACACATAATATATATGCATGTATATACATACATACACAAAAACATACACACAAACATATATACATACAGAGAGACAGAGTTTCCTCTTCCCACTGGTGGTGTAGGCATGATTTCTGTGCTCGCCTAGCCCAGATTCTCCTCATGCTTCAAATTCTGATCCATCACACAGTGATGTTTCCAGTTGGATCCAGAGTCCCGACTAGTAATCGTAGAGCTTTCCTAGTTTTTGGTGTGCTGTGTCTCTTGCACTTCCCATGGGGTAGAATACAACTACAAAATGGGTCTCCAGTTTATTAGGTTAAACATGTATTCCCTCAATGGTACTTTAACCATTCCACTTCAAAAGTGAACTTTATCTTCATCGTTTACTATCACTCAAGCCCAATACTGAGGAAATAACATCCCCATTCCATCTCTGCCTGTGCCACAAATTTCCATCAATCATTTCCCCTTAATTCATAGAATTGTAGAATGTGTGAGTGTAAAGGGAAAGATGAGAGGAATGGGGTAACATTATTAAGCAGTTTTTTAAACACTTCACATGTCACCTTTTACTTAATACTAAAAATAGCCTTTTTGATATAGGTGTTATCGCCTGCATTTAATAGATAAAAAAATTAAAGCTTAAATGGATTAAACAACTTGCACAAGAAGCCCTAGATATTCAGAGTGAGCCTAAGATTGTAAGAGAGACTAAAGATCCCGAAATCTCACTGCCTTCACCACACTGTGCTACCCCAGCCAAGAATATTTTGTTTAACTCTTCATCTAACCCATCAGGAAGCCAAGACTTAGAGGGGATAAGGGTCTTACCCAAGTTCACATGACCAATTAGGGCTAGCACTGAACTGGGTCTCCTGAATCTTGTCTCAGTGATTTTCCATACCCAAGGTTGCCTATTCCCCACAGAAGGTACAGCTAGTGCAACCCTAACCATTCCCCACCACAGAACAAGTGTTTTTACTGAGCCAGAAGGTGTCCCTGTTGCTGGCGTCTCACTCACTCCCTTTGGACCTCTGTTCTGTCTTTTTAATCCACAGGTCATTCTTGTTCTTCTCTATCCATACAGTTCCTGAGTACTGTAGTCACACACAGGTAATAGATTTCTTTTGAGAATCTCACCAGTGCTGCCCAGTAATTGAAGACAGGTGAGAATTAACACTCTTTCATTATTTAGCTTCCAGGAAATTATAAAATTAAGCCCAAGACTGAATTATGCTACAAATGTACACAATTTACAAGTAAGCATGCAGCCTTAATAAAATCCCACTATTCTGTTTTGAGGTTCTGAAAATGTGTTGCATGGAAAGTTCTTTGAAACCAAATGTTACAATATTCTCATTATGTATTTCAGCAAATCAGCTCTTGGAATACTGTGACCAATAACCTTCTAAAGCAACAGCACAACACAAGATTATTTACATATCGAACCTTCCATGTTATCGCTAAGGGTATATGGTGAAATAGACACTAGATTTTAATGTCTGCTCCTTTAAAAGCAGAAAGTGTTTTCAAAATGTTTTACCTTATCCACACACATTGAATATCAAAAATGCACAAAAATGTAAGCACATTTCTAATGCTCATTATTGCTAATCAACAACCTTTCTAATATCTATCAACCCTTATACTTAATTAATATAGCTTCTGATAGTATTTAGTAAGCAAGAAAGCAAAACAACTTGTAGTAGCCAGCCCTGGAGTGTGGATTTTCTGATTAAAAGCTAGCAGATCTGTGTTCACTTCAGCAACACATGTACCAAAAAAAAAAAAAAAAAAAAAAGGAGCAGATCTCCTTGACATGCAATTGAAAGAAACCAATATACGCATGTACACAATATGGCCTAAGATGAAGTAGTTAAAGTAAATTGCTACTGACAAACTTATGGACTCACCATTTCCCTTGACTTGTGATCACTTTGTTCACTTACCTGCCTCTTGTCTGACTTGTTTCTGGGATCATCCTTCACTCTGACCTGTAACAGGTGCTTTCCCAAGACTCTGATCTCAACACTGTACATGCTCCTACTTTGTCCTGACCACCACCTGCTGGGCCTAGGGCTACAGCCTTGGAGGATTTCTGGATTTGTTTGGTCCTGCTTCCTCCCAGCCTCTGCTGTTCACTTTCAGCTCTGTCAAGCACTTTGCTTCCCAAGGGTCTGCATTTTTCTGTCTATTCAGGGCAATGAAGCACCAGACATCAGCCAGGTCTCTAATATCTGCACTTCTCTCCATTCAGGTACAAAACCAGCTTTTAAGGGGAGATCAAGAGTACAAGTTGGTTCAGCTCTTTTCATAATGTGGGCTTCAGTGGGAGTTCCCCTCTCTGACTTTATCATCACCCCCAAACCTAACATCACCACTTCCTTTGCTCTCTTTTGTAAAAGCGAAATTGGGAGCAGTCAATGCTCTGATCTAGTTGTCACCTCTGACTGTAAAACAGAATTCTCAAGATGCAGAATGAAAGATGTAAGGTGGCACTCAGACTGGGTGAAAATGTGCACCAAATAGCAGTGATTCAGTTTTCAAGAAGGAAAGTTTAAGTATCAGCAAATAAAGACAGACCACTCTTCAGGACCAACAAGCTCCTGCAGCTGAGCTGAGAGATCAGCCAGACACGTGGGTAAGCAGGGAGAAGAAGCCCCACCTTTCTAAGCAGCAGCCTCAGCACAGCGCATCGTGACTATGAAGACTACTCTGCAGTACCTTTTAGTTTTTCAGAAGATGCACATCATCAAAGCTTTCGATGTGAATCTCCTTACTATAGACCCATTTTTAAATAATTTCAATTACAAAAAAATGTTGTGCAAACAAAAGATCGCTGCTGGTCTGTATTCCCTGGTATAGCTGGGTCTTTGGAATTCTTGGAGAATCTTAGGTCAGTGACAAGGGTTGAGACATCCTAACTATGGGGGCAGAGCTATGAGCCTCTCTATTTAGGCAATAAAAAATTTCTCATAAGATATGGAACTAAAACTGTTTTATATAAAATCTTTTAAGAATACCTAGCTTTTTCTAAAAAAAAAAACTACCCTATGAAAGACAAAATAGAAGGCACTTCATTTATGATATCTAATGAAATCCACATAGCAACCTAAGAAATAGACTTTAGTATTTCCATTTTACAAATAAACTGAGAAACCCTGAAAGGTATCACGTGTTTTCTCACACCAACAACAAATTCCCCAGTGCTCTGACACCAACTGAGTAACCAAAAATTCAATTTAATTCTGATGCTATCTACCTGGACTGAGCATCAGATGCCACAAATTAAAGGGCTCTATCCCATAGGACTGTCCCCACTTCCAACACCAGTTGCAGTCCTAGGCCACTTAATACTTCTGTCCAACTGACTATAGATCTGGGGTTCCTATGATTCTCTCCTGCTTCTTCAGTTCTATGTACTGGCTTATTTTAAAGGATATAACTCAGAAACAGCCAAACGGAATAGATTCATAAGGCAAGGCATAACACAGTGGGTGACACAGAGCTCCCATGCCCTCTCTAGATGTGCCACCTCTGAACAAATTGACATGTTCACCAACCCCAAAATGTCTCCAAATCTCATTGTTCAAGACTTTTTATAGAGCATAAACTCCAGTTGTCTCACCCTATTTTCTGGAGGTCAGTGGCCATATAGGGCTAGAAGTTCCAGTCTCCTAAATACTTGGTCTTTCTGATGACCACTCCCATCCTGAGGCTATCTAAAGGCTCCACCTGAAGTCACATATCAGCATAAACTCAGGTGTGATGGAAACAGCTTCCTTATGAATAACAAAAGATATTTCTATCACTCAGGAAATTCCAAGCGTTCTAGGAACTGGGTGCCAGGAATTCAGAACAAAGACCAAATATATCTGTGTATTATACCAAAGTAAATGACTTTTCCAACATGATACAAATATGCCATACTATAATTTAAACAAAGATGAATTTGGGTTTATGGTCTCAACCCAAGGATTGACTCACTAACCTGGTTATTAAAGTAATATTTGCCATTGATATTTTCTCAATCAATAATTACTACCATGCTCCAATATCTGCCCATTTTACTATGATTCCACAGAGGTCTTTAGATATTCCTATCAGGCCTGAACTGGAAGGAAGGAACATGATGATAAAACCATTGTTTCGATTACCCCAGCTGAATCTACACATATGAAAAGTTGGGAGAGGTCATTTCCATTTTGTCCCTTTGATTGGAATCTTTCTTTTTCTCACTAGGATCTAGTGTGAAATGGTGTCTGGTTTATTTACTTACTTTAATGTGAGACATTTATCCAAATGTCAGAGTGTTCCCTGAAGGCAGGAAGGATTCCTAAGGGCTCAGTCACTTGAATGAATTCAATAATCTTTATGATAAAGTGTTGATGAAGTGACCAGCATTTATGTTTCACAGCAAAAGACAACTTTGAAAAGAGAGGAAAAAGTCAACACTGAAACCAGAGTGCTGAATTTTCAATGGTGCTATTTCAGTCACCCTTGGGAAACACGTTTTAGGGAGGCCACACTTTACCTGGACATCTAAATCATTTCAGTGGGGTTGGGGTAAGGGTTTCCTTCTTGCGTCCAGTGATGCTGTTATTTCACCTAGTAGAAAAGAGGAAGCAAAGGGAGTGTAAGAGAACATTCTGAGCACAAGATGGGGACTCTGGTGTTTTTAAAGAGAACTGAGTATATTGTGTGATTTCCTAGAAAGATAATTTGAATATGAGTCAGAGGAACTGGGTTTCAGCTCAAGTTCTTCCCATGAGCTACTATATGACCTTTCATAAGCATGCAGTTTCTCTCTATTGAGTGACATAAGTATAATAGCTACATTGATTGAAATAACAACAACAATTTTCCTATCACTTTGCATGTGTGATCTTATTAAGCTTAAGGATAATCATGAAAATTATCCTTCTCTCTATTTTATGTGGGATACTGCCCTAGAATTAAACAAACGTCAACTACAAATCGATAATCTTTCCAAACATTCGGCTTCTCATTAAGTGTGGTCCAATTCTTCAGGTTATTCTGTCAACAAAAAGAGTCGAACTCTGTAAAATATTTGAAGAGATTTATTCTGAGCAAAATATGAGTGACCATGGTCCGTGACACAGCCCTCAGGAGGTCCTGAGAACATGTGTCCAAGGTTGTCGGGGCGCAGCTTGGTTTATACATTTTAGAAAGGCATGAGATATAAATCAAATACCTTAAAAAATACATTTGTTTGTTCTAGAAAGGCAGGACAACTCAAAACTGGGTAGGGGAGTTGGGGGAGGCTTCTCAGCTATAGGTGAATTCAAACATTTTCTGGTTGACAATTGGTTGAGTTTGTCTAAAGACCTGGGATCCTTAGAAAGGGAATGTTCAGGGTAAGATAAAAGACTGTGGAGGCCAAAGTTTTTTGAAGTCTTATTGTGGCTGCCTTTAGAGACAATAGATGGCAAATTGTTTCCTATTCAAATCTTAGTTAATCTTAAAGAGGTTTCTTTAGGATTGGAAGCATCTGAAAGAAAAAGATCTAGCTATGTTAATAGAGATTCTTTACAGATGAAACATTTTCCTCCACAAAGAACAGCTTTGCAGGGCCATTTCAAAATATGGCAAAGAAATATGTTTCATGGTAAAATATTTTTATTTTTCTTCCTTGTCTTGTAATTTATGGCCAGAGTCAGGTTGGAAAGTAAGTCAAAATATATAGAGTTAAATAAAACCCATAGGATGAGAACTTAAGATTTGTAGGGCATGACCCCCCTAGGACCCTTAAATAGGAATTTGGGCAAGATAAAAAAAATCAGAGCATAGTTCTCAAATCTCTTTCCTCCCTCATCTTCACAAAGTTCATTGTGTTAGCAGCAGCAAATCTGGCGGATCTGCAGCAACTTGATTCTTCCCTCCTTGGAGGAAAGATTTCAGGTGAGAGGCATAGGGCAGAGAGAGAGACTGAGGCAAGTTTTAGACAGGAACGAAAGGAAGTATACTTGGAAGGGGGCCAAGTGGACATTTAAGAGATCTAAGTGTGCTGTTTGGCCCTTGACTTGTGGTTTTACACATTGGCTTGGTTCCAGTGTTTGCATTTCTCCTCCCTTGATTTTTCCTTGGGAGGGGCTATCCTCATGTTCAGTGGCCTGCCAGCATGTGGGAGGGGCCGCATGCCCAGTGGTTTACTGATGTTGTGGGCATGCTCACTTGAGGCGTTCTTCCTTTACCAGCCAAGTGTTCCTAGAGGAAGGTCATATACCAGTTAAACTGCCATTTTGCCTCTTAGTGCACATGTCTGAACACACTTGCCCAACTCCTGAGATCTTATCAGGAAGCAGCAGATCACCAACTTCAAGTACTTTCTATCTTTTGGGAGACAGACTTTCCTTAGCACTGGCTGTGACCAATTTTTATTTTAGAGAGACAGTTTAACAACTGCCTGACCATCACCTGATGGTCACTTGACATTCCTGGGTTGGAAGGCACCTCTCCTGCCCTGCTCATGTCTGCCTAACTATCTAACAATTTTATTCCCACTAAATTTGTTTTCCGTGAGAGCTATTACGATGTTATGAAATGAATGAATAAGAGCAGTTTGATAAAACACATAGTAAAGATCTACTATCTTCATTGACCACTATGATTTCCAATACTGCCTGAAGTAATTATCTTTAAGTAAACCCTAAGTTCCACAATGCCAGGGACTGTCTATCTATCTACCTATAATATATTCTTATATCTAAACATGTCTTTGTTTAGCCCAGGGGTAAAAACAGAGTAAGTGCCTCTCAAAATTTTTTGTTCAATTTTGATTTTCTGACACAACTCAAATATTTTGTCCAATTCAGTGGCAGAAACTCTCCAGTGCGTCCCTAATTCTCCCCTGTGCTTCTCATTCTTCGTACTTCCCCACTGGCCTATTCCCAGGCTCACTGGGCTCCTTCCTACAGTTTTTCTAGAACCTAATGGGTGCCAGTGACCCCAGAGCTTGGGACAGATATGTGCAAGAACGGTGCATCACACCAAGCAGGCCGGACAGGTGCACTTTCCTGCAGCTTTTAGCACAGACTAGAATACCTGAGGTAAAATGTCCCAAATGGAAATAAATTACTTAAATAATCAATGAACAAGGGCAGGTATTAATAACTTCACATGATATAAGGGCCATTTGTGGTCTACAGCTTAAGTCTCTTTCTTAGCTCATTTATTCCGTAGGAGATGTCATAGCAATGTTAAAATATGCTTCCATTCAAAGTAATTAAGCAAACACACACAGGCACTTAAGGAATAATGAGACTTAAACAGTAATGTTCATATTTTTTCCTGGTGATTTCAACAGCCATCATCCATACATATTTATGTTACTAAGAGGCATTTGGAGGCAGCCTTGGAATGTCTACTTCATTCTTCATTCATTTGCTCATTAGAAAATAACGGCTGAGAGAAAGAGAAAAAGAGAGAGAGAGAGACTGAGAAAAGAGAGCCTATGCCTTGTGGAGTGATAGAGTAGATGCAAAGACGAATAGCTGAATTGAGCCTCTGTCTCCAATCCACATGTCCTCAACTCCCAGCCCCTCCCCCCATACTCTCTTCTCCCACCACACTGAATTGCTTCCAATTTCCTGTGCTTTGACCAGCCACAAAGACATTGCACTGCTATTTCAGCCTCATTCCTCAGTGTGTGCGTGGTTCCTGTTCCTACCCCCCACCCCTTTCTATCCCTGGCCTGCTGCCTCTGGAGAGTAACTGCTAACCTTTCAGGGCACCAGGTAAAGTGATCTGCTAGAGTCTGAGTCTCCTCACTTCTCATCCAGATAAACCGCATCTCTTCCAGGGATTCACAGACATTAGCTGACTCTTGAACCATCGCCGCAGTGTGTGTGTCCACTAATCTGGATTTTCCATTACATTGTGAATTACTTGAGGGCAGTAACCATGTTTTATTCTTTTGTTTGTTTTGATCCTTTTTACTCTGGGACCTTGCCATGGCTCTTAGCACATGGGGCATGCTCAACACAATATATATTGAATGAATAAAGGGTGGAATAATTAAGAAACTCCTAGTGTAATGCTGTAGAGACAGAGGTAAACCAATAAACAGAATACAGTATCACAAGCTCATGGGCACCCATGGAACTGGGATGCACCCATAGTGTTAGGGAGGGCTTCACCCAGCTCTCAGGAGCAGGCTCAAAATTGGTTTCTGCCCAGCAGAAAGTGCAACATGAAATAAAATGCAGGAGGAGAGGGTCATTTCACAGAGGGAAGCTTGTGTAGCTTGACGAGAGTAAGGAGAGATTGCACAGGGGATGTTTCTGCTACCTGGCCTGGGGCAACACACACTACATCAAAATGTGAGGATAGGATGGAAAAGAAAGGCGCAGTACATTGGAGAGAAAAGCAGAGGAATGCTGGAGTATGGCAGAGGGGCAGCCGAATATACCTCCCTGAAATATGAAGGGTTGAGCTGAAGGCAAGTTGAAGCAGATACAAGAAACTCTCTGCCCTCCCTGTGTTTGCCTAAAAACAAGACACAGATTTACAAAGGTAAAGGGTATCCTGACCTCCCTTGGGGAGAACAAAGGTTAACTACTGAAGACAGCTTTAGATTCTTACCATCTGGAGAGGAATCTTTGTTGACAACATTTGCTAACCAGACTTTATCTATCAGTTATTTGCCTTCCCACAAGTTACCCTGGCTGGAAACTCCAGGTCCCTTTCCTTTTTCTTGTCACTTCTCTATAAATTTACTCCTCACCAACAAAGAACACTTTGTCGAAGATGCTCTATAAGCTGACATTCAAAGCCACCTCTTTGAGAACTACTCATTCTCTGGGTGTCTCCCATATATATGAAATAATATGCTAATGAATGTCTGTTATTCTCTTATTAATCAGTATGTGTATCAGGGGTCCTTTCCGACTTAATGCCTATGATAGTTGAAAAAAAAATCCCCAGTAGGGGAAACTAGACAGAACTTAAGCCACACATGTGTGTCCTAAGACAGAGGATAAGAAAAGTCCTTAGTATCCATGGAGATTTTCCCTGGATTAATTAAAGCTAAGAAGATTTCCAAGAAACTACCTAGGATTTCTTCCTGCATGAATCAACTAAGCCCCATGCCTCTATACCTGGGACAGGCTGGCACCTGGAGTATAAGGTTAATGTTAAGAATATAAGGCAGTGGCTTTGGGACAAGAAACCTACTACTCACTCCTTTACAGTTTTACAGAGAGGAAATTGTACTCGCTCAGACATTACCTATGCCTGGACATGAGCACAACAGCCAAAGAGAAACTGGAAAATACAAACAAAAACAAAAACAAAAACAAAAACAAAACCCTACTTTCTCTTAGTACTTGGGCCAGACCTTGATTACAACACCATGGCCATCTGGAGCAGATCTCTTCCCATCAGTACTCAAGGCTAAGGTTCAGGAATCAATGTAAAGCATTCTACTTGTCACCCTTGAATCTAGAAGAGCTATAAGTTGGTGCAAAAGTGATTGCGGTTTTTGCCATTTAAAGTAATGCCATTACTACATAATGGTTTTGCCATTACTTTAAATGGCAAAAACTGCAGTTACTTTTGCACCAACCTAGTAGATACACAAACTGTTTCCTAGACAAACGGCCAGTGGACATGTTAGTCAGAGACCTTGTCCCAGCAGGTCTGGAATCTGGAGCAGAGAGTGCCCATTTGGCTGCACTCTGCACAGATGGGGCCCCCATTCTGGCTTTTCTCATGGAGCCCAAAACTGCAAGAAGCCTGGGGAGAGACACACGCAGGAAGTGAACGTGGAGGTTGGGCACCTGCTTTTTCTGCAGCCTAGTGAAACATCACCCAGAAATTTAGGCTCTGTCCACACAGATTAGGAGTCCTTACTCTCTTTGGGAGCTGTGACCACAAGAACAGTTAAAAGGCCAGGGAGCATTTCTTCATGTTTCTTTCCCTAAGGACAGAGACAGGACAATGGGGCAAAGAAGAAAGACGTCTTTTTTGCCAAAACTTGAGAGTATCCTTTGGGGAAGTACGTAGTTTTCCAATACTTATTTTCCTGAAATGTAGAATAGGGAAAATAAACAAAATTTTCTTACTAAGTGGTTGAGAAGATTAGAGTAGATAATGTACTGAAGAATTAATTATAATATAAAGTTAATCAGCATTAATTTTGTGCTAACATAAAGCTATACCTCAAGTCGGTGCCTCAGACTGGCATTGGCCCTTCTCTCTGACTGCCAAGTGGTGATATTTTGTGAGCAAGTTTTAACATGTGGTCTTTTGGTTCCCTAACTTCTGCAGTGTCCATCCCGAAGTCTTGCATAGACCCTTTTCCCACAGTGTTTTCTGTGCCATAGAAACCATGCCAGCTCTGTTCTGATGCCACAATGATTCAGGAGTGCTAGGGTGGGGGAAATTCGTAGAGAGAGAAAATTAACTTTCAAGTTTTATTATCAATTAATGTTTATAAAGCATAACCTGGGTGAAAACAAATGGGTTAAAAAAACAAAATATGGAATTCTTACCTATGAAGTCAGCAGCACAAGCTTGCAGGGCTGGAGAACACACACTCAGAATATAAATGGACATCAAGAAACAGGACAAAGAGGCATAAGATCTGCATAACAGAGCAATGGCCACACTTGCTGAAATAAAGCCAAAGCACTTAGATGATTATGATAGGATTATAATCTCTAAAATGGCAAAGCCCCCCTGTCTTCTGTTTGCGGCTAGTTAAATCAGGAGCACTGTGCCCTGTCTTGGGAGCACCATGGCTAACCAACAGTGTGGTCATGAACAGCCATCACAGTGCAAGGTCCAGAAAACTGGGCTATGTGAGAACCCAGGGCCACCTAGCCCAGTAAAGGAGCCTCTGAGGAACCCAGGTCATGCTCTTCAACCATAGAGTGCCATGTAGATGAGAGACCATACCCTTTCCCCGTTTCAGTAGGGGCAGAGCTGGATTCAATGGCTAGATTCATGGGGGAAAAAAATGCAGCTCACGTGTTAGAAAGAACATATTAATAGCTTTGGCAGTCCAATAATGGAATGGCTAGCTTATAAAATTATGGTCTTCACACCATACAAAATGGGCATGTAGCCATATTGGGGGGCACATTTCCATAAATCTTAACCATTGAATGTTACATGTTCCCTAAGAGAGGAAAAATACCTGAAAATGGTTCTAATAGAGGAGAGGAGGGAGCTTGAGTGAAAGGAACAGAAACACACAAGGGAGGAACCCATTAAGGCCCCATATGTTTTTTTAAAAAAATGGAAAAAAACGGTAGAAAAAGAAAAGGTTAATTTACTGCCATTTGTTATCCCTCAAATATACTAAGAATCTATTATGTACAAACACACATTTAGTTGGACACTGTGGGAAATACATTAAATAAATTAGCCAGAATGCAGTTTTCATAAAACTTACAACCCAATAGAAGAAAACATAGTCATAAATAATATTATCAGGTAAAAAGTGACTTAAATGTGAAGCACAGAAAGCCTTCTGAGAATGACTTTAAATAAAAATGGACAAATCAGCCTATGTTTTCCTTGTAATTAAGAAATGAGATAAAATTAAGGTATTTTAAATCAATTGCTTCTTATTCATAAAAAAAAGTAGGTCAAAAAGTTTGAATCAGAGAAATGAGAAAGAAAAATTTAAGAAAAATAAATTTTCGCCCTATTTCTCCCATTTTATAAGCATTATTGATTCTCGGGTTTGGATTAGACACCCAAGAACATATTTGTGAAGTTATTCCAAATGTTTCCACATCAAGGTCATTTTCTTAAAAAAAAAAAAAAATCAATAAACCAGGGCCTGTCTCTTTCACTCAGGCTGGAGTGCAGTGCCATCATCTTGGCTCATTGTTCAACCTCTACCTCCTAGGCTCAAGCAATCCTCCTACTTCAGCCTCCTCAGTAGCTCAGACTTGGACCACCACACTCAGCTAATTTTTTTTATTTTTCGTAGAGGTGGGGTTTCGCCATGTTGCCCAAGCTGGTCTCAAACTCCTGGACTCAAGTGATTCACCCACCTTGGCCTCCCAAAGTGTTGAGATCACAGGGTCATTTTCATTTAACTTAAGTAAGATTGGCTTATTAGAGAAATATTGAAAAAAATTAAATAAGCAAAAGAAAAATGTGTGAAGAACTATAATTACATGAAGTGTATGTTAAAATGTAACCTTTTTCAATGTCTATAAATATAAATGGATATGCATTTACATATATATAACATAAATAATATACAATGTAAATATTAAGCACATTTTTATAGCATGATTCACACACATAGAAATACATTTCTCCATTGATAAAATGCTTTGCGATATCATCTTTAATAACTCATTTCTTTGTTAGGTGCACTATAATACATGTTTTATTGTGATAAAATATACCTAACAAAATTTACCATTTTAACGATTTTTAAGTGCACAGCTCAATGGCATTAAGTACATTGTTGTGCAACTGTAACACATTTTTTAAAACCTTAGTTGTTGGACATTTACTTTGTTTCTAATTTGATATTACAAATAATGCCACAATAAACATACCAATAGTTGTTCATATTTTAAATTATTTTGCTATAAATTTACTTACGTACCAAAGTATATGTGAATGTCAATTTCCACATACTCTTGGAAACTATAAGTATTCACATTACATTTTCTTTATGTATCAGACAGGAAAAACAGCAGTATTTTAATACCATATCAATTTTTATTTATTTATTTTCAAAGAACAATGTTTGACATATTTGCATTTGTAATGAATTACAAGGTGTTTGTCTTAGGAATTGACACCACCTGAGGAAGTCAGAAAGTCATATTGTAAACATTTTTAAACTCTGTCAGTCACACTGATGGGAATCATTAATTTGTCACAGCACAATTTTTTATGTTGCATTGTTTTTCTGTTGGTGTTATACATGAACTCCCATGGGTCTCTGTTGAGGGCTGCCCCCAGGAGGTGTCAATTCCTTGGTGTATGGGCACATCAGCAGAGAGGCTTTCCAAAGCCCTCAGGCACAAAGATGCCGACCCTGGCAGCTGGAAACTGCGAAGCACAGGGAAGGGTTGGAGGGCTGTGGGGATGATGGTACTGATGGTTTCTGTTACAGCCAGGACCAATCTTCTCACCACAGTGAAAAATCATTACCAACGTGTTTCATATTTTCTTTCAAACGTATTTTTACTATAAATACTATACGTGGAATATTGTTGTTTGGGCATTGTTTCCACTCATATTGTTGCAGTCACCGTCTTGTTAAAGTTATTTCCATCATTCTAATGACCACATAGTTCTCTTCTGGATTGCTTTGCTATAGCTCATTTAATGCAGTGTTTGCCCACTGATACATCGCAGTGTGGTAGGAACACTTAATACATAAGCTGCCAAAGTGTGGTCAATTTTTGTTGTAAGTGTGTGCATTTTTATGAAAACTGAGGATCACGCTCTGATAGCAGCATCTGCTGGAAAGAACATGGAGCTGAATATGAGAAAGAGAAAAAAACCTCCCACCCATCCGGTACTAAAGAAAGATCATATATTTATTAAGACACTTGAAGATTTTGCCCAAATAATACAAAAGAAATTCACAGCAAGGATTAAGCTCTTCTCCTTAAGGAGGAACTGAGATAAAAAGTAACCAAACAAAAAGCAAATGAATATGGTATTAACCAATCCCTTCAAAATTTCAATTTTCTAAACTGCAGAGATGCACAAATATGTTGAGCATTGTTAACTTAAACATTTCCTTGCTGCTGCACACTTTTTTCTTTCTATTTGGTCTCAGCTATAGAGTTTAATTAAGTATAACTTCCAGTTTATGGCACATAATTATCATTAGTTCATGGAAGACCTCATTCTCTTTTATTTTCTTTTTGCTTTTCCTGACCCCCAATCCTGTTCTATGTTCCAACACAGACACCCAATCTAATGTGTTTGTTACATGTCTTTGGATTTGTATATAACCTTATAAAAAGAGTGTTGGGTTTTTGTATGTGTTTTAGTATATGTAAATGACATTGTGCCATGGAGCCTATTTGTATGTGCGTGTAACGTGGTAGCATTAAGTAATCTTCATGTGGTCACAGGTACACCTAATTGACTGCTCCTAAGTGCTTGCCACACTGAATACATCAATCATATTTTATGTATTTAGAGATACATAAATGTAGAGATAGCTACAACCAGTAGCTATCACAAACAGTGATAAAAAGAATGAGCTTCACACATGATTTTTCATTAACTTCTTGGGAATATAAACCTAGGAATGGGCTTGTTGGTAACAGGGTGTACACATATGCAATGTAACTTCTGTCAGCTGCTCTCCAGATCAACCTTATCAGTTTGCATCCATTCTGGTCACTGCCACACACACCACTCCATCCATAACAATGCTTGGTATAATTCAAAGCTCTATTTTTTCCTAAGATGCATCTCCTAATATGTATAAGGCAATATCGCAGTTTTCTATTGGTGAGGATGAGTATCTTTTCATATAATTCTAGATATTTAGGTTTGTTCTCTGTATTTCCTTGTGTTCTTCTTATGGATTTGTAGAATTTCTTCCATATTTAACAGATTGGCTTTTAATTGGTTTTAGTTGCTGCAAATCCCTCATTTCAATCTGCCCTATGTTTGCTAACATCACCTATACTTTCCTTCTTTAATGAAATATTTAATATTTCCGTAATACAATCCATTAACTCTTTTTTTATAGTCTTTTGTTTGAGAATCTGGTATACTATCTCTTTCCCCCATCCTTACGCCAGGGCTCAATGATATTCTACATTTTCTTACTTTAGCTTGATAGTGTTTAAGGTTTTTAAGCACTCTGGAGTTAACATTTATATATTGAATGAAAGAAATTGAACGTAACTTTTCTCCATTTAGTGGCCTTTATCCTTTACATATTCCCTACTAACTGGGCATTCCAGTTCTGTCACTTAGCATATCTGCTACAAATACATGATTATATTTCTGAGCTTTCTTTGCTAATCCCTCAGTTAATCTTGAACAAGCAGCATATTGGCCACACACCCTCAAGAATGGCTTTTTAGAAACCTTATGTATATTGGAATAAAGATTACCCTTGCTTCATAAAATGAGCTGGGAAAGCTTTATTTTTTTGTCCTGGAACAACTTTTGTAAGTTAATAAATAGCTATTCTGTGAAAGTTTGTAGAACTTATTTGTTGCTCTTCTGATGACCATTTCCATTACTTTAACACATACTGAATGTTTTATGCTCTTTACTTTATCAACGATTTTTGAAATTTCATGTTTCTATAGGAATTTACCATTTCAGCTAAGTTTTCAAATATAGTATCATATAACAGCTCATAATATTCTAATACTTTTCAAAATCTCTTTGATTTCTTACTTAATTGTCTAAAATAAAAATTTGAAGTGGCTCTTTTATCACTGATTTCCAATTGTATTGCATTCTGGCCAAAGAACTTAGTCTATAAGATTTCGAGTCTTGACACCTGTGAAGCTTCATTCGTGCCCTATATATTGTAATTGCTGCATTACCTATAAACACAAAGTGTTTATTTTTGACAGTAACCATCTATCTATACATGAATAAATGAATAAATAATGTATTAATTGGTTTTTGAAAACTTGTGATATAAGAAACAGATATTTGGTCTTTGTCCCTGGTTCCCATCACAGAACTTGTAAAACTCTTGCAAATTCCTGAGTTATAGGAATAAGAGGAATACCTTTTTTCAAAGAATAATTGTTTTTTCTCCCATTCCTGAAATAGCTTCAAAATTATAAAGTTTAAAGGAGGGTCTTTTATTATTCATAACAAGCCCAATTCTATTACACTTGAGTTTATGTTAATAAGGTGACGTTTGGAAAATCTCTAAGGATGAAGGGGCTGGTGGCCAGGGGAACCGTGTGATTAGTGAGTTGGTACTTTCAGCCCCACCCTCCAACCTCAGGAAAGGAGAAAGAGGCTGGAAATTAAGTTGATTACCAGTGGCCAATCACTTAATCAATCATGGCTACGTAATGAAGCTGCCATAAAAACCAGAACCAAAGAGTAATCCTCTAGCTCTTGGAGTTATGTTTTATGCAGGCAAAGTAATTTTTAGAGATGAGCTGTCCTGCATACCCTCATTGATACTTATTTTCCACCAACCAGTCTCAAGAGCTGCTCTGCTGTTACCACCACCATTCTTGAGCAGCATGTGAACAGTGCTCCTGTTCCAGAGACCAACCATGTTGGGTCAAGGGATGAGAAATGGCTTATTATGGAAAATTTTGGGGAGAAAAAAGTCACAATGAAAAGTGTCTCCCAACATATTCTCTGACCATCTGTCAGGATCTTTTTTGCTCAAGACAGATGCTTTCCCCTCAATGGGACTCAATCATTTTCTGTCTCCACAATATTTTCTTCCAGATTTTACATTCATTACTCTCATCTCTCTTTTTCTATCTCCTCTTTGTGCTTTAAACAAAAATGTATCTCAGGCAAGTGTCCATCAATTTTGAAAGTTTATTTTGCTAAAGTTGAGGAAATGCCCACACCATAGCCTCAGGAGGTCCTGAGAACATGTGCTCAAGGAAGTAAGGTCACAGATTGATTTTGTACATTAAGGGATGGGGGGCAGAAGTTACAGGCAGACATCAATCAATACATGTAATGTGTACATTGGTTTGGTTTAGAAAGGTGACACATCTTAAAGGAGGCAGGTTGGCTTCCAAGTCATAGGTGGATTCAAAGTTTTCCCAATTGGCAGTTGGTTGAAAGAGTTAAGTTTTGTTTGAAGAGTTGAAGTCATCAGAAAGAAATGCTTAGGGTTAAGATAAGGAGGGTTGTGGAAACCAAGGCTCTTGTTATACAGGTGAAGCCTCTAGGGAGAAGACTTCAGAGACAATGGATGGTAAATGGTAAATGTCTTTTTATCAGACCTTAAAAGGTGCCTGACTTTCCTGAAAAGACTTAGTAAGATATATTTTGGGGTGAAATACTTTGATTTCTTTCAGGGCCTGCTATCTGTCGTATGATGCTATACTAGAGTTCGGTTGGAATTGTGTATCTTATTGCTACAAATAGTCTGTTTTGTTAGTCTTAAGATCTCTGTTTTAATGCTGATACTGGTCAGCTGTGCTTGAATTCCAAAGGATGGAGAGTATAAGGCGTGTCTGATTCCCCCTTCACATTATGACATTAACTGATTTTTCAGGTTAATTTTGGAACGCTCTTGACTGAGAGAAAGGGTCCAATCAGTTGGTTGTCAGGCTTAGAATTTTGTTTTATATACACTACCATGCTCTCAAGTTTTAGGTTAGTGGACCACATTTTCTGGAAGCAGAAATTTGGGAAAAATATTTTCAATTTCACTTTATATATGAGAAAATTTAGGTTCAGAGAATTTAAATAATTTACCCTGTATTATCCAGCCAGTAAACAGCAGAGAGAGAAAAAAGGTTGTTATGCCTGACTACAATTCCCGTGGTCTTTCCCTGGAATTTGTGTCATATAATAAGAAATATACAGACATCATTTTTAAGGATATCAGTTGCTCAGTTAATAAGAAGAAAACCATTCTGTTTTTACCAACTTTGGAGCTGGAGGATCATTTCAAATCTGCCCAACAAAATCAAACACACAGGAGATATTTTGAGACCCAAAGGCTCATTTTCACTTGCTGGAGATGAGAAAAGGCTGTGGAATAAGTGCAAGGATAATTTTCATTCCCATTTACAAAGACGATTTCTGCAGAAATTGCATACATAAACCCCATAAATGGACAGTGAGCATTTACAGTTTAGAACCTCTCCAGTGACATGCACAGAGCAAATGGAAATCACTCTGCTCTCCACCACTAACCGAACATAAGCTCTCCTTTCAGGTAAGTGCTTTCCAATGCAATACTCTGAACAGCAGCTCTTCAAACAAGGCAAAACATTTAATTTTTAATCACCACATAGTTGCTTGTTATGGGAGTAGACACACAAGTGCCAAGTACTAAAACATAAGTTAGTCAAATGGAAAATACCACCTGGGTTGTCATTTCCCTGAATTGTTCACGGCGAAGTTGAAATAATGGCCTGGAGTGTTTCTTAAATTTTGTGGAGTTTTGCATTTTCTTTCTGTGTGTTTTAATTTTTGGAGGAAATGTGTATTTGAAGACAAGTGGGATTATTTTGAATAATATTTTGAATCTTGTAATTTATAAGATATTTGGCCTCCTCTTCAGGAGGCAGTGTAATAGCTGTGGATGCAGAGACTCTTCATTGGTCTGTAGAATAATCAGGCAGTCAGCAAAGCCCCAAATACAAAGCTCCATTCCTTCGGCATCCTGGATAATCTATTCTGCATGACCAACACACCACAGCTTTAGCCAAGTTATTACACCAATCAGATAAAAGTGTCTACCTATTCTAAATAGAAATTGTAGCTGAACACAGGAGCCAAAGTGGAGACCACTAATCTATTTACTTACTTATTTAGATGAAAATTTCACTGTAAAAGAGAGGGAAGGAAAGTACCACATGTTGCATCCTGTGTGCTAAACATTTTGCCAATCATTTTACATTTGTAACTCAACTACGTCAGTGTAAGTCTATGATGCTGTTATCAGAAATTAGCTTTCTCCTCAAAGTGTCCCTATTTTTTGTTTTTTCTGAAATTCTGGAGGGAATAGTCTACCACTGCTCAGGAAGTAGAGTATCTAGTGCTTTCACTCCAGCTTCTTAGCCCTGCTGCCATGCCACTGGCCCTCCAGAAGCTGACAATGTTCTGCTGAGAAGAATTATCCTCCACTGAGAAACACTTTGTTACTGCAACTCTTACACTGGGAAGGGATGTCATAGTCTCCGTGTCCCTCTTTACCCTAAATATAAATAGGGCTTTTACCTATGAAACCTATTATCTTTTTGATATGTTGTTGGATTTGGTTAGCTAGTATTTGGTTAAGGATTTTAACATCTACGTTCATCAAGGATATCGGTCTGTAGTTTTCCTTTTTGGTTATGTCATTTCCTGGTTTTGGTATTGGGGTAATGTTGGCTTCATGGAATGAATTAGCGAGGGTTCCTTCTTTCTCTACCTTGTGGAATAGTTTCAAAAATATTGGTACCAATTTTTCTTTGAATGTCTGCTAGAATTCTGCTGTGAATCCTTCTGGTCCTGGACTTCTTTTGTTGGTAATTTTTTATTTACCATAATTTTTTAATTACCATTCTAATCTCAATGCTTGTTATTGGTCTGTTCAGGATATCTAATTGTTCCTGATTTAAACTAGGTGGGTTGTGTCTTTCTAGGAATTTACTCATCTCTTCTAGTTTATGTTCATAGTATTTCAGTGGTGTCACTCCCTTGTAATATCTCTCATTTTGTTTCTTAATGAGGTTATTTGGGTTGTCTCTCTTCTTTTCTTGGTTAATCTTGGTAATGTCCTTCCAATTTTATTCATCTTTTAAAAGAACCAGCTTTTTGTTTCTTTTCTTTTTTTTTTTTTTTTTAGTAGTGGTTTTCTATTTCAATTTCATTTAGTTCTGCTCTGATCTTGTTTATTTCCTTTCTTCTGCTGAGTTTTGATTTGGTTTGTTCTTGTTTCTCTAATTCCTTGAGGTGTGACCTTGGAATGTCAGTTTGTGCTCTTTCAGTCTTTTTGATGTAGGCGTTTAGGGCTATGAACTTTCCTCGTAGCACCACCCTTGCTGTATCCCAGAGATTTTGATTGGCTGTGTCACTATTTTTGTTCAGTTTGAAGAATTTTTTTAATTTTCATCGTGACTTTGTTTTTGACCCAACGTTCTTTCAGTAGCAGGTTATTTATTTCCCCATATTTGCATGGTTTTGAAGGTTCCTTTTAGAGTTGATTTTCAGTTTTATTCCACTGTGGTCTGAGAGAGTGCTTGAAATAATTTCAATTTTCTTAAATTCATTGAGGCTTGTTTTATGGCCTATCAATAGTCTATCTTAAAGAAAGTTCCATGTGCTGTTGAATAGAATGTGTAGTCTGTGGTTGTTGGATGAAATATTCTGTATCTATCTGTTAAGTTCATTTATTCCAAGGTATAGTTTAAATCCATTGTTTCTTTGTTGACTTTCTGTCTTGATGACATGTCTAGTGCTGTCAGTGGAGTATTGAAGTACCCCACTATTATTGTGTTGCTGTCTATCTCATTTCTTGTCCGTTAGTAATTGTTTTATAAATTTGGGAGCTCCAGAGTTAGGTGCATATGTGTTTAGGATTGTGATATCTTCCTGTTGGACAAGGCCTTTTGCCACTGTATAATGTCCCTCTTTGTCTCTTTAACTGCTGTTGCTTTAAAGTTTGTTTTGTCTGATATAAGAATAGCTACCCCTGCTTGCTTTTGGTGTCCATATGCATGTAAAGCCTTTAGATAATCTGATGACAATGTGCCTAGGCAATGATCTTTTTGCAATGAATTTCCAACACGTTCTTTGTGCTTCTTGTGTTTGGATGTCTAGGTCTCTAGCAAGGCTGGGGAAGTTTTACTCAATTATTCCCCTAAATGTGTTTTCCAAGCTTTAGGAATTCTCTTCTTCTTCAGGAAGATCAATTATTCTTAAGATTGGTCATTTAACATAATCCTAGACTTCTTGGAGGCTTTGTTCATATTTTCTTATTCTTTTCTCTTTGTCTTTGTTGCATTGGGTTAATTTGAAGATCTTGTCTTTAAGCTCTGAATTTCTTTCTTCTACTTGTTCAGTTCTATTGTTGAGACTTTCCAGCATTTTGCAATTCCATAAATGTGTCTAATGTTTCCTGAAGTTTTGATTTTTTTTCTTTATGTTATCTATTTCCTTCAGTATTTCTCCCTTCACTTCTTGTATCAGTTTTTGGATTTCCTTGCATTGGGCTTAGCCTTTCTCTGGTGCCTCCCTGATTAGCCTAATGACTATCCTCCTGAATTCTTTTTCAGGTAAATCAGGGATTTCTTCTTGGTTTGGATCCATTGCTGGTGAACTAGTATAATTTTTGAAGGGTGTTAAAAAGCCTTGTTTTGTCATATTACTAGAGTTAGTTTTCTGGTTCCTTCTCATTCGGGTAGCCTGTGTCAGAGGGAAGGTCTAGGGCTGGAGGCTGTTGTTCAGATTCTTTTGTCCCACAGGGTGTTCTCTTGATGTTGTACTCTCCCCATTTTCCTATTACTGTCACTTTCTGTGAGCTGAGCTCCGGTGATTGTTATCTCTCTTTTGGGTCTAGCCATTCAGCAAGTCTACCCAGCTCCGAACTGGTACTGGGGGTTGTCTGCACAGAGCCCTGTAATGTGAACCATCTATGGGTCTCTTAGCCATGGATACCAGCACCTGTTCCACTGGAGGTGCCAGGGGGGTGAAATGGACTCTGTGAGGGTTCTTAGCTTTGGTGATTTAATGCTCTATTTTTGTGCTGGTTGACCTCCTACCAGGAGGTGGTTCTTTCCAGGGAGCATCAGCTGTGGTAGTATGGAGAGGAACCAGCAGTGGGCAAGGCCCTAGAACTCCCAAGACTATGCCCTTTGTCCTCCTCTACCAGGGTGGTTGGGGAAGGACCATCAGGCGGGGGTGCGGCTGAGGGTGTGGCTAGGCGTGCCTGAGCTCAGACTCTCCTTGGGCAGGTCTTGCTGTGGCTGCTGTGGAGGATGGGGGTGATATTCCCAGGTTAATAGAGTTATGTACCTAGGAGGATTATGGCTGTCTCTGCTGAGTCATGCAGGTTGTCAGGGAAGTGGGGGAAAGCCAGCAGTCACAGGCCTTACCCAGCTCCCACGCAACCTGAAGGGACGGTCTTACTCCCACCATACACATCTGAACAGCCCCAAATCTGTTTCCAGGCAGTTGGAGAGCAGGGCTTGAGAACTTGCCCCAGGCCACCCACCTCCCAGCTGTGAAAGAAAAGGTCTTGGTTCTTCCCCTGCCTATAGAGTCTGCACACCAGATTTACACCCTCCCTGGAATTCTGGCCAAGAGGCCTCTTGCCTAGCTAGAACTGTTTCAAAATTTAGCCAGAGACTTCCTTCTTCCTGTGGCATTTTCCTCTGCCCCTCTGGCCACCCTCCCAAGGATCCCTGTGGTGCCAGGCAGGAATGGACTGCCTGGGAACCCAGTGAGCTCCCAGGGCCTTTCCTGCTGCTTCTTTTTCCCCTGTATTTCACTGGACTCTCTAGATTGACTCAGCTCCAGTTAAGGTCAGAAACTTCTCCAACAAGCAAACCTTCAGTTTCCCCAGTGGGGGTGTGTGTTTGGGAGAGGAGGATCTCATTTCCCCACTTCTGCAGCTGGGACACTCACAGTATTTGGGTGTCTCCTGGGTGCTGCAAGAGAAGTCCCCTTCCTTCAGAGGGTCTGTGGGTCCTCTCTGGATTTCTGGTTCATTCTTGCAATCAATCTCGGAGCTAAAATTCACGATGTAGGCCTCTGCCCATTGCTCTGTCCATCCGAGTTGGAGCTGCGATCTATCCTGCCTCCCATCTGCCATGATCTCCTTCTCCTACCTCATTTTACGCTACTCATCTTTCATTCAATTTAATTCTGTCTGCATCAGCCTCTTTGTTAGCGACCATGATCTCTTGTTATTTTTGAATGTTGAAAATACCTTTATTTTGCTTGGACAATGACTGACGTCTATTAGTAGCAGGTTTTTACATTATCTGGCTTTAGTCTCCTTCTTCCTACCTCATTTTACACTACTCATCTTTCACTCATTTTAATTGTATCTGCATCAGCCTCCTTGTTATCTTTATGAAGCCTGAGCTTATTACAGCTTTGGGCTTTTACAGAGGTACTGGAAGCAATTTCTGGTTTACTCCTTCACTTCTTAAAGGTTTAGGCTCTGATATTACTTCCTCAGAGAGGCCTTCTGTCAATAGCTCATTTAAAATACTTCCCACTACATCATCATTTTCTGTACGCAGGTTTCCCTTCATAGCACTTATCACTGAGTATATATATATATATATATATATATATATATATATATATATACTCAATTATATGTATACACACATATATATATAATTGAGATAAATTTGTAAGTAACTTTAAAACATGTACTCTATTAGACTCTATATTCCTACACTCCTCTTATTCACTAAAGACTAAACTCTCTGAATTTCTTGAATGTGATCACCTTATTCAGCACCATGTCTTTCATGAATAGAATCGTGCTCAGCAAATATAATGTGGACAATAAACATTTAGTGAACGATAGGGTAAAAGTAAGTCCTCCAAGATCTTTCTTGTATAGTTCGCCCATAGTTTCAATTCGGGGAAATTTCAGAAGCAGTGCTGATTTCTACTCTAATGGGAACCCACCTTTGACTCAGAAGGTGTGCTAGCAAAATTCTAAGATAGACCCCGTAATTCCCAGCACTTGCTATACACACACCTTCTCCCAGTTATTCAGTCAAACACTAATCTAGGTGTTGTTGTGAAGGGATTTTGAAGATATAATTAGACCACAAATGAGTTATTCTTTTTTAAAAACTTTTATTTTTGGTTCGGGGTACATGTGAAGCTTTGTTATGGAGGTAAACTCATGTTACAGGCATTTGTTTTACAGATTATTTAATCATCCAGGTATTAAGCCCAGTACCCAATACTTACCTTTGCTGCTCCTCTCTAGCCTCCTAGCCGCCACCCTCAAGAAGACCCTACTGTCTGTTGTTTCATTTTTGGGTTCATAGGATTTTATAATTTAGCTCCCACTTGTAAGTGATAATGTGGTATTTGGTTTTCTGTTCTTGCATTAGATTGCTAAGAATAGGCCTTCAGCTCCTTCCATGTTCCTGCAAAAGACATGATCTTGTTTTTTATGGCTGTCTACTGTTCTATAGTGTATATGTACCACATTTTCTTTATCCAATCTGTCATTGATGGGCATAGGTTGATTTCATATCTTTGCTCTCCTGAATAGTGCTGCAATGAACATTTGCACGCGTGTTCTTTACAATAGAATAATTTATATGCTTCTGAGTATATTTCCAGTAATGGGATTGCTGGGTCAAATGGTTGTTCTGTACTTTAGCTCTTTTAGGAATCCATGCTGCTTTCCACAATCGAACTAATTTACACTTCCATCAACAATGTAAAAGACATAATCTTATTGTTTTTTATGTCTGCATAGTATTCCATCATGCACATGCACCGCATTTTTAAAATTCACTCTACCATTGATGGGCATTTAGGTTGATTCCATGTCCTTGCTATTGTGAATAGTGTTGCAATAAACATATGTGTGCATGTTTCCTCTACCAGTCCCCTGACTCAAAATGTTAATCTCCTTTGACAACGCCTTCACAGACACACCCAGGAACAATACTTTGAATCTTTTAATCCAATCAATTTGACATTCAATATTAACCATCACAGAATGATATACCTCAAAATGATAAGAGCCATATATGACAAACCCACAGTCATATATGGGTAGGAACATAGAAAAACTTATGTTCCTTTGGGTATATACCCTGTAATGGGATTGCTGGGTCGAAAAGTATTTCTGTTTTTAGGTATTTTAGGAATTACCACACTGCTTTCCGCAACTGTTGAACTAATTTATACTTCCACCAACAGTGTAAAAGTGTGCCTTTTTCTCTGCAACCTCGCCAGAATCTCTTGTTTTTGACTTTTTAATAATCACCATTCTGAATGGTGTGAGATGGCATCTCATTGTGGTTTTGATTTGCATTTCTCTAACAATCAGTAATACTGAAATTTTCCTGTTTGCTGGCTGCATGTATGTCTTCTTTTGAAAAGTGTCTGTTCATGTCCTTTGCTCACTTTTTAATGTGTTTTTTTCTTTTGTAAATTTGTTTATGTACATTATAGATTCTGGGTATTAGACCTTTGTCAGATGCATAGTTTGCAAATATTTTTCCCATTCTGTAGACTATCTGTTTATATTGTTGATAGTTTCTTTTGCTGTGCAGAAGTTCTTAAGCTTAATTCGATCTCATTTGTCAATTTCTGCTTTTGTTGCAATTGCTTTTGGTGTCCTTGTCATGAAATCTTTGCCCATTTCTGTGTCCATGATGGTGTTGGCTAGGTTGTCTTTTAGGATTTTTACAGTTTGGAGTTTTACATTGAGGTCTTTAATCCACCTTGAGTCGATTTTTGCATATGGTTTAAGGAAGGGGTTCAGCTTCAATCTTCTGTATATGGCTAGCCAGTTATCCCAGCACCATTTATTAAATAGGGAGTCTTTTCCCCAATCCTTATTTTTTGTCATCTCTGTCAAAGATCAGATGGTCACAGGTGTGTGGCCTTAATTTGGGGGCTCTGTATTCTGTTCCCTTAGTCTATGTGCCTGTTTCTGTAACAGCAGTATCATGCTGTTTTGGCTACTGTACCCCTATAGCATAGATTGAATTTGGGTAACATTATGCCTCCAGCTTTTTTCTTTTTGCTCGGGATTGCTTGGCTATTTGAGCTCTTTTTAGGATCTGTGGATTTTAAAATAGTTTTTTCTAAGTCTGTGAAGAATTTCATCAGTAGTTTGATAGGAATATCATTTAATCTGTAAATTGCTTTTGGCAGTATGGCCATTTTAATGATATTATTACTTCATATCCATGAGCATGGGATGTGTTTCTATTTGTTTATATCTTCTCTGATTTATTTGGGCAGTGTTTTATAATTTTTATTGTAGAGATATTTTATCTTCTTGGATAGCTCTATTCCTAGATATTTTATTCTTTCGGTGGCATTTGTGAATGAGATCGCCTTTCTAATTTGGTTCTTGGCTTGGCTGTTGTTGGTGTATAGGAATGCTAGTGATTTTTTGTCCATTGATTTTGCTTCTTGAAACTTTGCTGAGATTGTTTATCAGCTGAAGGAGCTTTTGGGCCAAGACTATGTGGTTTTCTAGATATAGAATTATGTCATCTGCAACCAGATAGTTTGACTTCTTCTCTTCCTATTTGAATGTTCTTTATTTCTTTCTCTTGCCTGATTGCTCTGGCTAGAATTTACAATAATATGTTGAATAGGAGTAGTGAGAGAAGGCATACTTGTCTTGTGCTGGTTTTCGATGGAATGCTTCCAGGATTTGCCAATCTATTATAATGTTGACTGTGGGTTTGTCATATATGGCTCTTATCATTTTGAGGTATATCATTCTGTGATGGTTAATATTGAATGTCAACTTGATTGGATTAAAAGATTCAAAGTATTGTTCCTGGGTGTGTCTGTGAAGGCGTTGTCAAAGGAGATTAACATTTTGAGTCAGGGGACTGGTAGAGGAAGACCTACCCTCAATTTGGGTGGGTATCATCTAATGAGATGCCAGCATGGCTAGAAAAAAAAGCAGGTGAAAGAATGTGAAAGGACTAGACTTGCTGAGTCTCCTGGCTTTCATCTTGGTCCTGTGCTGGATGCTTCCTGCTGTTGAACATCAAACTCCAAGTTCTTCAGCTTTTGGACCCATGGACTTACACCAGTGATTTGCCAGAGGCTCTCAGGCCTTAAGTCACAGACTGAAGGCAGCACTGTTGACTTCCCTACCTTTTACATTTGGTACTCAGACTGGCTTCCTTGCTTGCAGCTTGCAGACAGCCTATTGTAGGCCTTCACCTTGTGATAGTGTAAGTCAATGCTCTTTAATAAACTCCCCTTCATATATACTCCTCTCCTATTAGTTCCGTACCTCTAGAGAACCCTGACTAATGCACCTTCAATTCCTAGTTTATTGAGGGTTTTTAATATGAAAAAGTTTTGAATTTTATCAAAAGCCTTTTTTGCATCTATTGAGATATCATGTGGTTTTTGTCTTTAGTTCTGTTTATATGATGAATCAAATTAATTGATTTTTGTATGTTGAACCAACTTTGCATTCTGGTGATGAAGCCTACTTGATCGTAGTGGATTAGCTATTGGATGTGCTGCTGGATTTGGTTTGCAGGTCTTTTGTTGAGAATTTTTGCATCAATGTTCATTGAACATATTGGCCTGAAGTTTTCTTTTTTTCTTGTGTCTCTGCCAGGTTTTGTATCAGAATGATATCGGCTTCATAGAATTAGTTAGGGAGGAATCCCTCCTCTTCAAATTTTTGGAATAGTTTCTGTGCAAATGATACAGCTCTTCTTTGTATATCTGGTAGAATTTGGCTATGAATATGAATCCATCAGATACTGGACTTTTCTTTTTTTGGTTGGTAGGCTATTTATTACTCATTTATTTTTGGAGTTCATTATTGGTCTGTTCTCTGAATCAATTTCTTCTGGTTCAGTCTTGTGATGGTGTGTCTCCAGAAATTCATCCATCTCCTCTAGGTTTTCTAGTTTGTGTGCATAGAAGTGCACGTAGTAGTTTCTGATGGTTATTTTTATTTCTGTGAGATCAGTGGTAATATTCTCTTCATTATTTCTAATTGTATTTTTTTTTGCATCTTCTCTCTTTTCTTCTTTTTTTCTTCTAGCTAGCAGCCTATCTATCTTATTAATTTTTTCCAAAAACTAACTCCTGAATTTGTTGATCTTTTGAGTGGTTTTTCATGTCTTGATTTTCTTCAGTTCAGTTCTGATTTTGGTTATTTCTTGTCTTCTGCTAGCATGATTTGCTCTTGCTTCTGTAATTCTTTCAGTTATGGTGTTAGGTTGTTAATCTGAGATTTTTCTAACTTTTTGATGTGGGAACTTAGTGCTATAAATTTCCCTCTTAACACCACCTTCACTGTGTCCCCGAAATTCTAGCATGTTGTACCCTTGTTCTATTAGTTTCAAAGAATTTCTTGATTTCTGCCTTGATTTCAATATTTACGCAAAGTCATTCAGGAGAATGTTGTTTAATTTGCGTGTAATTGCATGGTTTTGAGAGATTTCTTAGTATTGACTTCTATTTTTATTGTGCTGTGGTCCAAGAATGTGCTTGGTATGATTTTGATTATTTTGCATTTGCTGAGGATTGTTTTGTGTTCGTTTGTGTGGTCAATTTTAGAGTATGTGCCATGTGGCAATGAGAAGAATGAATATTCTGTTGTTTTAGGGTGCAGTTCTGTAGATGTCAATCAGATCCATTTGATCCAGTGCTAAGTTTAGGCCCTGAATATCTTGTTAATTTTCTATGTTGATGATTTAGTACTGTCAGTGGAGTGTCAAAGTCTCCCACTATTGTTGTATGGAGGTTTATGTCTCTTTGTACATCTCTAAGAACTTGCTTCATTATGAATCTTGGTGTTCCTGTGTTGGGTGTATGTATATTTAGGATAGTTAGGTTTTCTTCTTGATTTGAACCCTTTACCATTATGTAATGCCCGCTTTTTTTTGGTTTGAAATCTGTATCTGTTCTGTCTGAAATATGGATTCTCACTGCTGCTTTTTTTTCTGTTTTCCAGTTGCTTGGTAGATTTTTCTCCATCCCTTTATTTTGAGCCTATGGGTGTCATTGCATGTGAGACGGGTCTCTTGAAGACAGTATACCATTGGGTCTTGCTTTTTTATACAGCTTGTCACTCTGTGCCTTTTAAGTGAAGGAATTTAGCTTGTTTAAATTCAAGGTTAGTACTGATGTGTGTGGGTTTAATTGTGTCATTATGTTGTTAGCTGGTTATTGTATTGGTTTGTTTGTGTGGTTGCTTTATAGTGACACTGATCTGTGTGTTTCAGTGGTTTTGTGTTAGCTGCTAGTGGTCTTTCCTTTCTATATTTAGTGCTCCTTTCCGCCTTTCAAGATCTCTTTTAAGGCAGGTCTGGAGGTAATGAACTTCCTCAATATTTGCTTATCTGAAAAAGACCTTATTTCTTTTTCACGTAGAAAGCTTAATTTAGCTGGATATAAAATTTCTGGTTGAATTTTTTTTTTTTTTTTTTTTTTAGAATGTTTAACATAGGTTCCCAATCTCTTTTGGCTTACAAAGTTTCAGCTTATAGATCTACTATTAGGCTGATGGGTTTCTCTTTTTAGGTAAACTGACCTTTCTCTCTAGTTTCCTTTAACATTCTTTCTTTCATTTTGACCTTGGAAAATCTGACAATTATGTACCTTGGGATGACCTTCTCATGTAGAATCTTACAGGCATTCTCTGTATTTCCTGAATTTGACTGTTGGACTCTGGCAAGATAGGGAAAGTTTTCGTGGATGATACCCTGAAATATGTTTTCCAAGTTGTTTACTTTCTCCCCATCCCTTTTAAGTATGCCAATGACTCATAGACTTGGCCTCTTTACATAATGCCATACTTCTGAAAGGTTTTGTTTATCACATTTTATAAACTTTTTCTTTATTTTTGTCTGTCTTATTTCAGAGAGCAAGTCTTCAAGTTCTGAGATTCTTTCCTCAGCTTGGTTTATTCTGCTGTTAATACTTGATTGCATTGTGAAATTCTTGTATTGAGTTATTCAGCTCTGACAGACCCATTGGGTGTTGTGTTTGTTTGTTTTTCCACCCGCTATTTCATCCTTTAGCTCCTGCATCACTTTATTGTGATTCTTAGTTTCCTTACATTGGCTTCTGCCATCCTCCTGAATTTCATTGAGCTTTGTTCCTATCCATATTCTGAATTCTATTTCTGTCATTTCAACCAGTTCAGCCTAGTTAAGAACTCTTGTTGGAGAAATGGTGTGGTCATTTGGAGGACATAGAATACTGGCCATTTGGGTTACCAGAGTTCTTGCATTGGTTCTTTCTCATCTCTGCATGTGTGTGTTCCTTTAACTGCAGTATAGATTGAGTACAGTCAATAGACTTTGCCGGATATTCTCACTGGGTAAAGGCTTTGTGCGGGGTCTTTATTTGAAGCTGACTCCTTGTCTCTGGTTTCAGAGGGGGGCGTGTTAGCAAGGTATTTTTGGTGTTGAAGCTTTGGGGTGTGATTTAGTAGGTGTCACTCAGGCATACTTGCCAGCTGATAGACTCTTGCTCTGTTTCCTTCAGTTGTAGCCATGTTGCCTCTCAATGTCCTGAAAGTATGGGTTCCTCTCCCCCTTGAGTGCTGCTGTAGATACCAGCTTGGCATGCCTGGGCTGTCCACTGCCACTCTGTGGCAATCTCAGTGTTTATGTTCCTTCCCAACTTAGAGTCAGTAAAGGAAGAGAACTTAGTACTGGTTATGGCAGCGAGTCTTTTGCTTTTCTCCTGGGAACTCCACCCCAGAGAGATTTAAGGTCAGCAATCACTCAGTGCAATCAGCCCCGGATGGAGGGCCTGTGCTGTGGGCCCAAGCCAGGGGTTCCCAGTCTGGTAATGAGCAGTGGGGTATGTGGGGGACCCGTGGGTGATGAACTGGCCTCCTCTCCTTGGGTTGACTGCACCTTGTTGGAGGTGTGCATAAGGCACTTATGGTCTTCAATCCTTCATCAGTCTGAGACTAGGAAAGGCAGTTCGACTGCAGAGGCAGTGACAGAGAGGATTTCACTTGCTCCTGATGGCACTGTCCTAGGGAGTTGATAGCTCTGGCAGAGGGTGGCTGGAGGCTCAGGCCTGGAGGATGCACCTGGTGAGAAGATATGGGAATGGGCACCCACGTAACAGTCTGACATCTTTTTTATAGGGTTGCTGTAGTATGCTGCAGGTCAGCTCCAATCCCTAGTTGCCTTGGATTTTCCATTACCTGGAGATTACCACCAGTGAAGGCTGCAAAATGGCAAAGATGGTGGCCTGCCCCTCACTCTGGAAGCTCCTTCCCAGGAAGTTACAAGCCCGTTGCCAGCCCAAATACACCTGTAGAAGGTGGCTGGAGACCCCAGTTGCAAGGTCCCACCCTGTGAGGAGTAACGGGATCTTGGACTTGCTTAAACAAGCAATGTGGCCACACTTTTAAGAGCAGCTGTGCTGTGCTGTGGGATCCTTTCCACCCCTAGTTGGCTTGAACTCTCCAAAGCTTGAAGCCTGGAATGACTAAGTCACCCACATAGCAAAAATGGTGGCCTGCCCCTCCTCTTGGAAGCTCTGTCTCAGGGAGGTGTAACGCTGCTACTGGTGACTGGTTGGAATTCCAATCCAATGGGTCTTATCCTGCAAGGTCCCGTGGAAGTGGAACATGCAGACTGTCACTGCTAGGCCTTCTGGATTCAGCCCCTTTCCTAGGGATATGTACAGGGATCTACCCTCCTGCTTTGCTAGAGTTGCAGCTACTTTTGCCCAGAAGCCCAGAAAGCCTGAGCATCTAAGGCTTCCTGCTGTTTGCATATGCCTGAGTGGCTGCTTTGCCGAGACTCCACGGCAGCTCTGTGTGTCACACTGAAGGCCCTGGTGGAGTGGGTTCACAAGGGGATCTCCTGACTGGAGGGCTGCAAAGACTCACCAGAAAAGCATGGCTTCCCAGGGTCACACATCCACTCACTGCTTCCCTGGGCAGGGGAGGTTCTTCTTGCTCTGTGTCACTCCCAGGTGGTCCAGTGTCCTGCCTTGCTCTTCTCCATTCTCTGTGGGTTGAGTTGTTCCCTTGATTATTCCCAATGCGAGTAGATTGATGTTTCAGTTGAAGTGCTGTATTTACTCGCCCTTTCCCGTCCTCTCTGTGAGAGCCACACACACTAGCTGCTTCTAATAAGCCATCTTGGCCACCTCTCACCGAGTTATTCTTTTTTTTTTTTTTTCTTGAGACAGAGTCTCCCTCTGTCTCCCAGGCTAAAGTGCAGTGGCCCGATCTCAGTTCACTGCAACCTCCACCTCCCGGGTTCAAGCGATTCTCCTGCCTCAGCCTCCCAAGTTAATCTTAAGATAATGAAATCCTCCTCTAGCGACCCTGACGCAATCAGGTGAGTCGTCAATATGGACAAGTTTGTCCTGTTGACAGAGACTTTAAGCACAAGAGGAAACTAAAGTGAGGAGCATTCTCTGTTGCTGGACTTGAAGAGGGAGAAGGTCATGTGACAAAAAGTAGTTCAAGGCCAGGTGTGGTGGCTTATGCCTGTAATCCCAGAAGTTTGGAAGGCCGAGGCGGGCAGATCACCTGAGCTCAGGAGTTAGAGACCAGCCTGGCCAACATGGTGAAACCCCGTCTCTACTAAAAATACAAAAATCAGCCGGGCATGGTGGCACACGCCTGTGATCCCAGCTACTCGGGAGGTTGAGGCAGGAGAATAACTTGAACCCGGGAGGCGGAGGTTGCAGTGAGCCAAGATCACACCACTGTACTCCAGCCTGGGTGACAGAGTGAGACTCAAAAAAAAAAAAAATAAGTAGTTAATATGCACATTAAATATTGAGAAACGTTGATGTATTGAATGCATGTGGGGTTAGAATTGAAGGATTAGAGATGTCCTGGAAGGCTGGCCTTTCTGTGATGATAAAAATGGGGAGATAACGCTTGCTTGGTTGCAGGGCAGATAGTGGAGAAAACACAATCCGTTCAGGGCAGAACAATTGGGAGGAGGGCGTCCTGACAAGAACTGGGAGTCTGGGAGACCTGCCAAGAGTTCAGAGATCAGGGCAGTTACTGAACTCCTCTTAGGACCTACAGGGGGACAGTCTGTCTCTGCGCATAAGGGCCCTTTCAACAGGTAAGATTTAAATAGAGTCACATGCTCAGCGTGGATTTCTCTCAGAATATAAAGCTATTATTTAAGATGAGCAAGTTGGAGCATAATATATTTGATGTAACTGCATTTATATAAATTATTAAACAAAACAATACAAGAAATTATGGATATATATATATTTTTTAAAAATTTGAATGTGTATAGGAATGCAACAAAATGCTGTGAGATCCATTATGCGTGGGGAAGTAGAAAATTAGTTGTAAGACATGAGGGAGATTTGCTCTAACTATACCTGGAATTATTTTCTTTAAAAAATATATATATTATATATATAAAATTTTATATATATATATTTTAATGAAGCCCTTTATTCATATATATGGAATAAAGGGCTTCATTAAAAAGTTTGGAAAAAATATAACATTCATTAATTGTGGGTGGCAAGTGCATGTCTATATGTCATACATTTATCATTATTTAAAAATAGAAGTACTAGATTAATTTTAAACCAAAGTTGATACGTACAAAAATATCTATGAAACTTGTATACCTAGCTTCACCCATTAGGATATAAAGAACCTCTCTGACTTCCTAATTTGAGATTACAATAACTCCAAATCCCATCTATGCAGATTAGATGTCTGTCCATCTGTCTACTGGTATGTCATATTCCAGTAGAATCAACATTTAGAAGAACCTCCTTGAGATCAAAAGAAGTCACAACCACTCCTAGGTCCTGCTGTTGTTCCTGCTGCTGCCCTCATATTCTAGTCAGTGTGGACACACAAACAGGCAAGTGGATACGCAGAAAAACTAGCTGAAGGAAATATAAATGGAGCTGCTACCTTAATCATGGTGGTAAAGGAAATTTAATGATCTTACCCTCAAAATGTATTTTTTGACATATTTTGAAATGGCTGCCACTTGGCTAGCAAACAAAAGTGGCCCTGCAAAGCTGTCTTTTGTGGGGAAAATTTGGATCTGTAGAGAATTTCCTTCAATGCAGCCAGGCTGCCTCCCTTTCCTGTGCTTTTCCAGATCCTGAAGAAACTGGAGAGTCTGACACCTTTAAAGTATGAAGAGAAACATTTACCCTCTATTCTAAGGGAAGCTTCATCTACATAACAAGGTCACATTTGCTAGTCAAGCTTCTTTCTCTCTCTCATAACCTGTCTTTTCACTAAGCCTGATTTACCAATATAACCAGTTTCTGGCCATGTTCTGAGTCTGTATTCTTTACTGTGGCCTCAAGATGGTATATACATTTCTGTAACTCATTGGGAAGCTGGTCTTCATTCTTAAGGCTCCCACGTATAGAAGTTAAATAAATGTTTATGTCTCTTCTCCTATTAATCAATGTGCCTCATGCCAGTGACTTTTCGGTGAACCTTTCAGGGACTATGTGGTCAGGTAAGACCTCATGAAGATGTATTATTTGAGTTGAAAATAAAAAGATGAAGTGCAAGCCCTCCTTCAGTGTGCTGGGAAAAGCACTCTTAGCGGAGGGAAAGGCAAGTCCAAATGCCCTGATGGGAAAGGTGCTGTGTTTAAGATGCAAAAAATCCTATGACTGGAGGCTTGTGCTAGAGGTGGACGATCATGTATTTTAAGGCCAAAAATCTAGTCAGGGTCAAAAATCATAAGAATTGTTAGTTTTTAATCAGAGATTCTGATTTTATTGGAAGGGCAGTAGAAAGCCATTGAGGGATTTTTAGCAGACAAATTAAATAATCTCATTTGTGTTTTAAAAAGCTCATATTGGCTGAGAAATAGATAATGGATTAGAAAGAAAAGTAAACACAAAAGTAAATATATTACCAAGCCTTGCATGATGGGACACAGAGTTACATTATCTAGATGGTATTTCTAAAACAATATTGCATTGGGCAGCTGGTGACTCTCAGGGGATGGATGGCAGAAAGTATTAATAGAAGCACCTTCAGGATCTAAAGGACATAGGCTGGTGGTCCCAACAAACACCATGATTTACCAGTTTGATTCCTGCAGTAACCAAACAGATCCCAACGGAAGATATTAAGCTGCCACTACAAAGTACAAAGTAATAGTAGCCACAATTGCAGCCACCATGCCAAATATGGAATCCTTGCAAAAGCACATTAGCTTGGTCTAAGGTACCTATAATTGGCCATTGATTTATTGAATACACTCTTTTCTATTCTTAGCAGAAAAAGCAGTTCTGAAAAAATTCACATTCACAAGGCAGGAACGACAGCAAATGTTTCAAGTTTTGTCCCACAATTATGTTAACTGCCCCCAACCTCTGTTAAAATATAGTCCAAGGAAATCTAGATTATCTATGCATCTCACTCAACATCACATGATCCACTCCATCAATGATATGATGCTAACTGAGGAATGAGTAAGAAATAACTAGTGTAATTGTGGCAGGCCAGGTCTCCATTAGCAACCAGGGCAGTCATCCTTCACCACCACCTTAGTGTAAATCTGATGAGTGTATAACTTAAGCATTAAAGAACTGGAGAAACTGGTGCCTTAGTACAAGGGTTAGAATGTAAAAACAAGTCCATTAAGACCCCACCTGGGCTTTCTCAGACATTAGAGTTTAATTAATAAAAGGAGGCATTCTTGCACACCTTGTACCAAGACCCACTTTAGATTACATAATTGTTCCTAGGCTCTGAAGTAATTTCCAGATCTGAACCCTAGTTAAAGATTAGACAGAGTGAAACACTTCAGTTTGTAGGTGCTTTCCCACACGTAGGCATATGGTTTGAATGTATTATAAGCACTGGAGAAAAACTTGTAACTTTGAGTTGGTCTGTTGAGTTATTCTGGTTTTCTCCCTGTAACTGGTTGCAGAAACTCCCTTCTTGCCCAGTCTGTTTGCATCTTATGATTGAACCATGAGAACAAGCAGCTGGACCCCAGTTCTGTCTGGGAACATAACAGCCTGACAGGTTCTTCTTGCCCACTGTTTCCAAAACAGCCAATACATTGAGCATAGCAGGTGTTGCAGCCCAGAGTTCCATAATCACAGGGCCAGCCAAGTGAGGAGAATGGGAGATAATTCTCAAATCTGCCTCCCTAAGAACTTGGAGGTGAGGTTTTTTTTAAGGACAGTTTGGTGGGCAAGGGGCTATGGAATTTGATTTGCTGCTTGGTTGGGGATGAAATCATACGGGCATCAAAATTGCCTTCGTGCACTGAGTCAGTTTCTGGGTTGTCACAGGAGCAGTTGAGTCAGTTTTTTGATATGGGTCATGAGCCTGGTTGGCATCTGTTGGCCCAAAGAATGCAAACTCTAAAAAATATTGCAAACACCAGTCAGGTTTTGCAATAGCAATGCTGTCTCTCGGGGCAATTAGGGAAGTTACAAATTTTGTGACCTCTGGCTACATGACTCCTGAGCAGTAAATCTATTAGGAGACAATGACTAGTTATTATTTAACTATGCCTAGCATTAGCAGAATTCAGGATCTTACTGTAATTCTAAAATTATGGCCTTTTATTAGCTTTACAAGGAGCGACTTCAGTACCTGAATAAGTGGGAGATTAGTTTTGGGAAGAGACTACTATCATTCTTGCTTTAAACTATAAACTAAATTCTTCCCATAGTTAGCTTGTCCTACATGTACGGATGGGCAAAGGCAGTTTGCTTGCGAGGTTAGAAACAAGACAGAGTCAGCTATGTTAGATTTATCTAACTGTTACAATTTTTGAAAGGCAATTTCAATGACATGTCAGAAACCTTAGTAAATGTGTGCACTTTTGAGTGAAGGAGATGAATCCTGCTAAGATTCAAGGGCCTCTCATCTCATTATAATTTTTAGGACACATAGGTTAGGTATATGATGGGACATCTTAGCCAATGTAAAAAGCAAATTATTGCATCTCTCACCTACCACCACAGAGAAGGAATCATTCTACCTGGTAGACTTCTTCAGGATCTGGAAACAGCGTTTTCTACACTCGAGAATATTGCTATGGCCTATAATTTAATCGTGCAGAAGGCTGGCAGATTTGAGGGTGACCCAGAACAGAAAAGGGCTCTTCAGAGATCTAGACTATGATGTAAGCAGCCCTGCCATGAGTGGGTTCTGTCCAGATTGAGTCCTAAGATTAAGCATCGCTTATATGGCACATGGTGTCAGATGAATGTATGTAGTCACATCAATGGCTAAGCATAAGCAAGACAAGAGGGCACAAGCAAGCTGCATGAGCAAGCATCTCAGAGCCCTGTGACACTCCTCACTGCTGCACCAGTGCCAACTCTCTTGAGATCACTCCAGTGGCCCTATGAGAGATCCACAACCAAATGAAGGAGGAGGAAATACCCCTAGCTTAGCTCATGGATAATTTGCTTAGATATGTGGATGCAAGGTAAAAATAGTCTGTAGTTGCATTACCTCCTTTCTCAGGAGTGACCTTAAAATAGAGTGGTAAAGAAAATTGCTCCCAATGGGCAGAGCTTCAAACAGTAAAACTGGTCATCTATTGTGTGTGGGAAGAGAAATAGTCTGGGATTAGAATTATGTGTGAATTCATGAGCCATGACCAACGGACTGGACAATGGGACAGGTGCCTGCAGGGAGAAAGATTAGAGACTGGGGAAAAGGAGATCTGAATGGAGAGAGATATATGGAAGTGAGCATAATGTTTGAAGATCTTTGTATCCCATATTATTTCCCAGTAGCAATCATTCACCATGGAAGAAACAATAAACCATCAATCAACAAATGGTTTCATCCAGTTGATGTCAGCCAGCCTCTGATATTGAGCATCCCATGCTGGCATGATGGCAACAGGAGTAAAACAGCCAAATTGGCGGAGATGGAGATTATGCATGGATCCCTCTGAATTAACTCCTAACCACAAATAATCTGCTTCATTCTCTCTTGCTCCCACATATAATTTCCTCTTATAATCATTGACACTGACAATATTCATTTCCTACTGATTAATTTTACCCTCACTCAGAGGAAAGTAGCCCAGTCCTGTGAACCATTACAAAATAAATCAACATATAGATTCACATTGTGTATCTAAATAAACAACTTACAAGTGGACCAGGAAAATCCCATTGGGATTCAGGAATGAAAATCATTTATTGTTAGAGAAGGCATAATGAGAAATAAGCAATTTAATTAGATGTTCAATAACTCGAAGGCATATTTTTAAGTTCACATGGATTTTATTGTTTAAAATTTGTGCCCTGATTCTGAATAAGAGCATGACTGATGAATGTGTTTTAAAGTATTTCTGAGACCATAATTGTGACTGTATTCAAAACATCCAAATCTTGACTAGGTCTCTTCAGAGCTCTTTGACTTTAGGCAAAAGAAATAATCAATTTCTCAATATGAATAAGTAACCAACAAAAGCTCAGTGAGACCTTCCAACTTCTCAAAATGGAAGAAATTAATTACTTTATACCTAGTTTCCAATCTGGTTTGTTTCTAACTTAAGCCAGTAACTCCTTCAGCTACTTAAAATCATGCTTCCAGTTGTCAAGGTAGTTACAGTTTTCTTTTTCATTTTTTAAAAATGATGGGTGTTCAAATGATTGCTACCTGAATGATAAGGAACACTCTAAGAGTAGAGAAGGTGATTAATTCTGAGATGGTCTATATATATTAGGAGTTCATTTGAATCAGACCATTCAGTAAATCAATCAATAACCTTCCCCCAATGTCTTCATATGTTAATATTCCTCCAGGTCTGCACGCAATTTTTATTTCATAGCATGCTGTCAAAAGAAAAAGAATGTTCCTGAGAAATGTATCAACAGTGACTATACTTTAGAAGAATAACTTTTACTTCATTAGGTAAACCTCCCTTTCACAGGCCAGAGCCATGACATGAAGTGAGTAGTGGTTATGAAGTGAGTAGTGGTTATGAAGCTTATTAGCTCAAATGGGATCACTGAGTAAAAGGAGAACTAGCTTCAATGCAGACTTCCTAAAATGTATGAGCAGAAGACTCATAATTGGTTTTTCTATTTCCATCTGCCAACTGAACATCCCTGAATGACTCACAAGTGCTTTTCCAAAACTAAAAAATGTAGTCATTATCACTTGTTTATTCTCCCTGCCTCCTCATAACCAAATAGCCATCAAATCTCACCATACCATACTACTTTTGTTCATAAATTCTCTCTTCCTATCCATCCACTTACCTTTACCTTTCTAGTCTCTTTTTTAAGAAAAAAAAATGTATTAGTCAGATTTGTCTTTCTATATCTGGTCTCTCCTGAGAACTTCCTTTGCACAGCTGATTGGATTCTCTTTCGAAAACAGCAATTCCTTGTGTCATTTCCAGTTTGGAAATGCACCAGTGGCTTCCCATCACCCATAAAACTGGGAACAGTATGAAGGGTTAGTTGGCAACAAGACCTCACCTGATTTTCAGCCTCAATTCTGCTGGTTCTTGGTTTTCACAAGGACTGTCTATGTTCCAGCAGAACAAGATGGTTTCACTGACCAAATGTCCCTGTCCTTTAATGACTGTGTGTCTTTGTATGGGGTAGTCTGCAGTTTTTTTCCACTCTTTCCATCTGTGCTTTTCAACAGCCCTCTGGAATGTGCGGTCTTCTTCAATATCCACAAATAGACTATTTCTTCTATCATTTGGTAGCACTTTGCACTTGCTGTTATTACAGGAATCATCACAATTCCTTGAGACAGAATGAAGCTTTCATGAGTAAATTGATAATACCTAGGACAGGGTATCTAGCACTTTCTCAATAAGTATTTTTTGATGAGTAAATATATGAATAAAAGAATTATTGTCACAGGCCTCCCCTCTTTTTCTTCTCCTTCTCCCAACTCGATGATGATATAAGTAAGATTAAGCTGAAATCTTGGGGGGTGTGTATCTGCGCTCTCTGTACTTTTGTTTCAGCACAAGTTATCTTTCCTTACCCAGGTCCAGGAGTTGATTTTTTCATATCTTCTCTCCAAATAACCTCTTCAATGCTCACAGCTACCTAAATTTCCCTATTTATTTCAGAAAAAAATCCCTCTGATAATTATTGAATTAAATTATAAGTAAAAACTACATTATCACATGTTAAAACATGCCTTCAAGAAGTATAGACATTCAAAATTCTTAAATATTTGCTTCATATTTTCAAATTAGGAAAAAAAAAAGCTAATTTAAGTTTTTATGTAGCATCGTACTCTGTGTCATTCCTGTTTCATTCTTCTCCCTTGTTCCTTTCCCACTGTTCAGCCCTGTCAGAAGCAACCTGCATTATGACTGCATTTCATAGCTTTTTACACACACACACACACACACACACACACACACAGAGTCATTTCTGAGAAACACATATATATATATGTATGTGTGTGTGTATATATATCTATATACACACAGTTGGCCTTCTGTATCAATGGGTTCCACATTCCCAAAGTCAACCAACAGCAGATTGAAAGTTTCGGAAAAAATAATAAAAAATAGCATTACAACAATTAAAAATACAAATTTTAAAAATACAGTGTAGCAACATTGCATTCACATTGTATTAGGTATTACAAATAATCTAGAGATGATTTAAAGTGTACAAGGTGGGGAATGGTGGCTCATGCCTGTAATCTTATCACTTTGGGAAACCAAAGCAGGAGGGTCACTTGAGGCCAGGAGTTCAAGACCAACCTGGGTGACATAGCAAGACCTTTTCTCTACAAAAAATAAAGTATACAGGAGGATGTGCATAGGTTATATGCAAATACTGCACCATTTTATATAAGAAACTTGAGCATCCATAGATTTTGGTATAGGGTAGGGGTGCTCTGAAACCAATACCTGGCAGATTCCCAGGGATGGCTGTATAGCATTCGTTTAAATTTAGTACAACCTATTTACAAATACAGATCCTCCTCTTGCATCGTTGTAAAGTTGAAAAACTGTAGGTGGAACCATCTTAAGTCAGGGACCATCTGTATAACTTTTTGAGCATGATTATTTTTAATTTATATAAATAAGATCACTATAGACATATTACGCCACATTCAAAATGTACTGTAATGTCTATTCCTATGTAACTATTGAGACACATTCTTCTTTTCACCTGATATATAGGAATTTAAATTGTATTCAACATTATAGTAATTAGCAGTTTTGAAGACTATTTAGGCCATATGTATTTTTAGGTTTACAAATATTGCTCCAACAAACATTCCATTGTACCTGTGTACAGCATATTTAAAGAATATAAATATATATACACACAAACACAAACACACACACACACATATATATGCACACATACATGCACATGCATACATATATTTTTTGCTGTTCATTTTCTATTTTAATAGATATTTAAAATTTGTCCTTCAAATTTTATACTAATTTACATTTCTATCAAAAATTCTAACCTTATTATATACATGGTAAATATATTTTCCTAATTGATCCTATTTCCTTTAAGTATGTTTATGGCATCTTGTTGTTGTTAAAAAAGCCTGTGATTTCAATGAAGTTAGATTGCACTGTACTTCTTCTATGGTTAGTGATTTTTCTTTTTTTTTTTTTTTTGACAGGGTCTCACTATGTCACCCAGGCTGGAGTGCAATGGCGCAATCTCAGCCCACTGCAACCTCTGCCTCCCGGGTTCAAGTGATTCTCCTGCCTCAGCCTCCCAAGTAGCTGGGATTACAGGCGCCCGCCACCACACCCGGCTACTTTATGTATTTTTAGTAGAGATGGGGTTTCACCATGTTGGCCAGGCTGGTCTCGAACTCCAGACCTCAGGTGATCCACCCACCTCGGCCTCCCAAAGTGCTGGGATTACAGGCGTGAGCCACCACACTCGGCTGGTTAGTGATTTTTCTTTTGCTGTCTTCCTAAATAATATATTATTTACCTTGATGCCACATATGCATTCTTCTTTATTTCTTCTAATACTTTTGATGTGACCTCTTTCATATTTTCCTTTTAAATTTATCTTTTTTTTTTTTGCTTATAATGTGGGGAGGATATTATTTTATTTAGAATTATAATATCACATCCAACACATTATCTATGTATGTTAGAGTGGTTTCTTCAGTTCTTGGATTATTTATCTCATTAAGGCATTTAATTTATGAAAATGTTGAATATTTTATTGGCATACATATTATGTATGTTTCAAAACGTGCATAATATTAAATGTGCATCTCGATAAATTTTATTACCACTCTGATCAAGAAATATTATATCAACATGGAAGTTCTGCTCAAATTCTAATTATCACAAGAGAGAAATACTTTCTAACTTCTGACCCAAAATATACCTATAATTATAATTAAAATAAAAATGAGTTAAACTCAACTCAATGAGTTAAAAAGATTATCAGATTATATCAAATAAAACCAAACCAAAAATAATTAGTTATATGCTGCCTAAATTAAATAGGTCAGTTGTAAATAAGGTTATTTTAAAAAAAGATAAAGTAGGCATGTTCTAATAAAAATCAAGGGTATTATTAATGTCAATATAAGAAAGAGAAATTAAAGAAACATATAAGTTACTAGAACTATAGATTAATTATAATTTCATTTAAAATGGACATAAATGAGGCTGGGTGTGGTGGCTCACACCTGTAATCCCAGCACTTTAGGAGGCCAAGTTGGGTGGATCACCTGAGGTCAAGAGTCTGAGACCAGCCTGGCCAATATGGTGAAACCCCATCTCTACTAAAAATACAAAAATTAGCCGGGTGTGGTGGCATGTGCCTGTAATCCCAGCTACTCGGGAGGTTGAGGCCCGAGAATCGCTTGAACTTGGGTGGCAGAGGTTGCAGTGAGCCAAGATTGCACTACTGCGCTCCAGCCTGGGTGATAGAGTGAGACTCCATCTCAAAAAAATAAATAAATAAAAGAAAAAATAAGTAAAAATAAATAAATAAAATTGATATAAATGGAATCATGTTGTCTGTATTCATTTCTGCTTATTCTGTTGGATATGGCAATTCTTTGTCTATTTTCATTGCTTTATAGTATTGCATTATATGAACATACCAAAATTTTTTATCTGTTCTAGTGTTTATAAACACTTGAATTGTTTACACTTACAGTCACATGAACATTGCACCTATGAAGATTCCTGTGTATACATTTTTGTGAACATATGCATAACATTCTGTGGGGCATATACCTGACAGTGGAACTGCTGGGTTATACAGTACGCAAATGTTTAGCTTTAGTGGATCTGTAAAAGAGATTTTTGAGGGACTGTACCAATTTACACTCCCACCAGTAAGATATGAGAAATTTTGATAATAAAGAGTTTTTTTCTTCTGTTTTTAATTGTATTCACTCTTAATATGCAGGCATTAGCATCAGGTCATAGTTCTAGAATAATTAATGATGCCAAGCACATTGTCACATTTACTAGCAGTTTTGATAGATTTATTGTAAAGTGCATTTGCCCAGTTTTAAAATTGTCTTGTATGCCTTTGTCTTGGTATTGCTAGAAATTCAGAAATCTTCTCTCTCCTGTGGTTTGACTCTCACAGGCTTAATCATATATTTTTATGAGCAGAATGTCTTTTTAGCATAATTCAATATATCAATAATTTTCTTTACGGTTAGAATTGTTTATGTCCAGTTTTGAAAAAAACAACTTTGCTTACCCCAAGATTATAAAACTATGATCACATATTATCTTTTATGACTTTATTGTTCTGCCATTCATATTAGATTTACAATTCACCTAAAATTGATTTCGACATATGGTGTAAAATAGAAGATTCATTTTTTCTATAGGAATATTTAATTGACACAGCATAATTTGTTGGAAAGTCTATTTTTTTTCTTTTATTGTTCTATTTGTGTATTTTTACACTAATTCTACACTGTCTTCCTTACTAGAGTATCATAATAAATGCAACACCTTCACAAGTATAAATTGTCCACCTTCTTCTTCAAGAGTGTTTTGCCTTTCCTAGGTCTTTTGCATTTCCCAGTATAGTTTAGATTCAGTTTGAAATTTTTCAGCCAAAAATGCAGCTTAGATTTAAATTATGATTGTAGTAAACCAATGGATCAATTTAGGGAAAAACACAACTTAATTTCGCTGAGTTTTTTACTGCTTAACATAGAATATAACTTTATATATTTAAGTCTTTTGTACATTCTGTCAGTAATATTTTGTAGTTCTCCTTGTTAATACCTTTTAAGGGTTTTTTAGTTTTTTTTCTAGAGTTATATTATGGTATTATAAATGGCATCCGATTTTCAAATTTTATAGTTCTTTGTGGCAATATACATACAAAAATTATTTTTCTTTATCGATCTTGAGTACAATGATCTTACTAAATTCACTCAGTAGTTCTCATAATTTATCTATACATTTATTTATACCTTCTAAGTACACATTCAAGTCATGAGTGGGTACTAAATTACAACAAGTGAACTTTTTGCAAATGTTGAAATAATCAGATGTATTCTCTCATTTGTTTTGCGACTATGATAAGTTAAATTGTTCAATTTTTAAATGTTGAGCCAACCTTGTGTTCCTGGAATAAAACCAATTTATTTTTGGTGTATCATCCTATTAATATATCCCTGGAAATAAATAAATAGCTAGTCCATCCAGAATTCTTTGTATCTACGCTTATGAGAAAGACAGGTCAGCAATTCTCCTTTCTTATAATGTCTTAACTGGTTTGGGCTTCAAGTTTGTTCTAATCTCACAAAAGTTTTCTTCATTAATTAGGTATTCATTTTTTAAATAGATATAGGACTATTTAGAACTTATATTTCTTCTGGTGTATTTTCTACTAAGTTGCAGTTTTTGGGAAATTTTATCCATCTCATCTAAGTTTCCAAATTGATTCATATATAACAATTCATAATCTCTTATTAACTTTTTATGTATGCGTATTGTGATATGGATGATTTGTGCATTATACATGCTTTGTCTTGGTTATTCTTTCTAGCAGTTTATCAAACATATTTGTTTTCTCAAAAGACCAACTCTTTGCTCTATTGATTTTCTCAATAGTGTATTAATACTTTGACTTTGAATAACTTTTTTAACTTTTATTTTAACTTTTATTTTCTTTACAGTTAGTTTGATGTTTATTTACTAACATTACTAATGTAGTTCCTCTCTCTTGCTCTGTTTTAAAAAAAAACAGGATCACTGTTCTTTTTTTTTGTATAGTACTTTTTTTTAGCTCTATCAATATGTGTGGTAGGCAGAATAAGTAGTCCCCCAAAGTTGGATTAGTCCCCCTAATCTGTGGAAACTGTAAACGTGTTACCTTACATGGCAAAAAGACTTTGAAAATGTGATTAAATTAAGGATATTTCAATGGAGAGACTGTCCTGAATTATGTGCATGGGCCCAAAGGCTCTTATACAGAAAAGAAGGAGGCAAAAGAGTGAGACAAGGAGATGTGGCCATGAAAGCAGAAGTCACGGAGGTTAAAAGATGCACCACTGCTGGCTTTGAAGATGGAGATAGGAGCAAAAACCTAAGAATTACAAGTAGAATTGAGAGGCTGAAACAGGCAAGAAAAAGAATTCTATCCAAGGTTATTCCCAAAATGCCAGTCCTGCCAACACCTGGACTTTGGCCCAGTGAGAAGGATTTTGGACTTTAGACCTCCACAACTATAAGATAAAAAATCTGGGTTAATTTTAAGTTACTACATGTGTGGTAGTTTGTATTACCACAGTATTGAAAAACTAATAAAGCATGTTTCAACACTTTGCTGTTAAGATTTTATTTTGAACCTTACTTTTTTAAACTACAGTATTGTTTCCTCAGCTACAACCTTAGTGGTCCTTTCCAGATGGGTGGATAATAAGCTTTTATAGTCTTTATATTTCTTAAATGCCTTCACTCTGACACCCACCACATAGTATAATGGTATAACTATCATAAAGGATTCTAAACTGAATACTTTAAGGATAATAGTTTATTGACCTTATTTATTTTTAGTGATAAAATCTATTGTCAAAGTAATCGCTGTTACTTTGTGGAAAATCTGCCTTCTTCCCCCCCTCATAGGCATTAAATTTATTTACCCTTTGTCTTTGGTATTAGCAGATATTTCCTCTCTCCTTTTTAAAGGCAATTATATTTTTAACATAAAATAGATTTTAATCTGTCTGTCATGTGTGTTTGGAACAGATAGGAAAAGTTTTCTTTTGTTTGGTTGGTTTTTAAAATTTTCTCCCAGTTATGTGTACCTAGAAGTGCCTTAGAGATACTTGAATAAGAAATGGAATAGCTGTATCGGCACTTCTTAAAATATCACAGCTATTAAAACACATCCCTGTTAGTTTAATGCATTTGTGCATTCTTAGGTAACTGGTAAATTGCCTCATTTGTATCGTTTCAAACTTTTGTTAGTATATCTTATTTTGTACTAATGTTTTCCCCCTCTTTATCATTTTTTCTAAAGACTGAATACTTCAATATCTAGGTAAAATACATGTAAATGCTTAAGTTTACAATTCTAATAAGTTTATTTAAGTTGTAATGACAGACACAAGACTCTTAAGATATATTATACCACAGAGAAATACAAATCAAAACCACAATGAGATATCATCTCACACAAGTTAGAATGGCGATCATTAACAAGTCAGGAAAAAAACAGGTGCTGGAGAGGATGTGGAGAAATAGGAACACTTTTACACTGTTGGTGGGACTGTGAACTAGTTCAACCATTATGGAAGACAGTGTGGCGATTCCTCAAAGATCTAGAATTAGAAATACCGTTTGACCCAGCCATCCCATTACTGGGTATATACCCAAAGGATTATAAATCATGCTGCTATAAAGACACATGCACACGTATGTTTATTGCAGCACTATTCACAATAGCAAAGACTTGGAACCAACCCAAATGTCCAACAATGATAGACTGGATTAAGAAAATGTGGCGCATGTACACCATGGAATACTATGCAGCCATAAAAAATGATGAGTTTATGACCTTTGTAGGGACATGGATGAAGCTGGAAACCATCATTCTCAGCAAACTATGGCAAGGACAAAAAAAGCAGACACTGCATGTTCTCACTCATAGGTGGGAATTGAACAATAAGAACACTTGGACACAGGAAGAGGAACATCATACACCGGGGCCTGTTGTGGGGTTGGGGGAGGCGGGAGGGGTAGCATTAGGAGATATACCTAATGTAAATGACGAGTTAATGGGTGCAGCACACCAACATGGCACATGTATACACACGTAACAAACCTGCACATTGTGCACATGTACCCTGGAACTTAAAGTATAATAATAAAAAAAGAAAGAAAGTTACATGCCCCAAACAAAGGCTGTATAGAGTAAAACATTTCAGAGTGGGCAGCAACTTGGAAGGTTCCAAGACAATTTTTTTTTCAGAAATAAGCAATAAGCTATATGACATGTTAAAAAAAAGAAACTACAAATCGTAATTTGAATTTGTTTCTATTTTTATTTTCCAAGTTTTTATGATCACAACATATGAAATAAACATTTCTATTATAATTAAAATATATATGTTATACCACAATTGATTAAAAAGAAGATTATATCCTTTAAGAAGCAAAGTGAAGAAGGTGAAAGAAAGCAAAACAAAATGCTCTATTTTCAACCCCAGGCATGGTATTCACATTTTCTAAATGTTTCTATAAAATGTAGATAATACCGACTTAGCAAAATTGTTTCAATGTTTAAATAAAATAACTAAGTGAGGTAATTAAGGAAAAATAATTATCTGCCATTAGCAAATCTTCCACCTATGTTTGTATGCATACACACACACACACACACACACTTACTTTAGCTCTCCTCTCCCTGTGAAATTTTAAAAATAAAATTAATATTCCTTAAGTCTCATTAAAAGAACAATTCTGTTTTAAAATTATAGGTTTTTCACTTAACATAATGACCTCTAGTTTCATTTATCTTGTTTCAAATGACAAGATCTCATTCTTTTTTTATGGCTGAATAGTACTCCATTGTATGTAGTGGTTACATAGCATCAATTTATGTAGATAGCATATAAGACTAATTCAAAAATATCTTCGGTCAAAATGACCAGGACTGTTTATTGGGGCAAATGCACACACACATTGGTCAAGGAGAAGGGACTGATCATTAGAACCTCCCTGAGTGAGGCTGCCCCCTTAAGCCCTAGGCAGTCTCATTCAGCTGGACACAGCTTTGAAATGCTCCCCTTCCTCCTTGCTAGCCCTGCCAACAAAATCCTCATTCTGGCAATTGTCTGATATCAGTAGTTGTAGAAAAATACTCTATACTAATCCACAAAAAAATCAACACTAATATCAGCGACTGTGAAGTCATAAATGTGAAGTTAAAATCCTGTGTCACCAACAAACACTGAACTCCAGCTTCTAGGTCTGTTCCACCTTCAGAAAAAAAAAGAGGAAGAAGAAGATAGAAGAAGAAGAAGAAGAAGAGGAAGAGGAAGAAGAAGAAGAAAGCAGAGGAAGAGGAAGAAGAAGAACAAGAAGAAGAAGAAGAAAGAAGAAGAAGAAGAAGAAGAAGAAGAAGAAGAAGAAGAAGAAGAAGAAGAAGAAGACGACGACGACGACAATGGCCTTTTGCAAACATTACCAGGATTACATGAGATGGTGTGTGTGAGAATGGGCCATATGTGAGATGTGACCCATAGATTCACCTTGCAGACCCTATCCTACAAGAGATAAACACTTAGAAAACTGAGTACTGAATCTGAAGCTTAGTTTGAATTCAGTACATGCACTGATCGTTATTTTTAAGTTATAGAACTCCATATTATGGTTGACTATCATAACAAAATATCCTCAATAAGCATAAACATCTAACAAGTTTCATAAGATTTTTGACATTTTATACAATTCAGTTTTGATAGGATGTCTTGGCCACACACAATACATGGATACTGGCAACCTGTGGAAGCTAAAACTCAGACACAAAATAAAGCATGGGGCATGTGTGTGTGTGACTAAGACCTTAGAGAGTCGCTCAGATCACGTAGAGGATGAACCTTCTATTTTTTTTTCAAACGCACTAATCCTTGTACCAATGCTTACCATAACCTCCTTAACAAATTTGTTGTAATTCACATAGTAATGACTTTCAGTGCAACATTCTATGGAAATTAACAACTCTCTGACAAGCGGCAGCCTGCAGTTTATGTGCCACTAATATGCAGTTAAGTAGTTTGGGCTACTCAGACATCTGGCCCACGTGAAACAGCTGGAGAAGCACAGCTATTAACCTTTTGCTTACAAAGAGAAGCTTTCCTACAGGTGCTAAAATGTTATGGGAGACTTGAAAATGCCTTGTAATGGCTCAGACAACTTTTCTAATTGCAGGTGATGGCATTATGCCTTCCTTTCCTCAACAGTGGTGTGGAGAATCCTGTCTAGCTTCTCCTGCTTGATCTATGTCACTTTGTGTACATGCTATTAAATTTAAGTTTATCAGATTCAGGGAGAGAAGATCTTTACAGACAAAAACGTTATGCTGTATCCGAAGCCAAAGAAGCACTGCCTTAACTGGTAAGAACACTTGAGAAGGAGAAATTCTATCAACATGTGGGAAGTGCAGGAAAACAGAACTAATGTTTTTGAAGAGCTAGTCGGGTGTATGTTAACTATGTTTTATTTGTGTATTTTCACTTTTTAACATTCACTGAAACTTTGTAGAAGGAGAAAGTGAAGCATGGAAATTTTTGTCTAGAATCACAGTTAGAACTTGGTAGTTCTAGCCGGGAGTGGTGTCTCATGCCTATAATCCCAGCACTTTGGGAGGTCACGGTGAGTGGATCACAAAGTCGGGAGTTCGAGACCAGCCTGACCAAGATGATGAAACCCTGTCTCTACTACAAATACAAAAAAGAGCTGGGCATGGTAGCACGTGCCTGTAATCCCAGCTACTCAGGAGGCTGAGACAGGAGAATCGCTTGAACACGGGAGGTGGAGGTTTCAGTGAGCCGAGATCACACCACTGCACTCCAGCCTGGGTGACAGAGCAAGACTCCATCTCAAAAAAAAAAAGAACTTGAGAGTTCTGAGATTAGAGTACAAGCAACACCTGTGTAACCTTCGAAACAAGCTCCTAAGCACATTATGTTTTAACTTGTCTCCATAATATTTTCAAATCTAATTAAAATATTAAATATCCCAAATAAACCCTATAAGTAATATTTTTGCCTAAAATTTCAAGGTCCAGATAGTCATCGATACTTGATGTAGTTCAGTGATTATTTGCTTCAGAAAAATATGTAAATAAATGACGGTATCATCTGATATCCTGGTTAAATAAGAGCATGGCACCACCTGCCAAAAAATCCTCTTGCCTTATATTGAGCAATTATTTTTGAGGACCTGCACTGTGCTTGGCAGCAGTCTAGGTCTCAATGAAAAGTTCTCTGCAGGAGAGGTATATATACTATGAGAGCTTATAAAGGGTAATTTATTTCACCTGGGAATTGAAGGCAGGGTTAGAAGAAGATGTAATAACTATGCTAAAATCTAGAATAAAGTAGAAGCTAATATGTTTGCATGAGAAATAGAAGAAAGAAGCACCACGTCTTTGGTAGAGCAACTCATATGCGTAACAGCCCTGTTCAAAAACATTTTAAAAGGCTAGTAGCAGTTTGAATGTAAAGTGGAAAGAGGAAGAAAGCCTAAGAGAAAGAGGAGCTTGGGGAAGTAGGCAATGGTTAGGATATTTGGAAACTGAAAGACTATGATCATGTTTCTCTAAGATAAAAAAGGAAATCCATTAAAGTGTTCTAAACAGGTAGGTGATTGGTGACATGACTCAATTAACAGTTTAGAAAATCTCTGTGACTGTAGTAAGGAGAAAAAACTCCTGGAGGAAGAAAGGGCAGGAGACGATGGTCACATGGACTATGGTGATGGCTTGAGGAAAAATATCAATAGATTGGATAATAAATAATGAGTTGGATTTGGAGGGTACGCAAGTGAGGGGCATCCAGAAGAATACTTAAGTTTCTGTCTTGCATAGCAGGATGCATGGGTGGTAGTGTTATCCATCAAGCCAGAGAACACTGGAGAAGAACCCTGTACAAAAGGAGGCCCTTGAGTTCACCTTGGGACATTATAAACTTGAGGCGTATTCAAGACACTTAACCAGAGATGTCAAGCAGTCAACTGAATATGAGTATGTTACACAACAAAGAATCCTGGATGGAAACATAAACTTGCAATTAAGTCCTATTTGAAGCCTCATGCATGGTTAAAATTGTTTATGTAAAGAAAATCAAAACAAGGAGACAAAAAATAAGACAGAAATGAGTTATTCATTTTAGGCAGCTCAAGACAGCAATATACAACTTCAAAAAACCACCAGTCCCTTGAACTATGTTGTGAGTGAGCCCTTTGGAGTTGTTAATGTGGCTGCTATGGACAGAAATTGTAAGACCCAATTACTAGGGAGAGGAAAGTGAGCCTGAAAAGTGAGTGCCTACCCAGAGAAACAAGAAAAAAATATGGACAAGGTAGAGCCATGGTCAACAAGGGAAGAAAGTATTTCAAGAAGTAGGGCGATATAAAATGTTACAATTGCTGCAGAAAAGTCAAGTAAGATGAGGCTAGAGGAAGGACATGGAGCTTGGCAACCTAAAAGTCATCAGAATCCTTTCAAGAATTGTCTCAGTGTAATGACAGGGCTAGAAGCCAGATTGGAGTAGGCTGAGGAGTGAGCAGGAGTCTTACCCGTTACTATCAACCCTCTGTACTCTAATAGAACTTATCTCACTACGCTGAATCCATATCCTTTTCAACTTTTCAAATGAAGTGTGAGTTCATTAGGACCATAAATTATTTATTTTTGCATTCTAGTCTTATCACAATAGTCAGAGTCGTCCTCCCAAATCAGATCAGCTCTCTACTCTGCCTAAAATCCTCCAGTGACTCTCAAGAATCCTCATATGACCTTCCATATCAGCCATTCCCTTTATCTCTCTGGCTTAATCTTCTACCTCTCGCCCCCTCACAGCATCCAGTAAAGGACCCCGGCCTCCTTACTCTTCCACAAAATGCTCAGCTCGTTTCCCTTCTTTCCATCTACTTGTGTGCCCTTTCCATACACACCCTCATGGATAATTTCCTGGCTTCTTCCCAATCTTTATTCAAATGTCACTTCTTTTCATGAGAGGCCTACCCTACAGACAGTCTAAAGTGTCACCACCACCATCTCATTAAAATGGTCTCTGTCCTTGCCTGTTTATATTTTTCCTCTTCAATACTTAACACTTTCCAATATACTCTAATTTATTTATCATGTGCTTTGCCTATTCTCCATTAGAATGTGTTTCATGAAGGGAGGCCTTTTTCATGTGTGACTTTTTACTGTTATATCCCCAGTTCTGCAGTAATATTCTATTCAGAGAAGTACTCAGTAATTATTTGTTGAACAAATACAAATTTCCAGTGCTTTACACAGTGCTCTATGCATAATAGGCATATGGTAAGTTCACAAATGAATATATTATGACCAAATTATATTAATTACTAAGATTGTATTGAATACAATAATGCAAGTGATTTCATCTATTTCCTTATTATTAATTTTTGGTGTTTATCAGTAACCCATCAAAATTGCAGTCTAGTCATTATGGTGAAATACTTTGAAGCAATTTGCAATTGTAGGATTTCATTGGCTATCCATATCAACCTCGAAATTAGAATGATGGAATGTTATGTACTCATTTGGATCTAATGCCTTTCCTGGAGCATCAGGGTAAGAATACTGTTTTCATTAACTTTCTTAATAACAACACTAAAAGATGAACATTCTGTAAGTCTGAAATTCATTTGTTTTTAAACTCATTTCAAACATGAGCTTGGCTTCACAAAGCAGAAAAGAAAGATAATGTCATACTCTGGACTTGACTAAGAGGGTGGATTAAACAATTGGGTGGAAATGTTTCATGACATCTTTATGTCCTGTACTGATGTTTATTTCAAATTGAGTGATTTATTGCTCCAAAATTTTTATCTTATATGATTTCATATCATTTTTCTCCCCAAAGAAAATAAAGACTAAATTGTTGAGCCATAACTCAGTCAACTTCATAAATTTGTGACCTGTCATCAAGTGTAAGTATGGGAGAATTGTCATAATGATGGAGATTAGTTTGTCTGGGGTAGAGGGGAGATCTTGAGACATAACTTCTAGCAGAGTAAACCATTTTCTCTGAGGAGCTTGGTGAATGTTTTTAAGAAATATGGTTCATTGACTTTTTTTTGAAAAAGAAAAATTAATGATAACAGGTAGGAGGCATAGTAGCCACTGTTCCCCTAAGGCACAAACACTATATAAAATGTGTGTCCAGAATGTAGTCAGGGCCAAAGATCATGGTATAGATCTCATGTCAAAAGCAGGAAAGAATAAATAGTAAATCTACTCCTCTGGGGCATACTTCTATTTCTTTTGTCTTTTGTCTTATCTGAACTACCTCTTTTTATTTGTTTGCTCTCATGATAAATCCCTTTCCGGAGCCTAAACACGAAGGAAGCAAGAATTGTACTCTGATCCACGAAACTGTAGAAATAGAACAATTGAGGATTTCCTCACTGTCTATTGCAAGAGAGATAATGCCATAAAAATCACCTTCTATAGATTTTTTTGTAAGGAAAGAGCTGTAGGGCCAACCTATGATCTCCATAGTGGAGCAACTGCACTTGCCCTTGCCAGCACAAATCCTTGATGTTATCAGCTCCTTCAGACTGAGTCCAGCTCTCAAAGCCCCAGAGTTAAAAATTCCCTTTCCAGTGAAATAGTTTAAGAGAGTCATAATGATGCTATCATTAAGGATTTCCTTGCGTTAGGGCCGATTTAGTTGTATACTGATACGACTTAGTGTTTATTTATTCACAAGAAGTCTTTTCCCTGATAAAAAGGTGTGTACCAAAGGCCTCTGTCTCTTGCTAATTAGCATAGCTCAGTCATAGGAATGCAGGCTGCAGAGTCTGAGGAACTTTTCAAAACAGATTTGACCAATTACCATCCATGTCACTGAGAAAACTACTTAAGCTCCCTGAGCTTCAGTATACTCTATAGAAAATGGGCATAAATAATAATTTTTACTTTATAAGGTGGCTGTGACAAGTATTTCAGTGAGTAAAAATTAAGTGCCTGGAAAAGAGTTGGAACTCAGTCAATGGGTGGATTCTCATTGTCAACCCCAAACAACAATATTAAAGAATTATCCCATGTAGGTTATCATGTATTTGTCATTCTAGTCCGGCAATGAAGTAGGCTCCATAGTCGAATTTATGAAAATTTAAACTCTACAGCCTGATGTTAGCAATAGCATTTGGTTATTTGAAAAGTTATAGATGCTTGACAGTAACAACTCTAAATTGGCTTCCACTTGACTAAAGGTTTTTGATCTTCATTTATGAGACCAATTTTGAGAAAATGTTACATTCATAAAGTTCCTTTCTTGCATCAGTAGAGATATATTTTTAATCGTTTAAAAATTCGTGTGTAGCATCTCTTCTTACAATATGTTATGATACTGCACTGTGAAATGTCAATTCAGAGCATCAGGTAATTTTTAATTCATCTCCAGGCTCCTGTGTAGTGAAAGGAAGTTTGGAAATGGACTCTATAATCAGACCATCCAGAATCACAAGGTTAAAAGTAGCTTGTCAGCATCTGGACTTTTACTCTGAAGTGCATTATATTCCTAATACTTATTACAGAAAGGAACAAAAGATTTAGAGAGATGTCTATCTTTACATACATACAGACTCTCCTGACCTCACAATGGGACTTCAACACTGTATTAAAATTTCAGGATAACTGAAGGCTGAATTCCCAAAAATATATGAAACAAATAAAACTACTCATGCATCTATTTATTAGAGACCTACAGTATACAAGATATTAAAAACTAGAAATGCAACAGTAAATGTGAGACATAGTTCACCTGAAAAGGGACTTAAGGCCTAATGAGGACTTACAGTCAATTTCAAATAAATTGAATTATGCACATGTTATAACGTTCCACTCCCCAGTTTGTTTACTGAAATTATGCCTAGATGTTTCCTTCAGTGAATGGAAATGTAGATGACTCGATTTTTACTTTAATGCACAAATTATACTAAGTTAAATGTGCCATATGTGTGTATATAATATTCAAATACCTGCATCTTCAACTGCAATTGGTTAACAAGACTAAAAAAAAAAAAAAAAAAAAAAAAAAAAACATGTGTTATTCCATTTAGTGACCAAATTGTAATCTTAAGTACAATTTGACCACCTGTCTTTTCTACTATAGCACTAATTGTTACTGTAATGGAGGAGAGATTTATATCATGTTTAGGAACTATATGTCCCTTTTTCCACTTAAAAGTTACAAAGCTGATTTCCCAAAGCCTCATCACCCGTGGCTCTTGAAGGGCAGTATTAGCATCACCTGGAAAATTATTAGAAAAGGAAATTTGGGATCCCCACTTCAGAACTATTGAATCAGTCTCTGGGTGTGGAGTCCAGCGATTTATGTTTTAACAAGCTCTGCACATGATACTGAAGCATACTTAAGTTCGAGAACTTGAGTCATTATTTCTGTTTAAAGTCATTCCACTTAGATTGGTTCAGAGCCCATCATTCGTATTTCCTAGGGCTGCAGTGGCCCACATGGTAGTCGGTTGTTCGTTGTGCCTGTGGAGCACTTGAAATGAGGCTATCCAATTGGAGATTTGCTGTCAGGGTAAAAACATGACAAATTTTTAAAAAACATGTGTGGCTTATATTTATTGTTCATATTACATATATTTCGGGGGATTATTTTTAAATTTTTTCAGCTTTATTTAGGGATAATTGACATATAGAAATCTTATAAAGTATACAATGTAATGTTTATATATATATTATATATATATAGTGAAGTCATAATTACCATTTTTTTTTGGAATGGTGAGAACACCTTCAATCTTCCATCTTAGTAAATTTCAAGCATATAATACATTATTGTAAACTGTAGTCACCATGCTTTACATTAGATCACCGGAATGTCATTCTGCATAACTAAAACTGTATTCTTTGACAAACATCTCCCAATTTTCCCCTCCCCACTCTGACCCTGGCAATCACCAGGTTGCCACTTTGTCCTTCTGTGAGTTTGACTATTTCAGTTTCACATCTAATCATGCAGTATTTGTTTTCTGTGTCTGGCATATTCCACTTAGCATAAGTTCCTTCGGGTTCGTACATATTGTTGCCAATTATAGAGTTTCCTTCTTTTTCTAAGGCTAAAAATAAAGCAGAGAAATATCCCATCATATCTATATATATGTGTGTGTGTATATATATATGTATGCTACAATGAACATAGGAGTGCAGATACTACTTAAAGATCCAAGTTTTATTTTCTTGGATATTGATATGGTTTCATTCTGCAACCCCACCCAAATCTCATCTTGAATTGTACTCCCATAATTCCCACGTGTTGTGGGAGGGATCTGGTGGGAGATAATTTGAATCTTGGGATAAGTTTCCTCCATACTATTCTCATGGTAGTGAATAAGTCTCACAAGATCTGATGGGTTTATCAGGGGTTTCTGCTTTTGCATCTTTCTCATTTTCTCTAGCCACCACCATATAAGAAGTGCCTTTCACCTTCCACCATGATTCTGAGGCCTCCCCAGGCATGGGGAACTGTAAGTACAATTAAATCACTTTTTCTTCCCAGTCTCTGGTATGTCTTTATCAGCAGCGTGAAAATGAACTAATACAGTGAGACCTGGGCATTAGTATGAAGGTGACATCGCTGAAAGTAGATTTGGAAAGAATTACACAGCATCACACCATTATGGTTTTTCCACAATATAGACAAAATAGATGTAAATAGCTTCAAGAGCATAGATTGTTGTAAATTGTAAAATAAATACCAGTAGAGTGGGGTGATGCAGAAAAGATACCCTAAAATATGGGAGTGACTTTGAAATTGAGTATCAGGCAGAGGTTGCAACAGTTTGGAGGGCCCAGAAGAAGACAGGAAAATGTAGGAAAGTTTGGAACTTCCTAGAGATTGGTTGAATGGCTTTGACCAAAAGCCTGATAGCAAAATGGACAATATGGTCCAGGCTGAGGTGGTCTCAGATGGAGATGAAGAATTTGTAGGGAAATGGAGTAAAGGTGACTTGTCATGTTTTAGCAAAGAGACTGGTGGCATTTTGCCCCTGCCCTAGAGATTCAACTTTGAACTGGAGAGAGATGATTTAGGGTACCTGGCAGAAGAAATTTCTAAGCAGCAAAGCATTCAAAAGGTAACTTGGTTGCTGTTAAAAGCATCCGTTTTAAAAGGGAAACAGCATAAAAATTCAGAAAACGTGCAGCCTGAAGATGCAGTAGAAAAGAAAAACTCATTTTTTGAGCAAAAATTCAAGCTGGCTGCAGACATTTGCATAAGTAACAAGAAGCCAAATGTTAATCCCCAAGACAATGGGGAATATGTCTCCAGGGCATGTCATATATCTTCTTGGCAGCCCCTCTCATCACAGACCCAGAAACCTATGAGGGAAAAATGGTTTGTGGGTTGGGCCCAGGGTCCCCGTGCTATGTGCAGTCTAGGGACTTGGTGCCCTGTGTCCCAGCCACTCCAGCCATTGCCAAAAGGGGTCAAGGTACAGCTCGCTCCATGGTTTCAGAGGGTCCAAGCCCCAAACCTTCCATGTGGTATTCAGCCTACGGGTGCACAGAAGTCAAGAATTGAGATTTGGGAACCTCTGCCTAGATTTCAGATGTGTGGAACCACTTGGATGCCCAGGCAAAAGTTTGCTACAGGGGTGGGGCTGTCATGGAGAACCTCTGCTAAGGCAGTGCAGAAGGGAAATGTGGAGTTGGAGCCCCCATACAGATTCCCTACTGGGGCACCGCCTAGTGAAGCTGTGAGAAGAGGGCCGCCATCTTCCAGACCCCAGAATGATTGATCCACCGAGAGCTTGCACCGTGCACCTGGAAAAGCCGCAGAAACTCAAGGCCAGCCTATGAAAGCAGCCAGGGGGGTTATCCCCTGCAAGGTCACGTGGGCACAGCTGTATATGACTATAGGAACCTACCTCTTGCAGTGGCCTGACCTGGATGTAAGATAGGGAATCAAAGAAGAACATTTTGGAGCTTTAGAATTTGACTGCCCTGATGGATTTTGGACTTGCGTAGGCCCTGTAACCCCTTTGTTTTGGCCAGTTTCTCCCATTTGGAATGGCTGTATTTACCAATACCTGTACCCTCATTGTATCTAGGAAGTAACTAGCTTGTTTTTTATTTTACAGGCTCATAGGCAGAAGGGACTTGCCTTGTCTCAGATGAGACTTTGGACTGTGGACTTTTGGGTTAATGCTGAAATGAGTTAAAACTTTGGGGAACTGTTGGGAATGCATGATTAGTTTTGCAAAGTGAAGACTTGAGATTTGGAGGGGCCAGGGGCAGAGCAATATGGTTTGGCTGTGTTCCCACCCAAATCTCATCTTTAATTGTACTCCCATAATCGCCACATGTTGTGGGAGGGACCCAGTGGGAGATAATTGAATCATGGAGGCAGTTTCCCCCACACTGTTCTCATGGTAGGTAATAAGTCTCACAAGATCTGATAGTTTTATCAGGGGTTTCCACTTTTGCATCTTCATTTTTCTCTTGCTGCCGCCATGTAAGAAGTGCTTTTCGCCTCCTGCCATGATTCTGAGGCCTCCCCAGCCATGTGGAACTGTAAGTCCAATTAAGCCTCTTTTTCTTCCCAGTCTCAGGTATGTCTTTATCAGAGGCATGAAAACGGACTAATACAGATATATACCCAGAAATTGGATTTCTGAGTCATATGGTACTTCTATTTTTAATTTTTTAAAGAAGTTCCATATTGTTTTGCATAAGACACAGATAAAAAGACATTCTCCACTCATGGATCAAAAGAATTAATGTTGTTATAATGCCCATACTACCCAAAGTGATCTACAGATTCAATGCAATTCCTTCCAAAATCTCAGTGATATTCATTACAGAGATAAAAAAAATTAAAATTCATTTGGAACCACAAAAGACCACAAATACCCATAGCAATATTGAGCAAGAAGGATAAAGCTGAAGGCATCACATTTTCAAAATGTATTGTAAAGCGATAGTAATAAAAACACTATGGTACTAACATAGAACCAGTCATATGGACCAATGGAACAGAATAGAGAGCTTAGAAATATTCACACGCTGATAGTCAACTGATTTTTGACAAAAATACCAAGAACACACAACAGTGAAAAGATAATCTCTTCAATAAATGATGCTGGCAAAACTGGCAATCCAATGCAAAAAAAATAAAATTTGACCTTTCTCTCACATCATATTAAAAACAAATATAAGACAATGAAACTGTACAACTACTAGAAGAAAATATATCTGAAAAAGCTTCTTGATATTGGTCTTGGCAAAAAATATTTTGTTTATGACACCAAAAGCACAGGCAACACAAGCAAAAATAAACTGAGATTGCATCAAACTAAAAATATTCTGCACAGCAAAAGAAACAATCAACAGACTGTAAAGCAATCTACATAATGAGCAAAAATATTTGCAAACCATATATCTGATAAGGGGTTAATACCCAAAATATATAAGAAACTGATGCAACTCAGTAGCACAACAAAACAAAATAAAATACTGAAATGGATAAAGGACCTGATTAGGCATTTCTTAAAAAGAAGACATATGTCTTAATCTGTTGTGTACTTCTGTAACAAAATACTTGAGACTGGGCAGTTGATAAAGAACAGAAATGTATTTCTCAGAGGGATTAGTACTTCTGCCAGAGGACTGGGGCAGTCCAAAAGTGTTAACTCCTCTGTCATTTGTACACTTCAATGAAAATACATACTGCAGTGTATGGGATCTGATTACCCTTGCAGTTCTCAGTGTGGCCAAGTGTCATAGTCCATAAGTATAAAGAAGGAGAGACAGTGTGCTCTTTGGAGAGATTTTGATCAATGGGAAACAGGAAATGACAAATATGTGCAGAGGCATTCCTTCACGCCATCTACTCACCTCCAGCACAGCCATCTGGGGAGGTTCTGTATGCCAAAGCAAGTGTACCTGTTGTGTGAGGACACATGTCCTTTGGTGGTTTGTCATAAAACAGAGGCCAATGCACTGATCACTCCCTCTTGCTAAGTCCCTGAATCACATGTCTGATCCTGTGAATGTCTGATTCAAAGCAGAGACTGTGAACCCTAGGTGGAACAAGGAGAGAAGGGAAGCAGCAAGAGGTTAGTGGACAGTGACAAGGTGGTTGAGATGGCAGATCAGAGGCCTTGATACATGGGGTTAATATGTGGACTGAGGACAGCATAAAGGAATTTCTTCAGTAAAAAATTCACTTATTTCAAATTAAGAAAGTGCTTTTATTTCCATGCATAATAAGGGAGACTAACTTTTCCAGGGGTTCTTTATTTCTAAAATAGTTAAGTTTCTCCAGTTGAACTAAAATATCTTCTGTAAGTACCAATTGACCCACTTTTTTACTATATATTTAGAGGCAAGATAAAGTTCCTCTAATAGAAAGCTTCTCTGACTTATTCTTAGGTCATCTGCTGCTAGTTGTGAATGTGACAAGGAAGCTAGCTCATTAGTGCACTGGAGATGCTTGTGTGGGAAGACGTAGAGTCCCATTTTACTTTGCTGTTTGACATTTTTCTCTCTAATGTGTAATCTACTGAGAGAAGCTAATCCTCAACTCATCCTGCTCAGTGGGAAGTGAAGAAATTGCTAATTATCTCATCGTGATTCCACAAGCACTGCACATTTTGGTTTGGGTGTTTGTGTACGGCATTAATGAACTAACACTCATTCCTCAATATGGTGATCTAACAGTGAAATACCTATGAATACTTGACTTATATTTTCACTGAGTATAAAACTAAGAATACAGAGGAAAAGTTTCTTCAAATGTTTATAAGTAGCTGAGGAACATTACCGTCACCTTTCATGAGAGCAAACTAAACGAAACTTCTGAGAACATAACCCCAGAAAAGCTGGCGAAAATGTGATACATCAACATGAAAGACTTTTCTTTCCAAGAGGAAAGTCATAAACTGGCATTCGCTTTGGCTGAATCCAGCTCACAGATTTCTTGAGCTTATTCAGTATTTTTTAATAAAGTGAATTAGTTGCCAAAATATAAAAATCATCAGGCTGCAAATAAAAATGCATCCATACTTCTGGCTTTCTTTGAAAACAGGTTCCTCTAGCACACTGGTCCCAGGCTACAGGTGGCTTCTGTTGGAGGGAGCCCAGGAGCATGCTTTCCCCAGCTCCCCACACTCACCACCTGACCTTCTTCTCACATTTACTTTACGTGCTTTCCACCTGAAGTCATTTACTCTGCATCCTCTGTTAAGAATTTCTCTATATTTAGATTGTATCTGAACTGACAGTCAGATCTTTATCATCAGGATGTTCTAGCACAGTGGTTCTGCAACTTGACCACACACCAGTCATTTATGAAGCTTCAGACATTGTTATGCTCAGGCCATACCCCATATGAACTGAACATACTTGTAAGCAGAGGAGGGTATAGCACTCAGGCATAAGTGAGTTTCTGTTTTTTAATTCTCTAGGTTATTTCAATATGTAGCTACGTTTGAGAACAACAGTACCTGAAAATTTCCCAAATTCCTGAAGTGCCCTTGATCAGAATTCAGATAACCAGGTGATATGGTTTGGCTGTGTCCCCACCCAAATCTCACCTTGAATTGTACTCCCATAATTCCCACATGTTGTGGGAGGGACCCTGTGGGAGATAATTTGAATCATGGGGGCAGTTTCCCCCATACTGTTCTCATGGTAGTGAATAAGTCTCACAAGATCTGATGGTTTTATCAAGGGTTTCTGCTCTTGCATCTTCCTCATTTTTCTCTTGCCACCACCATATAAGAAGTGCATTTCACCTCCTGCCCTGATTCTGAGACCTCCCCAGCCATGTGAAACTGTAAGTCCAGTTAAGCCTCATTTTCTTGCTAGTCTCCAGTATGTCTTTATCAGCAGCATGAAAACGGACTAACACACCAGGTAACATCTTACCAAGAGCTATCTGGTGGCAGATGGGATAGCACATAAGGGGAAAGAGAAAACACAAGTTGGTTAGGTCAGGAGTTTGCAGTGCTGGTTGCACACTAGAAATAACAAGAAGCTTTGACAAAAATCCATTCTGGCCATACCAATAGCTATTCTGATTTGAGTGATTTAGTTTGGTACCCATTGGTCAGTATCACTTTTAAGCTGCCTAGTTTTTCTGAGAAAAAGCTAGGTTTGAAGCACCACTGGTTTAAGGAGTTCAAGACTGCAGTGAGCCGTGATGACGCCACTGCACTATAGCCATGGTGACAGAGTAAGACGCTATTTCAAAAATAGAAAATGAAAATGAAAAAAAAACCCACTGGTTTATAGCATTTTCTGCAGCTTAGAATGCTTAACTGAATTACAGATACTTAATCATCTAATAACTATGAGCAAACAGGCAACCTGGATATTGTTGAACAAGCGAGCATTTTTAATTATATTTCACCTTTGGACTGTGTCTAGACCTGACCTTCAGCTTTCTTTGGCCTTTTAATTCCCATAAAAAGCTGTCACATCTCCAAAATTAGAGGATGAGCCTCTAATTGGCAGGCTCTACTGCATCATGTAATTTTCAACATATATTTTAAGTGCCTACCAGATGCTTGTTTCTATCTTACTTCTCGCTCTGTCTCAAGAACCTAGCATGGAACCTGGCACCTGGCAGACTCTCAATAATTTTTATCAAATTTAGAGAACAGCTAAAGAATTTTTTTTTTTTTTTTTTTTTTTTTTTTTTTTTGAGACGGAGTCTTGCTGTCGCCCAGGCTGGAGTGCAGTGGCGCGATTTCGGCTTACTGCAGGCTCCGTCCCCCGGGGGTTCATGCCATTCTCCTGCCTCAGCCTCCCGAGTAGCTGGGACTACAGGTGCCCGCCACCACGCCTGGCTAATTTTTTTTCATTTTTAGCAGAGACGGGATTTCACCGTGTTAGCCAGGATGGTCTCGATTTCCTGACCTCGTGATCCGCCCGCCTCGGCCTCCCAAAGTGCTGGGATTACAGACGTGAGCCACCGCGCCCGGCCCTAAAGAATTTTCTATAGATTCTAACCTCTGCCTCTAAGCTTTTCTGTTATTCTATTTTCAATACAAAATAAATACCATAACATGTTCTTTCTTAAAACAATTTTCTAAAATTTCCAAAATGTGGTCTTGTCTCAAAAAAATTGTTAGTTAATTTAAACTCTGCTTAGAACTTTCCCTTTATTTATTCAACAATGCAGTACCCATTTTGCCCGCTCAGAATTTCTTCTTTGTATCTTTATTTCTGGACTTTTGGAAGTCCAGAAATACGGTTTTGGGCTTTTGGACTTAATAGAGGGGTCAGAACTTAGGCCACAGAGGCATTTTCTTCTTCACCCTATCATCAGAAAACCTGAGGCAGCATGAGCAGGTGAGAACTAAATATGCTGTCCATAGAAACTAAAGTTATCAGGAAAACAGAAAAAAAAAAAAAAGCAAACGAACAAACTACACACACGCACGTGTACACACAGAACGTCTCCAACTTATGAGGGTTTGCCATGTGATTTATTGTTTTCACGATGGTGCAAGCAATACACATTCAGTAGAAACTGTACTTTGAATTTCGAATTTTGATCTTTTCCAGGTTAGGATAAGCTCTTATGATTCTGGATGAGCCACAGTTTTTCTTTAGCCCATGGGCACAAGGCTAAATAACCATAATTTTTCAGTTGATAATGTTTTCAGCTTTTGGTGGGTTTATCAGGACATCACCCCATTGCAAGTAGAGAAGAATCTACTATCTATCTATCTATCTATCTATCATCTGTCTATCTCTATACACATACATATGTATATACATATGGATATATATCCCCAAATCATACATATCCATATACATGTATCCATAGACATATGGATATATATCCCCAAATTAAAGCATTAAAGACAAAAGCAGGAGAATGCAAACAAGTATGATGGTCAAAATGGGGACAAAATCTCATGCAAGGAATGAATTGAGAAGAAATGTTCAAAACAAAAATAAAAAGTAGTGAGTTCCTGGTTACAGACATGAAACTTTCCTAAGCCATAAAGATACAGACAATATTTATTGTTAATTATCATCTAAGTTTGGTTTTCTCTACTCCATAAAATTCCCCCAAATCCTACCAACCTATCATTTGGAAATGATATTCTAGCTCATGTGTGTGAATTTTGTCTCAGATTGATGAAAGCAATAATTCTCAAGCATCCTCTAGAGTAGCCCTCCTACTGGTAGCTACATATAGTTGTCTCCCTCTTTTGTGATTTGGGATCTGCAGCAGATTGTATTTTGAAAGATGGCCCCAAAATATCTCCAATCCCATATGTTCTTCTTAAACCTTGCCACTCCGTTTTTGAGAATTGGAGTCTCCTTTCCCTCTTTTTGAGTCTGGGCAGGCTTGTGACTTTAACCAATAAGAGGTGATGGAAATGATTCTGTGACTTCTGAGGCAAGGAAATGAAAAGTAATGTAGCTTTTACCTTCTTCTTTAAGACACTTGCCTTTGGAGCCCTGGGACACCATGTAAGAAGGACAACTACCATGAGGCCATTGTGTTATAAAAAGTCCAAAATAGTTCATGCAGAGAGACCGTGTGGAGAAGGCTACATGAAGAGAGAGATGCTTGATCAGCCCTGACCCTCCAGCTCTAGCCCTACAACTGCATGACACCCCAATCCAGGACTATCCAGTCACATCTTTCCAGAAACAGAAGCTGAGCTTTAATTATGAAATAATTGTTATTTTAAGCTACTAATAAATTATGGAGTGAATTTCTAATTCAGCAATAGTAAGTGGAACACATTTGTATTCTACTATTCCTTCCTTGGATATGGATGGTCCTACTTAACTAGTCTTGTGCTGGTAGATGATTCACAGGTAGCTCCCTGGGATGGGAAGTTCTGATTTGTAGTGCTTGCTGATTACTTTAGTGTGATTTCAAGTTGTCAAGGTGATGCTACTGAAAGCAGAGCTGGAAAGAATTACACAACATCACACCATTATGGTTTTTCCACAATATAGACAAAATAGATGTAAATAGCTTCACAAACATAGATAGTTGTAAATTATAAATTAAAATAAAATAAGAAATGGTAAGTTGTAAGTTTGTATTATCTTTATGCTTAATATAAATTTATGTATTCTAAATTTATACAATTTAATATCGAATAATAGTTGTTTCTAACACCCAGCTTACAAAATTACCAAGAAGTTATCTATTGGCTCCAACACGCCATGGTACTTACACTTCTCTATTGCTCTGTGTATTTTTCAGCATCATCGTAAACATCAGAACTTCAGTGGATCCACTTAAAATGACAAATAAGTTCTCTTTTGTGCATACCGTGTCTCACACCCTGCATCCAATTTATTTAGTCCTCCAGCCTGTCTCATTGACTTCCATTGTTTCAGTGACCTTGGACAATCTGAATGTCTAAAACTATCAAAAGCATTGCTAAGAGTGATTATTAGTGTGTCCCACAAGTATCTTACATTGAACTTATGCAAAACTGAGTCATTGTCTTCCCCATCACCCTTTCCTTTTTATATCTTTTTTATCTTGTTGAGTAGCATCATGAAACACCTGGTCCCTGACTGCTCTTGAATTCCACCCTCTTTCTTCTGCGTCCTGTTATTCCACTGACTTTGGTTTCTCAACTTTCTTGACTTCTCTCCACTTGAGTTGTCACTATCATAGTCCAGGTATTGATTCTTTCTTGACAGATTATTTTAACAACTTCTCAAGCAGTGATCTTACCTCTGGTCTTATACTTATCCTTTCGTCACCTTGACGTCAAGGCTGCCTTTCTAACCATGTTGTTTCTCTAGGGTGTGCCTGTTTGTGCAAGGCTGGGAGAGGTTGTTGTGTGTGTCACAAGCATTTTTTCTCTATGATTTTGTTGTCCAGTGAAGACAAACAGAGGAGATCTCCCAAGATACATACAGGTTTATATATGTACCTGCATATATACAGTGTCTTAACTCAGGTCACGTACTAAGTCTGACAAATAGTCTTAATTCCCTTTTGCCCAGTACCTACCCTACTTGTGGAATTTCTTTTTTTTTTTTTTTTTTTTTTTTTTTTTTTTTTTTTGAGATAGAGTCTCACTCTGTCACCCAGGCTGGAGTGCAATGGTGTGGTCTTGGCTCACTGTAACTTCCGCCTCCCAGGTTTAAGCGATTCTCCCACCCCAGCCTCCTGAGTAGCTGGGACTACAAGCATGTGCCATCATGCCTGGCTAATTTGGGTAGAGACAGGGTTTCACTATGTTGGTCAGGATGGTCTCGAACTCCTGACATCGTGATCCGCCTGCCTTGGCCTCCCAAAGTGCTAGGATTACAGGCATGAGCCACCATGCCCGGCCCCTACTTGTGGAATTTCATTAGAGTTCAGGTATAAAGTTCAGGTGCTTATTACTCATTTCATAGCTTTTCTCTTTTGTACTTATATTCTCTAGCTCAGGGGCATCCAATCTTTGGGCTTCCCTGGGCCACACTGGAAGAAGAATGGTCTTGGGCCACACATAAAATAGATTAACACTAACAATAGCTGATGAGCTAAGAAAAAAAATCACACAAAAAGACTCATAATGTTTTCAGAAAGTTTACAAATTTGTATCGGGCCACATTCAAAGCTGTCCTGAGCCACATACAAGCTGTGGGTTGGACAAGCTTCCTATAGCTAATCCAACCAACTGAAATTGAAATCTATCTGAAAGATATTTTCTATTGTCCAGAGACTTGTCTTAATTTTTCACCCTGATTACACCATGGAATAAAACTATAGAAATGCAATTACAGGCACTTGATTTAGTGTCTAGAGAAAATATTCGCTAGGGAGTTGAGTCACTTTGATCAGCCTTAATTTTTAACAATGAGACCATCTGAGTCTTATTTCTGTGGACATCAATTTTTTTCAAAAAATTGGTTAATTTATCTACACTCTACTTCCGAGCTGCACCATTTCCTTTAAGTGACAGTAGCTACATTTCCAAACATATATTGGATTTTTTTATTAACCCTAATTTATATACTCAGTATTTTAATCTTAATCCTAAAGTGTTTAGATTCAGCACGACTTGCTAGAATGAATAAAATTCACTGGATCATAAAATAAGATAGAAAAGTTAAATGATCTGAAATACATTTTATGTGAGACTTTCATTTTTCAATAAAGCTTCAGAAAACACGCCCATATTCCACAGGAAGGAATTTATTAAAGCTGCATTAGAGATTTCAATAATTTCTGATGTTCACAATGGATTATTTGGATACTTATAAATGAAGGGAAATGATTTCCATCAAAATATGCTGAATTATATTTTCTAGGAATATTTTTCCAATACAATCCCATATGGCCAAAAAACGAGCTTTTGAAAACAATGTATCTTAAAAATAATAACAGATTTTACTGAAATATCTTCATGTTCTTAATTCCCATGTAGAGAGTTTTCCAGTTCTTTAAAGTCTGGCTCAATACAGATAGCAATACGTAAGAGTTGTTTTCCCCTCCCTGGCACCTGCCTACTGAATGCTATTTTGTACTTGTCAACCACGTCCAAGTGTTGTCAGCCTACCATTTGTCAAAGGCACAAATGCTACTTGCTAAGCTTTACTGCTTCACCTTAAAAAGAAAGGGTGGCATTTCCACACAACTGTCATGGGACTGCTTACTATGCCACTTTGTTTCGATTGTTTCCCATACGGAATGGGGTGGATCCTGAGCTTCGGGTAGAAAATAAATTGTGATGAATATTAGTGAAATTCTGATGGTGTGCTGCTTTACCAAGAACATTTATTTACCCATTCACTCAGCCTTCCCCGCCTTCATAAAAGGTTGACTTGAGCAGTGGTTGAAAGCAATTGAATACTTGCTACCTTTCCAGGCCTGTGTTCAGTACTTTAAACGTTATCTCATGCACATCCCCTTGCAACTACGGGAGGCGTTGGTAGATTATGCCCATTTTGCGGAGAAAAAAACTGAAGTTCAAATAACTTTTATGTGGCCAAGTTTTTTTTTTCTTAATCGATGTGTTTATTAAAAACATGGACTAATGATTCTGTGCTTAAATGTCATTGTGGTAGTGTGCTGATTTTCATAAAACATAACTGATAATAAGGGACTCTTCACAAATACACTCCAGACAGAAGAAAAAGGTAAACAGAATTCACTGACAAAACAGTGCCATTTCAGACATAGCTCCCTTAATTCTTGCTAGCAAACGGAGTTTAACATTATTTACAATTATACCAGTATTGTCAGAGTATGTGGCCAAGTTTTCTTTCTCTCTACCCTCACTATTAGCATTTAGACAGGAATATCCAGTCCTATAATCAGTAAAGAGGGTGATTTCCAACTCTATACACAGGGTTGGGTATTTAACAAATAAATTATAGCATGTCCAATTAGATTTAAATTTCAGATACAGTTTTTTTTTAGTATAGTATGTCTCATGCTATATTTAGGGCATATTTGTATTAAAAATATTCATTGTTAATTTCAAATTCAGCATTAAATGGGCATTCTGTGTCTTATCTGGAAACACTGTTTATAAAACTAGTTTAGGCTATTAAAGTTAAATCCTCTTAATGTCTTATCAACCCAAACTCCTATGGATACAAAGCCATTTGTCACACTCTAATCTTTCCTTTGATCCCAGCTGGCCTATGTAACAGGTAGGATGATTCATATATCTCCACTGAGCATCACCTGCAACCTCCCACAGGTCCCCAGCTAAATATAACTCACCTGTCTTCTGCTTCTAGGCCTCTCTTTCAACAGTGCCATGTATCTGCTGCATTCTCTGCAGTTTTCATTTCTGACCCAACTGGAACCTCCCATTGACCTCTGACCTCTGAGGCTTTATGCTCTCTCAGTCCTGATTACTGATGGACGTTGTTTGCAACATGCCTGTCCAGGGCTCGAGCGCCCATTGGGCTGTCTCCTTGGGCTGTTTGAGATACCACTTTTATCATTTTCTCAACAGACTTAGAAAAAGTGTATTTTATCCACGACACATGTAAAGTCTGGACGCTAATGAGGTAAAAGTGAAGAAATCATGGGACTGGGGTGGAGAGAACGTAACAGATTGAATATCATCAAAATAGGAGCACGAAGCACAGTGGGGACTGGGAAGGAGAGATGTGGGGACAGGTATGTAAATGGAAGTTTCAGGCGCGTGTTTTTGACAGTGATAGATGAAAACATACATCAAGTACTGCCTTCCAGTTTGTCCCTCTTTGGGTACAAATGTCTACAAAACCTTGGATAAGTTCTTGTTGCTGGTAGGGCCATGGCAGTGGTGAAGCAAGCAAGGCACTTAGGGCACAACATCTAAGATTAAATAATGACTTGTAATTGTCTGAGACCTAGTGAGCTCTTAAAAAATGTTGGTTCTCTTAATGCTTCTGTCTTGGGAATAACTGCTTATTAAAATTGAGGTTAATTAAATTGAAATTATTGTATGAATAAAATAGAACACGAAGACCTTTGTCCAAAACCATGTGTAATTGCACAGGAAAATGAGCACTGCATTTGGAGCCATGAATGTTGGGTTCAAGTCTTAAATTGATCACACCCTGCATCATTTATACACTTTAAATCAGCTTCATTTTCTATAAAATTATGCATGTAGCGAGTCTGTTCCTCAGAATTATTTCATTAATGATCCTGTCGTCAAGGCTGCTGATAAAAAATTGTTTTTATTTATTTATTTATTTGAGACAGAGTTAGCTTCTGTTACCCAGGCTGGAGTGCAGTGGTGCAATTTTGGCTCACTGCAACCTTCACCTCCCAGGCTCAAGCGATTCTCATGTCTCAGCTTCTCAATAGCTGGGCACGTGTCACCACGCCCGGCTAACTTTTGTATTTTTAGTAGAGATGGGGGTTTCACCACATTGGCCAGGCTGGTCTTGAATTCCTGGCCTCAAGTGATTCGCCCGCCTCGGCCTCCCAAAAGATGGAATTTATGCAAGAGCTACTGTGCCTGGCCAGAGAAAAGAATGTTTAGATCTCTTTGTAGTAAGATTTGTGAAATGACTTTGAGTCACAATTGTCACAGAAATTTGTGAGCATCTTTCTGAAATAGATTGTTCATCACAAAAATTTATGATCATTAGCAACTCAACCCAAGCTGAGACCAACTTTGAGGTGGCTGCAAACTCTTTAAAGCATGTTTGTTTAGAAAGTCTTTAAGACTAAGATGAGTTTCTGTGTAGCAATAGTTTGCTGATACATGGTCCTTTAAATTCTGCTTCATCTCCTATTAACTCTAAGATTTCCCTAGTTCTCCTGGGTCCAAAGTCATTTCTCCTTCTTCTAAATATCTCTGGTATATAACATTTGCACCACCAACGGACAATTAATGCATATATTTTTATATCCCTAATCTGCTAGTAATTGCCCTGTTTAAGAGAATCTTGTACCACTTTAATCCCATAATTCCTTATGCAGCTCAGGAGATATATAAATATTTATTCCTTTGATTAGTATACTTTTTGTTCAAATCCCACGTGATTTTTATTGTTAAAAAGTTGGCTGGGCGCAATGGCTCACGCCTGTAATCCCAGCACTTTGGGAAGCCGAGGTGGGCGGATCACAAGGTCAGGAGATCGAGACCATCCTGGCTAATATGGTGAAACCCCATCTCTACTAAAAATACAAAAAAATTAGCCAGGCCGGGTGGTGGGCGCCTGTAGTCCCAGCTACTTGGGAGGCTGAGGCAGGAGAATGGTGTGAACCCGGGAGCCGGAGCTTGCAGTGAGCCGAGATGGAGCCACTGCACTCCAGCCTGGGCAACAGAGCAAGACTCCGTCTCAATAAATAAATAAATAAAAAATAAAAATAGGAAGTTGGCATTATATATGTTCTGCAGTACTAGCTCTTAACAATTCTGATTTAATTAAATTAGGATGAGGCCTAGGCATTGCTATCTAATAAAAGTTTCCCAAGAGATTATGATGTATATGAAGGATTAAGAATCACTGTTTTCAGGTTGGCTCAGAATGGATTAAGTCTTTAGAAGACTTATTTTTTAAGTTGATTTTGCCATGTTCACATACTCCAGGTAGAAATTATCTCCTGCCCTTTCATAATCTGCTCAGTTTGTTGTTGTTTTTGTTGTTTGTTGATGTCCTTCTGCTCTAGCTGTTTTTCTTATCTCATTCCTGTTCCCAAGAATTGCTGTATAAACCCCTTGGTTCCCTTTACTTTAAATACAAACAAATCCTTTAAAACCAAATTGATTCATCAGAGGAAAAAGATAGCACCAAATGGAATGTTGGTATTTTTGTAACTTCTAAGTGAACAATCCATTTTAAATGATTAATTCCATTATACTGCAATTTACATCTAGTGCTAATGAAATAAAATTAGTTTCAACATCGATTCAACCCTCTTCCCTCTCTCACATGATCTCATTAGCCTCATTGTGAATGTTTTGCTGCAATAATTTTTCTGCCATACCAGCTGCACCATTACTGGATTGTTATTATTGATTACTGAAAATCCAGATGTAAGAAAGAGGAATGGGCAGGGAGTTGATTACTATGATCAGTTTGAAGTTTAAGTGGGAGAGAAGTCATCCACAAGGTATCTATTCTCTTCATATATTTTCTAGAGGAAAGGGTGGGTTTCTGACACCAAGTATATTAAAAAGCCCTTATATAGATGCAGGTTCTAAAACAGTTTTCAGGGATGTGGCTTAGAGAATGTCTTAGTCTATGTGTTGCTATAACACACTACCTGAGGCTGGGTAATTTTTAAAGAAAAGAGATTGATTTGGCTCATAAGTCTGGTGACTTAAAAGTCTAAGATTGGGCAGCTGCATCTGGCAAGGGTCTCAGGCTGCTTCCACTAATGGGAAAAACAAAAGTAGGGGGATGTATGAAAAGAGATCATATGTCAAGAGAGAGAAACCTAGGAAGGCAGACTCATTTTAGCAACCTGCTCACAGGAGAACTAATCATTCTCATGAGAGCAACAATGCACTCACCCCTTGAGAGGGCATTAAGCTATTCATGAGGGTTGCATGCCCAAGACCAGGCCCCACCTCTTAACACTACCACACTGGGGATCAAGTTTCAACATAAATTTTGGCAGGAACAAACCACAATCAAACCATAACAGAGGCCTTGATTTATTACATAAAATAATGATGTTACATAGGATAAGTACATTTCAGTATTTATAGTACTTTTTCATCTACAATCCTGGATGATCTTCATGAAAAACCTAAGAAATCAGAAATATAAACACTTAGCCATACTCTATTAATGGAGAAACTATAAATCGGAGGACTTGTGTAATTGACATTTGGCTCCTTGGTGGTAGAGAGGTGACCAGACTTCTCCTGTCCCCAGTATCTCTAAAAGCAGGAATGAGAAACAAGGATGGGAGCTTTGGGGAAACCTAACTGGTATGTTAACTTATGCAGTAGGGACAGATAATTCTATGTGAGAAACAGCTATGTCTCTAATATACTCCCTAATATTAAAATGGAAAATATGGCCAGGAGCGGTGGCTCACGCCTGTAATCCCAGCACTTTGGGAGGCCAAGGCGGGCAGATCATGAGGTCAGAACATTGAGACCATCCTGGTTAACACGGTGAAACCCCATCTCTACTAAAATACAAAAAATTAGCCAGACATGGTGGCACGTGCCTGTAGTCTCAGCCACTTGGGAGGCTGAGGCAAGAGAATCGCTTGAACCTGGGAGGTGGAGGTTGCAGTGAGCCGAGATCTCACCATTGCACTCCAGCCTGGGTGACAGAGCGAGACTCTGTCTCAAAAAAAAAAAAAAAACCAAAATAGAAAATATGACCCCTAGATGCCACACTAAATATGCCACGGTGTCAGACATGCCAACATGTAAGGTACCCAGTGCCTGGTCCAGAGAGACACCTCAACCAATAGTGTTGAATAAATAAATCATTTCCTCTCATAAAGACACAATTTAAAACCAATTCCCCCGATGGAGCACGTTATATTAAACCATACTAAACACATATAAAATGTGTCTGTAACATTAGGCAATAAGTCCCCTAGTAAAAGTCCGAGGGACTATGGCATGACACAGATATATTTTGACCGTCAGGTGAGGAGCAGACTCAAAGGCTTTTATTTTAGGAGGGCAGAGTTAGAGAAATGTTGAAACACAGTGCCTTTCAATATTCAAAAATGCAGAATGGAAGAAAGTGGGTGCACCAGCCAGTACCACTCAAGAAGAGATATGAGGCCAATATTTTCTGTTTCACTATTTCTCAGAGAGTCATATCTCCACAGCATATAATAGTGGAGAGAATACTGACTGCAATCACAGATGCAAAATTCCTTTCATCTTTGTTTTAGCTGAGTGATGTTGAAATCTTGTTTAATGTTTCTGAGTCTCTGTGTTTTCATTAGAAAAAAGTCAGGAAATTTTGTAACAAATGATCAAGTCCACTAATAGATTTTTTTAATCGGCCTAGAATATAATACTAAAAAAATTTGCCCTATTTCCTCTTCTTCATCTCTTTCCTCTAGTAACTATTAGAATCCTCAAATCCTCTAGGTTTTAAAGCACTTATTTTTGTGAGTGGTTAAAAATTCAGAAAGAGAAATCCTACTACAGAAGGTCAAATCTTGTCTTCATCACTTATAACTGTCATCTTGGGCAAGCAATCTAATCGCTCTTTATTCCAAGAATTCCAGGAACTCATCATTTATAAAAGGGTATCTACTAAATCGGGTTACAGTAAAACATATATGAAAAAATATAGGGAAGGTCTCTGTGCATAACTTATTGCAAGTGCTCAGTGAGCCCTGCCGGTCCCTGCCTTGTCTTACAGGGACTGAAGCACCCGTCTACCTTCACTCCATCTTGTTGACGAGGCTCTCCTTTTTTTTTTTTTTTTTTTTTAATTATTATACTTTAAGTTTTAGGGTACATGTGCACAATGTGCAGGTTTGTTACATATGTATACATGTGCCATGCTGGTGCGCTGCCCCACTAACTCGTCATCTAGCATTAGGTATATCTCCCAATGCTATCCCTCCCACCTCCCCCCACCCCACCACAGTCCCCAGAGTGTGATATTCCCCTTCCTGTGTCCATGTGATCTCATTGTTCAATTCCCACCTATGAGTGAGAATATGCGGTGTTTGGTTTTTTGTTCTTGCAATAGTTTACTGAGAATGATGATTTCCAATTTCATCCATGTCCCTACAAAGGACATGAACTCATCATTTTTTATGGCTGCATAGTATTCCATGGTGTATATGTGCCACATTTTCTTAATCCAGTCTATCATTGTTGGACATTTGGCTTGGTTCCAAGTCTTTGCTATTGTGAATAAAGCTGCAGTAAACATATGTGTGCATGTGTCTTTATAGCAGCATGATTTATAGTCCTTTGGGTATATACCCAGTAATGGGATGGCTAGGTCAAATGGTATTTCTAGTTCTAGATCCCTGAGGAATCGCCGCACTGACTTCCACAATGGTTGAACTAGTGAACTAGTTTACAGTCCCACCAACTTGATAGTGTGCTAGTGATCTGTGGGACACCCGGTTTGGCTAGTGCCCTTTTCCTGCAGCAGAATGCCTTTTTCTCTGTCTGCTAGCATCACTGGCCCTCTCAGTGCCTCTTCATGGAGCGAGATCCTCCCACTGGGCATCTTTGCTTCAGGCAAGCGAGCCCAGCCAGGTGCTTTTAGGGTTTTTGGGAGTTCCCAGGTGATGGTCACCCTTACAGCTGTTGGCAAGATGAAGTTGCATACTTAACCTTACTCTGGTTTGCATATGTAGGATAAAATAAGCTCATTGAGCTTTAAAAGTATTGTGATGATTATATTTTAAAATAGAAATAATTTGATTTGAAATCTGACATTCACACTTCTCTTTTCCAGATATTCTCAAATGAAACATAGGTTCATTTCAGTATTGATGATCTATATCAAATCATCACATAAGACCTGTCTGAAGTCAAATAACATATTAAATCTATTTTATTTTAAAGTAGAGTTTTTTAAACACATGCTTAGCTATTCAATGTTTTTAAGCTAAACCAATTCTTATGAGAATGGCAAAATTGCAGATGGCAAGTATTATTGCTAACATTATATTAGTCAATCAACCCCTTGGTTACAATGGTTTTTAAAAATTCTTCCACACCTGCATTTTATTTTGTTTTCAAGCACACTTCAGCATATATGCACACCATCCTAAAATCCCAGAAAACTTCCCTTTTGTACCCATTTGAAAAGTACTTAATCTCTCCTCTTATTTCCAGATTCCTACCAAAGGTAGGGTTAGTGACTGGATTAGAGGAGAGCATAGAGGATTTGTCACCTGCTTCAGTCTTTGCTCCTTTCCTTGTTAGCTGTTTGACCTTGGATACTCTCCTGAGCCTTGCTGAGCCTCCGATCCCTGGCAACTGGCTCTGAAGCTTAGCTACCACGGCATGTGGAAGGGCCCAGCCCTCACTGGGGCCCTTAGAAAATTCAAGAAGAAAGAAGACAATAATATATTTTTTGGGGAGTAGCAGCAGATCCTGGATATTCATTTTCTTTTCTTAGTACTCAGCAATAGCCCCAAAGAAAGAATAATTTCTCACCAAATAATACAATATGAGTTAATCAGTTTTTTTTCCCATTCAGCTGGAATTCTGTGTACTAAAGGTATTTACACTGAATTTTCATTTGGACTAAAAGCTTGAGATTGGTAGTCATCTGTGCTTTTGATGAGTAAAGTTAATTTTTATGTTTTAAAGCGGCCATATTGCCTAAATCTTGACAGTCCTATAGGAAAAATAATAACAGGGAAACTTGGTGCTAAAATGTAAGCTCCTAACCCAAAACTAAGGCTTTAACATTTAGAATGTGTGGCCACATCATGCTATGAAATAAATAGAATTTTTGTCTCAGTTATTCTTCATTCTTCTGGTCAACAGGGGAAACACAAATAATTTATGGGAGAATTAGCTTTACCCTCTTCATCAGAACAATGCTACCAAATGACTATTTTCACCTTCCTATTTCCAACCTTTCATTATCATATGTTCTCTTACCTTATTCTCTTAGCACTCTTAAGGGTTTACAGGCAAGAATTGCAACAAATAAGGAAACTGAGATCCGAGAAAGCTAAGAGAATCACATGAGATGAGAGAATTATTAAGTGACTAGTCTTGAGCCAAATTAGGGTCCTGATTTGCCAAGGATCGTTCTAGTTCACACGTATTACCTCAACATAATTATTAAATGATTCCCCTTAACTCTCAAAAAAGAATTTGACTGATTCCTTGGTCACTCTAAGTAGAACACACATTTCCTTAGCCCCAGTCCTGTGCCCTTTCCACTGCATGAAGCTGGGCTTAAATGTATCTGCTCCTTCAGAAAACTAACATCCTGTTTCAGTCCGTGTCTCACTACTTTTGCTGCTTCAGAGCAGAGTGGAGATAAACCGTAGGTGTAGTCAATGCCATCTCTGCACTAATAAAGCTTCTGTTTCCCGGTCAGCTTCCTGCAGGGCAAGAGCTCCTTTTCAAATTACGATCAAGAGCATTAATTTATCAGACATCATGCTGAATATGCCCTGAAGTTTGGTTTGTTTTTTCTATCATTACATCTCCCCAGAGTTGCAGTCAAGAAAAGTCTAAATTATTACTGTAATTATATAAAAAGATCAAAGAACTGGCATTAATTTCTACTTAGTGGACAGTTTAATAGTTCAACCAAATTCCATTAAATCTGATATCATCATTAATAAATATCAACATTTTTATCTAACATTCAAAGAGTTTCACTTTGTCTTTGTGTTTCCTTCAAAATTTGAATTTAAATTTAAACCATCTGTTCCTTTTGAACACAACACATCACACTTACCTGTCCAGCCTGAACGTTGCAAGTTGCCTATGAGATCACTCTAGGTCTCATTAGCATCAGGCTCATGAATGCACACAGTGAAGAGCTGGCAGTGTGAAATGGAACCCAGCAAGCTAGTCTTCAGTTTGGTTAGTAAAATAAAGCACAACTAAATATAAAACCTCTTGCACGTAGATAGCTCTTCATGGCTTTTTGTTGTTTTTGTTTTGAATTTGTTTTGTAAAGCCTAGCAGCTTTGTGATATAAACAGGCCAGGTGTTATCAAAAGTCTGTAGATCTAGAAATGAGGCTCATTCACTTTGGTTCATTCACTCTTCTCTTTTTTTTTTCCTTTTTTCTGTCCACCACCATTCTTCCTGAAGTTCCAGTTTGTCCATTGAGGTTTTCAGTATTTCTTCTAACTGGACAATTTTCCCACCCTCATCATCCCAGAGCTGTAGTCAGCTGGCTCTCAAGGACTCCCCATCAGTGCAGGCGTCCCTGCAGATGACCTCCTAGTATGGCCAGGAATCCCTAAGAAGACCTAGTCGCCTACAAATGAGGGGCCTGCCTGCAGATACATAAATACAGGCCTTGTCGAGCACATGGGCAGACGGCCTGCCCAGAGCCAGCCTTCTCTTGGCACTAAGAATATCAGGTAATTACAAAATGTTGCCTCTTAGCCTCCCAAAGCTTTCAGCCTACTTGGGAAAGCAAGCATTAAGAAAATAAGTTCAAGGCCAGGCACAGTAGTTCACTCCTGTAATCCCAGCATTTTGGGAAGCTGAGGCAGGAGGACCACTTAAGCTCAGGAATTCCAGACTAGCCCTGGCAATATAGCAAGATCTTGCCTCCATAAATAAATAAATAAGCCAGGCATGTTGTCACATGCCCTCAATCCCAGCTACTTGGGGGACTGAGGTGGGAAGATAACTTGAGCCGGAGAGATCGAGGCTGCAGTGAGGCCTGATCATGCCATTGCACTTTAGCCTGGGTGACAGACCCAGACCCTGTCTCAAAAAAAAAAAAAAAAGAAAAGAAAAAAAAGAAAAAGAAAATAAGTAAATAAGTTCAAGTGTGAAGTGATTCACCTGTTCTTATAAAATGACAGAAGCTGGTGGCCTACAGTTTGTAGAGTTGGGATGTCTGCCTCTTTGAAGAAATGACAGTTAAGCTGAGATATGAATAGAAATAAGAGTTGGTCAAGAAATACAAGTCAAGCTTATGATGACTCTTACAGAAGCAATTTTAATAATAAGATACACTGACTCTTTCTCAGTTGAATCTTTGGAATATCATCTTTGTCACTCACAACACCTTGATATTTTTCACCCAGCTTCATTTCAGGGTCTCTAACATAGCCCTCATGTCATAGATTCTACTAAGTGTCAGCTCATTCCCTGAGAGATGAGCCACAGTTCCAGTGTTTTTTGTTTGTTTGTTTTTGTTTTTGTTTTTTTCGGATTCCAGTTTTGTTCAGAGTAATAAGGGGTAAGTGACTTAAGAGGCAAATACCACTGAAGTATGAGCTGTGAAAATATCCCAAAGAAACACAGGGCAGGCTGGGGTGATACAGCACATCAGAAAGGCACAGATATGAGTTCTCCAAGACTAGCTGTGTTTGCAGCAAGATTCTGTGGCCTCAGGAATCCTGGTTGGGGACCCCAAGCTGACCTGCAAAGCCAACACTGATGACTGCCCAGGGCTGCCAGACAGAACAGTCTATGTTATCACAGCAAAGGAGCTCAGGGATAAAAGACCGAAGGAAGGTTTCAGCAGGAGTCCTGTAGATGACCAGGAAGGCTTGTGGGAGGGGAAAAGAGAGACGCATAAAGGGCCCCCCGACTTTGGGGATGCAGCAATCTGGGATTCAGTTCCATGTGTTACTCCCTTGCTGGGCAATGTAAACTAGTCTCTAGGTCATGCAGAGCCTTAATATATGAACTAAGACTGCAAACTGTAGCACTTAGAGACAGTGCACATATGGCAATGAACATCCATCTTGGCACTTGATAGTGTGCAGTAAGAAATAGATATTTTTATTATCGACAGTTGTTAGAAACCAGACTGGGTTTAAGATACGTTCAGACAGGGATGGGTGCACAAAGAACACACAGCAGATGCTGTCTGGAATTGGTGGGGCAGCAAGCTGGGAAGACAGAAAAGCAACCTGTATCAGGGCTCTTCTCTCCCTGAAAAGGTACAAGAGGAGCAGAGGAGAGAATGCATGCATGGCAGGGCCCCGGGAACCCGGACTCAGGCCAGAGCAGCACCAAGGATAAGTTGGGCTCAGCAGCAGCAGCAGCAGCAGCAGCAACAGCAGCAGCAGCAGCAACAGCAGCAGCAGCAGCAGCAGCAGCAGCAGCAGCAAAGCTTTTTTGATGTGGTGACAGTGAATCCTACAGATCCAGTGCCCGGGATTCTGCAGCCACCACCGCAGTCCTCATGACTGGTGACTTTCCCTCTGCTTTAGGCACCAGCTGGTCTGAGGAGACAAGGCAGTAATTAGAATAATTAGGACAAATCATCACAGTGAATTAATGAATCACCAGCCTCCCCCTGGCACGATGGAAGGGTTCAACAAAGAGTGTAACTCCTGGAAATGCCATGGACAATAAATATTCCTGAACTTCTGTGGCACTGCCCGTGTCCAGGGGACAGTTCATTAGGAGGAAAACAACTTTCCCTGTTCCAGATTTGGCTGATCTGGCCAATTTGAACACATGTTTAACTGAATTTTTATTAAGATAAGATCCTGGGGGTTAGACCATGTGACAACATGAAAGCATTACAAATGCAATTATTAAGGTGGAGCCACATGCAAATGATCTTTCTCTAAAAAGAGAGAAAAAGTAAAAACACTACAGGGTTCATTTTCCTTTACTCTGGTTCCTGAACTACAGGCAGGATTTTGGCATTTCAGCAGACAGTCATTGTGATGTGTGACCGTATTTCATTCACCAGGAATCAGCGGGTACAAAGCACTGAGTTTCATATGACGCACATACTGTGATATAGACACTATGCTAAACATGTGACATAAAGGGGTTTTGGTATTTAATACTCACAATAATTATATAAAATATATGTTATTATCTCCAGATTACATAAGAGAAAACTAAAAGTTAGATCGATTATGTACCCTGCCTGAGGTTGCACAGAGAGGAAATGATGGATGAGACTCCCGTCAAGAGTCCACTTCTCTGCCTATTTTCTTCTTAACGTGACTCCACAAGTCGCTATTATAGTAGCTTTGTCTTGTTGAGAATTGCTTCTCTGCTCTGCAGCACTTTCCTGAAAAATAAAGCCTGATTAGCTGAGATTGACGTGTAAGGTAAAATGTAAAAGACTTTGCATTCAATGATTGTACATACCCTCTACTGTGCCAGAGTGTCCCTCAAATTTGCTCTTCTGTTCTTTGAATTCTGAAACTGAATGCATTTTGAGTTGCTGGTGTTCATTCAGAAAATTAATTTGGAAGGAACAAACAAGAAACTTTATTTTCCAGGTGTGTAGCTGTCATCAGTAATGTTCTGGACAAACATCTGTAATATCACCAATGGCAGAAGACCAGCATGGAAGAAATAACCTTCAGATTGGTGCAATCATTGCTCTGAGTCTTCTAGAGCTAACAAATAATAGACATTTGCAAGATGGTGGTAAAGTCATCCAGGAGGCATTGAGGAAGGTTGACGCAGATAATATTTCCTCAAGAGGATGGGCCCAGGCTCTGTGATCTAGCCAACACAGGTGCATGAAAAACAAGTTTAAAAAAATTACTTCAGGTTCCTAATGACTTTGGAGAAATGGGATAATTACCCATCATACCATTTCTGTCAAAACCCAATGACTTTGAGATTGGATGATGGCACCCATGTATTCTTATCTTTCAGACAAGAAGAACTACCATTCAACACATTTCCTCATTTAAATATCATAACACAGTTAGAAGACAGACAATATTTATTCCCATTATGAGGAAAAAAAGAAAAATTGAGTCTTGCAGACAGTAGGCAAAACTAAGAGGGTCACAGTCAAATACTAATAGAACTGGGATTCACAACTGTCTTTAAGGACAGAATTTCAGGCATCTGAAAATGACTATATGTATATGTTTGTTTATGTACACGTGTATGTACATGTATGTATACATAAATGCATATACTTTGAAGAGTGGAATAATTTCAGTGCTCTTCAAATCACTCCACATTTTTATGTTTAAGTATATAATGTCACCTCCTTACTACAGTCTTGAAATGTAACTTTTTAAAATGATATCTTAAAACTGTAAAGGAGTGGTAGGCTAGAAATCCTATTAGCCAAGTCTCTTATTTTATTAAAAAAAAAAAAAAAAAAAGGACTCAAAGCCCCAAGGGCTGTGCCGAATTGCACAGGACTCACAGAAAGCTAGTACCTGAGCCAGAAATTTCACCAGGGGTCTTCTGTGCCAATCACAGCCTTTATCCTGCTTTTAGTCCTCGGCCTCATCGGTGGCAAAGCATTCAGACACTACACACACACACCCCAAGGGGAAGAAAAGCTATTTTTCGTCCCAGATTGCATTTCCTTTTCTGAAACCTCCACTAACTCTTCTCCTGGAACGCCCAGGTATTCACTCTATTAGCATCCTCTCTGAAGAAACAGAAAAGGTGATTAGAAACAAAGGAAGAAAAGCTAGGGAAACTCCTACTCCCGCCTGCCGCTTTGAATGCCACTCCGATGTCCTCCACTTTCTTTACATATTCCCCTGCGCTGCGTGCCTATTGTGAGCACTAATGAACCTGCAGCCGGCCTCCAGGAGAGCGCTGCAGACGCACCTGGCGCCCAGAGAGGCGGACCAGGCTGCCCCAAAGGGAGCAGCCAGATGCAGGAGGAGGAGGCTTCCCAGAGAAGACTTCCACTGCCGGCTTCTTTTCTTCTGTCTTCCGAAGGAAAAAAAAAAGAAGTCAGGGAGGAATTCAATAACAACTCAGCCAAACACCAAGACAGCCACAAAAGAATAGCCTCTTCCAGAAGGTGGGATGAATAGCGAAGCATCCAAGGGAGGCCACCGGCGCTCCTCGGGCGCTCTGAGCGGCCCCTTACACAGGGCGATCTGCATTCCTAAGAATTAGAAGATTCTAGTGCGGTCCACAGGCTCCGTGCCCATTCCCCTCTGACACTTTCTTTGTTCTGCTTTAGGAATTTGTTAAGTTTGGGCTTATGTTCCTGCTGGAGGAGCAACGCTGGCACCTGAATTACAGCCCGATGGCGGGGGATGAGCTGAGTGCTGAGCCTCCGCGAGGGAAGCGCTGTTCAAGCTGCTGGTTGACTTTTCCTGGGGCTGGGGGATCCACCTTCACCAGTCAGCAGAAGTTAGACCGCCTCACAGGCACTCTGTGTTGCTCTCAGTGCTGGAGGCCAGGACCTGAGGGCCGAGGACAGAGCTTGGACAGAGAGGACCGCAGCCTGGGTTTCCCTTGGCCACTGGGAGCACTGGCATCCTTGGCCAAGTTACTGCTTCCCTTTGACGCTCAGCTTCCTCCTGTGTTAATATTTATTTGGTCTGAGGCAGTGCTCTCAGATATGAAACCCATCTCCAAAGAAAATTTTACAAGGAAGCCCTATTTGTAGAACAAATAGAAACTACTCTAATTAAAGCAGCTGGAAGATGAGTAGGGTGTTAGACCGAGGAATTTTAATATTTGTTATACTTAACATCTGGAAACCAATCGTTTCAAGTATAATTCTTGATTACTTACTTTGGCTGAAGCTGCTCACAAAAAAACAAGATATTCTCTGACCACCTAATGAAAACACTCTGCCCCCGGGAGCTCTCTGTGCCTTACACTGACGTACTTTTCCTTCTACTGTTTATCGCCTCTGATGCTATATTATGAATTTATTTGCTTATGTCCTTATTGTATATTTTTCTCATTAGACGCACACTCCATCAGGATCAGGGTTCTTTTCGTTTTATTTGCCATTATATTTCTAGCACTCAAAATAACGCCTGGCACATAATAAATACTTGTTGAATATATGTCTGGATTTCCCAGAATTTAATTGGAATTCTCATGTTCCCCCAAACTTGTATACATGTAGGGCCACCTCAAAGTCTGAGCGGTGAGATGAGTGTTCCCTTGCTCAAGAGTTATTTTCTCTGGGGGAAAAAAATTGAGATGTTTAATTCCTAAGAAGTGCAAATTCTACATATTTTGCTGTACCAAAAATAATCACCCTCTTCATAAAAATTTCAAAGGCACAAGGAGGACCTCAGCATGCATTCCAGAAAAAAAGGCTGAAAAGGGTAGAGCAGCAGAGGCTGGTGCCATACAGTCGACCCATGAGCACTGTGTATGTATGGCCAGGGAGCTCCAGGACACCACTCATCAACTAGAGAGCTCTATAATCAGCAGCAGAGAGCAGGCAGCCTCAGGCTTCAGACTCCTAAAAGTTTTGACTGCATCCCAGGAAATGTCTGAAAATTTGAACAAGTGTGAATTACTGGGTTATTAACACAATTCTTCACAATGGTTCAGGTGCCCTTAGAAGACTTTCGGCCCCTCTTAGGGATGGTGCTAGCCTTTCCCTCTGGAGGAGAATTGCGCAGCGGAAGGAGGCCAGGCTTGGGCTTTAGAGTTGTGTTAAAACTCAGTTCAAATCTACTACTCACTGATTCTGGGAACTTCGAATTTCTATGTCTTACATGTAAAATAAGGTTAGACATAGCTCTCTAATAGGAGTTTGTAATAATTGCAGATACTGTTTATAAAACATCCACCATAGTGCAGAACACAGAGCATTATTATTTTCCACCACTATGACTATAGTTGATGCAATATTAAAAGGTAAGATGCATATATTAACTTCAGTCAACATAAAGAGACATTCTGTGTGGCTACATTACAGCATAAAGCAAGGATGAAGCATAAACCTTCTGAAAATCCAGTGTTTATTAACATAGCTAAGATAAATGGCACTGCCCACAATATACAAAATAAGGGAAAAACATTTAATCTCTCTGTTTCTTTCTGTCTTTTACTTTACTTTTCAAATTGATGGAAAAAGTTCTTTCCACTTTGTTTAAAGTAATTCAATTCAGATACGAGGTCTCAATATATGACTCTGACTTTAACACATTCCAAATTCTTTTCAAATGTATTTTAAATATAAAAAATGTAACCAAACAAAATGTTTTCACTCATAATTTAGTTTCAAGATGGTAGCCTGAATCACAAGGTATAATTCACGGTCCTTCTATAGTATTTGGCAATATGCTTTAGAAGGAAATATGCTCAATGTTTAAAATCTTGGGCTCTGGAGAAGAAAATTCCCAGAACTGTCACTTCTGAGCTGACTGAATTTGGCCCAACTGTAAAATGGTTCTAATAGCCTCTATCTCTTGGGGATGCTATGAGGATGAATTTAAATATGCATATAAAACATTTTTAATAGAACTTGACACATTATAAGCCTTCAAAGAATGTTTTCTGCTGTAATTTTTTATTATTTTGTTTTTATCATCAAAAGTTATAAAGCAGATATTGAAAAATGTCACATCTTTAAAACCCCTCACAGAAAGCAATAATTTTTTTTTTTTTCCTAAGGGTAATGTGGACCTTTGACTCATGCCAGTTGAGCAGAATACTGTTTGTTCCAAACACTATCAAATTTCTCAAAATTGATCTTCAAAGATTTAAAGCAGAGTGGTGTCTACATAATAATGAATATCTACAAACAAAAGAAAATATTAATGATGTATACAGATGTTCCCAAACATATGAGTTGCTTTCTTAAAAATAATCCTGTACTTCTTTAGTGTACAAAGACTTAGATATTTTAATTTCTTAGATCTAGTAAACATAACAATCATTATACTCAAGATGAGTTTACCCAAAATGCACATTTCTCAAATAAAGTCAAAACTATACATGATACTTAAGCAATCAAAAGTTTCATAATTAATTAAAGAAAGATCCAGGGACATAGAACAAAATTTGGTTAAAGGTGAAAAATCTTTTAGTGCTTTGTCAATTCTCATTATCAGGACTTTTTTCTCTGACTTTTTTCCTCTGTCCTGTAGACATCATCCTTCCAAAACCAAGAGAGCCACAATCCTTGTCTCTGAATTGAATAATCATTCTATTCTGTTGCTTTTCCAAACTTCTCCAGATCACAGAAGTTTGGAGTTAGAAGCGCTCTTACCCAGGGGGTGTCTAGCATGGCGGTTCAGGAAATGCACTGTGGAAGCCTATAGACTTGGCTTTAGAATAAGTTTGGCCATTTATGAACTCTAGTTCTCTTCGCACAAGTTACCAAATGTCATCAAGCTTCACTTGCCCCAACTATAAAATGAAGCTAACAACAACAACCTTGCAGGGTTGTTAAGGAGACTGAATTAAAAAATGGATATGAAGTGCTCAACTCAATGGCATAATAGAACTTGTTTCTTTTCCGTAAGATGATACTTGCTCAGAATGTAATTGGATGAGCCTCAGAATGCAATGTTTCATGGTATTTTCCCAGAAAAATAATTCATTTATTGAAATATTAGACTATGTTGAAAGATATTTAAACGAAGCTGAATGGAAGATAATAATATTAATACTAAATATCACAGACACTCTAGGTATGAATATAAAAAACTGTCCATTTATCTTACAAGATCTTGATCCTTTTGGCTGGTTTGGTTGTTTTGTTGGGGGTGGTAGTGATGTTGTTTATTTGTTTTATTGTTGTTTTTATTTTCTATAAAATGTTTACATATCTGAAGCAATTAGATTTAAGATTTCACTTACTTTGTCTTGCGTTTTAGGCTCTGTTGAGGAACACTACTTAAAACAAATTTTAACAGCTATTATATACCCCCCAAATTTAAAAAATAATAAAAAATAAAATAAAGTGAGCCTAATACTATATTTAATGTTATAACCTACCTAGATAAAATACTGGGGTCATAGTAAGCCCCAATAAAAACGTATAGTTTCTTAAGAAAATAATTATAACACCAAAATATATGGTCACAGTTGAAAAAGCAGATACCTAGATGCACTGGCAGCAATGGTTCTACCCATAAGCTTGAAGCCACACAGTTCTGGTATGTCCGCTTTCTGACTTTTTCCCTCTGTCCTGCAGACATCATCCTCCCAAAACCAAGAGAGAGAACCTTAGCCACAATCCTTGACTCTGAATTGAAAAATCATTCTATTCTGTTGCTTTTCTAAGTTGCCAAAGGCCATTTTCACATTTGGAAGAGGGATTATCCATCCCTAGAAAATTTCTAAATCCCCTCAACTTTTTCCATATTTTCCCCTATAAATGATTTGGCTTTCCCTCTTGCTTATTCTCAGAAAACACTCTAAGTTAATTTTCTTGATAGCACTTTCCTCAACACAGAAGCCTCCCTTCCTTCTGCAGGCAAAGTGCTTCTCTATAATGCACAGCTGGCGATAGCCAATCTCTCACCCCAGGCCCCAAGTGTGCCTCACCTTACTCTCTGACCTAGTGGAGGCAAACAAAGTATTTGATCACTGTTTTCTTAGAGCCTAGGTTTTTCACTGAAAAGCATTCCTTATGGGTTAGTATAGAACAAACCAGCGTGGCAATGGCACTGCTAACTGGTTAGTTGTTGTCCTCTGGGATCCAAAGTAAAGATGACCTTCGCCTTCTGTCATCTTCTAAAGTTCTGACCCATAACTGCCCTGGTGGATTTTGGATAGAGGAGTGGTAATAGTGCAACAGGTTCATCTAGCCTGCTGCCGAGAAAGTCAAATGTACTGAGAAGAACAGGTATTACAGCAAAGAAATGAGTTTAATATCACAATGCCAGCCAAGTGAAGAGAACAGGGAGAAACTTCTTAAACCCACCCTTCCATGAGAATTTGAAGGTGTGGGTTTTTTAGGGTACTTTGGCAAGCAGGGGGCTGGGAAACTGAAACAACTGATGAAATCACAGAGGTGTCTAAAACAGCCTTCATGCAGCTGAGTCAGTTTTTGGGAGGGAGTCTCAGAACTTGGTGGCAGCTCTTGGTCTGCTGAAATGCTAAATCTGAAAAATATCTCAGTGGTGATGTTGTCTATGGTGATGATGTAGGTGGGAAGTAACACCCCCCACCTACCCAAGCCCAGTTACATGACTTTGGGGCAGCAAACAACTTACAGGAAAACAAGCTAAGCCATGGCAGGTTATGGTTTAACAATGCCTATTCTTTAGAAAAGTACAACCTGTGCCATAATTCTAACATTGCCCTATGAATCTGGCTTCAATCTTCCAGCAAGGAGGAGGGGCAATTTCCCTAGCCTCAAAGTTTAACTAAAACTAAATTTCTCTCATAGTTATCTTGGCCTCCATGCTAGATTAAGAAAATAAAAATAGTCTGTGAGGTTAGAAGCAAGGTGGAGTCATTCATATTAGATTTATCTCATTACCTATAATTCTTCAAAGGCAGTTTCAGAGACACATTTCCCAAAAGAAGCAATACTTTTTAGAGACTGCACTATAAATCCAAATGTAGAGAAAAACACAAAAGCCATACCAAACACACATAAACAAACACACACTAAATTTACCTGACTCTACAGGGGCACCATCTTGCTAATAAACTCAATTTGCATGACTAATAAAACACTTCCCTCTCAGTTCCAAGCTGGTTTCTTATACATAAGCATTACAAAAAAAAAAAAAATTCCTAATGTGACCCCCTTTTTTTTTTTTGAGATGGCAGGCTGGAGTGCAGGGGTGCGATCTCGGCTCACTGCAAGCTCCGTCTCCTAGTTCAAGCGATTCCCCTGCCTCAGCCTCCCAAGTAGCTGGGACTACAGGTGTGTGCCTCTATGCCCAGCTAACTTTTGTATTTTTAGTAGAGACAGGGTTTCACCATGTTGGCCAGGCTGGTCTCAATCTCCTGACCTCGTGATTTGCCCCCCTTGGCCTCCCAAAGTGCGGGGATTAGAGGCGTGAGCCAGCATGACAGGCCTACCCTTTTCAAGACAAAGAGAACACTGATTTCAAAGATAAATGCCCTGTATGATTCCTAGCCAACTGCCAAATGATAGAACTTCAACAGGTTTTTGAGGAAGTGCCATTGAACACTTCATCCGTTGTACCTTTTCTCAAAACCAGTAGTGAAAAAATATTTTGCAGTCCTGCAACCCTTGCCGATATTAGATAAAATTGAAAATCATTCAGCAATGCCTATCAACTATTTACTGAGAGTCATATGGTACTGTTTTTTTAATTCAGAGAGAGAGAAAAAATATTTATATAGCATAAGTTCTGGCTTTGAGGGGCTCATAGTTCACAAGAGCAAATAAGAGAGGCACGCAGCCAGTGGCAATTTAAAGTAGAAAACAATTGCTATGGCAGAGATTTAAAAGCTATGAATATTCAGAGGAAAAAGAAATTACCTTGTTTGGAAAAATCTGAAAATCTTCAAGGATAGAAGGATTTGGATTATACTTTGAAGGATTAAATAGATTTACAGACATCTTGATGGAAAAGAGTAAGAATATTTGAGGCCGAAAATCCAACAAGATCTAAGTTATGAAGACTGAAAAACATATTAAGTGAACAGTGTATACTAAATTAGCTTGTCAGTTACTGGTAAAAAAAAAATCTTAAACAAAAATTTAAAAAATATATATAACATTTAATGTCTGTTTTCATCTCTTTCTTTTGCTATAAATGAATACCTGAGGTTGGGTAATTTATGGAAAAATGTTTATTTGGCTCACAGTTCTGCTGGCTGGAAGATTGGGTGTCAGGTGAAAGCCTCAGGCTTCCACTCATGTTGGAAGGTGAAGGGGAACCTGTGTGTGACCAGGAGATGCCAGGATATTTTTAACAATCAGCTCTCATGGGAACTAATAGAGTGAGAACTCACTCATTATTGTGAGGATGGCACCAAGCCCTTCATAAAGGACCCGCCCCTGTGAACTTAATGCTTCCCAGTAGATCCCACCTCCAACATTGGGGATCACATTTCAACATGAGGCTTGGGGAGACACGCATCTAAACCATGACAATGTTCTTTATGATTACTCAAGAGCCATTCAGTTGCCTTGTACAGAAATAATTTCATTTTAACCTCACCAGCACCCATTAAAGAAAAGCAGGTATTGGCCGGGAGCAGTGGCTCAAGCTTGTAATCCCAGTACTTCGGGAGGCTGAAGAGGGAGGATCCCTTGAGTCTAGGAGTTCAACACCAGCCTGGGTGACATAGCGAAACCCCATCTCTATCAAAAATACAAAAATCAGCCAGGCATGATGGCACATGCCTGTAGTTCCAGCTACTCAGGAGGCTGAGGCAGGAGGACCACTTGAGCCCAGGAGGTGAAGGTTGCAGTGAGTTGAGATCACGCTACTGCACACTAACTTGAGTAATGGAGCAAAGTCCTGTCTCAAAAAAAAAAAAAAAGCAAGTATTTATATAGCAGAGTGCCTGATATTTAGTCAAACTCTAAAATCATAGCAACTATAATATTATTAGTAGTAGCCAACCACAGAAATGGGAAACTAAAACTCCTTCTTCAGGCTGAGTTCTTCCTATAATTGCTTGCTATTCTAACCAAATAAATATATATTTGAATCCGGTGTTAAATTCTATAATCTAATTGATGTACTGCATTAAGTAATGCATCCTAGAAATGCATTACACACCGGGAAAGTAGTTAAAATTAGTATTTTAAGTGGATTTTTTAACAAAGCCTCCAACTCCATGTACATGAAGAAACAGTCAGATAAATAATGCTAGAATGAAATCCAGAGTTAATACAAGGATGCTTTCCAGAAAGGTCTGGGGACAGGCAGTGTGGTGGTAGGCTCTGACTGCCCACATGTGCCGTGCATCATATGTGACTTACTGCAGGTTGCTGTGTATGTTTCATCTGCTGGGAACAGGAAAATGGCTGGGTGAATTCCCTTTTAGTTTTGGCTTTCTCAAGTTTTAAGTGTCACACATTTTTGGCTTCTGAGTTTGTATCCAGAATTTGTGATTAGGGAATACATTACTGTTCATATTAGATGTATGGTAAACCGTGCTTGCAATCAATCACCATTTTGTGAATGATATTTACCCATTTTCATTTTGTAGGCAATGGGATCTGCTTCAAAGGGCTACAAAACAATCAAAATAACATCAATTACAGTATAGAATGGAATAAGGCTGTACATATGTATGCGTATGGCACTATATATACATATGGCACTGAACAAAAAAAGAGCAGGATCCTAGTGCTAGGTGAATTTTTCCAGGCTTGAATTATCAATGATTCACAGAAGTATGCAATTGCTCCTTGGATTTCCCCGAACAAAGATTAAATTAGTAAGTATTGTAAATAACACCTCACAGAGCAAAACCAGGCTGAACAAATAGCTACATTTGGAAATAGAGACAGAAGATGATGAAATGAAATGCAGCATGGAAAAATACTCAGAAACACAGCCAAGAAGTCCATAAAACAGCAAATCAGCAGCGTTTAGAATGCATTAAGGGAAATGAAAGGAAATCATGAGACCATATGTGTATATTGGCCTAAAGAATAGGAACGGTTGAGTTCCCCCTGCAGAGTTTAGACTCATGCAATGTAAAAAGCACAGAACCAGGATTAAAGAGACACAGACACTGGCTTATGACCCACCCTGGTAGCAGTCTCCTAGAATCAGCTTCCTCATCTACAGGAAGGGAACACAACACCTGCCTTTTGAGTTTCTGGGGAAATGTGATCTGTGTAAGAACACTTTTTAATTTGTAAATTGTGTTCTGAATTTTAGTCATTAAAATTATCATGTTATTTTATAGGGAAAGGCACATGATACTGTGTTACTATTATACAACATAACCATCATTTTTCAGATAAAGAAATTAAAGCTCAGTGAGGTTAGAGTCATAAAGCAAATAATAACAATTACAGTTTAGTGACTGCTTAATGAATGTCAGGCACTGTGTTCCCCTGTTCTTTATTTAATCTTTACAATGATTCTACAAGGTGTATTATTTTCTGTCTAACCTACAATTTAAGGAACCAAGGCTTGAAAAAGTGAAGTGAGTTTTCCCCAAATCAAAGAGCTTATAAAGGATGAAGATGGGATTTAAGTGCAGGTGCATCTATTCTAAGGCTTATACTATTATTCACTGTGTTTCAATGTAGCGACATCATAACTAAGTGTCCTACTACATGAAGGGGCCTATACCAGTCTCAAAAGGGTGTCGGAGAGAGGGATGGGGATATAGATCAGAGAAGGTTTGCTGTGCTCCATTACATGCTGTATAAAAAGAATCTCACTGACTAAGCATGAGTCCCAGGCCAGAGCTTGGGAACACCTGTCAGCCCTGGAGAGCAAATTGAAGCCAAGAGTTGGACAACAAATTAAAACCAAAGTCCTTAAAACACCAGAGGTCACAATCAGGAAAACCAACTTCAGTCATTAAATACAAAGAATAATTGTAGAGGGAACACATCCTGTTAAAAATCAGGATAATGAAATACTGTAATTAAAATGCTGAAGGATCTAGTGGATGTGTAGACAACATGGGTGAAGAAATTGCAAACTTCAGCAGAGAGATAGAAATAAAAAGGACAGATGAAAATATTAGAAGTGGAAAATATTATAAATGAAGAATTTATTAGCTGCTCTTAACAACTGACTCTACAAAGCAGAGGAAAGTTCAATGAACTTGAGAACACATCTATAAAAACTGTTGAAAATGAAATACAAAGACAAAAAAGAATGAAATAAACAGAACATCAGATATCTGAGATAAAACATGAAATGTCTAACAGAAGTGTAATGAGAGCTTCAGAGGGTGGCAGGGACAGGATGAGGCAGAGGAAATACTTGAAGAGACAGTAATCAGGAAACTTCTGACCTAGACATGTGCGAAATGATGGATGAGGAAGCTCCAACCTTTCGTCTCCCAACAGAAACATTGGAAACAAGCAGAAATTGTCAGAACCAACTTTGTCAGAATTCAGGAATACAGTAAAACATTATAGTAATCAAAAAAATACAGAATCAAGAAAATGGTACTTTAAAATGCTAGGAAACCTTTGTACTCTCCCTTCCTCCCGACCTGCCACCTTACCCTCTTTGAACAGTCTTGGTCTTCAAGTGTCTATAGCTTGCATTCCCAGTGTGGGACCCTTTCCCATTGGTCTGGAGTGAAAAGAATAAGATCTTATTAGAAAATATTGTGTTTATCAGTTCTGCCCTGTGTAGGGCTACCTGTAGGAGTGACATAAGTTCTTTATCTCTGTTTTGCCAAACTGGAAACTCAGGCTGGAAAGGCAGCTAGTATTGCCAGGAACATTGCAAGCCAAAGTAAGGACCCTCAGATGCTTATGACAAAAGCTGACTGTCAAAGCATACAATAGACTACCTAAAGTCAAAACTGAAAGCTAGGGAGCGTTTCTTTAGAAATTAACAAAAGGAGACAAGTATGCTGAGAAATTCAGAAAGCTACATGTGTACCCAAAAGACACATGCTCAGCAAAGGCCTCAGAAGACCTTGAGTTTTCATCGTGGGCTGTTGTCTAGCCAGTGCAAACCTGTCTAAGTGTTGAGGAGGGTCCTGACACAGAACCAATCTGCAAAGACCAGGAGAAGTGGTTATTTTCCCTGTACCCCCACCCACCTTGCCCTCACTCTCACTATCACTCTGGCTTTCATTTTATTTTGTTTTTATTTGTTTTGTTGCTTATAATTTTTTTTTAATCAACGAGATCAAAAATTGGTCTTTGAAAGGAACAAGAAAATTGACAAATCTCTAGCTGGACTTACAAAAAAGATAAAAAGAGAGGAGACACAAATAACTAAAATCAGAAATGAAAGTAGAAACATTACTTCCTACCCCACTGGAAGAAAAAGGATTACAATAAAACACTATGAAAAATTATATGTCAACAAATTAGACAACCAGATGAAATAAAAAAATTCCTAGAAACATGTAAATAACTAAACTGACTCAAGTAGAGACTCTCAACAAACTTATAACAACCAAAAACATTGAATTAGTAATATAAAATCTCCCAACTAAGGAAAGTCCAGGACCAGATGGCTTAACTGTTGAATTCACTACTTAATGTGATAGCACAAAAGACATTGCCAGCTTTGACTGATGGAACAGAGATGAGAAGAAATGAAGGAGAGTCTCTCAGACTTCTGAGATCTACAGGCAGCAAAAAGGCAAATAGAGCTAATGAGTTGTGAACATGTGTGATTCTTCAAGAAAAGGGAAGAATAACTCCAAGTTTGCCTTGAGACCAAAGAGGCTGATGGGGCCTCTAGGGTTGCAGATTCTGAAGCTGAATTAGGCTTCTGTAGACCCAGAGGGCAGAGTGACAAGCTACAGTGGGTTATTTGCAGGCCTTGAAAACTAATGGGATTTATTCTGCTTTATTTCCAAATATCTTGGGGTCTGTGACCCTTTTATTCCTTCCAATTTCTCTCCTTTAAAATGGAAGTGTCAATCCTATGGCTATTACTACCCTTGCATTTTGAAAGCATATAATTTATCCTCTAATTTCACAGCTCCACACATGAAGAATTTTACTGCAGAGTAGGCCATACCCAGACTCTCATCCAGACTTGATTTAGATGATTTAGAAAATGAGAAGTGGAGCTTTTAAAAACTGATGACATTATATGAGGTTTTGAACTTAGAGTTGATACTGAAAAGGGCTAAGATTTTGTGTAGGTTAGGACGGGGGTGGATGAGTTTTGCACATAGGAAGGATATAAATTTTGAGAGCCTAGAGGCAGACTATTATGGGTTGAATTGCCCCTTCTGCCCCCACCAAAAGATATGTTGATGTCCTTAACTCCAGTACATGTGAATGTGGCCTTATTTGGAAACAGGGTCTTTGCAGATGTGATTATTTAAGATGAAGTTACATTGGATTGGGGTAGGCCCTACATCCAATGACCAGTGTCCTTATAAAAAGGCCACTTGAAGACCCAGAGACAAGCACACAGTGAAATGACAGCCATATGAAGACAGAGGCAGAAATGAGAATGATGTAGCTACTAGTCAGGGAAGGACAAGGACTGCCAGCAATGACCAGCAGCCAGGGAGTGGCAAGAAAACGTTCTTCTCTAGAGAGAATAAATTTTTGTTGTTCTAATCCACCCAATTTATGGATATTTGTTCTGACAGCCCTGGGAAATAAATACAGCTCCCCACCAAAAAAAAAAAAAAATCCACTTTAGTTACAAATACACATATAAATACAAAAGGTAAAGAATAGTTTAAAAATATAGATATGTAATGATAACACTAGACCAAGAGAAAAGAACTGGAGTGGCAATATTAACATCAGAAAAAGGAGATTTTAGAGCAAAGAGGTAAAAGTCACTTTATAAAGATGAAAGACTGAATACATTAAGACACCATGCTAGTTTACGACATTTACGTACCTAATAACAAAATATATGAGGCAAAACCTAATAGAATTGTATGGAGAAACAGATAATTATTGTAGGAAATTTTAATACACCTCTTTCAGTAACTGATAGAATAAGTAGCCAGAATTAAAAAGGCTATTAAAGATATGAAAACCATCAACCAACTTAACAAAATTAAAATGGGTGGAACACTCTACCCAACGACAGCAGAATACACATTATTTTCATGTGTACATGGAACATTTTTCAAGTTAGGCCATATGTTTTTCCATAAAACAATTCTCAATAAACTTAAAGATTCAAATTGTGAAAAAATTTTTTGTCTGAAAATAACTAAATTGGAATGAAAAATAGAAGTCACTGGAAAATCTCCAAATAGCTTCAAATTAAATAAATAACAAAGCTTTAAAACATCAACATGGAAAATAGAAAGTAGTTTGAACTGAATAAAAATGAAATGTCAAAAGTTATGGGATTCTGATAAACAGTGCTCAGGGAAAAATTTAGAGCATTGAGTCTCAGTCTCAGTATTAGAAAGGAAGAATGGTCTCAGAACAATGTCCTCAGTGTACACCACAAGAAACCAGAAAAAGAAGAGCCAATTAAACCCAAAGTAAGTTTTAAAAATAGTAAATATCAAAACAAAAAGCAATGAAATACAAAACAGAAAAACAACAGAGTGTGAATGATAGACACTGGAGATTTGGAAGTAGGGGTGAGGTGAAAGTGGGGAAGGCGTTGAGAAACTTCTTAATGAGTACGATGTACATTATTCAGGTGATGGATACACTGAAAGTCAATACTTCATTAGGAGGTAATGTGCGCATATAACAAAATTGCGCTTGTACCCCTTAAATTTATACAAATTGTTGAAAGGAAACCAAATGATGGTTAGTTATTTAAGAATATCATTAAGCTTATTTTAAAACTGTTAAAGTTTTGGTCAGATTGATTAGGAAAGGAAGAGAGAAGACAGAACTTATCAAAATCAGAAGGAAGAGAATGGTGTAGTGACATTACCACAGATTTTAAAAACACTAAAAGAATAATCAGAAAGTAGAATGAACACCTTTTGCCAATATCTTTGACAACTTAGATGAAATGAACAAATTTCCTGAAAGACAAAAACCACCAAAGTACACTCAAAAAGAAACAAATAATTAGTATAGTCTTATATTTACTAAAGAAATTGTACTCATACAAAGAACATTCCAGGCCCAGATGACCACTAATAAGTGCCACCACCAGCATTCAAGGAAGAAATAAAATCAAATCTACAAAAAACCTTCAGAAAACTGAAAAGTGGGTATTATCTGCCAAATCATTCTATGAGCCAGCATCATCCAGAAACCAAAACCAGAAATAGATATTTCAAGAAAAGAGAACTATAGACTAACATACCTTATGAATAAAATGTCAGCGTTCTGAAAAAAATTTTAGAAAGTGCTATTTATTCAACAATATATAAAAATAATAGTACATGATAACCAAATGGATTTTTCTTGGGACTGCAAACATTAATTCTTTAACACTTGACAGCCAAGAAAGAAAATTCACCATCTTACTAAACCACCAAAGAAAAAAGCCGCTTAACAGAGAGAAAGCATTTGACAATTCTAGTATTCATTCCTGATATAAACTTTTAACAAATGCGAAATAGAAGGGAGCATTTTCAACCTGAAAAAAGACATCTAGGGAAAACTCCACAGTTAATATCAAGCTTTATGGTAAAAGATTGAATTTTTTAATAAGATCAAGAACAGATCACAGATTTCTGCTCTCACTATTTCTACTCAACACTTTACTGAAGGTCCCTATCAGTACATTAAGGCACGAGAAAAAGATACCACAATCAGAAAGGAAGAACTAAAATTTTCTTTAATCACTAATGGCATTAATCATCTTTGTAGAACATGGAGTGAAATCTACAAACAAAGGCACTGGAATTAATAAATATGTTCATCAAAGTTTCAAGACATACAGAACAAATTAAAAAGTTATAAAAATAAATTTTACTTATATATACTTTCATTAAATGACTTTAAAAAAATGGTTTTTTTCCGAAAATTATATGTACCATTTAAAACACATGACATATTTAGGGATAGATGTGATTTAAAAATTTGAAAGAACTGTGCAAAACATTGCTGGAAGAAAAGTAAAGAGAGTAAAGTAAGTGAAGAGCTATGCCATTTTTATGGATTGGAAGATGCAATATTGTTAAGATGTTAATTCTTTTCAAATTCATCTTTATACAATCCCAATTCAATACTATCTTAATAAAAACCACATAAGATTGTATTGTTGATATTGACAAGTTAATTATAACATTTATTTGGACAGGCAAAGAAACTAGACTAGCCAAAACAACTTTAAAAAAAGAAAAAAGAACCAAGTTTGAAAACTATCTGATTTCAAGCCTTATAGTAAGAAAGACAGCGTGTTTTGTTATATATATAGACAGATTAATGAAACAGAATACAGATTGCAGAAAGAAACTCACACATATAGGTTAACTGATTTTCAGCAAAGATGTAAAGGCTATTCAGTGAAGACAGAATGATCTTTTGACAAATGGTGCTAGAACAATAGCATATCCACTTGCAAAAGCAAACAAAAGCAAAAGCAAAAACAAACAAAAAAACCCAAAAAACGAAAACACAAGTAAAACCCTGATTCATTTCTTGTGCCACATACAAAAATTAACTCAAATTATATCGTAGGTCCAAATGAAATAATAAAAACTAAAAATCTGCTGGAAGAAAGCAGGAATTAGGAAAAGATTTCTAAGAACTAACACCAAAAGCCCAATTTATTAAAAAAAAAAAAAAACCACCACTGGTAAATTTAAATTTGTCAAAATTAAAAGCCTATGCACTTTAAAAGACACTGTTGAGATAATGAAAGACAACTTAAAGATGATGAAAAGTGGACTAACCAGAACTCTATTATACTGCTGGTAACAATGTAAAATGACACAACCACATTGGAAAACAGTTTGGCAGTTGTTTATAGAGTCAAATATACACCTACTCTATCATTCACCACTTCTACTCCTAGGTAATTTCTCAAGAGGAATAAAAACGTGTAAAAAAGACTTCTACAAAATTAACAGAAGACTTATTCATAATAGTCCAAACCTGTAAACAATTCTAATGGTCATCAAAAAAGAATAAGAAAATAAAATATGATGTTATATATATTCATTTAGTGGAAAACTACTTAGCAAAAAGAAGATGTCATCTACTGATACATACAAATCATGAATGTAAAAAACACAGATTATTCTGACTAGACAGAGTCAGACATATACAAGCACATATTGTAGAATTCTATTTAAATCAACTTCTGAAGTAGGTAAAACTAACAGACAGTAGAAGTTGCCTCAGCAGAGACTGAATGGAAAGAAGCAAAGAATATGTTTGTGGGTGATGGAAAAAACTCTGTTGTTTAGGTGGTGGTAACATGAATGCATGCTATTACAAAAACTGATTAATAGAAATACTTAACTATTTATTTTATGATACGTAAATTATACTTCAACATAAAGTTGAGAAAACAAGGGGAGCTGCAGATAAAGACTAACAAATTTATTAGCAAGTTCAATAAGTGTAATTATTTCTCATCTCCAACCGGTAAAAGATAAAATTGGGAAATGATTTCAGCTATGGTATGACGTGAGCAAGAAGTTAGCCCTTGTTGCTATAAGCCACTGAGATTGTGGGATTGTTTGTTCATGAGACATAACCAAGCAAAAGGTGTTACTTGTTCCAAGACAAATTAGCCACCTATTTCTGCCGTTTAAAAATAAATCTCGAGGCCAAGGCGGGCGGATCATGAGGTCAGGAAATCGAGACCATCCTGGCTAACACGGTGAAACCCCGTCTCTACTAAAAAATACAAAAAATTAGCCGGGCGTGGTGGCGGGCACCTGTAGTTCCAGCTACTAGGGAGGCTGAGGCAGGAGAATGGCGTGAACCCGGGAGGCGGAGCTTGCAGTGAGCCAAGATCGAGCCGCTGCACTCCAGCCTGGGCGACAGAGCAAGACTCGGTCTCAAAAAATAAAAATAAAAAAAAAAACTCACCATCTTCAAATGTTTAAAGTATAAAATATATTAATTACCTATAATTTGTTTGCTTACTTGTTTTTGCTTGTTTTGATGTTTGCTGTTTATTATTTCTAGTGAGATGGTAAAATTCTACACAGCCAAGGCCAAGTAACAGGGAGTATAGAAATTGATATTGGAGGCTAGAAATACGATAATCTATGATATGCCTTTTTTAATACTAATAACTTAAAATGATTATCACGGCTGCAAATGGCAATTATTTTCATGTTAGTAGAGGGATGAATCTTTTTCTTTTCTGAATTACTGAAGGTCAGAGAAGAAAAGAAAGTTTCTGACAATCCTCATCCTATCTCCTAATATTCTTTGCTTCCAGAAAAATGAGTGCTAAGGCTAGAAGAAAGGGAGGTATTTGAAACCAACATATATTAACTGAATACTATGTATTTGGCATTTTTGTGGGATGCTTTGTGTACATTGTGTTGTTTAATCTTCATTAATCTTCATTTAAAGGTACAAATTATCTATTATAATCACTGTTTTAGAGATGAAGAAATTGGGGCTCACGGATTAAATGACACCTATTTTTCATATCACACACTACAAAATCTCAAACACAGGTGAGTATGATGGTGAAGAGGGTGTACTATGTTTCCTGTCTTTATTTATCCTAAAACAATTGCCAAAGTCTCCCATTTGTGAGTCAGAACAGCTTTATGACCTCCAAACCACTGTCCAAGGAATAGGAAGAAAAAGTGTTATTTGATTTGTGGTAAAGACAGCATATCAGATTTGTTTAATTGCTTCTTCATTATTTAGTTCTCAGAAACACCATCTATTAATCACCTGAGAGTTAATCATACTACATTGTATCCATTACAAGCAGAAGCCATTAGTCAGAAAGCCAACAGCAAAGACAGTGCTTATGAAAAGCAATCATCATTTTGGATGTGGGCCAGCATTTACCCAGCTGCCTGTTGGCTAATGACACACAACAGAACACTTTAGAGAGATATGGCTAAGAGGAAGCAGACATTTTATTTGTTTTCCAAAGAAAACAAAGAGTGAAATAAAAAAAAAAAGTACTCAGTGAAGTTAAAAAACATGTTCTTTTGGAATTTCTAATCATTTCTGAGTTTGTCATGGCTCACTAAAGATTAAAAATGTATCAGATGTGGTGTGCAGGCTATAAACAAATGCATCATCATGAAGAAACTGGGGAGAATAAAGGCAAAAAAAATGAAAACAACTAGAACTCTCCAGATTGAAGACAACCCAATTGTCCTTTTATTCAGAGACAATATGGCCACAAAAATTATGTGTTCAAAAAGACTTACATTTATCTTTTTGGAAAATGTATCCAACACTATGTGATGTAGTACCTCACTTAAACCTATCCCCTCCCTCTTCCTTCGGCAATCTAATTGATTTTAAAAGAGTTAACAGCAATTCTTTAGAAAGTGTTAATAAGGATATTTAGGCAATTCTAAAATGCCATTTTATACACACATTAGCAAATGCCATTCTTGGAGTCTATGTTATCTAGTAGCAGTCTGGGTGGTGTGGTGTCTTCTGAGGGGCTTCAGAGTACCTTTCATATGCAGGAAATATTTTCAGCAGTACGTTTGCAAACCATGAGATTCTACCACTAGAGTAACAGGTTTCAGGTGTGTGTCACTTTCCTACCTGTTAATCTTAAGGTTAAAAACAATTATTGGATTTCTCAAAGAATGATACTGGAACTCACTGAATTTTGGGAAAGTAAAATCCAGAGACTCGAATGGTGCCTTCATCTATTCAGGCAGCTGTAACAAATTTATAAGCAACAGAATTTATAAGCAGAGTAATTTATAAGCAGAGTAATTTATAAGCAACAGAATTCATTGTTCACAGTCCTGAAGGCTGGAAAGTCCAAGATCAAGATGCCAACAGATTCAACATGCGGCAAGGGCCCATTCCTTGTAGATAACACATTTTGCTGCATTTTCACATGGCAAAAGGGGTGAACAAGCTCCCTCAAGCGTTTTTCACAAGGGCACTAATTTCATTTTTAAGGGCAGAGCCCTCTTGACCTAATCAGCCAAAAGCCTCGCCTGGTAATACCGTGACCTTGGGGGTTAGGTTTCAACATGTGAATCTTGAGGAAATACAATTCTTCAGACCATAACAAATGTATAAAACGATAGCAAGCTTTGTAGTTCTTCACAGGCACTCTAATGTCTGAGCACAACTACTACTTACATGTTCAACCTCTTCAGTTTTATCAGCCATATTTGGCGTAACATATATGACTTTTTTGGTTTTTTTTTGTTTTTTTGTTTTTTTTGTGATGGAGTTTCACTCTTGTCACCCAGGCTGGTGTGCAACGGTGTGATCTCAGTTCACTGCAACCTCCACCTCCCGGGTTCAAGCAATTCTCCTGCCTCAGCCTCCCAAGTAGCTGGGATTACAGGCACCCGCCACCACACCTGGCTAATTTTCATATTTTTAGTAGAGATGGTGTTTCACCATGTTGCCCAGGCTGGTCTCGAACTCCTGACCTCAGGTGATCCACCCACCTCGGCCTCCCAAAGCGCTGGAATTACAGGCATGAACCACCACACCCGGCCCATATATGACTTTTTTAAGGTCTCATCTAAAAATATCCAAGTGACATGGTCCAGCAAAATTTGATGGAACCCCATAAAGAGAAAGAAAGAAAAATACAAGAAATTTTTACCAGTATTCCAAATTTCCTAGTTATTGCCATGCTTTATATCTGGAAAGGCATTCTGACTGGGCCTTATACAGAGGTATATAATGAAAGAAAATGGAAATTTAGGTAGGCAAATGTTTATTGAAGTTTTATGCAATGTGCAAGAAATATACACATTATCTCATTTAATCTTATCAATAATTGTAGACATTCTTTGCCTGTCATCTATATGGGGAATCTGGAGATCAGCTAGTTTGTGTATTTTGCCTAAATTCATATAGGACTTTAATTAAGCAATTTTTGTTTTTAAAACTTTTTTTTAAATTACCAAATCTTCATGTTTTTTCAGGTATATCTTCCCCTTATTTTATAATGCTGTAAGTTTTGCACTTGAAGAGATACTGGGGATATTCAGAATAGCTTAACATTGGTAACATCTTCATACATGACCTTCAATGGACATACAGAAGCAAAACTCCATATCCACTTCAACGGGGTTGCCATTTGAAATCGTGGGGTCGAGTCGTTGAGTGTGGCAATATCGTGCTAAACTAGGACTCACCGAGAGAGAAGTTGCTAAATGTGGTAAGCACTGGCCTTGTCCTTTAGCATAAATCTCAGGGCTACCTGACCTTGAGAGGAACCCCTACCAGCAGGTTAATGTTGGCCCCACTCTTCAGAGTTTACTGTTTTCATCTACAACAACTTAAATTGCAATGTAGGACCCCGTTTTTCCACATTGATGCCATGCTTTCCAATAGTTTCAATGTTATATTTTCCCATGTGCCGCTGGACTCCACTCTTAAGGCTTCCTATTAAAAAATAGACCACACAGTCTTTCTAAAACTCTCAGGAAGAAGGTACCTGACCTTTCCTAAACACCCAGAAGCCCCGTATCTGCCAACAGTACCCATACCAGGCAATAAACAGGCCTCACTGTACAAATAATATTTTGGAACAAGTTTGTGACATTTGTTGTTGAATCCCCAATGCATAGCAGGGAGTCTGGAATCTAATAAGTGCTTCCTCTCTATGTCTTGTTTTTCATTCATGCAGCAGCTATTTATTAAGAATCCTCATATCAGGAACTGTGATTGCACTGGAAACACAGGGAAAAGACTGAGGTCAAGGGAAGATGTGGACACCTAGGTGACCAGGTCATGATTAAAAGGATCAATTGGGGCACTTATGCAATATGACGTTTCCTTGAAGGGACCTGAATGGAGCAACCAAGTTAATTCTTGTATCAGGCAAGGCAGAATCTTGAAGGTTAACTAGGAGTTTTTCAGGTGGAAAGAGGGGTTATAAAAAAGACGTGGGAAATAATCCTGTAAACCAACCAATTGCTCAGAAATATTCTCCACCTATTTTTCTTCACAGTATCTCAACTCATGAAACATTCGGTCCTAAGATATCAAGTGCAATCTGATTCCAGCCTGTGCATTTTGACAACCTTTGACTGCTCTGCCAATCGCCAGGTGCCCCTCTCCAGCCCAGTCAGTCGTTTCTGGCTCCATTCATAACTCTGCCGGATGCCTCATTAGAGAAGTGTCCTGAGACTTCTTGTGAGATATGCCTTCCTGAGACCTACCCAATGTGCCCATGCTGACTCCTACCAGACAGCTGAGAGACCAACTCAGAGAAGAATAGCAAAGAAAGCAGAAAATGGGAGGCTTTATCCCAGTGCCCAATCCCTGCTAGCTGAGCCAGTTGAGAGTCACAAACCAGGGAAATCCAGAGATTTTAGTTTCATCTATGGCCACTGGGGGTGAGCAGTAAGAAACTGAGGACTGTAAGATGGAAGGCAACATGACAGTGGTACAAAGGAGCTGTTTGTTGTGTTTTTGTTGATGGTAGACCACTTATAGCTATTTCTCTTTAATTAAAAAAAACTGTTTTATGCAGCAAAGAAAAACAAAATTGAGTATATATTTATGTTGCACCATTTTTAAGGAGAATCCAGGTAAGATTCTAAAATAAAATAAAATAAAATAAAATGTATTAAGAGAGAAGATGGGCAAGGGTGGAGAAGAGAAAGAGAGACAGAGAGAGAGGGAGAGAAAGAAACTTTTCACCAAGTATTCTAAAGTACTGGTAGCCAAAATGAAGGCTCATTTCTGTTCTACAAAGAGAAATAACCTATAAGTGCAAGTGTTTGAAATGTTAGCTCCAGGAGAATTAGTGTGACGGGAAGTAACACTTCCTGTAAAACCAGTCTCCTTACAGACGCATCACCATCTTCTTCCAGGCAATTGTGTTTAGAAGTCAGGCAAAGGCAAGCTCTCAGAGGCAGAATTCCATTTTGGACTGCAGGCATGTAATCCATAACTTCACCAAGCAGTCAGTAAACAAATTCATGAGGATATCTTTCTCTCATGTTTTTTTTTTCCTTCCAGACCTTGCATTTTATTATCTCACATGATGAATTCCTGCTTTCATGTATATAAAGACAACATTACAAGTTTTACCTGTATTTTGAATACTACAGTTCAGCTTCTTCTAATTTAAGTCAGTCTCCTGGTCAGCTACCAGACTCAATCCATCCCCCTTCAAATTCTGTTTTATGTTTCAAATCCCCCAATCTTTGACCCTTACTCCAAGAAGGATTAGAATAAGTATCACACATGAAATAGAGGCAATAAAAATGAACATTCCACTTTGATCTTTCCATTTGAATATTTTGTGGTGCAAACAGAGAAGAGTAAAGGAGGAAGCAGGTCTTCTTCAAAGCAGCGTTCTAAATAGTGTATGACAGCCAATTACTGAGTCTAGCGCGGTCTTTCACACTTCCTGCTTCAAATGAGAATGCAAAGGAAGCCGTGTTCCTTTCCATAGATAACTTTTTTGATGAGAACATTGAAGAATTTGCACTGGAAAAAATAGAATTATAATGGAATTACACAAAATACTGTATACACCTGCCTTTACTGAAGCCATTTTGTCCAGATGTTAAATATTCAGACATCAAAACACTTAAATTAATGAGATAAAATCTAAAAGTTACTAGTTAGATGTATTAAATATGGTTTAAAAATACCTGATTGAATACCAAAAAGATCTGTTGTTGTTGTTGTTGTTGTTTTTTGAGACAGAGTCTCGCTCTGTTGCTCAGGGTGGAATGCACTGGCACAATCTCAGCTCATTGCAACATTTGCCTTATGGGTTCAAGTAATTCTCCTGCCTCAGCCTCCCAAGTAGCTGGGATTACAGGCGTGTGCCACGAGGCCCAGCTGATTTTTGTATGTTTAGTAGGGACGGGGTTTTGCCATGTTGCGTAGGCTGGTCTGGAAGTCCTGGCCTCAAGTGATCCAACGACCTTGGCCTCCCAAAGTGTTGGGATTACAGGCGTAAGCCACTGTGCCTAGTCCCCAAAAATATCATTTTTATAAAATAAGATAAAATAATAGTTGCACCATAAAGTTACTTTAGAAGTTTTTTTTTAATTTAAGAAACTATTTCATAAGCACCTTGCAATAGAACTTAAAACCTTCAAAACAACAGCCAGCAGCAAACAAAAGATGAATAAGTGGTACTGCATATGAAAATGAGAGGAAGATATAGAAAAAAGAGGAGGACTGGTGAAGGGAAAAGGGAGAAAGTGGAGCGGGAGCAGGTTCAAGGCTAGGGATGAGATGGCATGGGAAAAGTTCTCACAATGGGTGGCCAAAAGTGGGCCAGTGGGATGGTTACCTTAGATGTGAGTACCCCCTCTTCCACCCCCTCCTCTTACTGTATCTCTCATAAAAGCGGCAAACTACAAATGTCTATGAATGAGGACTTTCTGCAAATATTAAAGAAAAGGGTGTATTTGACATCTGGGTTTTCAAGCCCAAAATTCAGGCATCACAAAAGGATAAAAAAAATCAACTGGCCAGGTGCAGTGGCTCACGCCTGTAATCCCAGCACTTTGGGAGACCAAGGCGGGCGGATCACGAGGTCAGGAGATCGAGACCATCCTGGCTAACACGGTGAAACACCGTCTCTACTAAAAATACAAAAAAGTTAGCCAGGCGTGGTGGCGGGCACCTGTAGTCCCAGCTACTCAGGAGGCTGAGGCAGGAGAATGGCATGAACCCAGGAGGCGGAGTTTTCAGTGAGCCAAGATCGCGCCACTGCACTCCAGCCTGGGCGACAGACCCAGACTCCGTCTCAAAAAAAAAAAAAAGAAAAAAATCAGTTAAGCAATTAAACAAATCGGCAGAAGCCAGATTCTGATCCAAAGTTCACCACTAAAACACAATTCCCTCTTCACTCCACTGCCCCATCCCACACTTCTGTTGCAGCTAAAAACTATCAAAGAAGTTTATTTCTGTACACTTCTCTTAGCCTTATAAATTAAGAAGGAGATTCTAGAATGGGTAAAACCATGCTTTGTCTGGAAAGATGCTTGATTTTGTTACAGGAAAGGGGTCCTGATCCAGACCCCCAGAGAGGGGTCTTAGATCTCAGGCAAGAAAGACTTCAGGGAGAGCCTGCAGTGCAAAGTGAAATAGATAAATACTGGAACAAAATATTCCAATATTACTTTTAAGAGCTGAGAGGTTCCAATTGACTCCTGGCTTATGCTTTCTTGGATTTTAACCAAGCAGATATAATTCCAACTGTTTCTCTACTATTCACCAGGCAGCTAAGGCCTACCTGGACACTTGTCTCGGCCTTATAAATTAAGAAGGGGATTCTAGAATGGGTAAAACCACGCTTTGTCTGGAAAGATGCTTGATTTTGTTACAGGAAAGTGGTCCTGATCCAGACCCCCAGAGAGGGTTCTTGGATCTCAGGCAGGAAAGAATTCAGGGCGAGCCTGCGGTGCAACGTGAAAGCAAGTTTATTAAGGAAGTAAAGGAATAAAAGAATGGCTACTCCATAGACAGAGCAGCCCTGGGGGCTGCTGATTGCCCATTTTTATGGCTATTTCTTGATGATATGCTAAACAAGGGGTGGATTATTCATGCTTCCCCATTTTAGACCATATAGGGTAACTTCCTGACACTGCCATTGCATTTGTAAACTGTCATGGCGCTGGTGAAAGTGTAGCAGTGAGGACGATCGGAGAAGAGTCTCATCCCCATTTCAGTTTTGGTGGGTTTTGGCTGGTTCCTTTACTGCAGCCTGTTTTATCAGCCAGGTATTTATGACCTGTATTTTGTGCTGACCTCCTGTCTCATCCTGTGACTTAGAATGCCTTAACCATCTGGGTATGCAGCCCGGTAGGTTTCAGTCTCATTTTACCAAGCTCCTCTTTAAGATGGAGTTGCTTTGGTTCAAATGCTTCTGACAATTTGACCTAAGCCTGAAATACTTTCCTGAATGAGATGACATTTGTGGACCCTGACACACCAGCCACGATCCTGACCTTGACATCAAGAAAAATATTGATATTGATAAAAATATATATACATGTATCTATAGATAAAGATGTAGATATAGATATAAAATTAGTTTCCTCAGGCGGGCATTCATTTTATATTCACAGGGTTCTGTGTGCCAAACACTGAGTCAGTATCACGGAGTTACATGCATGTTTTAAAGAATTTGATTGTTTTAAATGTTTTAAACCTACAATTTTTTTTTGTTATTCAGCACTTTCTGTTGTTCAGGCACACAGTAGTCTGTACAATATGTTAAATCTTTTCAGTAATCAGATTTGTTGCTCAAGTCACTTTGTGTCATCTACACATCTGCATTAATCTAGGAAAGAGTTATGTGTAGCAATAATCTAGGAAACAGTTCATCTGTAGCAATTTTTACCTTAGTTCAGACCAAAGCAACTGATCAGGTTTTGATGTTTTAAGAGTCAGCATGACAAGTGAAAAAGTGTGGTCTTTTGAATTAGCCAGGCCTGGATTTGTAGTCATACTCTGCTTCCTCATGACAGAGTGTTACTCTTGGATGTGTCATGGTAATTCTCTGAGCCCCTGTTTTCCTCTTACATAAATGGAATTTAAAATATTTATCTTCATTTTGAGTAGACACTTACAATAGATGTATTAGAATTTGTTACCAACATCCTGATGAATCTGTCTTGATTGCAAAAATTTTAATGTGGCCTAAATGTTAAAAGTCCATTTTAAAAAGTAGAACAGAGAAGATATTGTTTTTTTGTCCTTGAGGCAACATTCAACTCTGTCCACTCACATAACTTGGTGGCACTCTTTAACTTTTCTGACTCCCTAGATTATAACCCTTGCTTCCTGCCTGAACCACATAAGAGATACAGTGCTTTCTTCTCTGCACTAACAGATCTGCCTGGATTTAAAACTGTGTCTGTATAAATCTGCAGTGTCAGCCAAACGACTGATGCTGTCCTTGACTGTTTAACTCTCACTGCTTCCCATTCTCCCATAGATTATAATTTGTGAGCCAACTTCAGTTGTCATCTGGTACTTCTTGAAGCTAAATTATATCAGTTTCATCTATTTTGGATTTTATTCCTTATAAATATTGCCAAAGAATTGAAATTCAAAATTTTGTCCTATTTCTCCAATGCATTTCCAAAAATCAAGTTTTATATTCTCTAATTAGGAGCCAAAACCTCTAACTCATTGATATTTCTATATATAGTAAAAAAATAGTTTGGAAATGAAATCCACTTGTTTGTCAATAAGCCTGACCAGTTGTCGTCTACGGATGTCTATTTCGTGTTTCCATGTTTTATTAGTTACTACTGATCAGAAGGAAAAAAATAAAATAAAATAAAAAAATTAAAAAAACTTTTAACTAAGAAGCAAATTTCTTGTGTAGTCTGTAATTATCAGTTAATACATTCTTTCCAGTGAACCATATTTGCAATGCTATTTTATTTATGGTGGCATTTAGATATCCCTGATTGCTTTAATGTCTGGCATGTAAAGAGTTTTTTCATCTAACATAGCATCAAACATCTGGATGGGAGCTTAACATTTAAGTAATTTAGCTCTATATTTTCAATTATCCTCATGTTTGATATCTTATGGAGCAAATATCCAGATGTGTCACTGAAGATTTCATTTTTTAGCCAGATGTTTTATTGTCTAGTAGGCATTTTTCAAATGAAAAAAATGTATTTTTACTTTTCTTAATAAAGCAATCTTTTTCTAGCCTTTTAGTTTCCAAAGTCTCGATTCCATACTCAACAGAAAATCCAATTTCCTTGAAGCTGAATTTTTTTTTTAAATCTCATTCTTTTCTCTCTGTATCTATTTATTTCCAATCACGATAATGATTCTTGCCAACTGATATAATAGCAAAATCCCCTCTTTTGTATATTACAAAAATTTGCTTTGTATAGATGGCTGCTACATAACAATTTAGCCTGTATTATTTCAGAAGACACTTCCCCTCAGTGCTGAAGATTCAAATCAAATATTTATTGGGAAGATAGTTCAAGGCTCTGTGACAAAGATGAAGAGACTCCTGAATTACGTGGCACCTTTTCTCTCCATTCTTACATTTAAACAACAGCCATATGTTTAACTGACAAGCAAAAGATGGTTTTAATACATCCTTTGGTTGCAAAGACCAAAAGTGATTCAGACTGACTTACATAAGAGTCGATTGGAAAGAGTCACTTAAATTTCAAGAAAACACAGAGTAGAAATTTCAACTGTGCCTAGTGAGAACTGAAAACTTTGTCTCTTCCTCCTTCCAAGCCTCTACTCTCTCTCTCCCTCTCTGGAGTTGCAGAATTCCATTTGACTTGCACATCTCTTGGCAGAACTCCAGTCTCAATTCTTCAGAGTGACTCTTCCTGAGTTTCAAAACTATCTTCCCATAACCTATCTATGTGGGCAAATTGCACTCATGTTTTATACTAAAACCCAGTCTAGTAATCTCAAGAGGGTATATTCTACTGCATCTTAACTCATATAGAAGAACAGTAATTTATAAATCAGCTTTATTTATTGCTCTTATTTGATATTTATTACTTAAAGAGTAAATAAAATGTCAAGTATATTAAAATAATATATTAAAGATAATAAATAGAATGTGGCTATAACAGATGTCATTCTACTCATATAACTTAGTATTGTGAGTCAGTTTCAATATATTATTTTAGAAAGATAATTTTAATTGTTTCCATTAAACAAAAACAGTCCGCTCGATTAATCAAACATCCATCTATGACAGAGTTTAAAATTCTCTAAAATTCTGTACTATTTTTGGATATAGCTTGCATGGTCAACATAAATAAATATTAGCTCATGAGACCAAGAGTCAGGCCTTGCCTCTGTCCTGATTAGTGTGTGACCTTGAGCAGATCAGTTACTTCTCAAGGAACTTTTAGTTTGAGTTGCATCGTCCATCAAGGTTAATGTTCAATGGCTTGTTTATTTTGGCTACATTAAAATGCCTCTCATCAAATCAGCTCAAAAGAGTGATGACAAAATATAATATATACATCGTGAGTTTGTTTTGAACCATATATTTGAAAGTGTGCTTCAAATCATTGCATAGCATATAAATGCCTTTGACTGCTCACCTTGTAGACAATGTCTATTGAGGAGAAGGGTTTATTAGCCTCAGTTCAACAGCAAGAGTGAAACTCAGAGTGGTCCAACAAGATGGTCAAGAAAGACACTCAACAATTGAGTGATGAAATGTGAACCCAAATACAGATTTGGCCAATTTCAAAGATCACAATTTTTTACCTACCTTGTGACTTCTTAGAACATCTTAAGCACATTTTACCTGCCTCATTCCACACTGAAAAAAGAATTAGTCGAATATCAAATATGAGGCAAAATGTCATCTACTTGCTAGCCCAGTGGGTAAACGTAATCCTAAATAACCAAAACAATGTTGTTTGTAAGTGTTGATTCAATTTCTTTCCATCGATTTATATGGAAAATCTCCCTCATGCCAATATAACTATATTTTATTTCTATTAAATGCCTTTTTTAATTTATAAGACTTTAACTAAAAAAGTAGAGCAAAGTAAATTCAGGCATAAAATAATGTTCTCTTCAGTAGGTCAAATTGAAAAAGCAATAATCAAAGTATACACTCAGAGTCACTAAGTCTAATCATTTTGATTCAGTTTCTGCCATAAATGACTGATTAGGTGGTGAATTGTTCTTTGCATCCTGATGTTCATTCCTGAAGAATAACTACTTAAAAAGAGAGAAAGAAATACAGAAAGTCACTTACATTAAAATGATAAGAGGGTAGCCATTTCAGAATCTGAGAAATAATAGCATTGCTGAGCAAGTGTTGAGAAAACTTTAAATGCTGAAGACAATAGCTTTTTAAATTATTTTCTTTTAATTTATTTACAACTAAACTGAATGTCCTTATTCTCCATTCCATTAATGTTAGAAATGAGTGTTGGCTCCTTATGTTTCCCTGTTTCTGACCTACATGCAAAGCTTTTTCATGTAATCACAGGCAGATGAGAAGTAGCAAGCAACTTTTTCAGTGTGAGTATTGAGACTATAATACTTCTCAGCAATGCATAAGAGAGAATTTGGTACATATGACTGTATAGAAAAATCACTCATAACCAATTGACTTCTAACAAACCTGAACAGAACTGGTGGGTGTACTTTGTTGGATAGAACTGAATAATATTTACCTACAGCAGTGTAAGACTACCAGAAAACCTGTATGGTGATTGAAGAGAAGCCAAGGTTTTATGCAGGAAATCTGTGTCAAGCGGAAAGGAACACCAAGGCCTGAAATTTAAGGATGAATAATGATTGAGAAAGTTGGGAGCATTGGCGGTATAAGAGGGAAGTATGTGGTGTTGAGACAAACAGTGCAGAACAAAGACCACAAGGGGAAAGATAAGAGTAGTTTTCCTTTGATGTCAAACTAAGTGTATGGCACCTTGGAGTGTTCACACCTACAGGAATTCCTGTTCACAGCTTACAGGAATACTACAGATAAAAACAAAGTGTGAGAAGTAAACATTTGTTCGCTAAACATGTGCACAGTTCAAGTGTTGTGAGATGGATGAAAGCCATTTTACCGCTCACAGGTGCCCTTGAGACTGCTAGGTATAGAGAGTCAGCACGTCCGGCTCATGATTACCAGCCAGTGGATCATAGTAATAATAACAGATTGTTATTATTGCTTTTTTTTCTAAAGAAGGAAACTAGCTTCAGAAAATCACCAATTTAATGAGAAAATTTAACTTATTGGGCTATAAGCATGAGATGCTTTTATTTGTCCTGACAGATACCACTATCTGCCTTTGGTCAAATCATTTCTCACTGGGTGGTGGGTTCCCTTAACACAATCTCATCCTGAGTTCATAAAATTAAGACTTTTTTGATTACTGGAAGAGTTATTGCTTCTTTTTTATTTTATTTTATTTTATTTTATTTGTTTGTCGGGGGGACGGATTCTGGCTCTATCGCCAGGCTGGAGTGCAGTGGCACAATCTCGGCTCACTGTAACCTCCGCCTCCTGGGTTCCAGCGATTCTCCTGCCTCAGCCTCCTGAGTAGCTGGGATTACAGGTGCCCGCCACAACACCAGGGTAATTTTTGTTTTTTTTAGTAGAGATGGGGTTTCACCAAGTTGGCCAGAATGGTCTTGATCTCTTGACCTCGTGATCCACCCGCCTCGGCCTCCCAAAGTGCTGGCTCACTGTTGTTCACTTACTAACTTTAATTTTATTTTCAATTTAAAACTTCCAGATATGACTAGCCTTGCAGCTCATGCAGCCTGGCATGGAGGGGAGGTGGGGTCTGCTTTTCCACATCTCACCTCCTCCTACTACTACCACTGTTGTGAGGAGAGGATTGGAAAGAGGACAGACAGATCCCTCCTTCATGGACTATAGCAATAATTAACTAATTTCCCTTTGTTCAATGACAGTGACTGCCTCTTGGGGTGCATCCATTTGTATTTATCCTCTCTGTGCACAGCGATTAGCAAGGAAGATTCAGTTTTGGCTCAGCCATTCCCTGTCCAAACCTCAGCGTCCTGCAAGTTTCATCCAGTAAATGATGCCATGGACACCAGCAAAACAGCTGACGCCTCAATCCCCACTCCTTTTATATAGCATGCCAGGACCACATCAAATGAAGGGGACACAGGCTGCTCCTTCATCCCCACTCGCTGCCTCCCAGTCCCATCTTTCCTCCAAACTCCAGGTTCAGCTGCTCCAATGGTCCAGGGATTCAGAATATTCCACGGAGAGCCTAATTAAGTTGCAAAAGATTCTGAAACCTTGCATGTTTCCACTCTTGGATACTCCTGCCGAGAATCAGTATAAAAAGGGATACAAAATGAGAAATGAAAAACAAAAATGCAGTATTTGTTGAATGGTTGCTTACCAAGGTTTTTGGTTTTTTTTTCCAAATCACTTTGCAATCTTATGCAAAAAACAATGACTTCCATATAAAATATCACATTGAAGTATATGAGATCAGTGTGAGTTGGAGGCAGGGTCACTGAATGTAGGAAATGGGATTTACGCTGATGCTTGAAAGATAAAGTGGTATATGGATGTAGAGAGAAAAGGAAAAGGAATTAGTGAACAAAGTTTGGATATTGTGGGGAAGATACCAGAATAGTAAATGCCCACTGTGAATTTATTAAGAAAAAAATAGACTTTAGCCAGAGAATGTTTGGAAGTTATTTTTAAGTCCTGGTCCTTACTAAAAACTGCCTAGAAAGATAAATGTAATTAATACATTTCAGGAAGTTGGGCCATTGATTTCCATTAAAGACTTAAAAACTGTCAGGCATTTAAAAACAGCATTTGACCTGATCAAGGACAATTGTCGGCTATTACTTCTGAAGAGTTAATTAAAAAATAAAATTGAACTATTTTCACATTTGTATCTTAATGACATGCTATTGGTTAGAATTAACTTAATAATGTAGTTTCCATGAATTATTTATTTCTAGGATCCATTTCCCATGACTTTTAAAATCAAAGTACAACAAAAATTAATGTGGACATAATTCTAGCTTATATGATACAGTGGTTTGGTTTAAGTGGAACATATAAAAACCTGAATAGTATTTTATTGTGGTACTTGCGTTGTTTTCATAAAGACTTCTCAGCATTGCAGAGCAGGGGAAGAAAGATTCCTATCCTCACCAATGAGAATCAGATTTTCTAAATATCGTGGCTGACAATATTCCTGACCTTATTTTTTGGCAATGCACCTTTCCAGTCTCAAACCAAACATTTGGAAATCACCTTTGACTCCTTTCTGTCTCTCATATCCTACATCTGATACACCTTGAAATCTTATCATCACCACCTCCAAAATATATCCAGAGCCTTATCATTTCTCACCACCGTAGACCAAGCTATCATCAGTCCATATAGGGATCAATGCAATAAACTTGTAAGTGTACTGCTTCCTTCCACCTTGGTCTCTCTGCATGCACTCTCAATACATCCATCAGTTATATTGTTACCACTTATCAATTCACATCTTTCTTCTGATCAAAGTCCCCCAATATCTTCTCACCTTATTCAGAGTAAAGACTGAAACCTTTATAAGGGCTTATATTACCTGCTTCAGCCCCCTATCACACATGCTCCTCCCCTAATATACCTTGGACTTTACCTCCTCCATCTTTCCAGCTCAGATACTGCTTCGGCCCCATTGACCTCTCAAGCAAACCCCTGCACTAGCTCTTTTCTCTGTTGTAATACTCTCCTTCCAATTACTTACCCAGCTCACCTCCTCAAGGTCTCTGGTCATATGTCATCTATGGTGAAGGCTTTCTCTGACCACTGTATACAAAATGCCACCCCCCCTTACCCTGACATTCCTCATCATCCTTTCCCTGTGTGGTAGATTGCACTGTTGTCTTCAGTTCTTTACTCCTTCCCTTAATAGAATAACGCATTTATGCCTTTGCCATATGACATTGCAGTACCACCCACTATGAACTGACTGTACCCCTCACATCCCAATTGATCTTGGGCTTATCCACGTGGCATGAATTGTCTACTAGACTGTGGGCCTCAGATAGAATTTTGCAATTTCTTGTTGAAGCCTAAGAAGCCATATGACTTTCCCTTCACCCCCTTGTGTTCCTATCATGCTACAAGAAGAGAACATTTACTAGCAGCACCGGTGGCTGCTAATATAAGGAGGATAAGCACAGTGGAGCAGAACTCAGTGTGAAAGCAGCCTGAGGTCACTCACTCCAGCCAAGCACAAGCCACTGTGCAAGAGAAAACAATGTTTGCTGCTATGAGCCACTGAAATTTGGAGATACGCAGCTTTACCATCACGTCAATAACTATTTATCCTGGTTTGTTTATTGCTTTTGGAATACCTGTGATATGCTATAGGTAGTTATCTCTTTGTTTATTGTTGTATCCACTGTTGATTTCTTGTTTTATCCCCAACACCTAAAACAGCACCAAGGGCATAAGAAGAACTAAATAAATATTTGTTAAATACATGAATGACTAAATGGACAGATAGAAAATAAAAATGTGCCTTTTTAAAGAAAACCAGGGAAATAAAAACTCCACCATTTTGGGACTCTAAAAACCATTATTTTTATGTGTGAATTTTTTTATTATTAGATAATTTTTGCAGTGAGCATCCTAAACATGTCCCTGAGCTTTCTTTATCCCTGACGGCTATCTACCCAGAGGAAGTCCGATTCTCCCACCTCAACAACACAACCATCTAGGGAATGAATCTTTGATACATTTTCTTTCCCTTGTTACTAACTACTGGGCCCGAAACACAGTTCCATGGAATCTTTGCACCTTACCTGGGTGGAAGGGTAAGCAAGGCTCTGGGGTGCAGTGGGAGTGAGGACAGCATAGGGTCAGGTGTGGTAAGGATTGGGCATGGAGGTAGGCAAACAGACCAAAAAGAGGTAGCATGTTTTTAACATCATAGCTTAAACATGGGGACAATTATCATTCATATTATCGGGACCAAAATATTCCTGGTGATAAAATGACTGGTACAAAGTGACCCAATAACAATAACCTTGCTCTAGAAGAAACTAAAGGAGGCCCAGGAAAGACAACTAGCAAACCATCTGTCACACAGCCAGCCAGTGGCAAGGAAAGAGCTGAAATCTATTCTCCTGACTTTGGTCCTAGGTTTTCAACAACAAGAGTCATTCAGGGGCCCCTCTCTATTGGCTTCCAGCTTCTCCCAAGTCTGCCATCATAGCTCTGGGCTCCTCCTGTAGGTCTGGCTGTGGCTTTGCATGCTTATTTTTATTACTGCCACAGCTAGATAGGGAACATTTCCTAGATACCTTCAACATGGCAAGAGGTTTGCATATATTATTCTTTTATATTTGCAACAATCCCAGAAACACTAGATGTCATTACTCCATTTTGCAACTGAAGATGTTAATGGTCAGAGAGGTTAAGTAAACTGGCCAAAAGGATATAGCTAATAAATGGCAGAGCTTGAATTCAAGCTCTGCTTAAGACTTTATCTTATGATCATTTTCCTAATCCACGTCTCTCTGCTGGCATCCCCCTGAATGCCCTGACTTCAGTGTCTACCTGGCTTCCCCCACTGAATGTGCTTGTGGCATTCATGCCCTGTGCTTTCTTACACTGGACTCTCCAAATCTCGGCTTTCATGACTCACAACACTCAGCTGACTTAGCCCAGAGCCTCCGTGGAGAGGGAGGGTTTTCAGTTATTCCCTCTGTCCCTGAATCACATATAAGTAGACTTTTCACTTAACTTTTTTCATTTCAGAATGGGCACCTCCCCTTCTTTTGCAACACATGACCCCACCAGACTCCTCTAGCCCTATATCCATTCACAGATATTTTGGTCAACACACTCTATCCTCTTGATTTTCCAAGGAAGCCTGAATCCATTTGTGCTCACCCTTGCCATGTGCCATGCACACTTAGCATCTTTGCTCAGTTTCTTTGAAAGTGTTTTATGTAAGAAAGCAGCTTTTCTCCAAGGTCTCTTGGATTGTGATAACAGTCACAGAAAAAGTGCTGTTAGGCTACAGGGTGAAGTGATCCATCCCACATGCAGACAGCAAGGATGTTCATTGTCTGTAGATAATTAAAAAAGGAAACACTGAACTGAAATTCAGCTACTTGTCATTGCTGTGCTTCACCAATTATAAACAATGTCAAAGAAAAATATTTCTCCTCAAAAAATCTTTTTTTGGTCTAGCTTCTAGGGAGTGTTTTAACTGCTATTGAGATCTGATATTACATTTCTCTGTGTCAAATGAGCACATTTTTATGACCTATCCTATAATAAACATTATGTTCCACATGCAAATTACTTTAAGAACTCCCAGTCATACTGTTGGCCCCTGACAAATACAGACTCAGCTACAGGTGTTTGTTTGGAGGGTCAGTTGGTAAGGAGTTAGAATCATTTGAGCTCACTTAGAGGACAGTGCATTATAGTTCATGTCTTCAGAGCCTGTAGGACCACATTATTCTCATGTCTAAACAGCAGTCAAAATAAACCAGATAATGTCTTAACTGTAAAGAAGAACAAACAGAATATGAGTGACTTTCATTCTATCATTCTTTGTGACCACTTCAAATGTTAATTTCTGTCTAAAATGTAAAACAGTAAAGCAGAATGCAAACTTCAAGGTGTAGTATTTTTATTTGGTAAGTAAAAACCTTTATTCTACATGCAAATATTTTACTTAAATATTATCTTTAAATGTATGATATTTTTAGTTGTTAATTGTTTTCAAACTAAACAATGAATCAGAAAAAATGATCATTCCTGGTAACTAAAGGATTATTACTGAAAATAATGTTGCAGCATGTCCTCCTCTGTACCACCAGTGCTCACTTTATTCACAACCCTCCTACCACCAAGAGCCAAATCTTGTTCAATGTGGAGGCAATTTCACATCTCAGTGTTCCAAACAGACAGTCACGGTGTTCATAAATCCAGCGAGCACCATCGCTATGGCATGCTGGAAGATAAAAGGCAAGAAGCCCAAAGAGACTGTGGGACATAAATGCCTGTTAGCGATTGCAGTGATTTTATCCATAACATCTTACAAATGTGAATTAAGCCACAACATCCAGCGAAAGGAGAAGAAATAATTATTATCCATTTCATGCAGCAGTGAAGTGATTCTCTGAGGTCATGGATTCATTGCCATCTCTTACACCTTCAATGTGAATGTCGCTTTGTCTCTGTGGGTGGTGGAAAGAATGTGACATGTGGTCACACACAAAAGCCAAAAGCAAGATTCAAATCCAGACTCTACTCCTATTCATTCACTGAATGTAACTTTTTATTTATTTAAGTTTTCTGATTTTATTATCTTCATTTTTTCAATAGAAATAGCTGCCTAATTCATAAGCCGCTTAAAGGGATTGAATTGTAAAAGGTGGAATGCCTGTTATGTGACACATGAACCCAACAAATGTTACTTCATGTAGAAATTGCCTTAAAGACTTCCTCTTTGAATTGTTTTTTTCCTCATACCATTATGTCTGAAGATAAGATGGAAGAAAATAGGTTTTTAGTCTATATTAGAAAATGTATGGGATTACTGAATATATCGTTTTCACTTCATTAATTTAGTCTGGCATATTTCTTCTGTGTTTGTTCAGTGAGAACAGAAACATAACCATTAAATTGTTCACCAAGGATGGGATTTATTTGTTAGGACTATATTCATGCACAAAAAAATAAAAATAAGAGGAGACAAGTCCCAACTGCCATGTTCACATCAATCCATCTTCATAGGGTGGCAGAATTTTATGATAGTACACAAAGATTTAGGCGTATATACTCATAATTCATTTATTTGAAAATTAAGTAACTTTGACTCCAAACACAAGTCTTGATGTATTGTTCAAGGCCAGAGAGGATGCTGCTATCAGCATTTCAAGAGGCCCTGCTCTCTATACAACATCCTAACCCAGCAATGCTCAACCTAGACTTATCTATTAGAAACACCTGCTAAGATTTTTAAAAATATTGATAAGTCAGTCAAATTTCAGGCCTGCCAGCATTAATATCTTCATGCTTTGGATCTAAAAATTATATCTGTATTTTTAAAGTAACACAGGTTTTAAGACTATAGTCCTAATCAGATAGACATTGATGGTACTGAGTTACACCACATCCTCCTGCTCCTGCTCCAATTGTAAATTGTTAATATGCCTTGCTTCCCTCCACACATAATTTCAGGCAATTCTTAGGAAACATGAAACAGTGGAATAAAAGGTCAAGGACATAGAAAGTTCCAACAAATATGCAGATTAATCAAAATCTTTTTCAGAGTTTCCTGGAAGCCAAAGCAAAAATATTTTTTGAAAACTTTCAAATTGACCTATAAAGTTAATCCACATTAAAAATCATAACAGGGTGTGTGCATGTGTGTGTATGCATGTGTAAACTGAAAAGCTAATTGTAAAATTAATATGGAAAGATAAAGGTTCAAGAACATCCAAGATATTTTTGAAGAACAAATCAGGAGGACTTGCTTCTCTGGGTATCAGGACTTAGGACAGAATACTATTGAAACAAGCTACAGAGCCCTAGAAATGGACCCATGAATTTGTATTTGTTGAGGTGTTTGTTTGTTTGTTTACAAATATGACGTTATATAGCAGTGGGGAAAAATTTGACACACTATCAGGTAATTTGTACTCTCAAAATTTAGAAGTAAAAGGGGAACCTAGATGAAAAGCAAACACACAATTTGAATATGGACTTACAAAACAGAATGTCTAAATGGCCAATAAACATATAAAAAAATAACCAATCTCATTAGCCAACCGGAAAATGAAATTAAAACTACACACTCATCAAAATGGCTAAAATTAAAAGATTCAATAATATCAAGTGTTACCAAGGATGTAGAATAAAGTTCACTCTAACACACTCATAGTGGAAATGCAATACATATATATATGTATATATGATATGATGACTTTGGAAAACTGTTTGCGTTGTCTCATAATATTGATGGTAAGTGTACCAAAAACCCAGTCATTCCTTTCCTAAATATACCGCTACAGAGACACAGATATGTGATCCAAGAGAAGTGAAGATGAATTATTTTAGTAGCATTTAATGAACTATCAGAAGTTAATAATAATCTGCATCTTTAACAACATTAGAATGGATAAAATATTACCATATAATCATATAAAGAGGAGAGTGACAATTTTTTTTCTGAAAGGACTAGATAATAAATACTTTTGGCTTTCTGAGCCGTATGTTTTCTGTCACAAGTACTCAACTTGGTCATTTTAGCAAAAAAAAAAAAAAGCTATAAATAATTTTTAAATAAAAAATTATGTCTGTGTCCTAACAAGACTTTGTTTTCAAAAACATGTGGTGAGCTGAACTTGACTCCCAGGCCATGGTTTGCTGATCTCTGGTAGAATGGACTATTACACAGCAATAGAGACAAACCGTAGTTATAAAAACAGAAGGAGCATGAGAGGAACTTTGGGTGCTGGTAAATCTCTTGATTTGGATTATTTTTAACATGGTGTTTACATTATAACAACTTGCTAATTTGTGTACTTATTTTATGCACTCTTCTATATTTGTATTATATTTAACATTTTAAAAACTTAGTCAAGTTCTTGCATTAAATTTCCTCCCAACCCTTCTGTTCTAAGCACGACTTTGATAATCATTTTTTTTGAATTGTAAGACTTAGCTACTTTTAAAATGCAAATCAGTAAGTGTGCTGAAGACACAAACTGACAATTCTGCATTCCAGGTCCCAAAATAGGTAGAGGTAACTGGGAGTTTATCTTAGTACAACGGAGGCAAAAGAAAAAAAGAAAAAAAAAGAAAGAAAGAAAAGAAAAAAGAAAAAAAGTCTTCCCATGAATAAAGGAGAATAGGAGAATACAACCAGGCCTAAAGAGGGGCTAGAATAGATTTCTCACCTATGTAAAAGTGGTCAAGAAAATAGTGACCACTGTCAGGGTTTTGCTTTATGTCAGCCTATACGACTAGGATGGTGGGAGTGACCAGAGACAGCCTGATAATCAGGACCTTGCCAAAGCACCCCCAGGATCAGTGAGTAAGCTCTGATAGCACTGAGGACAAAAGCTATTCTGTCCATTCTGTGCCACTTGGAAACCTGATTTTGGAATGTGTCTGGGTAGATGCAATCATTAAACCAATACGCACAAAGGGAGCAGAACACAAAGGGAACATGGGAGAAAAGAATTACGGTCCTCAAAGGGAACATGCAGGCTGAAATCCCAAATCCCCTAGATTAAAGTAGGCTAAGTAAAAGAGCAAACTAATGTAAACAGTCAAAAAATTAATTTAACTACCAAAAGAATCAGAAAGGAATAACTGCATGTTTAAAGACTCTCAAAAGTTAAAGAAATTAACAATATTTTAACCAAACGAATTTAAAAACAAAAATAGATTTGTATCAAGAGAAGGAAAATTAAAGAGAATCATCCATTCGTCAAGTATTTATTGAACATTACTATGTAGCAGGCGCTATTATAGGTGCTAGAAAGAAACATGAACAAAACACAGAAGTCACTACTGACTTGTAGTGAGGGAGAAAATCAAGAGTGAAGGGAAGAAAAAGAGAGGGAGAAGGAGTGGGGAAAGAAAGAAATTAAGAACAAACATTTCAGGAAGTAATATGAGTTATGAGAAGAAATGAAGCAAAAAATAAAAAAGAAATGAGAGATAAGTAAAACATATTTATCAGAAAAGGTGGTAAGAAAAGATAGCTTTTTGCTGCATGAGAAGTAACCAGAATATAGAAAGAGAGCCATTCCAATAAAAATCTGGAGTAGGGAAACATGACCATTGAAACAAAAGTCTTCAAAAATGTAACATCTACAGTATATTAATACAGTTTTAGAATACACTGCTGACCACTATACAGAAAGCTAAAAGGATGAGGAAAATGTGAAAGAAATTTTAAAACATGAAAGATAGATTAAGAGGCTTTGGTATTCACTTCATAAGAATTCCCAAAGTAGATAAAGAAGAGAATAAAAAAAAAAAAAAAAAACATTCGAAAAGGTTTTTGATGCGAACTTTCTATAATTTATAAGAACCATGGTTTTCAGATTGAAAAGATATTAAATATTAAAAAGGATAAATCCAAATAAATCTACAGTAAACATATAGTAATAAAACTGAAGAACATAAAAAATGTAACGTTCTAAAGCAAAAAAACAGGTTACTTACTAGCAAATGGCAATTAGAATGTCTTATTATCAAGACAAGCAGATGTTTCATCACCAATAATAAATGCCAGACAAAAATGGAATAATAGAATGAAAGTGCTTAGGGAAGATAATTGTCAATCTGGAATTATACATCAAGGCAAACAATCATGCAATTGTAAAGCCAAAATAAAAACTTTAGATATAAACCACTAAGTTGAACTTACAGACTTTATAACTAAAAGTATGAGTATGAAAAAAAATTAGAAAGAAGCAAATTTAACCCAGAGGATGGGTTGGTAAGAAAGAAGATAGAGATAATCTATTTTTAAAAATAATTTTTCTAGACTAAAAAAGTTTACACATAAAGAGACTATGCATAATGGTGACATGGTAAAGTTTCAATGAGAGTTGATATATGCTAAGGTAGAGAACGGTACTTACTATACAGTTTTAGATATTGTAAAACATAGGGTCAATACTCATGTCTTATAAGGAGAATAAAGTTGGATTTCAAAAATATGTAATCCATTTTTGAAAAATCGTTTAATAGATTACTTTAAACCTTCTGAATTAGAGTACTGATATAGTAGGTTTGATGAAACCATATCATTTTTTTTCCTAGTTGCCAGACTTCTTCTTTTTATTTCTTTTCTGTTATCTGTTGGATTGAAAAATATAGGCCAGGCGCGGTGGCTCACGCCTGTAATCCCAGCACTTTGGGAGGCCGAGGCGGGCGGATCACGAGGTCAGGAGATCGAGACCATCCCGGCTAAAATGGTGAAACCCCGTCTCTACTAAAAATACAAAAAATTAGCCGGGCGTAGTGGCAGGCGCCTGTAGTCCCAGCTACTTGGGAGGCTGAGGCAGGAGAATGGCGTGAACCCGGGAGGCGGAGCTTGCAGTGAGCCGAGATCCCGCCACTGCACTCCAGCCTGGGCGACAGAGCGAGACTCCGTCTCAAAAAAAAAAAAAAAAAAAAAAAAAAGAAAAAAATATATATTTTTCTCCCATATATTTTCCCTTCTATTGGTTTGGAAGCTTTTCCTGAATTCACTTGGCTTAATGTCTCTTTTATTTTCCCACACAGTCACGTACTCACATAAAGAGCTTCAAAATTAAGTGATTATTTACCATTTCCTTTCTCATAAAGAAACAGGAAGCTTGAAAAAAGAAAAAAAAAAGTAGCTAAAACTACAAAATACAAGATAATATGTGATGGCCGGGCGCGGTGGTTCACGCCTGTAATCCCAGCACTTTGGGAGGCCAATGCGGGTGGATCACAAGGTCAGGAGATCGACACCATCCTGGCTAACACGGTAAAACCCTGCCGCTACTAAAAATACAAAAAAATTAGCCAGGCATGGTTGGCGCACGCCTGTAATCCCAGCTACTCGGGAGGCTGAGGCAGGGGAATTGCTTTAACCCAGGAGGCAGAGGTTGCAGTGAGCCGAGAGCACACCACTACACTCCAGCCTGGGTGACAGAGCAAGACCCCTTCTCAAAAAAAAAAAAAAAAAAAAAAAGATAAAATATGATTTTTTAAATAAAGAATTCAGTTCACTAGCAGAAGCCTGAAGGTTGAACAGTACACTCTGGAGCTAGCAGATGCACTGAGAACCAATGATTCACGGTGATCCAGAGTATTGAGATTTAACAGTACAGGAGAGAAGGCATCAGGCATCTCCAAGGTGGGAGGTAAGTTAGAACAGATATGAGAGAGTAAATTACAGCACCCAAAGTGGTAGAGAGGAAAAAATATTCTCCTCAAAAAATCCATAACCTCAGTCCTTCACATTTTTTAAACAGAGCTTCACATTAATTGGGTTTTCCCCAATCTTTCAAAATTTGCATGAAAATAAGCCATTATTAGGGAGAGTCAGCAGAAATTAAAAAACAACAGAATTAGACTTCCAAAGACTTCAGGTATTGAAAATAGCACACACAGAAAATACACTTTATGTGTTTAACCCTTTTCTTATTTAGAAAAAAAAAGGCAGCTCACTGTCAATGCTCATTTAATTTTATATAAACACACTCTTTGAGGCTGAAGCAAATCTGATTTTTAATGTGAAAATAAAATATAAAGCTATTGTTTGAGTTATTTCTAAACAGAACTAACATCAGAATCATCTGAATCGTCAATCATATATTTAGAAGAAAATGGATTTATTAATTCAGCGATGGAGAATTACTATATTTCATAAATACAAGTAACCACTACTAAAAATAGAATGCTATAAATAGAATGATATCATTTGTTTCCAAAGTGGGTATACTAGAGTGGTGCAAAAATTAATAATAAAAGCAAGATATTTTGTGGCAAAGTTATCTCAGGGTAAATGCTGCAGCCGCAAGTACTGCTAGAAAGTATTCTTGGGGCATATGGGAAAAGGGTAAAGGAACAAAACAGAGAATTGAAAGCATAAGAAGGGAAAGCAGCTATACAATGACCATGTTTATTTTTTAAAGAATCAAACAGAGTTTACAGACATTAAAAATATCTCCCTTTATATCAAAAACCCAATAAATATATTAAAGAACGGATTAAACATAGTTGAACGGAGAATTAGTAAACTAAAAATATAGGAAAAAGTTAATGAAATGCAGAACTCAGAGAAAGAGGAGTAAAAGTAAAAATGAGATAAATGGAAAATAAATTCAGAAGGTCTAACGTGCATTGACTCAGGTTTCCTGATGCAGAACATAAAGAGAAAGAGAACATAGGAACTTAGAGAGAATGGAACCAAACTAATAAAATGATCACTGAGAATTTTCCAGAAATTATAAAGGAAAGAACTCTTATGATTCAGAAAGCATAGCATACTCTAAATACTATGAATAGACAAAAAATTATCCTGACACATTTCGGTGAAAATACAGAACACCAAAAGCAAATTGATTTTTTTAAGTAAGAATATAAGAAGCATTATTTAGAGAAACAGTAAACTTATCAATAGCACCAAAAGGGTCAGGAGAGAGTGGAACAAATATTATCAGAGGGAGAGGAGAAAATAATTGCCAACTTAGAATGGTATGCCTGGTAAAATAGCCTTTCAAGAATGAAAGGAAAATAATGACATATTAAGAAAAAGTAAAACCAGCAACCACAAAAAATAAAAATAAATAAATAAAAAGCAAACAAATATTAATCACCAACATGCAATTGTTTTGTCTGCTATGGACTGAATTGGAACCCCCTCACCCAAATTCATATGTTGAAGCCCTAAAACCCTGTGTGACTGTATTTGGAAATAGGACATGTAAGGAGGTAATTGAAGTTAATTGAGTCATAAGAGTGGACCCTAATTCAACAGAATTGTTGTCCTTATAAGAAAAGAAATAAAGACCAGAAGTTTTTCTATATATATACTTGTTTGGAGAAAAGGCTGTATGGGGAAAAGTGACATAGCTCAGATCTCAGCCTGGGAAAAGCTATGGAAAACAGTAACAGGCATTGCGCATGAAAACAGCCAGGGACTACTGACCTGCAGACTCTGGCATAAGAAAATACAGATGAAGACACATAATAGATCACCTAAATCCCCATGGATAGGCTGAGATGAAACTCTCTGTCAAATAAAGACATTTAAAAATAGCCATGTATATAAAGGAATTGAAAAAAGCACACATATAGTCCAGGCAAAATGAATTGTTTGGGCATGCCCTACTAATTAGCGAGGTATTTTCCACACAATATCACTCTGCCAAGACCAGAAGAAGTAACTTTTTATTCAAATGATGAATTTTCAAAAAAAGGAAGAAGGAATACAAAGAAAAAATAAAAATCATGGCCTATTCAAATGAAAAAAACTAGTACAAGTATTTCCTGAAGAAACATAGGCATCAGGTGTACTAGAAAAATATTTTAAAGCAACTGTTTACATATGTTCTAAAAGCTAAAAGAAAACACAGAAAAATAAATAAAGGAAGATAGAAAAATGATACATGAACAAAATGATTGTATCAACAAAGATAATATTGTAAAAAGGAACTGACTGAAAATTCTGGAGCTGAAAAATAGAATGACAATTGAAAAACTCACTAAAGGAGTCCAACAGCATACTTGAACAGGCATAAAAAAGAATCAGCAAACTTGAAGAAAAGACATTTGAAATAATCAAATTTAAGGAGCAAACAGAAAAAAAAAGGAATGAAGAAAAGTGAACAGATCCTAAGGAACTAATGGGACACCATCAAGTGTTATGGGACAAGTGAAGAAAAGTGAACAGAGGAACTTAAGGAACTTGTGGGACAAACATGTCTGTATTATGAAAATCACAGAAGAAGGGAGAGAGAAAGAGAAGACAGATTATCTAAAGAAATAATTATGGAAAGCTTACAAAATTTGATGGAATACATGAATCTACAAATTTAAGAGGCTCAACAGACATCATATAGAATAAATGTAAGAAGACTCACATTAAAAAAATTATAATCAAACAGTTAAAAATCTGAAGACAAAGAGAATTTTGTCAACAGACAAAAAAAAAGTCCACACACACACAGGCACACAAAAAGAAAATAAAAATGAAGTGTCATTATATACAAGAAATCCATAATGAGATAATAAGCAGATTTCTCAGCAGAAATCATGCAGGTCAGAAGGCAGAGGGATCTTGTATTAAAATTGTCAAGAAAGACTTGTATGCAACAAAACTGTCCTTCAGACAGGTTTGTGGGAGAAATTAGACATTCCCAGATAAGATCTGAGAGAGTTAATTATCACTAGACCAACCCTATGTGAAATGTTAAATGAAATAAATTAGGTCAAAATGAAAAGATGATAGGCAGTAACTCAAAAATGTATGATGACATATAAATCTTTGATAAAGATATGGGCAAATATAAAAACAAGGTTTATTTTTTTCATTTTGGTTGGTAACTTCAGGTTTTATTTCTTACAGCATTTTTAAGGCTAATGAATAAATATTATTATAAATCTATATTAATTGAGTACATAATAACTAATGATGTAATTTGTGACATCAATAACCTCAAATAGGGGGGGCTGTAAGGGTGGGGAGTTTTTGTATGTAACTAAATTTAACTTGGTATCACCTTAGATTGTTATAACTTCCTAATGTTATAAGTAATCTCCATGGTAACAAAAAATAAAATCTGTAGAATATTTGTAAAAGGAAATGAAAAGGGAATCAAAACAGTCCACTAAAAAATTAATTAACTACAATAGAAGATGATTAAGAAGAAGACAATGGATTCTTATAAACCATTCAAGACAAGGAGAAAACAAAAAACAAAATGGAAGAGTAACTCCTTCCCTATAAATGTCATTTTAGTTTTACATAGATTAACTTCTCTGATCAAAAAACATAGTTTGAGAAAATGTATAATAAAACATGATCCAACTATAGAATAACTTTACATGGAAGGACATACAAAATTTGAAGGTGAAAGAATGGAAAAAGATATTACTTGCAAACAGTAACCAAAAAAGGGCAAGATGACTACACTAATAATATAAAAAATAGATTTTAAGTCAAAAACTGTGGCAAGAGTTAAAGAAAACATCATATAATGATAAATGGTCAATTCACCAAGGAGATATAATAATTATAAACATATATGCACCAAATATCAGAGCTCCAAAATATATAAAACAACACTGACAGAATTGAAGAGGGAAATAGCACTACAAAAATAGAGATTGCAATACCTCACTATCAATAACGGATATAGCAACCTAACAGAAGATCAATAAGAAATTTCTATTGAACAATAAGTATAGACCAATTATACCCAAAAGACACACACTGAATTTTCAACCCAACAACAATGGAATACATATTTTTCTTTAGGGCACATGCAACATTTGCCAGAGTAGATCATGTTAGGCAAAAAAACAAGTCAATAAATTTTAAAAGATTAAAATCATATAAAGTATATTTTTCAATCACAATGGAGTGAAACTCAAAATCAATATCAAAAGGAAAACTGGAAAATTCACAACAATGAGGAAATTAAGCATCACACCCTTAGACATGCAATAAATAAAAAAAATTACAGAAAAATTAGAAAATATCTTCATAAAAATTACAACGCAATTTACTAAAACTTCCGAGTTGCAGTGAAAGTAATGCTAATATAACAAATCATACCTACAAACACTTTAATTGAAAGAGAAAGATATCAAATCAGCAACTTAACTTTGCACTTTAAGAAGAAGACAAATCTAAATGTAAAATTAGCAGAAGAAAGGAAATAATAAAGATTAGAACAGAGGTAAACAAAATAGAAAAACAATTAAAAAGTTAACAAAACAAATAACTGATTCTTCAAAAATATCAACAAAATTAATAAAGTTATCTAAATTGACTATGAAAAAGATTAATATAACTAAAATCAGATACGAAAGTGGAAACATTATACTGATTTTATACAAATAAAAAGGATTGTAAGAAAATGCTATGAATGGTAACACACAAACAAATTGGATAACCTAGATGAACCAGGCAATTTCCAATAAATAATCAACCTTCCAAGGCTGAATTATAAAGAAATAGAAAATCTAAATAAACCTATAGCTAGTAAGCAGATTTAGTCAGTAATCAATACCTCTTAATAAAGAAACATCTTGAGCAAGATGACTTTACTGATAAATTCTACCAATCATTTAGAGTTAACATCAATTCTTCTGAAATTCCTCCAAAATATTGAAGCAGGAACACCTCCTAACTTATTCTGGGTCCAGTATCAGCCTGATTCAAAAAACAAACAAATAAAACCACTGTAACATAAAAAAGCTACAGACTCATATGCTGTATAAATATGGATGTAAAATTCTCAACAAAATACTACCAAACTAATTTCAACAATATATTAAAATTAAAATACACTCAAAATCAAGGGGAATTATTTATTGGATGCAAGGATGTTTCAATATATGCAAATCAATTAATATTATACACATTAACAGAATGAAGAAAAAATACTATGTGAACAACTGAATAGATGCAGAAAAAAATTTACAAAATTAAATGTTCTTACATGAATAAAAATTCAAAAAGCTAGGAATAGAAAAATATATTTCCACATAATAAAGGCCATATATGAAACATCCATAGCTAATATAATTAATGACTGAAAGCCTTTCCTCTAAGATCAAGAACAAGACAAGGATGCCTGTTTTTGCTACTTCTATTCAACACAGTACTGGGAATCCTTGTTGCAAAATTAGGCAAGAAAATGAAATAAAGGCATTCAAATAGAAAAAAAGGGAAGAAAAATTCACCCTGTGTTCAGAGATGACATGATCTTATACGCAGTCAATCCTAAAATTACATGTACAGACACACATACACAGGCACACACACATACACACACAAACACATACATGTGTTAGAATGAATAAATGAACTCAGCAAAATTTCAGGGTATAAAAACATCACACAAAATCTACTTGTATTTCCATATACTAACAATGAACACTTCTTTATCTCTTCTTACAGTTTTTATCTTGAAATCTATTTTGTCTGATATCAGTATAGATACTTCCACTTTTTTTTTTTTGCTTCTATTGGCATGGAATATCTTTCGCTATTCTTTTATATGTAATCTATGTATGTCTTCAGGTGAAATGTGTTTCTTGTAGGCAACAGATCATACAGTCTTGTTTTTTCTTATTTTTTGTTGTTGTTTGTTTGTTTTAATCCATTCAGGGACTCTATAACTTTTGAATGGATAGTTTAGTCCATTTACATTCAAAGTTATTACTGAAAAGTAAGGGCTTATTCCTGCCATTTTGTTATTTGTTTTCTGGTTGTTTTGTGGTCTTCTCCTTCTTTTTTCCTTCTTTCCTGCCTTCCTTTTAGTAAAGATAATTTTCTCTGGTGGTATGATTTCATTTATTGGTTTTTATTTTTGTGTATTTGTTGTATGTTATTTGATTTGAAGTTAACAAAAGGCTTGCAAATATTATTCTATAACTAATCATTTTAAGCTGACAACTTAACCCTGATTATATAAACAAACTAACAAGCACAAACAAAAATATTGAAACTCTACACTTTAACTGTGTTGCTTGGCTTATTAACTTTTTCTTGCTTCGATTTATATCCTATTGTACTGTCTGTGTCTTGAAAGGTTGTTATTCTTGACTCGTTCATCTTTTAGTCTTTTTACTTAAGAAAATTTAGTTTACACACCATAGTTAACAGTTATAACATTCTGTTCTTCTTTGCACTTACTAGTACAAGTCAAGTTTTGGTGTGTTTTTTTGTACCTTCAGATGGTTTCTTATTGCTCAATAATGTCCTTTTTTTTCTGATTGAAGTACTCCCTTCAGCATTTCTTGTAGGACATGTCTAGTGCTGATGAAATCCCTCAGCTTTTGTTTGTCTGGGAAAGTCTTTATTTCTCCTTTACATCTGAAGAATATTTTTACCAGATATACTACTCTAGGATAAAAGTTTTGTGTAGTTTTTTTTCCTTCAGCACTTTAAATATGTCACATCACTCTTCTGGCCTGTAAAGTGTAAACTGAAAAGTCTAGTGCCAGATTTATTGGTGCTCCATTGTATGTTATTTGTTTCTTTTTTCTTGATGCTTTTAGGATTATTTCTTTACCCTTGACCTTTGGGAGTTTGATTATTAAATGACTTGAGATAGTCTTCTTTGGAGTAAGTCTGCTTGGTGTTCTGTAACCTTCTTATACTTAGATATTGATATCGTCTTTAGGTTTGGGAAATTGTCTGATATTATCTTTGAATAAATTTTCTACCTCTCTCTCTTTCTCTACCTTCTCTATAAGGCCAATAACTCTTAGATTTGCCAATTTGAGGCTATTTTCTAGATCCTGTAGCATGTTTTATTCTTTTTTCTTTTGTCTCCTGTATGTATGTTTAAATTACCTGCATTCAGGCTCGCCATTTCTCTCTTTCTTTCTTTCTTGATTAGTTCTGCTGGTAAGAGATTCTGATGCATTCTTCAGTATGCCAATTGGAATTTTTCAGCTCCAGAATTTCTGCTTAATTCTTCTTAATTAACTTTAATCTCTTTGCTAAATATATCTGATGGAATTCTGAATTTTTTTCTCTGAGTTAACCTGATTATTTTTTAGTTTTGTCAACACTATTTTGAATCCTCTATCTGAAAGGTCACATATCTGTCTTTCTCCATTATTGGTTGCTGATGCCTCATTTAGTTCATTTGGTAAGGTCTTGTTTTCCTAGATGGTCTTTATGCTTATGTATGTTTATTGGTGTCTCATCACTGAAGAGTTAGGTATTGTAGTCTTCAATGTCTGGGCTTTATTATACCTGTTCTTCTTGGGAAGGCTTTCCAGATAGCAAAAAAAAAAAAAAAAAAAAGTCTTGGATGTTGTGATCTAAGTTATTTCTGCATTAGGGAGCACTCCAAGCCCAGTAATGCTGTGGTTCTTGCCCAAGACCTTGGTGGTCTTGGATAAAATCTGGAAAAATTCTCTAGATTACCTGGCAGAGACACTGGTTCTCTTACTTTTTCCCAAACAAATGGAATCTCCTTCTCTCTGCTGGGCTGCCTGGAGCTGAGGATAAAGTGACAGAAGCACCCCTGTGGCTACCACCAGTGGGACTGTGCTGGGTCAGACCAGAGGCCAGCACAGAACTGGGTCTTGCCCAAAGCCCACTGTTACCACTACCTCGCTATTGCCAATGTTCACTCATGGCCCTAGGGCTCTATAGTCAGCAGGTGACAAAGCCAGCCAGGGTTCTGTCTTTCCCTTTGGGCTGACAAGTTCCCCCAGGCACTGAGTGAGATCCAGAGATTTCATCTGGCAGCCAGAGACTAGAGTTAAGAACTTTAGAAACCTACCTGGTGTTCTATTCTACTGCAACTGAGCTGCACTGAAACCATGAGACACAGCTCTTTTCACTATTCCTTTATCTTTCCACAGGCAGAGGGGGCTCATCCCATGGCCACCACCACCACAGGCCCATGCAGAGTATTGCCAGGCTATCGCTGACGTTCACTTAAGGCTTAATGGCTCTTCCGTCAGATTGTAGTGAATGCTGCCAGCCCTGGAACTCACCCTTTAGGGAAGTGGGCTCCCCTCTCACCCAGCCAGGTCCAGTAATGCTGTACAAAAGTCAAAATCTGGAGTTGGAAACCCTAGGAGCCCATTTGTTGCATTACCCCACTGTGGCTGAGCTTGTACCTAAGGTGCAAGATAAAGTCCTCTTTACTTTTCCCTCTGCTTTTCTTAAGGACAAGGAGTTTCTCACCATAGTCATCACAGATGAGAATATGCTATGTCTCATCTGAAGCCAGCATGTCTCAGAGTCTTACCCAAGGCCCATAGCACACTAACTGGGTGTTGTTGCTGGTTATTCAGGGCACAAGGGCTCTTCAATCATCAAGTGATGGATCTTTCTAGTACTGGGTCCTTCCCTTTAAGGTAGCAGTTTCCCTTCTGGCCCAGGGTGTGTCTAGAAATGTCATTAAGGAGTTAGGGCCTGGAATGGAGGCCTATTAACTCTTCCCTATGTCCTATCCTACTGTGACTAAGCTGGCATCCAACATGCAAGATGAAGTTCTCTTTACTCTTCCCTCTCCTCTCCTGAAGGAAGGGGTCTTTTTGGAGCTGTGAGCTGTGCTGCCTGAGGCTGGGGGAGGGATGGAACAAGTACTCCCTTAGCTGCCCCAGTTGGCATCTCAGTAGGACACGAGTCCCCCAAGCCCACTGGCCTAGAGCACAGCTCAGGACTAGAACTTGCCTATGAGTTGCAGTTCTTGTGGCCTACACTGCCTTTCAAGTTTATTTAGGGACCCAGAGCACTTTAGCCTCCTATGGTGAGGCTTTCCAGAACTCAAATTCTGACCTCTAGAATGGGCAATTTTCATCTCGTTATGGCTGATCTAAATGCTCCCTCTGTACACAGGCATTGGCGAATTCAGCCCAATTTTGCTTTTCACTATGACAGGGCAACACTGAGGTCAATGCAGAGTTTCACAATCACTACACTCTCCCTCTCCCAAGCACAAATATTATTAGTTTTTGATGTTATACAACTTCTGCCAGGGGATGGGGCAGGGATGACATTGGCAGTTCAAGACTGCTTTTCCTAGTCTCTTCAATGCCTCTTTCAGTGATATGAAGTTAAAATCAGGTACTGTGAACACTGATCTGATTTTTGGTCTTGAGAAGGTGGATTTTTTTTTAATGTAGATAGTTGTTAAATTTGGTGTACCTGCAGAAGGGACAATTGGTAAAGCCTTTTATTCAACTCTCTTGCTCCACCCCTTCATTATCAAATATTGATTCTGTCATTTATTAGCTGCATTGGCTTGAAAAGCATATGCAACCTCTTTGATTCTAAGCTATATTCTACAAAAAAAAAAACAGTAATTTTAGTACATTACCGTCAACTTTGCTATGTGATTAATAAATTAGAAGGCAAGTAAAAGCACCTCCTTAGTCTGGCATTGTAAGCACCACATAAATTGGATTATTTTTTCTCTTGTTCTTCTTAATATAGTTTGTGAGGTACATGTGTGTCCATGTGTATGCATGTGTGTTCACGTGTGCACATGTGTGTGTTTGTATTTGTATATGAGAGCCACGTTTTTTTATATTTAGAAGGTGGAAAGAGAGAACTTTACATCACAGGAGGATAGCATTTCATTGTTGCTGTTTAAATATATAAAGTGCATTAAATTATGTCTTATAAACTTTTTGCTTTCTGAACTTTGTTGGTTAATTTCTTCCAAGCTGTGTGCATGATAATTAGAGTCCTAAAGGTTCTAAATAGTTCTCTAATAGTAAAGAAAAAAATGTCTTAAAGTTGTAAGAAAATGTTGCTAAATTGACTACCTAGCAAATCCCGCCCTCTTTTTAACTTTCCAAGATTTATGGCACACATGAAATTAGCTTGAAAAGTAGAAGAGTCTCCTCACAGTGGCTCATCTCAAGGAGTTTGACCTTAACACTCAACTCCCTCTGATTAAATGTCTGCTCTGAATAATGAGCCTTTCAAGAACTAAGCCTCCTTGAATATGGGACACTAATATTGCACCATTCTTTTCTTCCCATGCAGACCACCCTGAATCTCAAGGTGAATTTTTCAGGGCAGCATAACCCATCCTAAACAGTTACAAGAATGGTGTGGACCCACACTTGTTGCCCAGTCTCAGAGGAGAGTCAGAAAGAGTTGATAGTTTTCAGGCCTCCGGCAGCAGCAGCTCTGCTGTCTCTGCCTTGTTTCCTCTGTGGACTTCTTTCCCTGGATGAAAAATTCCTTTCAGAGTCCACTCAACACTCAGTTATCTCTCAAAGGAGCTCAAAGGCCCCTGAATCCTGATATGATCTGGAAGAGACCAAAGACTCATCCTAGTCTAAGCCTTTAGAAACCTAGGTAAAGCATTAGGAGCTAACTCAAACCTCAGAGAAAATAAAAAAAATGCAAATGTGTGGCATGAGTATAAAGCTACCTTCACCACCACACCTAATAAATGATTCCATTCCTACATTTAATAAATATGTTCCATGTGGCCTGTGTTATGCTAGAAACTGAGATGACAGAGGTAAAATCAAACATGTCCTGTCTCATGAAGATACAATAAAATGGGGATGAGGGTGCAGGTAGCTACCTTTTTCACAACCGCTGACATTTGACCAAATGCAGTGTGTATTTCACTAAGACTCAACTTTTGGTTCACTCAGACCAGGCCCAACCAATCAAACTTGCCTCCCTGAGACTTGCATCATAGTCTGTGATCCTAAGAAACAGGCAGATTGGAAGCAATAACTTTGAAAGCCCAGATGCAAGAGCTTATGGTTTTCAGTGGCAACATCCAGTCTCCAGGGTTGAAGCTACAATATTGTTTGTTCATCAGCAGTGATGGCAGAGTCTTCCCTTGCTGGCTCTGTAGTATTTACTGGCTGTGGTTCTATATTCCTGCCTCATATCTAAACCTGGTTACCTAGCATTCTCTACAATTCTATGAACTACTCAATACCCTTTCAACAATTTGTTTTTAGTTTAAACAAACTGCAGTCAGTTTTTTTATTGCTTCCTATTTCTGTTATTTCTTCCTATTAAGACCCTAGCTGATGAAAACACTACGTGTAGGTGTGCCTTTGCGTGTGTGCATGTGTGTGCATGTGTGTGTGTAGGTATACAACTGTATTAGTCTGTTTTCACATTGCTGATAAAGACATACTCAAGACTGGGGAGAAAAAGAAGTTCAATTGAACTTACAGTTCTACATGGCTGGGGAATTCTCAGAATCATGGCAACAGCAAGAGAAAGAAGAGGAAGATGCAAAAGCAGAACCCCCTGTTAAAACCATCAGATCTCCTGAGACTTATTCACTAGCACATGAACAGTATGGGGGAAACTACCCCCACGATTCAATTATCTCCCACCAGATCCCTTCCACAACACATGGGAATGATGGGAGTACAATTCAAGATGAGATTTGGGTGGGAACACAAAGCCAAACATATCAGCAAATCTATGAAAAATGTTTAAATTATAAAAATGCTAAAATCACAAGGATCTTCTAGAATATAAACTTCATAAAAGCAGGACTTTCTCTTAATTTTTCTGTTGTACCAGGTATTTAATAGATATTTGTGCAGTGAATGTATAAATGAGTGAATGAATGGATATTTGTCAGTGGAATATCTGGATGCACACAGTTTGGGTAAACCTTTTAACCAATTGGTGGATTTGGACCCAAGAAAAATTTTCACGTAAATTCTTCATATTTTAAATAACTTTCTGGCTGCCTACTTTCACATTTTCCAGAAATATGCGAACACTTGATATTGTGAAGTCCGAGTTGCAGAATCATGCTGACATCTCATAATGCCTGAGAGAAAGGCTAATGTCCTCAACTCTGCACAACCAGTCCTCTAAATAAGTCTCCTTTTCTCTTTGGGACAAATACAAACCTCAAGGCAAAATCTAACAGAATCCTCTATATTCATTTCTGAGATAGAATGCTGTGGGTTTGACTGCAGGGGAAAAAGGAACAGATTTCTGCGAAATAATCTGACATACCCTTAATGTTGCCATTTTGTTCCATGTTCCTTATTCATATAATGCAGTGGTGTAGGAACACACAGCGCTGTGCATCAATTTCATCACTTGTGTTTTGCACACATTATGCTGGGAAAGAGAGCTAAACAGAAGCTAAACTCTGGCTCTGCAGCCTGCTTGCTTATAGCATGACAGCACCCATTGCAGGCTGTCACCTGCCAAGCACCCGCCTGCACGTCCAAGTACAGATGTTAAGTGAACTTCCCCACCAGTAAGAAGGCATCTATCAACGTGCTTCCCGGTCAGCTGGCATCAGTTAATGAGGACTTTATGCACTTCAGAATAATAACAGTAGAACTAGCTGGCAAGTCTGAACTTAGAAGAAAAATCTATAGTTTTCTTTTATAAAATAAAATCTGGCCTATTATTTCAGCAAAAGTAACAATAACAGGATCCTGAAGATACCACCTTCAGCAATCAAATTCATTCTATGGGCATAACGGCTGAAATCTATTTTTCCTTCTGATTGCTTATTAGTTTAGTACTGGAATATGCACTTTTACCTATTATTTTACCTAAATTTGAATACAGTAGAGGGAAGTCTCCTTGATAGTAGAGAAACTCATTCCACAAAAATAATTTCCTAAAGCCATTTATTCTGAAAAGAGTAACTTAAAATACACACATACACACACATACTCTGCCTTATTTATTTCACCCTGTAATTATATTTTTAGATGATTTCTTGTGTATTTTCTCACTTTAAAATGAAAATTAAAGGTCTGATGACTTGGGTGGATTTAATTTGCCCAGGGAGTGGAACTCCCACCCCAGTTCTGCAATAGTGAATTTGTTACTATGTCATTACTCAATCTATAGAATTATAGGATGCTAGTGTCACTTGTTTTTATCATGGTTTATTTGTTTTATTTTGTTTTGTTTTGTTTTGAGACGCAGTCTCACTCTGTCACCCAGGCTGGAGTGCAGTGGTGTGATCTCAGCTCACTGCAACCTCCGCCTCCTGGGTTCAAGAGATTCCCCTGCTTCACCCTCCCAAGTAGCTGAGATTACAGGTGCCTGCCATCACACTTGGCCAATTTTTTTGTATTTTTAGTAGAGATGGGGTTTCACCATGTTGGCCAGGCTGGTCTCAAACTCCTGACCTCAAGTGATCCACACACCTTGGCCTCCCAAAGTTCAGGAATTACAGGTGTGAGCCACCGTGCCCGGTCTATTTGTTTTTAAATATCCCATTATGTAGTTATATGAATCATCTGGGGGAAAGAAAACATCATCAGAAGGTACTGCTTTGTCCAGATCATGCACTTTCTTTCTGTGTCTTTAAACAAATGTGAACAAAAAACAGAAATAAACTTACAACTATTCAGGGCCAGAAAGAATTGAAGCTATCATTTAGCTCAATACTGTTTTAACATATGGGGAAATTGATACTCAGAATTCTCTTATCAAGTATCTCCAAAGTCACATTGTTAAGCAGAAGGAAAGCCTGGCTGGCTCCTGGTTTCTCTACCTGGTCCAAGGCTGTTTTCAGATTTAATGACTTTCAGTTCCACTAGTTGCTTTTTATCACGATCTTTGTGAATAAAATTGAGGCTCAGTGTGAAAAGCACAGGACGAGCTATGGGAGAGGGATAAATTCTCTAAGGGCATTTTCATAAATGTGTGCAGAATGACTGCTTACTTATTATGTACATTTATCAACCTTGAACTGCATCGGCCTTTCACTTGGTATGAAGTGAGTATCTCACCAATAGAATCTTCATTTTAATGGAGGTTACGCACATGTCCTATTATTTTACTAAACAGAACTCCTACCATTTTCTTAGACACATGTACTATTTTCTGGTATAAAATGTCTATTCCTGCATTTCCTGATGTCTAGATTTCTCTTTCACAATTCCTTTTCCCAAATTCTATTTGCTAGGATGTTATTTATCTTTCAGCATCAAATCAACTGATGCCTTTTCATGGTGTTCTAACTGGTCCTCTCTGTCCCTTAAAATCTTCATGTTTTACTTAGAATTAGAGTTATAGAGCATGTATCTTACTTGTGTAATGTTCAAAGCATCTAGCATTTATTTAGCAAAAATGTGTTAAAGCCAATTCAGTTTCTCAAACGGTGTTAGCCAATAAACATTAAAAAATGTTGCAATAATGAATAACTGAATGGCATCTATAAATCCATCTGGGACTGTCCTTTGAAAAGCAACTTCTACAACCCTAGCTGCTCTCTAGACTGCTACATTGACGCTCCATGCCCTGGTTGCTATATCTTTTTGAGCAGCAGGTGTGCCCAATGCCATAAGATCAACACTGCGTAAAAATTGGCCTCTGGGGCTGGGGGCAGTGACTCATGCCTGTAATCCCTGTACTTTGATAAGCCGAGATGGGTAGATCTCCTGAGGTCAGGAGTTCAAGACCAGGCTTGCCAACAGGGTAAAACCCCATTTCTACTAAAAACACAAACATTAGCTGGGCGTGGTGGCGGGCACCTGTAGTCCCAGCTACTCAGGAGGCTGAGGCAGGAGAAACGCTTGAACCTGGAGGCGGAGGTTGCAGTGAGCTGAGATTGCACCACTGCACTCCAGTGTGGGTGACAAGAGTGAAACTCCATCGCAAAAAAAAAAAAAAGAAAAGAAAAGAAATTGGTCTCCAGAATCCTCTGATTGCTCTGTCTCCAAACTGACCTTTACAGTCCAATTTATCTTGTATTCAACTTCCTACATATTTTTAATCTCTTTGATTTTTAATGCTGCTCCTTTATTCCCTCATTCCTTAGGCCCTTTCTTCTTTCTTTAAATCTAACACTTAATTTTCCTTCTCCAAATCTGTGTAGAGCTTTCCGTCCTTGATAGTGCTGTGCTTTTGACTTGACTTCTTTACATTTTTGCCAGACAGCAAATATCTCTTCACATGCAACATGTAATTAAATGAACTCAATTTCTTCACAGAAAAATTACCATTCTTCTGGTTTTCCAACACTTGCCCAGCTCTTATACAAGCAATAATACTTTTTTTACCCAACGGTATTGACAACACTTTGTACCAGAATTGTGTTTCTTCCCATACTTGCAGCCATCATTCCTTTGGCTAATGCTGATTCGTCCTCTGTTGCAGGCACTGCACTACTTTCTCTGAGGTACCTACATAAATGAGACATAGTTCCTTCCTTCAAGGGCCTCACCGTGTAAAGTGGATAGTATACATATAAAGAGATCATGATTACAGTGTGAAGAGCACTTGATGATAGAAACCACCAAGATTCTGAAAGCATCAAGCTGAGCATCACTCTCAATGTTGCATGGTATCAGAGAAAGCTTTCTTCAGCAGGTTGTGCTTGAATAAATTTTATACAAAAGTTTCAATTAGTTATAGAAGCTGTTACAGGGTAAAACAGGCTTGATACATCTTTGAATCTTCTCAAATCATGCAACACAAATGTCAAATAAAAAGCTTAATGATTGAATTATGACTCTACATGTGTTCTTAATCTTCCCTTTCGACAATATTTCAAATATGAATTTGCAACTCACATTTCTATATTTCTGCAATAGTATTTCTGCAATATTTCTGTAGTATTATATAATATTTCTATAACACATATTGTTGTAATAGTCTGTCTTCAGCATCTTCTCCTATCCCCATCCTACAGTCATTCTCTAGGTTTACATCTGATTAATCTCACCAAAGCATTACTTTTTAAGTGTGTATCCCTGAGGCCTATTCAATAAGCTCTAAACTCCACAACCAAACATTCCATGCCCCAATACTGAGACCCCAATCTATTTTTCCAAACATTACTTTTCTGTGCAAACTATTTGCAGTAGTCAATTTAGTCTATACCTTTCCTCTGAGATATATTATTCAGTTCTTCAGAGTGTTCAAAGCTTCTTTAAGGGGTTTATAAAGCACAGCAATAGACCAGTAATAAGAAGAAACGGTGGGTTCCCAGGAAGATGTTCAGGAATGCAAGGACCAAAATGTTACTGGAATGAGTGAGACAGGAAAAAAAAAAAAAAAAAGAAAGAAAGTGTCAGTGAAAGGTGTTCTTTGTTTACTCGAATTACATGGAACCCTTGAGTTTCCAGAACTGACAAGGACAAGTTTTTGCAAAATGTTCAGCACTTTTAACTTAGCTTTTTTTAAAATACTGCAAAAAAATTTTTTTCTTTTAATATTTGTAGCTCTACTCCCTCTGTCTGAAAGAGTGAAGGCAGCAGGAAAACACAAATATAATAGAGGAACAGTATGTCAACTATTTTCAACCATGCCAGGAATCATTAAAATTGAAATCAGGGGCTTCAAGTGTTATCAGCTTTGGTGATTCATTCTATCTTAATGCCTGCTTTCTTTGCTCCTAATGATCTCTCCATTCTGATTCCTGCACCTTCACCTCTGTGACTGCTAGCATCTGAAAAAAACCTTAATTTTTTTGCTGGTTGTAGCAACTCATTGCAAATGTGGAACTTTAGCCTTTATTTATTTATTTATTTATTTTTTGAGATGAAGTTTATCTCTTGTCATCCAGGCTGGAGTGCAATGGCATGATCTCGGCTCACTGCAACCTCCGCCTCCCAGGTTCAAGCTATTCTCCTGCCTCAGCCTCCCAAGTAGCTGGGATTACAGGCACCCACCACCAGGCCCGGCTAATTTTTTTGTATTTTTAGTAGAGATGGATTTTCGCCATGTTGGCCAGGCTGGTCTTGAACTCCTGACCTCAGGTGATCCACCAGCCTTGGCCTCCCAAAGTGCTGGGATTACAGTCATGAGCCACCACACCCATCCAACTTTAGCCTTTATTAATCCCCTCTACTTCTGTATTCTGTAGTTGAATTACAGCATAGTCTGTAATCTATCTCCTGATTCTCTGGCTTTTGGTATGGTGCAATCTTATTAAAATTTCTGGATGGAAGTTGGTCATACATTTTGTAGATCAGCGAATTCAATAAATGTTTAGTACATGCAAACACACACATACAAGCATGCACACATGCACCCACAAAAAGCAGATTTCTTTTTAGACAGAATTTTACAGCTGTTATGGAGTAGTGGTATTTAATATATGAGCTGTTGCTGCATAGTGGTGTTCAGCATATGAGCTGTTACGGAGTAGTGGTGTTTAGTATGTACCACAACAAAATATGACTGTAGGAGACCAGAATATGCCACCCCAAAATATGCCTCTTTAGCATAAGGATTATTTTGAACTGATTAATTTGGGCAACAGCAAAGATAAAAGAAGCTCTGAAAACAGTAGAAGTTGTCCTTTCACAAGAGCAATTTATATCTATAAAGGAAACATCCATTTGTAAGAATGTCTTCTTCTCCGTAGCAGGAAGGGAAGGATGACTCTCAGTCACTAGAAACGCTCATCTATAGAGAAGACATGGACCAACCTGCATAACAAAACTTATCCTGCTTCCTGTGCTTCTGTGGTCATCTTCCCATTAACTGCTCCTTACCCAAATACTCTTATCATTTCAGCTGAAGATGGCATTTAAGCCTAAATTTAAGCCACTTCTTTGAGATTTACTCATTTTCCCTGGATATCTTCTATGTACACATGAAGTATACATGTTATTAAACTTCTGTTTGTTTTTCTCTTGTGAATCTTTCTTTTGTTACAGGGATTTGTCCCAGCTAAGAACTATGAAGGGTAGCGAATGCCAACATAAAACAGTCAAAAGGCTCAGCATCCGGTTAAAAGAGTTTACTCAAGCACAAAGGTAGGGCAGCTGACAAGGGAGCAGAATTACACCAAAGAATAGTGATCAGTGCTCCTAGTGTGGGGGAAAAATGAGGATTGTTTCTATAAGCAAAAATGGAGGGGCTGAACTATAACATTTTCCGTACAAAGGCTAACATACAGATATAAGATTTGATTGGCTACTATTGATTACACTCTAAAAGGCTTGCTTAACATTCTGTCATAAAGGGTAATAGTCACAAGGGTCTCTATCTTCATGTCATCTAGTCTAGGTTTGAATGAAGAACAGGGAGTCTGGTCAAGGTATAAAGTCTCAACGCAAAGGTCAGTAAGCAGTAGTCAGGAACCAGAGAAGAAAAACAGTTGTGTTATGCAAGCCCGTTTTCAAGGTTTAACTTTCCCCCTTGGCATAGTAAATTTGGAAGGTCCTGAGGTTTTATTCTCTTGTCACAGGAGAAAATTATTTTTCCTCCTGTGACAAGAGACAATAAAGCAGGCAGCAGGTCCCAAACACTCCCCTTCCTCGGGTTGCCACTACACTCAATATTTATAGCATTCAGGCACTGTATTATGCTTATCTCTACTTTTCACTTCCTCCTCCCCTGGAGGGCTCCAGGAAGGTAGAGAATATCCCCTTCGTTTCTGAATCTCCATACCAGCCTACTTGTGGCATGTCACAAATGCTTAATGTCTGTGGGCTGACTGAGTCAAGGGCTATTTTTTAGAATTGGGAACTAGACATGATTTCATGCTTAAAAATTCCTCTAAAGTAGAGCTTCTAAGTTCTTGTTTTATAATATATCTTTCTCCATATTCTTTAGGAGTTTGAATGGTATTTATGAGAAATTCTAAAATAATTTCTAAATTATTTTATGATACTTTGAGAAATTCTAAAATATTTCCAAATTAGAAATAAAAGACCTATGATGAATTTAGTTTTATTTAGAAAAAGGTGTGCTTTTGCAGAAATGAATACCCAGAGCAAACACAATGAAAATGCCAACGAGGCCTTGCTTATCTGCAGTAGGTGTTACACACACGCACACACACACACACACTCACACACACCAGGCCACACACATACTCCTCTGTTTTCTTGTAATCAGAGAAACTGGTTTTCATATTGTGGGCATGGATCAGAGGAAAGCTCACTCGACAGTAAATTCATTTCCACGACATAAAGATATTAAATATACTCAAGCTCACTAGTAATTAGAAAAACACAAATATTAGTAAAATTAAATGCCATTTTTAATTTTCAGACTGACAAGTTCAAAAACAAAACAAAACATCTAGAGCTGGTAAGAATGAGAAGACATGTATTGTGGATAAAAATGCATTTTTGGACGGCAATTTGTACACACCCTTTAGTAACTACTTCAAACAGTCTTTCCCCAGAATGCATGCAAAGGCATAAAAGAATATCCACTGCAGGAGAGTTGGACTTAGCCAAAATAACAAACGATGTCAAGTCTGCGTGTATATCAGGAAAAGAATGTTTAAATTATTCATAATGCATCTGTGCAAAGAATATTATATAAGCAATAAACAGAATGAAAAGGCCATTATGTATTAATTTGTCCACATGTATTATGAAACAAAACTCATGACAGAACAATATATGTAGAATGATCTCTCTCTCTCTCTCTCTCTCTCTCTCTCTGTCTTTCTCTCTTTCTCTCTCTCTCTCTCTGTGTATTCCATTACATACATTTCTGGAAAGGTATACATCCAACTTTTACCATTGTATAAGTATTGCAATCTATGTTTGAAGGGGAGAGATGCCGTGTAGGCACTTTTATGTATTTATGTGCTTAAAACCAATAAAAACATGGAGGATAAATTTAAGGAGACTTTTTATATACACAGGTTTATACTGCTTTCTGAATGATAAAATAAACTAATCCATTAATTAGTTGAAAATTGTGTTTTTTAAATTTTAATAAAAGCCTTCAAATAATCAAAGCGTTCAAATAATAAAAGCCTTCAATGTTTAGGGCATTCACAAATTATATCCCTTTTCTTAGTCCAAGTGTGGCTTAAAGCTCCACTCCAGGGCCTTCAGACTTCCAGAACCGAGTGCCTTGGGAAGAGCATGCTGGGCTGATGGCTTCTGTTTCCAGCTTTTCGGTTTCTACAGCTGTAATTTAGCCTCAGCTATAACTCCAGGGCATGAGGAAATCATAGCCATTTAGCATTCTCCCTAGGGGCTTATTAGTTGGTTCTAGGTGCCACAAGATGAAGATATATATATATATATCTTCATCTCTCACAGTCTTGGCAACTACCACTGATGATGCAGGCTACAAATATTTTAATTATGTATAATTCCTCCAAAAATGATATTTAGTTTATTGTGAAGTTCTGATGGCTGTAACCTCAAATGATGATAATTCTGTAAGTTCCACCAAGAATTCAGACAACCTATATGTGCAAAAAGCCAGAGTTTAAAGACAAAACTTATGGTTTAGGTACTTCAAATATATCATATATATGTGTAATATTCCTTATCCCAACTTCACAAGTGAGGTGTGAGTCCCCATTATACAGAACAGAAACTGAGGTTGAGCAGGATTAAGTAACTGTCTCAAAGTTATATAGTCGATAAATGGGTATACCAGGATTAGGATCTAGTTTTGTCTGACTCCCAAACTTACACAGTTTCTTCTGGAACATGTTCCCCTCCAAAGCATTCAGCTTTAGTGAAGAAGGCATTGGGGATCAGAAACCTATACCCCAAAATATGGCGCTTCAACTTGCTGAACTGAAGAAGCCGCTCAAGGTCTCTGTGACCCTCCCCAGCTCCACCCTCTCTCTTCCAAAGCACAGGATAAAATCGTTCTCTAAAGTGTCCTAATCTGCCTAAGGTCCAGACCACCAAAAGGTGGTGACAGTGACTTCTGGTCCCTTCCCTGAGTTTTCATTAACTGAATCTCATATCGCAGGAAGAAAAACTGAAGCTTGTCAACGCAGCTGGGCAGACTTTTGTCACAAACTATTCTGTGGGCCCGCCGGACTTTGTCCCAGGCCATTGTATGTTTTTCAAATCCATTGATAATCCTAAAGATAATTTACTAACCCCTCAAAATCATCCATACTTCCCCATCTCCCTTTCTCCTAGGAAGAGGGTATATAAGGACCTCTACCTCATTGGGTAGTGAGGTAATCACTGTGGGATTTCCCCCTTGTGCGTGTTAGTACATTTCTATACCTTTCCTCCTATGAATCTGCCTTTTGTCAGTTGATTTTCAGTGAACCTTCAGAGGACCAATGGGCAGTTCTCCCTTTGCCTCTACAAAAACTAATGAACTTTCCTTTTTACTCTCTAGGCATGACTTTTCTAACCACCAACTTTAATTTCAGTCATCTGTGTGGTTGCTAATTGGGAAGAACCCCACCCATCCCAATTATATTAGGCTAGGCTGATGCTCAAAATTGATGTTATCCTATAAGCCCCAGAGTCTCCCCTGGTCTATAGAATCCCAAGTATCAGGCATTGAGGTGGAGAAAACACCAATTAAAGAGAAACTAACCACAACCTCCACTAACCAAAGATACTTGCTAAAAAACAATTTGGAAGCAAACCAAAAATTACCTTTATCTGGACCCAGAAACCCACCTTTCAGAGGTTGGTGCAAGTCCATGGAACCCCTCATCCCCTGTATATTTTTTAGTTTCCTGCAATCCAAGCCAGTGAGCCTGTTTGGGCAGGTGGGGTTGTAGCACAGTTTGAGCACTGGAAACAACTCAGGTTAGATCTCGAAGACCTGGTGTGGAACTCGGTCCTCTTATTTCTCCTCAGTGTTACAATGGCTAGATGACTCAGACTTTTTTAGTTAATGCTGCCACAAAGAGTTTGCAGGGGATTGGAGATGTTTACTGTAAATTTCTCCCACCATGTATTTATTCACAAATGAACTAAAAAAAAAATCATTCATGAACAGTCCTGAGTGCCTCCAGTACCTGATATATGCCTGAAGAAGTTGATTCCTGGATCACTGTCTAGAAGGTAGGGGGTGGGGTTGGAGAGGCATACAGGAGAACAGGTAATTACAAATATGTTTGGCCTAAACTACCTGATCATTATATAATAGCTATTGTGACTTTCTTAATGTCACACAAAAACCCTAGCAAGACAAATAATGATCTAATCATAATAGTATGTTATATTTATCTAGAAGGTGGGGCCTAGGGGCAGCAGGGGCTTGATTCAAACATTTTAACAAGATTTTCAAAGCAGAAATGTCTAAAATTTATAATTGATATGTAATCATTGTACGTATTTATGGAGTATAAAGTGATGTTTCAATACATATATAAATTATATAATGCTCAAATCAGGGTAATCAGCATATCCATTGCCTTGAACATTTATCTTTTCTTTGTGATGAAGACATTCAAAACCTCTCTTTTAGCTATTATTATAAATGTGGTTTAGCTTAAAGCTTTAATTAAGAAGTTCAGCTAAACATGGCCCTCATTTATATTTACCAAGATGTTACCAGAATGATTTTTCTGATTTTGGTTAAAAAGGAATTGAAGAAAAATTGGCCTCAATGATGTGGGACCACTTTTCTTAAAAGTAGATCCAATCTCCATTCTGCACAAAATACATGCTATGTTTGCAATATTCCTTCATCTATAGTAGGTTTATATAAAAAGTAAACAAGATATTTTACAATCCATATTTAGTGATGTGCTTATACAATTAGAGACTTTTATGAATCACCTTCATTGTGCATTTAAACAGTTCATAAAAGTTATGAGTCCAATGTATTTACCCCTTTTTGTTATTGTAAACCTTCAACTATAATGGCAGTGAGAACAAAGAAACAAAAATATGCATGTTCTAGAGTCTTCACACCAACCCTTTCTTCAATTATGCATGAATTAACAGAAATGAATTTGCAGCGTTTTATTTCTTGGTGTAATGGAGCTCAAGTATTTCATAAAGTGTAACCATACAGCAAATTCTGAGCTCATTTTAGAATAATTAGCACATTGATGTTACTTGTGTAGTTAAAAGAAAATGTTAAAATTTTCCCATTGTAAGCAGTTTTTGAAGGCTCACTCTGTTCTCTAAAGTGAGTAATCTTTCATTCTGAAGAAAGCTGGAAGCTCCATCTTCCCTGCATTTCATCTTCTTCCTCTTATACCTCGATTAAACTACTAGTGCTTATTCAGACAAGTCTTAATTACAGACCTCAAGCAAGTGAAAGAGCCTCTGTAGATAAAGTCAGTAATTTTTTTAAATGATGCCTTTACCTCAAGTTACTCCTGTTCAGTCCTTTGAATAATGAAAGCTCAGCTAAGGGAGACATAAAATTTGCACCTTAAAATGTCTTCATTTAACATTCTTACCAAAATTTGACATTCCCATATAGCTTTCCCCAATCCTTTCCATAAAAGGCAAGTCCCTCTCTTGGGAGAAGGAAGAAACTAACATTTATAGAGCTTCTACTATATGTCAGACACACGACTGTGCGAGGTATGCGCCACTCCTATTTCTTTGGCTGTTAGCATAATTCTGGAGGTTACCATAGTCATTCCTGTTTTGCAAATAAAGAGAGCAAGGCTCAAAAATGTTAAGTAAGTTTCTCAAAGTCATAGAAGCCAACCAGGACAAAGGGAGGACTTAATTCAAATGAGTCAGTCTGGACTCTTCCTAACTCTAGAAAATATTTCTGAGATAACAGAAAACATTTTTGGTAGAAAACTGAGAGATGGCCAAGGGGAACTTGGCAAAACTGTAGAAGCTTCTGTTGAGGTTTGCACTATAAATTATTTGGATATGTTAGACACAGCTTCCCAGATAGGATTTTGATAGATGCAACTGTAGCAAACAAAGAAAAAAATGAATAAGAAATAATGTGATTGTTTTTAAATTCCATCAAGCACTTACTGAATGATTAAGACATGCCAAAAACTATGCTGGGCTTCAGGAATAATACTTTCACCTAATTGGATGGATTCTTTTCTTACAGAGCTAGAGTTAAACATGAGAACTAGGTAAGCAAAGGGCATACTTTATAATCTAATGAGACGGGTATAACATCAGGATCTAGTGAGACAGATGTTAACGCCAGAACTTTTGTTCACAGATGTAACCCAAACACCTAGAACCTGGCACAAAATAGGTGCTCAACAAATACAAACAAAAGAGAGCTAGGAATATCTAGGAGGAGGACTTCACACAAATTAAGTGGGGAGAGTGTGTGAAGTATGAGGCATTCTTGTGGTGAGGAATAGTATGTGCAAAGGCTAGTAAGAAATAAGTGAGTCTGGGCAGCTCCTTCTCTAGGAAAGAAAATGCTTAGAGTAGAGGCTAAAGGGATCAAGGACAGACACTAGACAGCAACGCAGAAAATAGAGTGAACAATACTTTTTGGAAAAGGATGTTCAGAGTTGGATATATTCTGGATCAGATTGCTGGATCTCTGGTCCTGAGACAAATGTATTGGATTAAAGCAAGACTTTCAAAGTACTTTTCCAAGGATTCATTTCTTAAGTAATGAAAATGCATTGACATTGCAATATATTAATACATTGCTTTGGTATAATATATTAAGTATGTGATATTGTAATATAATAAGAAACATATTTAGTCCTTGTCCCAGGTTCCTGGCAAAGGCTTCTAAAATTCTTGTAACCTCCTGAGTGGTGGCGGTGAGAGAAACATCTTTTGATATCCATAGTCAGCCCTTTCAACTGTACCTGAGTTTATGCTAAGGCAGTGAATTTCCATGGGCCCTACATAGCTTTAAGTTGGGGGCTGGTGACCAAAAGAACCAAGCACATGAGTAGAGGGTTGGAACTTTCAACCTCACCCTAACCTCTGGGGTCAGAAAAGGGGCAGGAGAGATTGAATCAATCACCAACAGCCAATGATTTAATCAATCATGCCTATGTAATGAAACTGTAATAAAATCCCAAAACAGAGTTCACAGAGCTTCCAATTTGGTGACCATATGGAGATGGTGGGTGGGTGGCACAGCTGGAGAGGGCCTGGAAGCTTCACACATAACCCTCATACCTCACCCTATGTTTCTCTTCCGGCGTTTTATGAGTTATATCCTTTATAAAAATAAACTACCAGTAGTAAGGAAACTGGTCTGCTGAGTTCTGTAAACTGTTGTAACAAATTATAGAACCCAAGGAGGGGGTTGTGGGAACTCCCAATTTATAGCCAGTCAGTCAGAAGTATGAGAAATCCAGGACCTGCAGTGGTCATGTCAAGTGGGAGCAGTCTTGTGGGACTGCACCCTTCACCTCTGGGTTCTAAAGTTAGCATCAGAATTGAACTGAATTGTTGAACACCCACTTGATGTCTGGAGAGTTAGTTGAAGAACTGGTTGTTGGTGTAGACAAAACCCACACATTTGGTGTCAGAAGTGTTTTGTGGGCAAAAACAGATCATAATAGAATTGGGAGAAGCAAAGTGTTTTTTTTATTGTTATTTACTATAGGATAATATGCTTTATAAATCCATCCAAATGGAAATATTACGTAAATGATTTTTAAGCTTATTTGACAAGTAACTTGGGAAACCAGGAAATCTAGAAAACATGAAGCACTTAACTAAAGGCACTGTGTAAGATCAGCTACAACTCCCAAGTCTTGCTCCACTCATTAGTTTTGTAATTTGCTGGGTGGCTATGGAGCAGGCTTAGTATCTGCAGTAGTTAGGGTAAACTCTGGATACACATATATCCAATAATTGTACGTCTTTTTCGTCTTTTTTTTTTTTTGACAGTGTCTCTCTCTGCAGCCCAGGCTGGAGTACAGCAGTGCCACATCAGCTTGCTGCAACCTCTGCCTCCCAGGTCCCAGGTTCAGCCAATTCTCCCACCTCAGCCTCCAGTTGCTGGAACCACGGGCATGCGCCACCACTCCCAGCCAATTTTTGTATTTTTAGTAGAGATGGGTTTCACCATGTTGATCAGGCTGTTCTCGAATTCCTAGCCTCTAGTGATCTGCCCGTCTTGGTCTCCCAAGATGCTGGGACTACAGGCATGAACCATCACACCTGGCCATGAATTGTAGGTCTTTTCATTACCCCCTGCCATGTTGGCTAAATCTCTGTATCTTGGTTTGACCTTTAGATTTTCGTTGCTCCATACCCACTGGTTTCAGATTCTTACTGAAAATGGATATTTGGCCAACCCTACCCTTTATAACTGGAAACCCATCACTTTACCTAATTTTAATAAAGCATCTTTTCAAATGAGTGAAACTTGCTTCTATATGCTCTTGGAATGTACTTTTCACTAGAGACCCCTATCCCTGACTTATACAAAACACTGTTACATTCAGTTTACTCTTGTTTTGGGTATCCTACAGAGTTGAACCTCCTTATATATCATATGGTTGTAAATCACAACTAAACTTACTATCTGCATTTGAATAATACTGTTTACAAAACCACTGACCATCGGCTGGGTGTGGTGGCTCACACCCGTAATCCTAGCATTTTGGGAGGCTGAGGCAGGCAGATTACCTGAGGTTGGGAGTCCAAGACCAGCCTGGCCAACATGATGGAAACTCTTCTCTACTAAAAATGAAAAAAAAAAAAATTAGCCAGGTGGAGTGGTGTGTGCTGGTAATCCCAGCTACTCAGAAGGTTGAGGCAGGAGAATCACTTGAACCAGGGAGGTGGAGGTTGCGGTGAGCAGAGATCGTGCCACTGCACTGCAACCTGGGTTACAGAGCGAGACTTTGTCTCAAAACAAAACAAAACAAAAAAACAAAACAAAACAAACAAAACAAACAAACAAAAACTACTGATCTTCCATCTTGAAGCCTAGCCCTTCGATAAAGTCAGAATCCTCAGCTCCAGACCTCCTGGTATGGGCATATCCTCCCCTACTCCAATCTGCCACCATGTTGTCATAAGCTATCCTAATTTGAAGCTAAGACACCTTGGACAACCGACAAGAGAAAAAAGCACAAATAGTTACTAACACAATATTTATCTTTGCACATTTATTGACTATGATTTGTTTTGTTCCTTCCAGATCATTGCTAGTAGGTGGCTAACTTTCACATGAGGTGATGACAACCCCATTGTCTTCACATTCAAATTGCCTTTTCTTTACATGGGTGTCACTTTCCTTGGTCCTTCCATAGTAGCTGACATTGCGTCTTTCTTAAGTCACAGATGTTTATCTTCATGTCTTATCTTCCCAGTTGAAAGTTCTCCATATTCCTTATTCATCAGATTTTTTTGAGCAGGTTTTAGATAAGCTTCAAGGCCACATTTTGGGCATCTGATAAAATTGTCCTCAATGGCTGGAGCTTTTTGCTAAATTTCCGTTAAGTGTCTTTTAAATATTAAGGCTGAGGCTATTGCTAGAGCTTAAGTTTTGCACAGGTTGGTTTCTTTAGCCAAATTTAATTTAAAATTCATAGAGACACACTCATATATATACATATTCACATAGTTCTTTATTACTATAATTCTCATTGTTGGTCAAGTTTGTTTTTTTGTTTCATTTTGTTTTTCAAAATTGTCCAGGCCAAAATTGCTAATAATAGCTTATAGAATATTGCAACTACAAGTAGGAAATCCCTTAATTTGTGGAATATTACAATGATGTTATAGTAAGAAAGCCAATAATTTCCACAAATTTAACCTATGATTATCCATACATTCTTCCAAAATTTTAAAAAAAGTTATCAGAAGAAATAACAGCAAAATGTTCACTAAATAATTAATAATTCTGCAGAACTCTATGCAGTACTCTGGTCAAATGCTGAATTGCTGTGGCTCATATTCCACGCCTAAGAAGGGCCTGCCACTCTGCCTGTGTGTCTGTAGAGAGGCCCAGCTAGTGCCAATATGGATGTCAAGTCCGTTTACAACCAAGCCACAGGAATCATAAAGAAAAAGAGAAAGTTAGGTGACAATTCCAAGAAAGGCTACCTTCAACTTGTTAAGTCTTCCATGAAAAGTTTAAAATTATGAGCCAGGGAGCCTAAGTTAAAATGCAATTAAAATGCAGAGATCCCTCTTCTTCTTCTTTTTTTTTTTTTTTTTTTTTTTTTTAATTTTGATATGGGGTCTCACTCTGTCATCCAGGTTGGAGTGCGGTGGTGCGATCTCGGCTCGCTGTTCCTAAGCTCAAGTGATACTCCTGCCTCAGCCTCCCAAGTAGCGGGATTACAAGTGTGCACCACCACACCCAGCTAACTTTTGTATTTTTAGTAGAAACAGGGTTTCACCATGTTGGCCAGGCTAGTCTCGAACTTCTGTCCTCAAGTGAAGGGATCCCTCTTCTAATTATCTCGTCTCCATATCTAGGACCAATCTGATTAGCAATGTCCACTTTGGAGTGTTCATAGAATGTAGAAGCAGGAATAGAGTAAGTTTTGCACAGGTACTAGCCAGCGGGTTCTGAATATCTCATGAGGAAAGAAACTCTATGGATACCAATAAAGTACCATGATTGTTTTGGCAGATATTATGTTGATAGTTTGAGTTATCCAGTGTGGCTATAACTAGTGTTATTATCAAAGACAATCGACCTGTGGGTAAGACAAGGTCCGTTCATAATCTTAGACAAAGCAAATTATGACTTGGTCTTGGCTTGAATAGAAAATTTGGGGGAAGATAGGAGAGATGCTTTTGGAGACCTTGAACTCCCAAAGCAACCTTTCATTCCTTAGACAGAGTCCCACATGGAGAGGCCAAAGTTGGGGTTCAACTCAAAAGGGCAGAGCTTTGGGGAATATATGTGGCCGCTGCAGATTGTGTTTTCTCAGCCAGTGCTGAGGAGCATCAAATCAAAATCCTGTTGTAGCAGGAACATTTGAGATTGAAAGAATCTTTTTATGTCATTGGTGATGTAGATAAGATAAAATAAAACCAGAGGAATAAGAACAATTAACAAAAGAAAAAAAACGATGGAGGAGAGGGTGGTCACAGCTTCTCTCTGGTCCTCTAAAGATGTAGATTGAGATGTTCCAAAAACAGAGACAGCACAAGGCTAAAGGCCTTACCCTTCTTCACAATTTAGGGGACAATCATATGGCAAAGATCAATGCCCAGTCTAGGGAAGGTCTGCAGCAGCAGGAAGGGGCTAAGTTGCTCTTGGGCCTCTGATAGGGTTAGGAAAATCCTTCAGCTAAACAAAAGACACTGGATGGGAGAATTATCCCAACTCAGTTAAAGGTAACAGTTTCTCCAGACAATTTGTCTGGAATGCCAGACATCCTTGTGGGAGAAAATGCTGAACAGAAGAGACTCAACTTGCTTACTCCATTCTAATTCTCTCAATTCTAATTTCTTTATGTAAATGTGTAAGAATCTGTTACTGATTTTTGTTTGTAACAGCAGTATGGATGTAAGTAATGTAAACTGGATTCTGGAAACATATTGCTATGGATAAAATACTTTCCTTGCTGAGAATTTTAAGATATGTTTATATATCTTTTTGATTCACTAGAATTTTAGAAAAGTGGAACACCTGTGTGGCAAGGCCTCAGATCTACTTTGGAGATATGGAAGGAGCTATTCTTATTGCAAAGGGGAATGGCTCAGACCCCATCAAGCCACCGGGTGCAACGCTTCTTGCTTAACCAAGCAGCAGTCGTCAGAGGAAGTATTTAAGCTCTGTGAACTTTGAAGCTATAAATTCTGTGATTTCATTTTTTTATGTGAGATACATTGTATCATAAAATTTGTTTCTGTAAGTGTGTAATTCAGTAGTGTTTAGTACATTCACAGAGTTGTGCAACCATCACCCCTATATAATTCCAGAGTATTTTCATATCCTGGAAAGGAACCCCATACCCATTAGCACTCACTCCTAAGTGCTCACTCCCTTGCCTCTGACACCCACTGATTTGCCTTATAAGTCTATGGATTTGCCTTTTCTGGACATTTTATATAAACAGAATCATATAGTATGTGGTCTTTTGCATATGACTTCTTTTATTTAGCATAATGTTTTCAAGATTCACCCATTGTACTCATTTGCTTAAACTGCCACAACAGAGTACTGAAGACTGGATGACCTAAACAACAGAAATTTGTTTTCTCACCATTTAGGAGGCTGGTAGTCTAAGAAGAAGGTGTCAGCAGGGTTGTTTCTCCTGAGGCCTCTCTCCTTGGCTTGGAGATAGCCATCTTTTTCTGGTCTCCATACATGGTCTTCTCTCTGTGTGTTTCTATTCTCTTCTTCTTATGAGGATTCAAGTAATATTGGATTAGTGTCCACACAGCCCCATTTTAACTTAATTACCTCTTTAAAATCCCTATTTCCAAATTCAGTCACATTCTAAGGTACTGGGGTTAGAATTTTAGCATACGAATTTGAGGAGAACACAATTCTGTCCATAATACTTCACCCCCTGCCACTCTGCAAATTCATTGTCTTCTCATATACAAAATACTTTCACACCATCCCAACAGCCCCAAAAGTCAACTCATTGCAACATCAAATCTCAGTCCAAAATCTCATATAAATACTGTCTAAATCAGGTATGAATGAGACTTGAGTCATGATTCCTGGGGCAAAATTGCTCTCCAGCTGTGATCCTGTGAAATTGATGAGTTATCTACTTCTAAAATAGAATGGTAGGTGTATTAGTTTGCTAGGGGTACCATAACAAAATACCACAGACTGGGTGACTTAAATAACATTAAATAACAGAAATTTATTTTCTTTTTTAGTTCTTGAGGCTAGAAGTCCAAGATCGAGGTTTTTGCAGATTTGGTTTCTTCTGAGGCCTCTTGCCTTGGCTTGCAGGTGGCCGCCTTCTTGTTGTGTTCTTATATGGTCTTTTCTCTGAGCTTGCACATCTCTGGTACCTTCCTGTGTCTCCAAGCTTCTTGTTCTTTTCTTTTTTGCCAGAGTCTTGCTGTGTTACCAGGCTAGAGTGCAGTGGCACCATCTCGGCTCACTGCAACCTCTGACTCCCTGGTTCAAGCAATTCTCCTGCCTTAGCCTCCTGATTAGCTGGGATTACAGGCACGCACCACCACACCCAGCTAATTTTTGCATTTTCGGTAGAGATGGGGTTTCACCCTGTTGGCCAGGGTGGTCTCAATCTCCTGACCTTGTGATCCGCCTGCCTCGGCCTCCCAAAGTGCTGGGATTACATGCATGAGCCACTGCACCTGGCTCGCTTCTTGTTCTTACAGGGACACTAGTAAGATTGGATGAGGGCTCATCTTAACTGTCTTTTTAACTTAATAACCTCTTTAAAGTACCTATCTCCAAATACAGTCACATTCCGAGATCCTGGGGGTTAGGGTTTTGATGTATGGATTTTGGGGAGACAAAATTCATCTTAGAGCAATAGGCATGAGGTAAACATTCCCATTGCAAAAGGGAGCAATTGGGAAGAATAAAGGGGTAACAGGTTGCAAGCAAGTCTGAAACCTAGCAAGGAAAATTCCATAGGATTTTGAAGCTTGAGAATAATCCTCTTTGACTCCATGCTGTGTCCTCAGAGCCCATCCTAGTCCTAACGCTGCCTTTTGGGCCCACCAGTGTGGTGGCACTACCCCAAAACTCTCAGACCTGAGGATCCACGTTGACAGTGGCAGCCCCAACAACCTCTGAACTGCCTTCACAGCCATTCCTTTTTCATGAAAGATAGCATATGTTCACAACCACGTGTCTGTATTAGCCCATGCTATAAAATCCCAGGAGTCCAACAGCCTTGCTTCATTTCATTTCATCTTTCTCTCCTTCAGTCAACCTGACAGTGCTTCTACTGGTATAAATCCCCATCTCCATTCATGGTTTCAGCTGAGACAGCTGATTGGAATCATAAGTCACACACCTATAATTATTTTTTTGGCAAATCATTATCCAGCCCTATCCTTGATATTTTTCAGGACACAATTTCTTATTTTCTGCAATATTGATAGGCTGAGATTTTCTCAAATCTTCAAGCTCTGGTATCTTTTTGCTGACAATTCTTCAATCTATCTCTCCTTTTACATTTTACCATACAAGCGAAGAGAAATCAAGTTATGCCTTCAACATTTTGCCTAGAAATCCCCTCAGTGAATTATTCAAGATCATCACCTACAAGATCTATTTTCCACAAAACACTAGAATACAATTCAGCCAAGTCCTTGCCACCTTGTAAGAAGAATCTCCTTTCCTCCAGTTTTCAATTACATATTCCTAAGCTCTGAGACCTCACCAGAAGCACCTTCAGCATACATATTTCTAGCAACATTTTGTTAATGACTGTACATGTATTTTTATGAGATGCTAGAAGATTTCTCTACAGCTCTCTAATTTTCTGAGGACTCACGGGAATCACATTCAGCATCTATATTTTTAACAATACTCTCTTCCAATCAATTTAGGCTTTGTGTAACATACATCCAAATGAGATGGATTTCTCTACCCAGTTCCAAAGCCACTTCTAGATTTTTGGTTATTTGTTACAGCAGAATCCTCCCTTTTGATACCAGAATCTGTGTGAGTTAGCAAGGTTGCCATAACAAAGTATACCCAGTTCAGTTCAGTCCGTAACACGTATGTTATAATATGTATTTGGAATCAATTCCTTTTCTTTCTTTTCTATGTATTTCTTTTTTGTTTCACTTATCACCCTTCAATCTTCATGTAAAAACCCCTGCCCCATTTAAGTCCATGCCAACTGCGATGCTGCCTTCTCCACCTCATCCCCATTGCCAACACCTTCTTACCTGTAGATATTCTCTATACTAAATAAAGTTGTTAGCAAGTCCACCAAGATCTCCAGTTCTACCTCAGTTACTACCATCACTCTAGGAAATTCAACACACCCCAGAGGCCTCCAGCCAACATCCTGGCCTCACAAGACCTTGGCTTCCTCAGGGCCAATGAGGTGGTCTTCTTTATCCTGACACCTCAGCCAGACATTCCTACCTAAGGCCACTTCCTCAAGTGTCACCATAAGAAACTGTTCCTTTCTGACATTACTGATTCGAACACCTCACAGGACCACCACCTTCTAACCCTCCAGATCTCTTTGGGATATCTTTGCTTGGATGTTGGTTTGGCTGTGTCCCCACCCAAATCTCATCTTGAATTGTAATCCCCAAGAGTTGCGGGAGTGACCTCGTGGGAGGTGATTAGATCATGGAGGTGGTTCCCTTATGCTGTTCTCATGAAAGTGAGTGAGTTCTTACAAGATCTGATGGTTTTATAAGGGGCTTTTCCCCCTTTGCTCTGCAATTCTCTCTCCTGCCACTCTGTGAAGAGGTGCCTTCCACCATGATTGAAAGTTTTGTGAGGCCTCCCTAGACATGTGAAACTGTGAGTCAATTAAACCTCTTTTCTTTATAAATTACCCAGTCTCTTGTATTTTTTCACAGCAGTGTGAGAACGGACTAATACAGATGTCTCATAGATACTTCCAATTAAAGAAGACTAGAATTGTGAGGAGTCAGAAGCAAGCCCATATATTTAAACTCTTTGACAGTACTTACTGGATGAGTCTGTGAGGCCTCCCCCAAAGCTCCAGGACCCAGAAATCAGAAACTTTTCCTGGATCAGAAGTTCATTAACCAGAGAAATGGTTATATCCCTCAAGAGGCAGCCAATCTTCGGATTATTTTGCACTGTCATGTCTACACATCCTGCTGCAGGGGTTGTGAGCTTCCATTCTTGCCAAATCCAGGATAGTGGCTTCATTTGCTTGAGATTGGCAGCAAGAAAAACCCTCCTGGGAGCTCAAGTGCTAGGCATAATGATTCTTCTTCAGGAGGCAGGCCATGTGGCTCACTAGGAACTTACAGATCATCTCTTATGAAGTAGAAGCAGATTTAATTTCCACTCCTCTAGAAACTCTGATGGCTCCTTCTCTCTAATATGGTCTTTGCTCCAATTGTCCCACTTTGATTTTTCAGTTGCCCCGGGCTTCTCAATATGCCAGTTCTGTCTTAACAATTGTATCTCCATGTGTCAGCCCCTCATTGGTTAGGGAGTAGGCTTTCTGACACCTAGATTTAGGAATGTCATTGGTGGCCCCTGATCAGGCCTGGGGCTAGAAATGTTTGTGATAGGCACTTTGTCACTCTAATGGCTGAACCCTCTTTTAGAAAGAAGTCTAACTTTCTATTTGATGTTGTAGAATAGTGTAGAAAAAAAGAAGTCCCAATAGAAAAATTTATCTGGTCTAGAGGACACCACTTCAGGTTACCTGATACTAGACTTTCATTGTCTTTGAGTTCCTTTATATGCTATAAGTCATAGGTCACTGACAGACAATGTTTTGTCCAGTGGAGATTCAATTGTCCACCCTCCTCACAGTGTAACAAAATCAATTTCCCCTACTTATATATTCAGTTAATATTTTGATCAATATTCATGTTCCCTTAAAATGTCCATATCTGTATTAATGCTCTGATTTTACCCTTTTATCGAAAGTTGGCTTTAAATATTTTGGAGTTCATATCAATATGCCCAATTGATTTACTTACCAGTGCCATCTAAACTCCAATGACAGAAAAGTGTAACCACATACAAGGTTAAAATTTAGGCATCTCTTTCCTTTACTTTCCTAGGTAATTCCAAAGCACTAAGAGAACTTGGTTGACTGTTTTCCTCATTTTAATTTTTCTTTCTACTAATTTAGTGTTTCTATTTTCTTTTGGTAAATTTATAGCTGAAAATTTATTGCTATTGTTGGTAGCAATAGTCAGGAATTTTTTGTTGATGTTTTCAAATTTTTATTTCTTCTCATTGGGAAAAAAATTATATATTATACATTTCAAGGTGTAAAATTCAGGGTTTTTTAGTATATTCAAAATGTTTTGTGACCCTCAACAGCATTGTTTCAAAACTCTTTCATCACTCCAAAAACGAAACCCACACTTATTAAACAATCACTCGCCACTCTGCCGATCCACAGACATTAGCTACTTGCTCTTTATCTCTATACATTTGCCTATTCTGGTCATTTCATACAAGTGGAATCATATTTTGTGTAGGTCTGCTTTCAGTTAACACAATTTTTGCAAGGCTTGTTTATGTTATAGCACGTTATCAGTACTCCCTTCATTTTTATGGCTAAATAACTTTCCACTGTGTGAATATACCACATTTTATTCATTCATCAGTTGATGGGCATTTGGGCATTTTCATCGTTTATCCATTGTGAATAATGCTGCTATGAAAATATATGCAATTGCATTTCCGTAACTATTTTAAATTCTTTTTGGTATGTACCTAGAAGTGGAATTGCTGGGTAATACGAAAATTATGTTTGAACTTTTGAGGAACTACCAAACTGTTATCCAGAGAGAGTGGCTGCACAGTTTTACATTCTTACCAGCAAGGAACAAGGGTTTTGACTTTTCAACATGCTTGATCATATGCATTATATTTTCATTGTTTTGATTCTGAGCAACCTAGCAAGTGTGAAGTGGCATTTTATTGTGGTCCCTATTTGCATTTCCCTAATGACTAAGGATGTTGAACATCATTTAATTTGTTTGTGGGACATTCATTACCTCTTATTTTGAAAAACATTCATTCTAGCCTTTGTCCATTTTTAATTTGGTTGTTTATCTCTTTTTGTTGAGTCCTAAGATTTCTTTATAGATTCTGGATGCTAGTCCATTATTAGATATATAATTTGCAAATATATTTTCCCATGTTTTGAATTGCCTTTTTATTCTCTTGTTAATGACTTTTTATTTACAAAAGTTTTAAATTTTGATGAAGCACAACATATCTATTTTTTTTCTTTTGTTCCTTGTATTTCTGGTATCATATCTATGAAAACTTTGTCAAAGTCAGGGTCATGAATTTTTCCCCCCTTCTTTTTTTAATACTTTAAGCTCTAGGGTACATGTGCACAACATGCAGATTTGTTACATATGTATACATGTGCCATGTTGGTGTGCTGCACCCATTAACTCGTCATTTATATTAGGTATTTCTCCTAATATTAGCCCTCCCCCTTCCCCCACCCCATGACAGGTCCTGGTGTGTGATGTTCCCCAACCTTCGTCCAAGTGTTCTCATTGTTCAATTCCCACCTGTGAGTGAGAACATGTGGTGTTTGGTTTTCTGTCTTTGTGATAGTTTGCTCAGAATGATGGTTTCCAGCTTCATCCATGTCCCTACAAAGGACATGCACTCATCATTTTTTATGGCTGCATAGTATTCCATGGTGTATATGTGCCACATTTTCTTAATATAGTCTATCATTGATGGACATTTGGGTCGGTTCTGTTTTTTAAAGATGTTTATAGTTTTAGCTTTTATGTTTAGATATTTTAGTCAATTTTAAGTTTATTTTTGTACATAATGTGAGATGAAAATCCAACTGAATTCTTTTGCAAGTGAATATCCAGCTGCCTAAGCACAATTTACTAAGGGATCTATTTGGCTGCTACTGCAAATGTAATCATTTCCTTAATTTCTCAAATGTTTCATGATAGTGTAGAAACACAATTAAGTTTTTTTACGTTGATATTGTATCCTGCAACCTGGCTGAATTAATTTGTTAGCTCTCTTGTAAGTTATTTTGGATTTTCTTTATGCAAATCATGTACCCTACAAATAGATATTATTTTAAATGTTATTTTTAATTTGGACGCTCTTCCTTTCTTCCTTTCTTTTTTCTTTTCTTTTCTTCTCTTTCTTTCTTTCCTTCCTTTCTTCTTTCTTCCTTTCCTCCTTCCTTTCTTCCTTTCCCTCCCTCCCTCCTTTCCTTCCTTCCTTCCTCCCTCCCTCCCTCCATCCATCCCTTCCTTCCTTTTCCTTTCTTTCTTTTCTTTCTTTCTTTCTTTCTTCCTTTCCCTCCCTTCTTTCCTTCCCTTTCTTTCTTTCTCTTTCTTTCTTTCCTTTGTTCCTTCTTCATTCCTTTCTTTCTCCCTTTCCCTTCCTTCCTTTTTTTCTTTCTTTTTTTCTTTCCTTTCTTCCTTTCCCTCCCTCCTTCCCTTCCTTCCTCTTTCTTTCTCTTTCTTTCTTTCTTTCCTTCCTTCCTTCTTCCTTCCTTTCTTCTTTCCTTTCTTTCTTCCTTTCCCTTTCTTCCTTCCTTTCTCTTTCTTACTTTTACTTTCTCTTACTTTCTTTCTTCCTTCCTTTCTCTTTCTTACTTTTACTTTCTCTTACTTTCTTTCTTCCTTCCTTTCTTTCTTTTTCTTTAACTTCCTCTTCCTTCCTTCCTTTCTTTTCCTTCCTCTTCGTTCTTTCTTTCCTTCTTTCTTCCTTCCTTTTTCTTCCTTCCTCCTTCCTTTTTCTTCTTTCTTTCCTTCTTTCTTCCTTCCTTCCTCTTCCTTCCTTCCCCTTCCTTCCTTTTCCTTTCCTTCCCCTTCCTTCCTTCCCTCCTTCCTTCCTTTTCCTTCCTTCCTTTCTTCCTTCCTTTCCCCTCTCTTCCTTTCCCCTCTCTCCTCCCCTGCCCTCCCCTCTCCCCACCTCCCCTCCCCTCCCTGGTCCTCCTTTCCCCTCCCCCCTCCTCTCCTCTCCTCTCTTTTTTTTCTTTTTCTTTTTTTATTTTTTTGGCCTAATTGTCATGGCCTGAGCATACACTTCAACATTAAATGGAAATAGCAGGAGCAGACATTGCAGGCATCTTTGTCTGATTCTTGATCTTAGGAAGAAAAGGACTCAGTCTTCAAGAAGCCTGACATTAATTATGGGCTTCTCACAAAAGCCCTTTAACATGTTAAAGACATTACTTGTATCTCTAGATTGTTTAGTGTTTTTTATTTTTATATTTTAATCATATAAGAGTGTTAGATTTTGTTGAGTACTTTTTCTGCATCAGTTGAAATAATCATATGGTTTTTGTTCCTTAGCCTGGTTGTATGTTATATTACCTGCATTGATTTTCATAGAATGAGCCAACCCTGCATTCCTGGCATAAGCCCAACTTGGTAATATTGTATAATCCTTTTTTTCTATGTTGCTGGATTCAGTTTGCAAGTATTCTGTCAGAATGTTTGTGTCAGTATTCAAAAGGGATACTAATGTATAGTTTAATTTTATTGTGATGACTTTGTATGGTTTTTATGTCAGGATAATACTAGCCTCATAGAATAAAATAAGAAGATTTTCTATATTTTGAAGTAGTTTGAAGATTATTGATGCTTATTCTTTAAGAATTTGATAGAATTCATCAGTAAAATCATGTGGACCAGGCTTTTCTTCGAGGAAAGGTTTTTTTTTAATACTAATTCTACATATTTTCTTGTTAAAAGTCTATACAGATGTTTTTCTTCCATAATTTAATTTTAGTGGTTTGTTTTTCTAGGAATCTTTTCAGTGCATACACATTATCTAATCAGTAGGCATATAATTATTTATAGTATGTCATATTATCATTTTTGTTTTCCTAATCAGCAGTAATATTCCTTCTTTTAGTCCAAGTTTTATTAACTTTAATCTCTTCTTGTTCTTAATCTGATCCAGCTACATGGTTAATCTCTTTTTGTTCTTAATCTAACCCAGCTAAACATTTATCAATTTTGTTTATATTTTTGAAGAACTAAATTCTGGTTTTTTTATTTTTCCATTGTTTTTCTATTCTCTATTTCATTCCTTTTTCTCTCATACGCTTATTATTTTCTTCTTTCTGCTTGCTTAAGGTTGTTAGCAAGGGTTGTTAAGTTGTTTCTAGTTTTTTAGTTTTGAAAGGTGAACAATTATGTTATTGATTTCAGTTACTATTAATTATAGATACTTAGTTATAAGTGTTTCTCTATGTACAGCTTTAGCTGCCTACCATAAATTATATGTTGTGTTTTTCATCTCCAATAATTTCCTAATTCCCCTTGTGATTTCTTCCTTGACACAATGGTTATTTAGAAATATATTTTTAAATTTCTGCATGTTTGGCAATTTACCAATTTTCCATTTATTAATAATTAGTAATTATATTCCACTACGGTGGGAGAATATATTTGTGTAGTATAAATTATTTAAAATTTATTAAGACTTGTTTTGTGTTCTAACATAAGGTCTATCATGGAGAATATTAATGTGCAACTGAGAAAAAATCATTTGCTGTTGTTAGTTGGAGGCTTCTGTAGACGTATGTTAGGTCCAATTGCTTAATAATGTTTTTCAAACCTTCTTCTCCCTTGTTGATTTACTAACCTGCTGTCTAGCCATTACTGAAAGTGAGAATTCAACTCTCCAAGTATTATTGTTGAATGTCTATTTATTCCTTCAATTCTGTCATGCTTTGCTAAGTGTATTTTCGGACCCTTTGTTATGGGCATGTATGTTTATAATTGTTATATATTTCTGATGGATTGATGCTTTTTTAATATATAATGTTCTTTGTATTTGGTAATGTTTATCCCAAAATCTGTTTTGTCTGTGAGTAACATAGCCATTCCAGCTCTGTGGTTACTGTTCGTTTAGTATATCTTTCTCCATATTTTTACTATTAACCTATTTGTATCTTTTAATCTAAAGTATTTTGTATGCAGCATGTTGTGGACTATGGTTTGTTTTTGTTTTAATATTTTGTCAATCCCTTTTGGTTGGAGTATTTAACCCATTTTTATTTAATACAGTTACTGAAAATTCTCCTTTATATACCAATTTGATATTTATTTGTCAAATGTCTTATTTTTTCTTCTTCCTTTTCTTTATTACTGTCTTTTCTGTTAAATAGATATTTGTCTCTGTAGTATTTTAATATCACTATCATTTCTTTTTTTTCTCTGTAGCTCTAACCAATAAATTGTAATTTATTTTACTGTTTATTTTTGTTATTTTTTCAGTGGTTTCCCTGGGGATTACAATTAACACGTTAATTTGCAACAATTTAGTTCAGATGAACACTGACTTCATTCATATACAAAAACCTGGCTCTTATATAACTTCATTTTCTTCCTCCTTCTCTGTGCTGTAATTATCATACAAGTTGTGTCTTTATTCATCATATGCCTATAAACACAATGTAGAATTATTGCTTTATACAATTTTTTGAAAATAAAATAGAAGGGAAAAATGACTTGTAAATGTAAAATACATTGATACTGTATTTTACATTTACCTGTGCACTTATTTATATTGGTGTTATTTATTTTGTCACATGGATTCAACTTACTGTTTAGTGTTTCATTTCAGCCTGAAGGATTCTCTTTAATGTTTCCTTTAGAATACATTTTCTGGCAACAGTTTATCTCAATTTTTGTTTACTGATAATAATTTTTTTTTTCATTTTTGATGGATACTTTTGCTGAAATATGGAAATACTGATTGAGATTAATTTTGTTTAGCTCTTTGAACATGTCATTCTACTCTATTCTTGCCTCTATGGTTTCTGAGAATGTCTATTAATATTATTAATGGTATCTTATCAATTGCTTTCCCTTGCTGCTTTGAAGAGTCTCTCTTTGAACTTATCCAACTTAGAGTTTGTTGAGCTTCTTGGCTGTGAAGATTAATGTTTGGAAAAATTAGGGACATCAGTTATTTTCAAATATTCTCTCTACCTCTTTCTTTTTTCTCTTCTGAAACTCTCATGATGCATATGTTTGTGTGATTGGGGGCGTACTACAGATGTCTAGCTCTGTTTATGTTTATTTGCTTGTTTTTCTTTCTGTTCCTCACATGGACAATCTCAACTGATCTATCTTCATATTTAGTTATTTGTTCTTCTGCTAAGTCTAATCTGTGTTGAGCTCCTCTGGGGAAGTTTTTATTTCAATTACTGCACATTACAGAATTTCTATTGGTTTCTTTTTTATTATTTATATTAATTTACTGATATTCTTTATTTGGTGCAATATTGTTCTCATATTTTCCTAGATTTTCTTAGAAATGATTGTTTTTATTCAGTTCTTAGAACATATTTAAAACAGTTGATTTAAATGCTTTCTAACAAGTCCAGTGTCTGGGATCTTCAGGGACACTATTGACTGATTTTTTTTTCCTCATATAAGGCACACTTTCTTGTTAATGTGTACATTTCATAATTTGTGTTGAAAACTGGACATTTAAAATAATATAATATGGAAACTCTGAAAGTCAGTTTCCATTCCCCACACTGAGTTTGATGTTGCTGCTTGTTGCTGTTATTGTTTGCTTGTCAGGAAAGAATTCTGTAAATTTTTTATTTTCTTTGTATGGTCACCAAAGTTTTTGCCCAGTTATCTTAGTGGTCAACTGCTGACCAGCCAAAGATTTTCTTAAATGTTTAGGATTAATAAGCATTGCTGCCTTTGACGGTAGTGTTTGTGTCCATGTTGGGGTATGACTTCAATACTGAGGCAGGCAGCTTACAACTCTGCCTTATAAGTCTGTTGGTTTTAAAGGCTTCTGTATTCATTTATTCAGGCTTCCATTAAAAAGTACCATAGGCTGAATAGCTTAAACAACATGCATTTATTTTCTCAAGGTTCTGGAGACAAAAAGTCCAAGATCAAGTTATCATCAGGGATGGTTTCTGGTAAGACCTCTCTTCCTGGCTTGTAGATGGCTGCCTTTTTGCTATGTCCTTGCATGGCCTTTCCTCTCTGTACACACAGAGGAAGAGAGAGCTCTGGTACCTCTTTCTCTTCTTAAAAGACCACTAGTTCTATTGGATTGGTGCCCTATACTTAAGACATCATTTAGCCTTAGTCACCTCCTCAAAGGCAGTATCTTCAAATACAATCATATTAAGAATTAGGGTTTAACATATGAATTGTGGTGGGGAAAACCACTTAATTCAATCTGTAACAGCTATTCTGGGTCTGAAAGGGAGGGAACTGAGAATAGTATAAGGTAAAACATCACAAAGTTCCCTTTTACTGAGATTCAGTCTATTTTTTTAAATAAGAACTTCATTTTTTTGTTTGCAAGCTTTTGCTTAGTTTGAGTTCTGAAAAAGTTTATTTACTACTTTTCCAGTGTACTCATTGCCTTTATAAAGGAGCAGCTTTTTGGAGGTATTTTACACCAGATTTTTTGTTTTGTTTTGTTTTGTTTTGTTTTGTTTTGTTTTTGAGATGGAGTCTTGCTTCGTTGTTGGGCAGGAGTGTAGTGATGCGATCTCGGCTCACTGTAACCTCTGCCTCCTAGATTCAAGCAGTTCTCCTGCCTCAGCCCCCCAAGTAGCTGGGATTACAGGTACCCATCAACAGGCTCAGCTAATTTTTGTATTTTTAGTAAAGACAGAGTTTCACCATATTGGCCAGGATGGTCTCGAACTCCTGACCTCAAGTGATCCGCCTGCCTTGGTCTCCCAAAGTGCTGGGATTACAGGCGTGAGCACTACATCTGGCCTGCTCCTATCATTTTTTAGTGAGGTGCTCTTTAAGCACCAAACATTTATATGGCCTTATAATTGACCTCTAATTTATTGGAGTTTGAGTTCCCAAGACTTCCCCTCTTTCACTCCAGGGATCTAAATATTAGAAGGCATATTCAGAAAACTGATGGCCAAAAGACGATAGCAATATCACTTTTACAATATTTCCATTCATGTCACCTCTGAAATTTCAATTTGAAATGTAATTTCTCTGGAAGAAAGACAGTTTCCTTGTTTGACTCCATGTCATTTTAATTGTATCATGGTTTTATAATATATGTACTCCTAATGTGCCCTTCTGGTAAACTAGGGTAAAGGACATAACAAGGTATAACATGAGTTGAGAAATTCAAGAGGAATAGTTGTTCATCCTAATGTGCATTGCCTCTTTGGAATTAACTTCAAGTTCTGATCTATTTCGTGGATTCTTAGAGAAACAACTTACCCATCTTAGTCTTCCAAGATGCCAAAGAGGGCCCCAGAAAGTAGCTTACAGCAGGAGGGAGAGAGCAGCTTTGACTATTTCTTTCCTATCCTAAGGTGGGTCCCACCTCTCTGCTTGCCCTTTCACTGAACTTTTTTTTTTTAAGTCTAATCGCTTAAAAGGTGCCTAAGGAGAGGGAAATATAGGGAAAGGTTAACACTTCTAACCCTATCCACAAACCAGCGAGCTTCTACCTTTCTGGGCTTTCATCCCCACTGCTCGCCAAGAGCTGAGGAGTTGCTCCTAACAAATGAGTGTCTCAATGTCTTACAGTCAGAAACCAAATGCTTTTTACAGTCTTTTTGGTGCCTTCCAGTTTCTGCCTTTCTTTGGTATGTGATGCTTGACAACTCAGGTGGGCTTAGTGAATCTCTGTCTTGTCTTATTTTCCATCAGAAGTAGTTGTGTGGATTCATAAGGTTTTTCTGTAGACTCCAAGCCTTTTTCAGTGTCTTGTTTCTTGCAGCATGCCAGATTTTAGGATCCTGGGATAGGAGATTTGGAGGCATCAATGAAGCTTCTAGGCTAAGACATGAGCGTCCACTTAGCCTTTTGACAGAAATCTGCACATAAACTACATTCCAAATTCCTACTTATGCCATTATTATTTTTTTTCTGTTTTGCAACTCTCTCTGGTATCCTATGGTTAAAAAAGGTGATATCCCAGGAAGGATTCAGAAATATTTGGGTTCCTGGCCATAATACCATTAGGATTCTAATCTAATCCTGAACTCGTCATACTTTCCACTTTGACAGTTATGGAAAAATTTTATCAGAGCAAGCTTCCATAAGACTCTATAAAGAATTTAATTTTTCCATAAATAAAAGTAGTAAATATAGATAAGTCATTTATATATATTTTAATCTTCTAGAGACAATCAGTGTGGACACCAAACCTTGAGCATGATTTCTGTACAAGTCAGTAACATTCAGTGCACGGTAGAACAGACACAGGTACTGAACTCAACAACTAAGTCATCTTCAAGGCCTATCAAGTAAGAAACAAATCTGTTAATATCACATACAAATAAAATAAGCAAGCTCATGTTAGTGTAATAATGTGGAGCATATGTGGACAATTATGTGTGACTGATTTATGTATATTGGGACTATGGGAGCCATAAGATCTAGTAAACTGTCTTAGTAATGAGAATATATACAAAGCATCTCTAATTTAACCATTGACCTATATGGCTATAACATTCAATGAGGTAACGTATCAAACAACTATTTTTGTTGTTGTTTTGTGTGTGTGTGTGTTTAGTTTTCTCTCTGTCAATGAATTGGCAACTTCGTAGGGAGGTAAAATTACTCAACAATATTATCTCTTTTAATTCATGCAACACTATGAAATGAGTGTCTTATTTCTCACTCTCTAAGTTCTGATAATTTGAGTAATTTTTTCAAGGTTAGATAGATAGTAAGTGTCCAGGAATCAGAGCCCTATTGCCTTACCCCTTCTGGGAAGCCATATTGCTCCCTATAACTTTCATTCAATATTCTCCAAAGGACTAACTTTTCTTAAATACTCCTCCTCACATTCCTTCTGAAGATAGGCCGCCTATTCTTTCTCTGAATGGAGGAAGCTGGAAGGAGCTATAGATAATTTGACTGGAAAGAGCGAGATAAATCCTGGAACCTGGTGAGGGTGCATAGGATTTCTGTGTAAGGAACAAGCTGCGTCTTCTGTTATGTTGCCTGTTTTATGGATGAGTGAAGCTTGGGCCTTCTGAGCTTCTGGCTAGCACAGGAATATTACCAGGATCTGTGCCTTCTGGTAGCTTCTTCAGCTGCTTCTTCAAAGGTCTTTCTTGTCAGTGGGGAGAAACTAGAACCAGCAGTGTGGATCTCAGGTGGAAATCGTGCTCTGCAGTCATTTGATCTCAATAAAGCTGATATTGCTACCTTCCTTTGACGAATAGTTTTTTGAAAGTAACTTCTAATATTTTGTATTGTAGAGCAAAGAAGAGACAGGTCTTGGGATCCCACCTCCAACAATCAGTGATTAATCTCAAGGCTTCAAAATGTGTAGTGCTTGAAGACCATCTCTAACTTTAAAATCATAGGTGCAAATCTGCCAATATTTGTAAAGAACATTAAATTATTTAGATTTCTAGAGTCCCATATTTCCTTTTAATTCTTCATTATTGGTGTATCAAAAGTGCTAGAAACAGTTTCTGTCCCATAAAACACACAAAATATATATGTGCAAAATGAAAGAATGAGAGAGTAGTCTGAAAAGCAGACCAAAATGTATGCATAAAAAAGTTTATCAGAGCATTATGTACTAAGCTAAAAATTACTGGAAATAAAAGTCTTTAAAACAGAGCTCTAGTCACATAAGTCTTATGATCAATATCTATTCATACAATAAAATATGCAAGATTTGCATTTATTGAAATTTAATGACATCAGAAAATGGAACCAATACAATACAACCCTACAAAATAGGATATAAAATTACTTTATCTGCATTGTAATCCCCTTTAATTAAAATTATCTATAAACAATGTAAACATGTTGGAGAGGATTGTGAGAAGATGAAAATCTGAGTTTGTGTCTCTTACTGCCCTTTCCCAAATCCCTCTCTGGAACAGCACAATAACAAAGGGAGCCAACTGTTAGCAGACAGCTGCAGCTTATGGCCATATCGGGTGTTGACTGCAATGGGCTGCCCTGATAAGGGGCTTAGTGGGCCCAATCCCAGCCTGGGCTCTTCCCTCTAACTAATACACCCTGAACAGCGCTCCTTTCACATGGAAGAAACACCTTTTTCATACTGACACAAAGTGGCTAGGTATGGCAGAACTTGATTCTAGCTCTTGAGATTGACTGGAAAGATCACATGCATAGGTCTTCATTGTCCATATCACTTAGAGATCTCAGAGTCTAGTGACAGAGGAGAAGATTTGCACCTCCTGGGCTATGTGGTTCAAATGAAAGACACAGTTCAGCTTTCTTCGCTGACAGAAAAGGGCTTAATTGGTTGGTAAAGGTATACCAAGAAGAAATATGATTATTATTAACCAGTCATGATAGAGTTTGCCTCAGATAACCATCAGCAGGATCCATTTTCCATCAGGGTAAAATTGAAGGAGTGAGACACAGTTGTTTGACGCTTGAATGGATTTTGGCCTCTGGGTGGTAAACCTTCAATGACTAAATGACTTCTAGTATATTTGGACAATTCATATTTTTGGGTATCTTTAACATGTGACAGGATACCAATTAGTCCACTAAAAAGACTCTACATCTTATCCATTAGACAATTCAAGCAGTCAGTAGGACTCAGGAATCTTTATCAGCTCATGGAGGAGGTTTGAGGGCAAATTCTTTCTCTGGTACTGATTGCATTCTTGCAGGAGGTCACAGGTGTACATGTGACTCATGTAGCAAATATGCATGGAACAAGGTCATGTAGCAAATTCCTACCCCTTCTTTTTGTATCACAAAAAGCAAAAAATAGCAAATAGGAACAGTGGGTATACTTTAGAAGATGCTGTGACTTGAGTAGTTTCACCCATCAGACAAAGAAAAAAAACAAATATGGCAGAGAACACAGCACCCTTTTCATGTGTAAAATGTGACTTGTTACCTGTCAGACTCTGAATGATAATCTGGAACTCAACTAGTTGGCAATTTGAAAAGTACACACAAATATTTATCCAATATGGCACACAAAACAACTACCATTTTGGAGAGCCTTGAGGCAGTATCTCATTAATTTTAAGATGTTCATACATTACTATCTAGAAATGTCCACAATTAGGTAGCTACCTTAGAAAAATTTGTCACAAGGACACATGTAACACAATGTTCTTTTCAGAATTCTATAATAAAAAAATCATAGAAAAACAAAATTATTACAATTAGAGAAAAAAATTAAATGCTTGCTATTCCTTCAATCAACTAGTTTAAAATAATACATCAAATTAATAAGCATAGATAAATGAATGAGAGCTACATGTACCAACATTGATATAACCATTACATTGAAAAGTTGCAAAAGGATATATTTTATCAGTTACATATATTTGAGAAACACAGGAAATATTATATAGGCTTTATACACATAAGAATATATAGGGTAGACATGTTGTAAAGAATGAAGTAGCTTCAGGAGGCCACACACCAAAATAGTTGCTTCAGGAAATGGTTACTTCTGGGACTGAAAGATGGGGAACAAAAAGAGGAGGAGCTTTTATCTTATCTAAAACTTCTAAGATAAACAAAAACAACATGAAACAAATACAGCAAAATGTCAACATTTCATAAATCATATTAGTAAACACATGGATTATTTTTTATATTGCTATTCTTTTTTATATGGCTGAAATGATTCACAATGAAAACGAATTTAAATGTCATAGAAGTTAGCCCCATGGTATAATTATCCTCAATAGCTAATTGCTGGTCTTAGCATTAAAGCCGCACACAAAATATTTGCCTTTGAAGTTTTTTTTCCCAAAATGTACACCCATTCAATCTCTCCATTCCCCAACATCCTGGAAGACAGTGTTTTATGGTGACAGTAAGGTAGGCATCAGGGTCAGACAGACTTCCTGGCATGAATTCAGTGGATTTTTCTTAATTATGAGAGAAGAAACATTGCACAGATAGAGGGTCTATCTCTTAATGCGTGTTAATTTCATGTCTTTCCCAGCATAACTTCCTAGATGGGCCAAACAGATCTTGTTTAAGAATAAGCTATTCATTTCTTTTATCAGACTGTGGTCCGCAAATTTGGAATGCTTTCCTATAGTTTTCTGTACTATGAAAGTTTACATGAAATGTTAAGTAACCTTTAAACAACTCAAATCAATTTTGTTTCTGCCTTTTTTAGAATTGTTAACCTCACCACTTACTTCAGCATTTAATCCCTTTCTTCTCCTTTATTGCTGTGTATTACATGCCCTGCTTCATTATGTGACCCTAGAAAGGTGAATACACCCCACTAACCTTCAGTTCTTAGTCTTTTCATTGAGGTGTTGTAAAAGATAATTCAGTTCTTGAGGGATTTTTGGCACTAATATTTTACAATTTCAGAATCTCATGAGTATATAACTTGTCTTCTGAAGTCTATCACAGAGAAATCTTATAAGAAATTACTCTCACGTGCCCCGGAGCTGTGGCTTATCCAGGGTGGGAGTAGGAAGGAGGGGTGAAAGGGCAGTGCAACCACCTAAGGGGTGAAAGGGCAGTACAACCATCACAATTTCTTTGATGGAGAAGGGTGTTTTTAATGTAAACAAGCCTATTCTATATTTGTAATATTAACTTATTTGGGGACAACTAAAGAAAATACTTATGAAAAAATATTCTTATTGTTCAAATAACAAATATCATAGGGTGATATCAAATTTCACCCTAGGATGAAAAAAGAAGTGATGGCTTATCTCTGTTTCACCTAACTCAGAACTCAATCAAGGAGAAAAAGGAGAAGGCATTGCTCAAAAACATTTGAGGGAATATATAGTATTTCCTGTGTTTCTCAAATATATGTAACTGATGAAATGTATCTTTCTACAACTTTTCACTCAGTGTAATGTTTATATCAATGTTAATACATGTAGATCTCATTCATTTATCTATGCTTATTAATTTGATATATTATTTTAAACTCATGGATGGAAAGAAGAGCAACCATTTAATTTTTTTTCTCTAATTGTAATAATTTTGATTTTCTATGATTATTTTGTGTTATAGAATTCTGAAAAGAACATTGTGTTACATGTGTCCTTGTGACAAGTATTTGAAAATTTTTCTAAGGTAGCTACCTAACTGTGGGCATTTCTAGATAGTAATGTATGCACATCTTAAAATTAATGAGATACTGCCTCAAGGCTCTCCAAAATGGTAGTTGTTTTGTGTGCCATATTGGATAAATATTTGTGTGTACTTTTCAAATTGCCAACTAGTTGAGTTCCAGATTATCATTCAGAGTTTGACAGGTGACAAGTCACATTTTACACATGAAAAGGGTGCTGTGTTTTCTGCCATCCTTGTTTCTTTGTCTGATGGGTGAAACTACTCAAGTGACAGCATCCTCTAAAACATAACCACTGTTCCTATTTGCATTACACTTCAGTTCAAGAATGTTTCTTATATTATAAATGTAAATAAGCTTTCTATTTTTAAAAATGAAGAAGTTTAAAAACTATTTTTTGTTTGTTGGTCTTAGAAACTATATCGGGTTTGAACTCAACAAGGTTATTTTTGTTACCACTTCCATTTTTAAAAATTTTGTCTTGAAATCATTATGCTAGAAATTACTATTTTATCAAATAAAGAGCATTTTAATCTTCTTTTGGGCATTATTAAATTGAGTCAAGTGTTAGACTACAGATCAAGACATAAATGTGAAAGCAGGTTTGCTTAAGGTTCAGACATGAGTAAATACTGCAGATAGCCAAGCCAAGAATCCATTAATTTCTCCAAAACGTAAATTAGACAACCTCATTAATACTCCTCATATTTATGTTTTGGAAGAAGAAGGAATAAATCAAGATTGTGACAAGACTGAACATTTTCCAAAGTTCCTAAAGATATGGGAGGGCTGCAGGAAAGTGCTGGGGAGACAAGAATGGGGTCCCTGCCACGGGATCCATCCTTGGGCCTGTGCCCACAGACCTAAGTGAGGACAGGCACTCCTGTTTTCGTTCCCAAATGTTGCATTTGCCAAGACCACTTTGGCCTGCCACACCCCCTCATCCTGTGCCTATAAAAACCCCGAGGCCCTAGCGGGCACGTACAAGTGGCTGGATTTCCAGAGAAACACACCCACCAACAGACGCTCGCAGGCCATGGAGGGCAGAACGACGCGAATGCAGAGGGGAATTCGGCCAAGGGCAGGCGGTTGGAGAAGAGCCTGGCTGCTGAGAGGCCAGACTCCACGGAAGGACCATCTTCCCACGCCATCCCCCTTCTGGCTCCCCATCCATCTGCTGAGAGCTACTTCCAGCACTCAATAAAACCTTGCACCCATCCTCCAAGCCCAAGCGTGATCTGATTTTTTCGGTACACTAAGGCAAGCACCCAAGATACAGAAATCCCTCTGTCCTTGCGATAAAGCGAGGGTCTAACTGAGCTGTTTAACACAAGCCACCTGTGGACGGCAAAACTGAAAGAGCACACTGTAATACACACCCACTGGGGCTTTGGGAGCTGTAAACTCTCAACCCTAGACATCGCCATAGAGTCGAAGCCCAAAAATGCTCCCCATGGCCTGCCCGTCTGCCTGGTCCCCCTAGGGTTTCGAGCTGTGGGGCACTGAAGAACTCAGCCACACCCCCGTCCCTGTCGCTGGCCATGCTAGGGGGATAAGGGAAAATTCCTCCCATTTCAATAATAAGGTGAAATGAATACACATTTTGGCCAAATGTCAAAAGGCCCAATTTTATAAAGTGGCTGAAAGTTGAGGCCAAAACTGATAATCACTATCATAGAATTAAATTCTGGGATCAAAAATAAATTTGGATAGGTGAGGTAAGCAAACTGATGGAGCAAGTGGCTCGAAACACCTGTTCCTCCACAAAAACATCAAAAAGCAAGCAGAATTATAAGAAACCGCTTTGTCACAGCCCCAGAAAATGGTCAAAAGCATACAGGAAGTAAGTGAATGTTGAATCAAGAAAAAAGCAACATAAAAATAGTAGAAAAAGTTTGTGGCATTTTCAGTTGCCCTTGGCTACCCTTCCTAGTTCTGCTGCAGACTTGAAAGTGACACCCTGCATTTCCAGTGCAGTCCTTGTCCCTGGTTCTTAATGGAGCTGAGCAGACTTTATTTGAAAATTCGTGTGTTTGTCTGTTCTAACTAGTCTAGAGGCTACATGAAGGACTGCGGAAGATGCTTATCTCTCTTTCACCTAACTCAGAACTCAAGGAGAAAAAGGAGAAGGCATTGCTCAAAAACATTTGATGATGAATCAAAAGCCCAGTTATCTGGGGCAAAAGATTGTAGTTGTGATGTACAAAAGACTCCCTAAAGCCTGGGAAGCAAAGCTGGGAAAGAGTTTCTGTAGGAAATTACAACATCCAAAAGCACTGAATACAGTTAATCTTAGAAAGCCACATTCAAAATAGTTCATAGAAAAACAATAGAGAGAATCAGTACAACCAAAAGTTGGATCTTTGATAAGATCAATAAAATTAGTCAATCATTAAGTAAATTGACTAACAAAAAATTAATCACGAAGCAAAAATACTTAGTCAGATGTGAAAGTAGAAACATCACTACAAACTTTACAGAAATTGAAAGGATTATGAAAGAATACTCTGCAGATCAAATTAACAAATTCCTAGAAAGACACAAACTACCAAAACTAATGCAAGAAAATGAGAAAATCTAAATATACCTATAACAAGCAGGATTTAATCAGAAATCAAAAACTTCCCAACAAAGAAAAGCCCTGGACTAGATGGCTTCACTGGTGAATTCTCACAAATATTTGAAGAAGAACTAAAAAATGTGTTATCAAATTTATCTTGCCAGTTTTTAAAATATATATTTTTTATTTTAGATTCAGGGTATACGTGCAGGTTCATTACATAGGTATATTGCATGATGCTGAGGTTTGGGTTTATATTGATTCCGTCACCCATATAGAGAACATAGTACTAATAGGTAGTTTTTCAACCCTTGCCCCTTGTCCCTCTTTCTCTTACTTTTTGGGGTCTCTAGTGTCTATTTTTCCCATTTTTATGTGTATGTGTGCCTAATGTTTAGCCCTCACTTATAAGTGAGAATATGCAGTATTTTGTATTCAGTTTCTGCATTAATTCACTTAGGATAATGGCCACCAGATGCATCCATGTTACTGCAAAGCAAATAATTTCATTCTTTTTTATGCCTGCATAATATTCCATGGTGTCTGTACTACATTTCTTTTATCCCATCCACCATTGATGGGTACTTAGTTTGATTTTATGTCTTTGCTGTTGTAAATAGTGCTGCAATGAACATATAAGTGCATGTGTCTTTTTGGTAGAGCAATTCATTTTCTTTTGGGTATATACCCAGTAATGGGACTGCTGGGTTGAATGGCAGTTGTATTTTTAGTTCTTTGATAAATCTTCAAACTGCTTTCCTAAGGGCTGAATCAGTTTACATTCCCACCAACAGTGTATAAGTGTTCTCTTTTTGCCACAACCTCACCAACACGTTATTTTTTACTTTATTGTATTAGCCATTCTGACTGGTGTGAGATGGTATCTCATTGTGGTTTCGATTTGCATGTCTCCAATAGTGATGCAGGGAATTTTTCATATGTTCATTGGTTGCTTGTATATCTTCTTTAGAAAGTGTGTATTCATGTTCTCTGACCACTTTTTAGTGAAGTAATTTGTTTTGTCTTGATTTAAAGTCCTTATAGATTCTGGATATTAGTCCCTTCTCAGATACACAGATGGCAAATATTTTCTCTGATTCTGTAGGTTGTCTGTTGATACTTTCTTTTGTTATGAAGAAGATTTTTAATTTAACTATGTCCCACTTGTCAATTTTTGTTTTTATTGCATTTGCTTTTAAGGACTTGGTCATAAATTCCCTGCTTAGGCCAATGTACAGAAGAATATTTCCTAGGTTTTCTTCTAGGAGGTTTATAGTTCAAGGTCTTAACACTAAAATCTTTAATCCATCTTGAGTTAATTTTTGGATATATTGAGAGGTAGGAGTCCAGCTTCATTCTTCTGCATATAGTTAGCCAGTTTTCCCCAGTTTGCTAATATTTTAAAGATTTCTGCATCTATGTTTATCAAGGATATTGGCCTATAGTTCTCTTTTCTTATAGTGTCTTTGTCTTGCTTTGGTATCAGGATAATGCTGACCTCATAAAATTAGTTTGGAAATTATACTTCTTAATTTTTTTGGAAGAGTTTTTGAAGGATTATTGTTAATTCTCCCTAGAACAACACTATACACCATATGGATCAACATACATAAACAGAACATTCTGCCTACAAGAGCAGAATACATTCTTTTCAAATGTACATGAAACATTCTCCAAGGCAGATCACAAATAAGGTCACAACAGAAGTCTTAATAAATTTAAGAAGATCGAAATTATACCAAGTATCTTTTCCAACAGAGATGAATGAAACTAAAAATGAATAACAGAAAAAAAACTAAAAATACTAAAAAAATTACTAAAAAATACTAAGAACTAAAAATACCAAACTAAAAATGACAAAAAGAAGGAAAAAATCACAAATATGTGGAATTTGGACAACCAATGGGCCAAGGAATATATTGTAAGGGGATTTAGATAATATATAAAAATTTAGAAAACATACCAAAACTTATGAGGTGCAGCAAAAGCAGTTCTAAGAGAAAAGCTTATAGTGATAAAAATCTATATTAAAGAAGAAAAATTTCAAATAAACAACTTAACTTTACAAATCAATGAGCTGGAAAAAGGAGGACAAAGCAAGCCTAAAGTTAGTAGGATGTAGGAAATAATAAATATTAAAGCAGAAATAAGCTAAATATAGAATAGGAAAACAATAGAAAAAAATCAACAGAACTAAAAGTTGGCTTTTTGCAAAGATAAACAAAACTGTTAAACTTTTAGCTTTCAGAAAACAAACAAAAAAAAACCAGAAGATGGAAATAAAAACAAAACTGTAAAAGAACATATTACAACTGATTCCACAGAAATAAAAAAATCATGTGATTATTCTGATCAATTATTTGCCAACATATTGCATAATCTAGAAGAAATAAATACATTTTTTAGAAACTTACAACCTACCATACCTGTATTATGAATAAATAGAATGTTTGAACAGACCAATAGAGAATAAGGAGATTGAATCAACAACCAAAAACTTCTCAGAAAGAAAAACTCAGGACCAGATGGCTTTACTGGTGAATTCTTTATTGGTTTTTAAAATAAAATTAACATTTTTCATAATCAACATTATTTATTTTTGCAGCATTTTCTACTTGTAATAGTAAATATAGATTTACTCTTCAACCAAGTAGACAATTTTTTCATGTATAAAAGTAGGGCGAGAAATGTTCACTTCAAGTTACAGGTAAATATTTTTATATCTGAAAAATAATATTTAGGCATTAAAGAATCAAAATTGTCTGTGCTCCTGGTACTCATGCCTTTATTGTGACTAGATCGATGGTAATCTATCTGATCACAAAATTAAAATTATACTGAAGTAGACACTCAGCCCTTTGAATACTAATATAGAAGCCAAATATCAGATTTTGGTCAAATATCAAGGCCAATGCCAACCTCCAGTGCATTCCTAGTCGGTGTTTTTTGTATACATTGTAAAGAAGAGTGTAGAAATTTGTCTGTGAGTTTTATGTTTTAAACCTGAGCAGAGCTCTCTTGACTTAAAAATTAGTTAAGTAAAAAATATTTATATTGTACATGATTTAAACAAATGTTTTTTATTATTTGTTTGCTTGTTTGTTTCTGTGATTGGTTGATTAATTTGGCTCTTCCTACTCATGAAGCTAGGCAATATTGGACTAAAGAGTACCAGGAATTCACAGCTTAAGAAAACATTTTATGAAATAGAAAATTTTAAAAAACATAGAAAAACTTATAAAAATGTATAGAATAGCTACTTTGGAAAACATTGCTTGGATTATACATTTTAAAAGAAATTTCAGTTAAGTGCCAAATTGGTAATGTAACAAAGGAGATCAACAACATTTTTCAAATATATGGTTGTCACTCTCTTTAGCTTTTAGTTTTAAAGCCTTCAGTGATAAGAGGAATTGTGTTTAACTATGTGCAGAAGAATTGATGCTTTCTGTAACCTAGGATATTACCAAAAAAAAATGCTAATTTTTTTTTTCTTTAAAGCTATGTCCTGGAGTGAATGAGGTGAATTTGAAATTAATAAAGAGGGCCTGTTCTGACTGTGAGTCAGCCAAGCTTTCTGCAGGAGTGTCAGGATTTCTTCTGTTAGAAAAAAAGAAAAAAGAAATAAAGACAAGAAAAACAAAACAAATACAATTCATTTAAACACACACTCACAGACGCACTTTAATTTTAAGAACTCCTTCCATTATTCTCTACCTGGCTTTGACAACTAAAATTGCCCATTAACTCACAAGAGGCCTTCAGTCTTGCTATGCTTCCTGTCAGCTGATGACATTCAAGACAAGCACAGTAAAGATAAAAACATGGCCACTGCCTGTCTCTGTGCAAATCTGAAGACCAATCACAAAGTTCTTCAATTGTATGGTTGTTAGTGGTCAAGGGGAAATAAGCTGCTTTGGGAAAGCCATTAAAACAATCATTTGCTCCAAACTTCCCACAATTATGCTTTACAGTTCTGTTCAGCATATAAAAACATACATTTTGAAGCTTTGAATACATGACACAAAAAGCTTAGGGACAAATACCAATAGCTTTACTTATTATGACATACTTCACCATTTATAGCCAAAATATATCTATGAACACTGTGAATTGGTACTAAAACATCTCTTCGTGTTCTCAGATTGATGAGACTCTCAAGGACAAAGATCTTGAAAGCGATTTGAGGGAAAGTATCAAATCTCATCTACTCTGTGTGCAGAAGATATTTTCTTCACATTGGAGCTGAAAGTTTCTGTTAAACACATGAATGAAACTGTCTTCTCAGCAATAATAATAAGTGATATCTACTGAGAATTTAGTCTATGTCAGACACGGGTACCTGCCATCAGCGGTCTTGATCCTCAACACCTCTGAGTATCTTATGTGTATTATCTCACTTAATTCTCACAGAATGCTATGATGGGAAGATTAATGCCACTTTTTTCATGTGAGGAGATGAGACAAAGACAGGCCAGGTAACTTGCTGAAGTCACCTGGCCTGGAAGTGGGGGGACCAAGACTTGAACCAAGCTAGTCTGATTCCAGGGACCTCTACGGCCACCTCTATATCTGCCTGTGAGCTTAAGTAACCAATGCTTAGTCTTTGACTGAAAGATTCCAAGGGAAGTTTTTTTATTCCCTTGTCCTGCAATCTTTCACGTGGGTTTTGAGACCATTATTTGCACTGATGATGAATTTCAGCAGCAGCAGCAGCAGCACCTTAGACTTGAACGGAAAGGTAAACTTTGTTTAGCTTATTCATTTTGTTTGTGTATATTACTGTCTGGACTTCCTAGAACATAAGCTCCATTTCAGGTTTTGTTTTTTTTTAATTTGTTGTATTCATTGAAGTATCCCAAAAATGATCAGTGCTCAGTGCAGAGCTGATTTTCAATAAATATTGGTTAAATGAACATTATAAATTTAGGATAGAGAAGTTTTTAACAAGCAATCAAGTGCACCTTTGTCTTTCTATTGTCGTCGTATGAGCCAAGAAAAGCCTTTAAGCATCTCCATATCGAAATTGTCTTCTGTAAATATCTGTTGTTCTAAATTGAAGCTAATTTTGAAATTGCAATTGATATTTTTTAAAGAGTGATATTTAATGTTTAGTAAGAGTAAAGTTGAGAAGCACCACTGTAAGGCACCTGTCCTGGTTCCAGACATGTAGCAAGTGCTCAATAAATTCTGGTTGAATGAGTGCTCGTTAACTACTTCGAGGCACAGAAGAGATTAGAGGCCAAATGTTGAATAGTAATCACTGTCAAAAGTTCACATTAAATTCCATGTAGGAATAGTGTGTTTATTGAAGCAAGTCATAAATAAAATAAGCTAAGCCTTTGAAATGACTAATGACAACCATTTGGGATCCAGATGTGCTGAAGCAGAACTCCATCATGCTAGTGGGTTTGTAGAAGCTGTTAATAAAGATGATGTTATTGGAAGGTTTACTAAGAAGTATGGAATTGTTAAAAGGTTAGAAAGTCACACTTTTCTGGATAATCTGAGGTTATCATTTTGTAGCCAAAATTCATGCTTTCAAGTCTTTTCTCTATCACCCTCACCTTCATATTTTACTTTTCAGGTGTTTATTCTGAATGCTCAAATGCAACTTACTCTCTCAGATCTCTGCATTAACCCTTGCAGGATATTCTGCTTCTCCTAGATAACTTCACCTAGATAACTTCCTAGATAGAGTCCCCTGCAAGACTGCACTCAAGGTTTACCCATTCTATACTTTCCATGACCCCTCATGTGACCTAGGTTAGGCATCCCTCCTCTTTGTTCTCACAGTACCCTGTCATATCATAGATCATGAGAAACTGTGTCTGTTTGCATGTATATCAAATATTACTAGACTGTGAATTCTCCAAAAACATGCCTTATGTTTTTATCTTAATGCCCGCAATCCAGAGCATAGGACCAGACATGTAACCTGTGCTTTATAAATGGACCTTAATTTTTTTTGATCTGCAAATGTAGCATTTGCACTTTGAGAACAGAACAGTGCTCTGGCACCTTTGGATCTACCATAGTACTTTGCACAGATTCAGGTACATAGAAGGTACTCAAAAAATTATATAGTCATTATTAGAACTTGATTGATGTGAGATTCTTTTCAGTTAGTATAAAATAGGATTTGTGAATAAGAATCACATTCCATAGAGCTGTCAGGGGTTAATTCAAAAGGAACAGGACACACAGTGATTGGAAAATATTAATTAATATTTTTCATCCTTCCGACTTTTTCTGGGAAACTCCTCCTAGCCATTTAAGACTCTAGCCTAGTAACACTTCTTCCAGAAAGCCTTCAGAGACTCACCCTCACTTTGTTCCTTGGATTTATGACTCTTCTGCATTTCCTAGCATTCTACTGCATCATGTTAAAACTGCTGTCATCAAGGTCAACAATAAACTATGAGTATTGACTCATTGCTAACTGAATTCCTCTCTTTTAATATTTTAAACAACTTCAGAATTCTTAGTTTTCTACCATGTTGCCTTTTTTGACAACATTCTAACTTGGTTCTGCTGCTATATCTCCAACTATTTCTTCTCAGATTTCTGTGCAAAGTTCTTTTCCTTTCAACTACGTCTTCATTTACTCCCTTTTTTCATGAACTGGAAAAATATTTAATGTGACGCTTCCACATGCTAAGCTTTAAGCTTCTTGGAATGACATTTCTCTGTGTTGTATAAGTTTAGCTGTCAAATAAGAATCCATGCCCTTACACAAGGACACAGCTTTACTCCCTGCCCTCTCGTCTCTGGGCATGCTTTTCTCTTGGAAAACATGTCCATTTCTATGGTTTCAAAACTCACTTATAAATGGAAGACACCTAAATTCATATCTCCAGCCTTGATCACATTATTAAGATTTAATTCCACATCTCAAAGTTCCTCTTAAATTTTTCCATTAAATTTCTCATCCTCTGTAATACCAAACTCAAACTCATTTTGATGGTGGCCTGATGCCAGGACACAATAGTCTCAATTTCTCTTTAAAAAAAAAAAAGTTGTCCCCAATGTTTCGTAGCATAGCTTCTCAGGAAGAAAGCTTTATAATGCAAAGCAAGTGGATATGGGTTACCCATTTTTAATATATTTCATAATCATCCATATTTTAAAAGTCCATGTATTCACATAAATACACACAGAGCACACCCAGCCACACACACACACACACACCAAATCACCAAAGATTAGTACATTTACCCAGTGTCCCGATATAATTGGAAGACAAGCAAATGACAACTTCAATTTAATACTGAAGTCTGTGATGATGCCTTTGACACCATTCCATCAGTGCTGTGTCCATCTCTCTTACACAAGAGGATAGTTTGGGTGGCAGCAATACTGTTTTGCAGATTTGAAGACTTTCCAGGCCTCTTTGTTATCTCTCCATGCCAGCATGGAAATTTCGTCCTCCGCTCACTCCCTGGATGAGCTCATCCTTATTCATGGCTTTGCACACCATAATTGTAACTCTAGCTTCAATTTCTGTCCTGAGCATCAACTCATATTTCTATCTGCCTATACAATGTCTCATCTAAACATCAGAAATACATTGCAGACTTACATATCTAAAAACAGACCTCTTTTGTTTCCCATCTCCTATCTCAACATGACACTTCACTAGCCTTCCTCATCTCAATAAATATAATCAATATTCATCCAATTGTTAGTCCAAAGCCCAGGAGTCTTGATTTCTCCCTTTCTTTCACATCCATTTTTAAGTCCACCGGCACATTCTGTTGACTCTACCCTTAAATATTCCTGGAATCAGTTTGCTTTTTGGCACTTTCTCCATTGTCACCATCATCCCAGTCACTATCATCTCTCATCTCAACTACTGGGGACATCTCTCAAATGGTTCTCCAAGTCCACTCTTGGCTTCTACACTATCTCCTTCACCCTGAAGCCATTGTGATATTTTGGAAATATAAATCAGTTTATGTGGCTCCCTTTACTCCTCCACCATCATTTAAAACAATGACACTTAAAATCCAGTCTCTCTAGCCTCATCTCTTCCCCCAACTCAGTCCACAGCATCCTGCTGTTACTCACATATAGCAAGTTCTAAGGGCTTTTCACTTGCTCTTCTCTCTACCTAAAATATTCTTCCCCACATGCATGATAATGTATATCTGTGCTCTACTGTCACCCCTTAGAGTTTGTCTTCATTACTCTTTCCAAAATAACATTCCTCTTTGTATATTTCCTTATTTTGTTTCTTTTCTGAAGTGGCATTTATGTTTTCACATGGTAATTTTCTTGCTCATTCACTAAAATATATGCCTTATGAGATGTTTTTATCTCCTATATCTAAAACAATGCTTGGCAAAGAGTAAGAGGTAAAATATTGGTCAAATTGATGTACAAATGAATAACACAAAAGTCTATCACCTATCACAGAGAAGCCAGAGGAAGCATCTACCAGGTGAGCCAATACCAGGATGTCATTGGGAAACTACAGCGATTCCTCATGGCATAGCCATGATCACGGACAATCTACTTTACAGGGTGAAGCAGACTGGAGGAAACTTCTCCACATCATGGGGGAAGACAGTAGAAACTACCAGAGAATCCATGAAGACTAAAGAACAAACAGAAAGAGTCCAAGAGAATTTCTGCAGAGATGTGTTATTTTGTTTTCTGTGGTGTATTTTGGGGGCCAGTCCTAAGTCAAGGCACAAAGTCAGGTCAGATGACACTTCTTGTCCCTTCATACCCCAAGGCATGTTGGTCAATCAGTTCTTGCTGATCTTATGAAGAAGGAGTCCTGCCAGCTTCAGAAAACTGTCTTTGGGTTAACTCATCTACTGAAATATTTGACCTGCTTTCATTTACACACAATATTTTTTTCTCATGCACCTAATTTATTCCAATCTCTTTGCACATTCTGTTAACATAAAGTTATTTCTAACACAATATTAGAATAGCATTCAGTAATGCAATTACTATGTGTTTCTATCAATTCAATAAGCACTCTGGGCTGAGGACATCTCAGACCATGCTGGCCACAGGTCTCTGAAAATTAGCTGCTTCAAAAGTGCGAGAAGTCATGCATATGTGTTCATATATGTGACTAAGTTATTCTTACTTAGGCATATGGATTAGTGTTCTAGGACTGTCATAACAAATTACCACAAATTTAATGGCTTAAAACCACAGAAGCCCATTTACTCACAGATCTAGACGCTAGAGTATGAAGCCAAGGTATTTGGTTGGTTCCTTCTGGACGCTGAGGTAGACTCTGTTCTATGCCTCTATCCTGGCTCCTGATGGCTGCTGGCAATCCTTGGTGCCCTTTGGCTTGTTGCCTCACTCCAATCTCTGCCTCTGTCTTCATGTCGCATTCTTCTCTGTGTCTGTGTCTTTGTTCTCTTCTCTTCTCTTCTTTTATCTTCTTTTATCTTCTCTTCTCTTATAAAGATGTCATTAGATTTAAGGCTTATACTCATCCATGATGATTATATCTCAAGATCCTTAACTTCATTACAAAAGCAAAGTCACTTATTCCAAATAAGGTTAGATTTACAGGTTTGGTGGTTATGAACATATTATTGGGGAGGGAGTGTGTTAGTCTGTTTTCATACTGCTATAAAGAACTGCCTGAGATGGGGCAATTTATAAAGGAAAGAGGTTTGATTGACTCACAGTCTGCATGACTGGGAAGGCCTCAGAAAACTTACAATCATGGTGTAAGGTGGAAGGTGAAGACGAAGCAAGGCACCTTCTTCATAAGGCATCAGGAAGGAGAAGTGCCAGAAGGGGAAATGCCAGACACTTATAATACCATCAGATCTTGTGAGATTCACTCGCTATCACCAGAACAGCATGGGGGAAACTGCACCCATGATTCCATTACTTCCACCTGGTCTCTCCCTTGATATGAAGGGACTATGGGGATTATGGAGATTACAATTCAAGATTTGGGTGGGGACACCAAGCCTAACCATATCAGAGAGTGTCATTATTCAACCTAATACAGCATCCTAATGCCTAAAGACTAAGTCCAATCTTCTTCCCATGACTTTAGCTTGCTGTCTTAGCTTCAGTTTTGGTATCAACAATACCCACAGTTGGATTTCCTGGAGGCTTATAGAACTCCACTTTCTCTCCATCCAACACTGTCTGCTACATCACTAGGAATTGCTCAAGTGACCTTTCTTAATCAAGATATTCATACTCTGTTCTTTAGTCTTTGTGTATACTCTGGTAGTTTCCCCCTCTCCATAAGAGAACACTAGCATGATGCCCTTTTTGTCTCTATTACTACAATAAGTCAAAATTTGTTCTTCCATCCACTGTTCTGTAAGTTCCCTCATGGGACTCAAGCTGTAATCCTTTCCAGACTCCTCAAAATACTTTCTCCAGAATTTAAACTCTAGGAAAAGTAAAATCTCCATATTATATATTCAACCACTTCTCTAAATATTTTACCTTCCATTCTACAAACCTGGCTCTCCCCAGAGGTTATCCTTCCCTACAGCCCTCCCATGGCGTGATATCTTTCTTATTTCACTGGGCTTAGGATAAGTATCCTCTTTGATCTCCATTGTCAGTTCCAGAATATTGCTCCTTCATCCTCCCTAAACCTTCCAGCTTCTTTGACAAATACACTGCAAAGTTATACCAGCCACTATTTTCCTTTGTCACATTGCTATCCTTCTGAGCAATCCTCCTAATTTTTGCAAGATTTTTAGCACCTAATTTAGCTCGGTTTCTCCACTGCTTACTACTCTTAGCATCATCCTTGATCACTCAAAACCATCTACTACTCAAGCTTCTCAATAGCTTGTCTTCTTATCTTCCAAACACCCCATCTTACATTTCCACCTTCCTTTGTCTAACTGTCCCCACTTCCCAGGCCATTTCTTAGACTGTCCTTACCAATAACTCAAACATAATTAAATATTTCACCTCAGCATCTAGTCTTCTGTGTAGCAACACTCATTTTTCCATTTCTACTTTCTCTAGATCTCTCACTCCAACACTCCAACAACTCATCAGATAGGTCTGTGATTCCATTAACATTTTCCCCTTTTCTTCTCCACCTTCCATCAGTTTGTCACTACCTTTGTATTCAGTCGAAAGTCTGTATGATTCATCTATTGTTATCATCTCATTACTTGTCTATGTCATTCTTTTTCTTGCCTGTTTCCTTCATCATAATCATCTACGAAATCCGAATTTTGGCTTAAATTCGACTTTTGCTTTTGTCTCTATCATCCTTGCAAGATGATTCAAGCTGGAGAAATCACAGTACATGCTAACTGTGCTTAACTTCAAATGTATGATCCAAACTCTGTCCAGGAAATCTATTATATTTGCTCATCCAATTCACTCTCTTACTCACCAAAACAACTATTTCTCACTTTTTCTTCGCTTTTAAAATACTAAATCATCACTCCACCCCCCTCATTTTCAGCTGGTGACCTGCTTCTCATTTTCTGAAAAAAATAGATTTAATCAGAGAAGGTCTTCAGCCATACACCAAATCTATTAACCCCATCTGCACCCTTTTACTCTACCATTCTTCTCATTCAGTGAATGGACTCAGACCCCCTATCTAAGCAAATCCCTTTATTTGTGACCTGGGTCCTATTTATTCTTGTCCCTAAAGTGCTTTGCTCCTACAATTTTTCCCATCTCTTTGCATGCCATCAACTATTCTTTCCCTATTGGATCATTTTCACCAAATAAAAATTGTGCTCAATAAATACCCAATAGGAAAATTTTTTTTATTTCCTTCAACAGATACCATTAACATTTCCTTCCTCGTTTTGACAAAAGTTACAGCAAGTGTTGCTTACACTGTTTTCACTCTCTCACCCTTTAATCTCTCTTGAATTCCATCGAGTCATGCCTTTATCCTCATCATTACCCTAACACGCATTTGTCAAGGGAGTTAATTCACTGGTCAGTTCCCACACCTGAACTTACTTAATTGACTCTTTGTAGCATTTGACACAATAGATTTCTATCTTTTTTTCACAAATAAATTATTTATTATAATTAACAATTAAAATTAGGTCCAAATGCTTTTATTCAAAACAAAACCAAGAAAAATATTGAGATAGGTAATGCTAAGGGTTTGCTATGTGCCTGGAAATATGCAAAGTTTTAGTGTGCATTGGCACCTTTAAGATTCACAGCAGTCTACGAGGTAGGTGCTCTTTTGTTTTGTTTTGTTTTGTTCTTGTTTTTTGTTTGTTTGTTTGTTTTTTTGAGATGGAGTCAGACTCTCGCCCAGGCTGGAGTGCAGTGGCAGGATCACAGCTCACTGCAGGCTCCCCCACCGGGGTTCATGCCATTCTCCTGCCTCAGCCTCAGGAGTAGCTGGGACTACAGGCCCCTGCCACCTTGCCCAGCTAATTTTTTGTATTTTTAGTAGAGACGGTGTTTCACCATGTTAGCCAGGATGGTCTCATCTCTTGACCTCGTGATCCGCCCCCCTTGGCCTCCCAAAGTGCTGGGATTACAGGCGCGAGCCACCGCACCCAGCATTTTTTTAAATATACTTTAAGTTCTAGGGTACATGTGCACAATGTGCAGGTTTGTTACATATGTATACATGTGCCATGTTGGTGTGCTGCACCCATTGACTCGTCATTTAGTATTAAGTATATCTCCTAATGCTATCCCTCCCCCTGCCCCCACCCCACAACAGGCCCCGGTGTGTGATGTTCCCCTTCCTGTGTCCAAGTGTACTCATTGTTCAATTCCCAACTGTGAGTGAGAACATGCGGTGTTTGTTTTTTTGTCCTTATGATAGTTTGCTGAGAATGATGGTTTCCAGCTTCAGCCATGTCCCTACAAAGGACATGAACTCATCCTTTTTTATGGCTGCAGAGGATTCCATGCTGTATATGTACCACATTTTCTTATTCCAGTCTATCATTGATGGACATTTGGGTTGGTTCCAAGTCTTTGCTATTGTGAATAGTGCCACAATAAACACACGTGTGCATGTGTCTTTATAGCAGCATGATTTATAATCCTTTGGGTATATACCCAGTAATGGAATGGCTGGGTCAAATGGTATTTCTAGTTCTAGATCCCTGAGGAATCACCACACCGACTTCCACAATGGTTGAACTAGCTTACAGTCCCACCAACAGTGTAAAAGTGTTCCTATTTCGTCACATCCTCTCTAGCACCTGTTGTTCCTGACTTTTTAATAATCGCCATTCTAACTGGTGTGAGATGGCATCTCATTGTGGTTTTCATTTGCATTTCTCTGATGGCCAGTGATGATAAGCATTTTTTCACGTGTCTGTTGGCTGCATAGATGTCTTCTTTTAAGAAGTGTCTATTCATATCCTTCGCCCACTTGTTGAGGGGGTTGTTTTTTTCTTGTAAATTTGTTTGAGTTCTTTGTAGATTCTGGATATTAGCCCTTTGTCAGATGAGTAGATTGCAAAAATTTTCTCCCATTCTGTAGGTTGCCTGTTCACTCTGATGGTAGTTTCTTTTGCTGTGCAGAAGCTCTTTAGTTTAATGAGATCCCATTTGTCAATTTTGGCTTTTGTTGCCATTGCTTTTGGTGTTTTAGACATGAAGTCCTTGCCCATGCCTATGTCCTGAAGGGTATTGCCTAGGTTTTCTTCTAGGGTTTTTATGGTTTTAGGTATAACGTTTAAGTCTTTAATCCATCTTGAATTAATTTTTGTATAAGGTGTAAGGAAGGGATCCAGTTTCAGCTTTCTACATACGGCTAGCCAGTTTTCCCAGCACCATTTGTTAAATAGGGAATCATTTCCCCATTGCTTGTTTTTGTCAGGTTTGTCAAAGATCAGATAGTTGTAGATGTGTGGCATTATTTCTGAGGGCTCTGTTCTGTTCCATTTGTCTATATCTCTGTTTTGATACCACTACCATGCTGTTTGGGTTACTGTAGCATTGTAGTATAGTTTGAAATCAGGTAGCATGATGCCTCCAGCTTTGTTCTTTTGGCTTAGGATTGACTTGGCAATGTGGGCTCTTTTTTGGTTCCATATGAACTTTAAAGTAGTTTTTTTCCAATTCTGTGAAGAAAGTCATTGGTTGCTTGATGGGATGGCAATGAATCTACAAATTACCTTGGGCAGTATGGCCATTTTCATGATATTGATTCTTCCTATCCATGAGCATGGAATGTTCTTCCATTTGTTTGTATCCTCTTTTATTTCATCGAGCAGTGAAAGTAGTTCTCCTTGAAGAGGTCCTTCACATCCCTTGTAAGTTGGATTCCTAGGTATTTTATTCTCTTTGAAGCAATTGTGAATGGGAGTTCACTCATGATTTGGCTGTTTGTCTGTTATTGGTGTATAAGAATGCTTGTGATATTTGCACATTGATTTGGTATCCTGAGAGTTTGCTGAAGTTGCTTATCAGCTTAAGGAGATTTTGGGCTGAGACAATGGGGTTTTCTAGATATACAATCATGTTATCTGCAAACAGGGACAATTTGATTTCCTCTTTTCCTAATTGAAAACCGTTTATTTCTTTCTCCTGCCTGATTGCCCTGGCCAGAACTTCCAACACTATGTTGAATAGGAGTGGTGAGAGAGGGCATCCCTGTCTTGTGCCAGTTTTCAAAGGGAATGCTTCCAGTTTTTGCCCATTCATTATGATATTGGCTGTGGGTTTGTCATAAATAGCTCTTATTATTTTAAGATACGTCCCATCAATACCTAATTTATTGAGAGTTTTTAGCATGAAGGGTTGTTGAATTGTGTCAAAGGCCTTTTCTGCATCTATGGAGATAATCATGTGGTTTTTGTCTTTGGTTCTGTTTATATGCTGGATTACGTTTATTGATTCACGTATGTTGAACCAGCCTTGCATCCCAGGGATGAAGCCCACTTGATCATGGTGGATAAGCTTTTTAATGTGCTGCTGGATTCGGTTTGCCAGTATTTTATTGAGGACTTTTTCAGCAATGTTCATCAGGGATATTGGTCTAAAATTCTCTTTTTTTGTTGTGTCTCTGCCAGGCTTTGGTATCAGGATGATGCTGGCCTCATAAAATGAGTTAGGGAGGATTCCCTCTTTTTCTATTGATTGGAATAGTTTCAGAAGGAATGGTACCAGCTCCTCCTTGTACCTCTGGTAGAATTCGGCTGTGAATCTGTCTGGTTCTAGACTTTTTTTGGTTGGTAAGCTATTAATTATTGCCTCAATTTCAGAGCCTGCTATTGGTCTATTCAGAGATTCAACTTCTTCCTGATTTAGTCTTGGGAGGTTATATGTGTCAAGGAATTTATCCATTTCTTCTAGATTTTCTAGTTTATTTGCATAGAGGTGTTTATAGTATTCTCTGATGGTATTTTGTATTTCTGTGGGATCAGTGGTGATATCCCCTTTATCATTTTTTCTTGCATCTATTTGATTCTTCTCTCTTTTCTTCTTTATTAGTCTTGATAGCGGTTTATCAATTTTGTTGATCTTTTCAAAAAACCAGCTCCTGGATTCATTGATTTTTTGAAGGGTTTTTTATGTCTCTATTTCCTTCAGTTCTGCTCTGATCTTAGTTATTTCTTGCCTTCTGCTAGCTTTTGAATGTGTTTGCTCTTGCTTCTCTAGTTCTTTTAATTGTGATGTTAGGGTGTCAATTTTAGATATTTCCTGCTTTCTCTTGTGGGCATTTAGTGCTATAAATTTCCCTCTACACACTGCTTTAAATGTGTTCCAGAGATTCTGGTATGTTGTGTCTTTGTTCTCGTTGGTTTCAAAGAACATCTTTATTTCTGCGTTCATTTCGTTATGTCCCCAGTAGTCATTCAGGAGCAGGTTGTTCAGTTTCCATGTAGTTGAGTGGTTTTGAGTGAGTTTCTTAATCCTGAGTTCTAGTTTGATTGCACTGTGGTCTGAGAGAAAGTTTGTTAAAATTTCTGTTCTTTTATATTTGCTGAGGAGTGCTTTACTTCCAACTATGTGGTCAATTTTGCAGTAGGTGCAGTGTGGTGCTGAGAAGAATGTATATTCTTTTGATTTGGGGTGGAGAGTTCTGTAGATGTCTATTAGGTCTGCTTGGTGCAGAGCCGAGTTCAATTCCTGGATATCCTTGTTAGCTTTCTGTCTCGTTGATCTGTCTAATGTTGACAGTGGGGTGTTAAAGTCTCCCATTATTATTGTTTGGGACTCTAACTCTCTTTGTAGGTTTCTAAGGACTTGCTTTATGAACCTGGGTGCTCCTGTATTGGGTGCATATATATTTAGGATAGTTATCTCTTCTTGTTGAATTGATCCCTTTACCATTATGTAATGGCCTCTTTGTCTCTTTTGATCTTTGTTGGTTTAAAGTCTGTTTTGCCAGAGACTAGGATTGCAACCCCTGCCTTTTTCTGTTTTCCATTTGCTTGGTGGATATTCCTCCATCCCTTTATTTTGAGCCTATGTGTGTCTCTGCACGTGAGATGGGTTTCCTGAATACAGCACACTGATGGGTCTTGACTCTTTATCCAATTTGCCAGTCTGTGTCTTTTAATTGGAGCATTTAGCCCATTTATATTTAAGGTAAATATCGTTATGTGTGAATTTGATCCTGTCATTATGATGTTAGCTGGTTATTTTGCTCGTTAGTTGATGCAGTTTCTTCCTAGCACTGATGGTCTTCACAATTTGGCATGTTTTTGCAGTGGCTGGTACTGGTTGTTCCTTTCCATGTTTAGTGCTTCCTTCAGGGGTTCTTGTAGGGCAGGCCTGGTGGTGACAAAATCTCTCAGCATTTGCTTGTCTGTAAAGTATTTCATTTCTCCTTCACTTATGAAGCTTAGGTTGGCTGGATATGACTCTGGGTTGAAAATTCTTGTCTTTAAGAATGTTGAATATTGGCCACCACTCTCTTCTGGCTTGTAGAGTTTCTTTTGAGAAATGAGCTGTTAGTCTGATGAGCTTCCCTTTGTGGGTAACCTGACCTTTATTTCTGGCTGCCCTTAACATTTTTTCCTTCATTTCAACTTTGGTGAATCTGACAATTATGTGTCTTGGAGTTGCTCTTCTCGAGGAGTATCTTTGTGGCGTTCTCTGTATTTCCTGAATTTGAATGCTGGCCTGCCTTGCTAGATTGGGGAAGTTCTCCTGGATAATATCCTGCAGAGTGTTTTCCAACTTGGTTCCATTCTCCCTGTCACCTTCAGGTACACCAATCAGATGTAGATTTGGTCTTTTCACATAGTCCCATATTTCTCGGAGGGTTTGTTCATTTCTTTTTATTCTTTTTTCTCTAAACTTTTCTCACTTTATTGCATTCATTTGATCTTCTATCACTGATACCCTTTCTTCCAGTTGATCGAATCGGCTACTGAAGCTTGTGCATTGGTCACGTAGTTCAGCTCCATCAGGTCCTTTAAGGACTCCTCTGCATTGGCTATTCTAGTTAGCCATTCGTCTAATGTTTTTTCAAGGTTTTCAGCTTCTTTGCCATGGGTTCGAACTTCTTCCTTTAGCTGGGAGAAGTTTGATCGTCTGAAGCCTTCTTCTCTCAATTCGTCAAAGTCATTCTCCATCCAGCTTTGTTCCATTGCTGGTGAGGAGCTGCATTCCTTTGGAAGAGGAGAGGTGCTCTGATTTTTAGAGTTTCCAGTTTTTCTGCTCTTTTTTCTCCCCATCTTTGTGGTTTTATCTACCTTTGGTCTTTGATGATGGTGATGTACAGATGGGGTTTTGGTGTGGATGTCCTTTCTGTTTGTTAGTTTTCCTTCTAACAGTCAGGACCCTCAGCTGCAGGTCTGTTGGAGTTTGCTGGAGGTCCACTCCAGAACCTGTTTGCCTGGGTATCAGCAGTGGAGGCTAAAGAACAGCGAATATTGGTGAACAGCAAATGTTGCTGCCTGATCGTTCCTCTGGAAGTTTTGTCCAAGAGGGGTACCCAGCCGTATGGGTGTCAGTCTGCCCCTATTGGGGTGTGCCTCCCAGTTAGGCTACTCGTGGGTCAGGGACCCACTTGAGGAGGCAGTCTGTCCTTTCTCTGATCTCAAGCTCCATGCTGGGAGAACCACTACTGTCTTCCAAGCTGTAGGGTTCATTTAAGTCTGCAGCGGTTTCTGCTGCCTTTTGTTTGGCTATGCCCTGCCCCCAGAGGTGGAGTCTACAGAGGCAGGCAGGCCTCCTTGAGCTGCGGTGGGCTCCACCCAGTTCTAGCTTCCCAGCCGCTTTGTTTACCTACTCAAGCCTCAGCAATGGCGGGTGCCCCTCCCCCAGGCTGCTGTGCTAGCAATGAGCGAGGCTCCGTGGGTGTAGGACCCTCCAAGCCAAGTGCAGGATATAATCTCCTGGTGTGCCGTTTGCTAAGACCATCAGAAAAGCACAGTATTAGGGTGGGAGTGACCCGATTTTCCAGGTGCCATCTGTCACCCCTTTCCTTGGCTAGGAAAGGGAATTCCCTGACCCCTTGCACTTCCCAGGTGAGGCGATGCCTCGCCCTGCTTCAGCTCACGCTTGGTGAGCTGCACCCACTGTCCTTCCCCCACTCTCCGATGAGCCCCAGTGAGATGAACCCGGTACCTCAGTTGGAAATGCAGAAATCACCTGTCTTCTGCATCGCTCGTGCTGAGAGCTGTAGACTGGAGCTGTTCCTATTCGGCCATCTTGGAACCCATTTCCAACTGATTTCTATCTTAAAACAACTTTTGCATTTGGCTCCTGCAATACAATCACTGTTTGCTTTTACTTCCACATCAATGGAATGTCCATTTGTTAAATTATTTTCTTTCTGACCACTCACTCTTGCAGTTCCAGAGGCCTCAGTCTTCAGACACCTCTAACTTACGGTCATTCCCTATGTAAACTCACAATTTATGCTTGATTAAACACTCATATAAACTGGTAACTAAGTGTATACTTCAGCTCCTATCACTACCTTGCTTTCCAAAGTCATCTACATAACTAACCATCTGATTCTCTAATTGGAAGCCTAACATGAATCTCAAACTTCACATCTCTCAATTTGAATTCTTGTTTTAACACTGAAATCTGTTGCTCCCTAAGTTCCTCCCAGCTTACTGACCTGCTTCTCATTTTCCAAAAAAAAAAAAAATAGATTTAATCAGAGAAGGTCTTCAGCCTTACACCATCAAATCTATTAACCCCATCTGCACCCTTTTACTCCACCATTCTTCTCATTCAGTTTATGGACTCAGACCACCTATCTACCATCCACCCAATTTCCCAAAGAATTTTAAAACATCCTTAATTTTTTCCTTTTCCCTGATTCTCATGCATCAGCATGCCATGTTTCTTCAAAACACATCCAAGACCTGACTACTACTTACCAATGCCACCACTGCCATCCTGGCCCAGGTAGCCATCGACATTTAACTAGTCCACTGCAATAGGTTACTAAGTGTTCACATGTTTCCACTCTGCCCTCTACTATCTATAGTTCAGGCAACAACCAGGTAAATCTCAGGAATATACAAGGCAAATCATGCAACACTGTTCAATCTTACTCCAAGTAAAATTCAAATCCTTTACTATGACCCCCAAAGTTTTACATAATCTAGCCTCAGCTTCCTCTCTAACCTCATCGTACTCCCGCTAGCTCACTGTGCTCTATGCATGCTTGCATGCGTGCTGTCCTTCAAACACAACAAGCCTGTCTCAGCCTTTTGGCCTTAGGATCTGCATTCCCATGTGCTGGCATGATCTCTCCCTCTTCACTCAGGACTCTTTCAAATACACCTGCTCATGGAGGCCTCCCCTAGGACCTTTGCCAAAAGACTCCTCACTCCCCAGCCCCTTCCTGACCCCATTCCTTGCCTTACTATGTTTCATAGCACTTATCATCAACCGACTTGGTATTATATATTTTTAAAAAATGGTTTAGATTCACAGAAAAATTATGAAGATGTTATAGAGTCCATATTGCATACACTCAGTTTCCCCTGTTATTAACAACTTACATTAGGGGTACATATGTCAGAGTGAATAAAACAATATCAATGCATTATGATTAACTAACGTCCATACTTTATTCATATTTCCTTAGTTTTTACTTAGTGTCCTTTTTCCCTTCCAGGATCCCATCCAGGACAACACATTACATTCAGCTGTCATGTCTCCTTGGTCTCCTCTCTGCTGGGATAATTCCTCACACGTTACTGCTTTTTGATGACTTTTAATGTTTTCAGGAGCATTGGCCATGTATTCTATAAAATTTTTCCCTTTTGAAATTTGTCTGATTTTTTCTCATGATTAGACTAGGGTTATGTGTTCTGGGGAGAAAGACTGCAGAGGTGAAGTGCCCTTTTCATCGCAGTGTATCAAAGGTAAATGTTATACACATGATTTATGACTGTTGATGTTGACCTTCATGACCTGGTGGAGGAAAAGTTTGTCAGGTTTCTCCACTGGGAAGTTGTTTCTCCTCCTACTCTTTTCCACGCTGTGTTCTTTGAAAGAAAGGCACTATATGCTACCCACACTTATGGGGTAGGAAGACAAGCTCCACCTCCTTGAGGGCAGAGTAGGAATTATACTTTTATTTGTTAATAGGTTTATTTTCTCCCTTCCTGACACAATATAAGCTCAGCTTGGGATTCTCATTACCTAAAACAGTTCCTGATATAGTTCCTAATATGCATAGGCTCCCACTAAATATTAATGAAAGTAAACAATTAATCTCCCATCACATATACCTATTCATATGTCTAAGGATCTACCTGGGCACTTTCATCCACCTAAAAACCTCTTTTTTCCTTTGCTCATATTTTTCGGTAAATTCTCATTCAGTCTTAAAACTCTTTTTCTCATTGTTCATGTCCGCCTAAGTTGGAAGACACAGTCACATGCACATGTATGTGTATAATGTGTATACACTGTGGATAATGTGTAGAGTTGTGCCTATGGCTCAGCATCGTAATTGTTTCTTCACATCTCTGCTTGCTGCCATCCCTGATGAGTACCTTGAGATTTCTTTACCTTTATGTTACCCTAAATGCCTAGCACTGAGCCTGGAATATTGTATGCTCTTTCCCAATGTTTGCTGGTTGAGGAGATTAAACTAGATTAACAGCTTGATAACTTTCACAAAGTTGCCTTTTTCTAGCTTATTGCAGGCACCTGACTTGAGTCACCTGCTCACAATAAAACCAAATCCTTTCTTTGGATTATATAGCACATTGATGTTGAATTCTTTCCCTCCCTGGAGTCAACATCAGAGTTTTGTTGTATTACGATCACTAGGACCTTAGCCCCTTTCATGCCAGGAGCTCTGGAAGGATAGGGTTAAAAGCTTAAACCAGGAAAGAATAGAGACTCAAAGAAATGATCAAGAAGTGGCTGGCAATCAAAACTCTCCAGCACTTTAGCCATAGTTGGAGCAGGTAACCTGAAGGAATCAGGAAGAATATAGGGAACTATTTTTCCATTTCAACTACTTTATTTCATCAAGCTGCATTTCTCTGAGCTCAGTTTATGTGGTTTCATTGTCCACGGGGCCTCAGCTTTCCTGCGGTGGCCTGTGATGCTGGATACTGGATGAGGATGAAGGACAAAAGATGCTTGCAAAATAAAAAGATTATTCATCAGGAATTGTGCATGACAGTTTTGTGTCATTTGTGTCATTTGTGTTATTTGTGTGTCATGTGTGTCATTTGTGACGGCACAATTTGTGACAGCACAAAACCCAATCCAGAAATCCAGGTAATTGAATATCAACTATTTTCTTGGTTTTCAAAATACAAGTTATTGTTTTTCTATTTTAACAATTTTTATATTATAAAAGCAGACATGCTCACTTGAGAACATAAGAAAATAAAGAAAAATGTAGATAAAATAATAAATATTTGCCTGTAAAGATTTGCCCACTTTCAAAATGAGTATTTTAATATATATACCCTTCTATTCAAGTGTTTATAAGCACATTTAAAACAGTTGGAGTTAGGCCAGGTGCAGTGGTTCACGCCTATAATCCCAGCACTTTGGGAGGCCAAGGCAGGTGGATCACCTGAGGTTGGGAGTTTGAGACCAGCCTGACCAACGTGGAGAAACCCCGTCTATACTAAAAATACAAAAAATTAGCCAGGCATGGTGGCGCATGCCTGTAATCCCAGCTGCTCAGGAGGCTGAGGCCGGAGAACTGATTGAACCTGGGAGACGGAGGTTGCAGTGAGCCGAGATTGCACCATTGCATGCCAGCCTGGGCAATAAGAGTGAAACAACGTTTAAAAAAAAAAAAAAGAAGACTATACTTAAATATACAATTTGTACCTTTCTTTTCTCAGGTAGCATTATAAAATAACATAATTTTGTATTTCAAAACAATCTTTTCATGAACAAAATTTTAAATGATTGTGAAGTATTTTATCACATGGCTATCCCATAATTTTTCAAGTATTCTTCCATTTTGGAGAGGTTTCAATTTCTCATCATGACAAATTTTTGCCCCCAAATAGGCCCCCAAAATAGAGATAAGCACAAAAGTCTGAGGGAAAAGAAAGGGGATGATTTTACCAGACAGAGAAACCCTAGGAAGTTTCCCCCAAAAAGGTGATAAGTTGGTTGTATCTTAATATGAACCGGCTTAGTGAAAAAGTGAAAGGAAGAATATTCTAAATATTTAGAGGAAATACAGAGACTTAAAATCTCAACATTGGAGCTTACCACCTTCTAAGGCAGCTTTTCTATCATTAAATAATTCTAATTTTTTGAGAGGCCCTTTTTTATGTTAAGCAAATATTCTTTCTCAATATAACTTTCACGACTTGTTCTGCCTTCCATAGCAGCACTGAATAAGTCTATTCCTCCTACCATATATTAATACTTTTAAAAATGTGCAAGTAGCTGCTCGGTTTATCCTCAGACTCAAGTGATTGTGAAAGCAGTGAGAGACTTCAAAGGTCATCCACTTCAACTTTCTCATTTTTTAAGCCAAGAAAAATTGGTCCAGAATAGGACAGTCACCAGCCTCCCATGGCATACATATTTAGTGGCAGTGCTGAGTGGATAAATCATATTTCCAACTCTCAACCCACTTCTCTTTTTAATATGCTCCCTTCTCTTCTCCACTGTGAACTTCCCAGTTCCTCCTGTCAACTTTAAATAATGAGATTCAGAAAATATGATTAAGTATACAGTTTCTTTGAGGCAAAGTTTGAGGCGGGCCACCCAGAAACATCGACTCCAAAGGAATGGGGCCAGCATTCCAAAGTAGAGAAGGTATGGTTTCCTTTACATAGAAATTTTAGCAGGATTATATTTTTTATACAAGACCAGTGCAAACACCCCAGTGATTTGATTAGCTACAAGGAAGAGGACTTTATTACTCCATGAGGAGGATAATCTGAGGTGGGGGAGGTGTCTTTTCTTTGGCACTATTTGGTCCTGAATGTTTACAGAAAAAAGACGGAAGTTGCATCCGCATGCCATGCGACTCAGGCTTCACAGCCACATTCCTCAGAATAAAGTTCCAACAGCTTTACGTCTGAATTATTTTAAGTTTGAATTACTGAATTTCATCCTCCAAGTACTCTTTGTTCAAGACTCTTTTCCCACCTCTTCTAGATCTTGGTCACTTTCTCCCAAAACAGCTCCAGCAGTGCTTCAGTTCACCTGAGTTTAGTTATACAAAAAAATAATATCCCCAGCATTTTTCCTAGGCATTTCAATAACACAACTCAGTGAATTCTGATAAGCTCGTGATGCACCATTTTTCACAAATGAGAAAACTGAGGCTCTGAGAGGTGCAGGGCCTTGCTCAATCTAACAAAAATGGTAAGTGCTGAAAGTAGAATTTGATTTTAAATTTGTCTATAATTCCTTGAATTCAACTACATTTGTCTATATTTGTTGTTGCTGTTATAGCTTTGTTTTAGAATCCTCTAATTATTGCACAACTAACTTATAGCAGAACGGCAATTACAATCCAGGTATTTTGATTTCAGTAAATTTTTGCCTTTCTTAACCACATTATGACATCACATATAAGCAATCAATCCAAAGTAAGAGTTAGACAATTGTGCATGGTCAGGTTATAGCAATAATTTAAATTCTTCCATCAACCATTAGCGTGGACTTCACATCCTAGATATTTGTATCTTAACGCTAAATAAGCCTATGAGTGTATCATGAGTCTGACTCCCCAGGGTTTTCTTTATGTTGCTACTGCCTTGTTGAACCTGATGAAAGGTAACACAAGCCTTCCAATGTCAGATTTCCAAATACTCTCAACAGGTAAAGCACAAAGGGCTAAGCAGCAGGTTTGTTTGCATTTTAAATTAAAAATTATTGTCATCCTTAAAAACAAGAGCATCATGAGATGTTTGGCAAAATGGTAATATATCACTGATTATTTTAATTCTAAAGAAAGCCACAGCCTATAATTAAATATCCTTAACTTGATTTTGGCTTCCTCCATAAAAATAAACAAGGAAAAAAATAAGTGGGCAGGAGGTTGGAGACCTTCCCAAAGACTTCAGAGACAGGACTCATGGAATCATTGCCAACATGTCCATTTGGGAAGCTCCAAAATGTGTGGGCCCTTCTTTCCCCAACTCACACAAACAATGGCAGATTGAATTTGTATTTGAAAAACTTTCTAAAGCCACAAAATCAAAGACATCGATGTTTTGCAAATACAATGCAGGCAGAGTATTTATTATGTACATAACCATTCCACAGAAAGTAAAAATATTACTGCAATCCATTTCTAATCAAAATAAAATTTCAAAATAGCATCTACTTATCATTGAATCCCACTATTTTGATTCTTCTATTTAAAGAAGCACTTTAGTGCAGTGGAAAAAACATGAGCAAGGATGAAGATACTACAGTTGTGATATGAAGTATATGCTGTTTCAGGTACACTGCAGATCAGGGTGCTTTTAAATCCATTCCTTCATTTAATAACTTTTTATTCAGTCTCTTCTCAATGTCACTCCCTTTCCTGGCCCTTGAAATAGTGAAGAAGACAGTTCCACTCCTGCCCTCAAGTGTCTCACATTCTAGAAGAGGGAAGAGAAGGAAGAAATGCAAAGACACTTGTAAGCACTTTTCAAATAGTGTTGATTATTCTGAAGACCATTCAACAGGTGGATGCAGCAAGAAGGGATTTATGGGGCATGCTACACAAATGACTAATACAGTGGAAGAAAGGATTGATGCTAGGTTATTTCTAGATAGGGAGATCTGAGGAAATTTCATGGAAAATGCAACACTTTAAGCTGTCTTTCGAATAATGGACCTTTCATGTAGAAATGAAGCACTATCATCTGAGGTGGAGGGAACAGCAAAGCAGCACTGCAAACATGGTGGAAGCCCTTCCTTTGAGAGGTCATAGGCATCCATGTCTCATGTTGCAATCTATGAAATGCAGAGTCTGGAGGCTTTAGTCACCTCAGAGACATCACAGGAATGAAATGACGTGTCCTCCCATCTTCCCATGATTCTGCAGGACCCACTTCTCTCCTCTTGTATAATATGGTTCTAGGAATAATCTTTTAACTGCTCTCCCTGCTTTCAGCTGCCTGAAAGATCTTTCTAAATTACTGCTTCTCAAATTATTTTGGCCACACCCTCAGTAACAAAAACTTACTTTGTGACCTACTACACAAATTGTATAAAACAAATTAATTACTATTACTACTTGCAATGTATTTTAAGATTTCCTTTTTATTATAATTGATTCTATTTCATTAAGAAAATATACCGGTCTGAATATCTAATTTCATGGCCCTAATGGATTTAAAACCCCTGTGTGTAACTCCCAGCTCTAAAGCAGAAATGTCCATAGGATCTCCCTACTTAGCCTTCACTGGGTCCCTATTGCCTTCATGATAAAATTCAAATTCCTTAGCAGGGCTTATAAGGCCTCGATCTGGCCCTTGTCCTCCTCTTATAGATCAACCTCTTTATTTCTAGCCTCATCAGTTCTATTCCCGCCATCTTGAATTGCTTGCAGTTTCTCAATCCTGCCCCTTGGTGACTCCGAATGTGCTGTCCTTTCTCTCCTTTATGTAACCCCAACCCACCATCACTACCACTTCACCAATCCCTGTTCCTGGGCCTCCTGGCCTATCCATACTCATATTTCAAGCTTATATGAAGTCACGTGGAATTCCTGAAGAAAAAACAAAACATCTTCCTCCATGTCTGCTATTTGGGTTTGGTTTCCAGCCCATATCCTTCCATATTCCTGAGCGTGCTTCCAGAGATGCCTTCGTTCTATTGCATTATAAATTCATTTCTTTTTCTGTAAATCCCTATAGCAGAGGCAAGGTCTCAGTTTTTAAGCTCTGTATCTTTAAATCCTGGATCCCCATAGGCATTCAATAAATGTTTGATTATTAAATAAATAAATGCTTCAATTAACGGGCAAACATTATAAACGCCTCCCAAGGTACCTATGAACTCTGTATGTCCAGAAAATTTGTCCTAGTTAATTGTGAGTCATCTAGAGATTTTATTTTTCTTCATCTTTTCTCTGCTTCCTGAAAGCTGACATTGTCACTCATATGCATAAAGGATTTGTCAATCAATGTGTCTTAGCTGAGCACATTCTTTGATTCTGTGATTGAGTGATAAGGTTCTGGAAGATCTTATCTCCTAACAATCTCAGAGATTGGAGAATCCATGTTGCCTTCTTTAGTGTTAAATAATGAAGTAAGGTTAACTTGAATGTCCTTGTTTTAGAATATTTTAGGGAGTTTAATGTCAATGACAATAGCCAGCAGAGTATGGTTTTCAAGACCTTCATACACTTAACAGTTAGGCTTATTTCCTGCACATTTTAATAAGGGATGGGAGACAATCTGCAGGATTTTTTAATAGGCAGTTCCCAGAGAAGGAACGTTGGGTAACAACAGTAGGGCACAAGGGTTTGTCAGATTTTCAGTATTCTGGAAATATGTATGCCAAATTTTTCTAAACACACGTAAAATTCAGCATGTTTATATAAAAATGCAAGTCACTGCTCTCTCAGGAAACAAGACTATACAAAATAGCACATTTATTTTCAAGAGTGCGCATTCATACTAGTATGCTAATTCGTAGATGAAATTGTTGCTTTCTTTTATTATAAACCAAGTGGGAATTCTGCTAGTCACTTTTCGAGGTGATGAGAAGAATAAAGTGGTGATGAGACACATTCTAAATTCGTTGCCTACAAACTGTGGAAAGTAGAGGAATTTCAGTCTTTGTGCTTTGAGATTGGTTTACCCGGGAGCATTGAAAAAGAGACCTACATAATGCAGAAAGAAATCAATCCTCTTTTCAGGAATAAAATAACAATACAAATAAAAATCTGGAAATGAGAATGATTCTAAGCTAAGCTCCACTTTTTCTCATCAGAGCTGACAGATACAACAGTACATCTTTCCATCACTCATCTGTCAGCAGCAGCTTAGCTTGGTGAGTTGACCCACCAGCCCTTTGACACAGGGACTATTGTCCCGCCAGCAAATAACCCTCAGCAACCATGAAAGCGAAAGGAAGAAGTGAGCATTCATGAGAATGAAAAATTGGGAAAAGTGACACATTTCCTTATGTTATCTCTCTTCTATTTCTATTATATGTTTAAAACACACACTCACAAACCCATATGTGCACCTTCACAAATCTAGGTTATCCCCACCACAAAAATCATTTGAGAATCTTTTTAGATTATCAAACAGTTATAGCATCAGTAGAATAGAAATCTTATTAGCTTTAAATTTATAGATCCACACCAAATGCATTTCTGTACACCAGAAGGGGAAATAGGGGAAATGTCGAGGTTTTTGCCTCTTTTTCCATGAAAGGAAGCTACTTCAACATCAATAAAACCACACTTAGAGTCTGCTTGTATTTCCCTTGTAGCACCCAGGGCAACTCAAGTAATCAGAAAGCATTTTGATGCTACAGATTGTGGTGGATGCTGTAAGGTGTTGTGCCTCAATACTCCTTCAGAGGCCCACAACCAATGATGGATTGATGTAAGGGAATAAAGTCTTGCTGAGAGCCACCAGAGTGCCAAGCTTCTGGTGAGATCAGCTGAGGCCATCAGTGGGCCTCCATCACAGCTCATTCCTCTTCTGCCTATTCCCCTTTCTCTTCTCTCCTTTTCACAAGGGTTGATCCCAAAGGCCTCTCCAAGAATCCAACTTGCAACATGAAAACATAACAAATGCTTGTTGGGTGGGGGTAACATGGCAAAACAATGACTAAATAGATTTCCTCAGTTGAATTCAAATGTACTTTCTGGTAGCTGAGAAAGTGTGAAGACCTCTTACCAATTATCTTAGTCCACATGGGCTAAGTACATATAGCATTTGGGCTGCTATAACAAAATACCATAAACTGGACGGCTCACAGACTACAGAACTTTCGTACAGCCCTGGATGCTGGGAAGTCCCAGATCAAGGCACTGGCAGATTCCATGCCTCATGAGTGCTCACTTTCTGGTTCACTGATGGCACCTTCTTGCTGTGCCCTCACATGGTGGAAGAGGTGAGCAGGAGTCTTTTTTAGGCCTCTTTTAAAAGTGCACTAATCTTACTCATGAGGACTCTGCCCAATGACTTCATCACCTCCCCAAATTCCCCAGCTCCTAATACCACAACTTTGGGGGTTAGCAGTATAACATTAATTTGAGGGGAATGGAAACTTTCAGCCCATAGCAAGAATTAAGTCTTTGCACAGCAGTGGAACTTTGAATTGCATGTCTACATCATTTCAGGTAATTTGACATTGCAAAATCAAATAGAAGCCATTCAACTTGGACTCAGGATAATGCTATGATCAAACAGACAGGTGTCGGAAAGCCTAGATACAGTTCTCATCATTTACCATCTATGTGACCTTGGGTGAGTTAATCGACTTCTTTAGGACTAAACATGCTTGTTAATAAAATATAGATATTAATAATACTATTTTGTACGTAGGGTTCTTATGAAGACTAACCAAAAAAATCACAGAGAAATATAAATAAAGCGCTTACCTCAGTGCATGGTGTAACGGGAACATTCAATGAGCATTCTTTCTTAAATATACTCAGTTATGCTGCATGAAGCCGAAAGTCCTCAACATCTTAAATGCCCTGGCCTCCCACTGTGCCTCCCACCCAATTCCTCTCATACCCTCCCCTCACTTGCTATGTCTATCGCCCCGGATTCCTTGATGTCTTCAAACACACGAGTACAATTCTTCCTTATGACTTTTGTTTTGCTTGTTCCATCAGCTATGATGGCTATCTTCCTCACCTTTTGCAAGTGTTTGCTCAAATGCCATCTGCTAAATGACATTCATGTTTACCATCCTGTTTAAAATCACAACCTGTTCCTCAAGTCCCACACCAGTGATCTTAATATCCTTTACTGAGACCTATGGTTTCTTTTTCTCACTGCATGAATCACCTTCTAACAAATTATATACATATATATATATATATATATATATGTATGCACACATATATGTGTGTACATATACATATGAGTATGTGTGTGTATATGCATATAGTTTATTTTTGTATTGTTTTTGCTCACCTATGAGGGCCAAGATTTTTGCCTATTTTGTACACTGTCTCATTTTAACTACCTACTAGAGGATAGGTACCTCATAATTGTTGAATAAAAGGCTAGTAACTAGGACCATAAAACTAATACTGCTATTGTATATTGTACATGTTATTAATAAAGAAAAGGTGTTTTAATCAGGTGAGTTTATTAAAGCACGTACAGAAGTCCCTTCTTATCTGCAGGAGATGTGTTCCAAGACCCCCAGTGGATGCCTGAAACAGCAGAAAGTATCAAATCCTGTGTAAACTGTGTTTTCTCTATCTCATAACTGAGAGAACTACTAAGTGATGGGCAGAGAGTGTATACAGTGTGGATATGCTGGACAAAGACACGATTCATGATGGTGTGGGGACATTGTGAAATTTTACCACGCTACTTAGAACAGCAAGCAATTTAAAACTTATGAATCATTTATTTCTGGAATTTTTCATTTTATATTTTCAGACCACAATTGACCAAAAACTAAAAACTAAAAATTTTATTCTGGTTTGAAATGCAAGAGGCTCCTTTCCTGGCTATTTATCATTGCCACATTTCTTGTGATTTATTGCTATTGTTATATTTCCTTCTGTCATTTCAATGGGATTTTTGAGTGAAGGAGAGGTAAACACATATGTTTAGTCGGGCTTCTTGAACAATAAACTGTATTTTTTACATGGTTAAGATTATTCTCCTCTGTATGTATTACTTGAACATTTCAAAATTTAACACAGCATTTCCTATGTTATTTTTTTAAATCTCCTTAAATATGGTTTTGATGGTTGTATGCTGTTTCATAATACGGTTTCACTTCAATTTACATAACTTCTCATAGAATATTTGTTTCCTTTATCTATCTAGCTATATATAAACTTCCTTATTTGCTTCTATATATAAAACTGTAACTCATGGGTAAGCATTGCAGAATGAAACAATCACAGAATCTCTTCCCAATATAAAATGCATTTTAGAAAAAAAGTCAATGTAAAAAATTAACTAGGAAAAGTTCTAAAATATTATTTTTAAAACTTTGTAATTTTATGCACAAATTAAGAGACACCAGGAGAGTGCAGCTTAGTACAGAGCTCAGTTCTGTCTCTATTTCTGAAAAATTGACTGTAGGAAGAAGAGACATCTGACAAAGCCTGAGGAATCTAACCAGAATCTCCAATTTGAAGATAACTAAACTGAAGGATTAGAAAACTACTCAGAAAAAAGTTGAATTTTTTTTCTTAATACTAAACTCCCCCTGTAAAGGGCCCATCTTATCAAAAACGGAGGAAATGACAGTAGGATTTTTTTTTTAATTTTTTCAGTGCCCCAGAATGGACTGGGAGAACCAAGCAAAGTCCAGGGTATACCTTTATAGCATACTCACTCACACAGACACGCACACGCACATACATAGATACACACACACACACACACACACACACACACACACACCACACACATTCAACCCTGGGAAGAATAAACTCTGATGTAGGACAGTTAGCAAAACAGGTGGACAGAGCCCACATCTCCAACCAGTGTCGAATAGAGCAGCAGCTATATTCTCTCTACCCTACCTACACTCCAACAACCCAAGGCATCTGCAATAAAATGTGCATAGGATGAAATATGGATTACAGCTCAGAAGGAAAGATGAATGAGTTGCATTATCAGAACTCCTAGAAAGTAAAACTGCTCATATGAAGCATCAGTGAAATAAAAAAATAAAAAACGATGCAAGCCTAATACAGAAAAAAAAGGATTCAAAAAAGAGGAAAAAAAGGAATATCAGACACAAAATAAATGACACATCCAACCTAGACAAAAAAAAAATGCAATGAACTAAGAAAAATTCCCAATTAGGGCTTTAAGCTATATATAAATATTTTTTAAAATAGTTAAGTAGAATAGGATCTAAAATATTAAATAACAAATAGTAATTTCTACTCTGGCTTTGTATAATGCTATTCTAATTTCCTCATTACTAACAAACTGTTTATAACCTAACAAACTACAACAAAATAACTGTATAAACACAGTATATAACATAAGCAAAAGAGAAAAGAAATGCTTTTCTCAAAATGTCTCAAAAGACAAAATTCCAAACATATATACTACCGATTAAACCATATCCTACAATTATTAACAAATGGAACATTTTTGTAGCTTAGAGCATCTGCATTCTGGTTAATAGTGACTTTTGAGCTTTCCTTGAGTAAAATAGTATCTTCTTTTTCTTTCTAAAAGAAAGAAAAAGTTCCTTCTGCAACTCTTATACAGCAAAGACACAATAGGAATTTTAAAGCCTCTACCTCCATGAAAATGAAACCGCTTGAAGTTACCAACAGTGACTTTTTTCATGTTGTTCACGGTATCATGATTCATGGGGCCAATTTTAGGAATGGCTCCCCTTTGCCGCTCTATTATGTGACTTAAGATGAACATTATGAAACAGAGATTAAAACCTCATATTATCCTTAATTAAACTGAGATATGTAAAAAATAAGCAACTTGCACAAGATTAAGTAGTAAATAAGGACAAAGCTAAGACCTGAAACTAGGTCTGTCTGACTCTCTAATCTACATTCTTTCCAATCAAGGAAGTCAATTTCATTTACCTTTCTCTCTTCGTCTTCTGAAGACACACAGATGGGTTTGGGGTAGCATTCCTGGCAGTGATGATTGCTCCCAGGAAGCTCACAGCTGTCCTAAGGCAGTTTATGTATAACTGTCAGCCACACTGAGGGTCCACACCTTCTCAACCCAACCACTCGCTCTAGGAAAAAGTTCCACGTGGTCAACATCTCCTTCCTTGGACTAGGATGTAGAAAACAACAGCCTGTTTTCATTCCTAAACTAGTGAAACACAGAAGGGAACGGGACCAGGACTCTTGCAAAACTTAGATAAATATCCATTTTTATTTCCCTCACTCCCACCAATGCATAGGGCTCTGAACCAGAGCAACTCAAATTGATCTGGCTCTCATAGAAACCCAAATAGTCCTCCATTATTTCTGACTGTGACCTTGATCACATTCCATCATCTATTCGTTTGTGTCCAAAATTGCTCTCCTTTGTTTGACTGTAATCTCCTCAGCACTTTGACTGTAAGCTTCTATGCCTTACTTATCCCCCAAAGTCCCTGGCTCAAGAATAGATGGTGATTTATCATTAATCAGATTAGTGAATGGGCTTCAGCTTAGTGCAAATGTAGAAGTGAGAACACTTCTAGTTACAGACTGTACAAAAGAGGACTCACAGGTGAGCTAGCCGCTCCTCCTCAGTTCTAACCAACTGCATGTATTTAGAGCAGCCGGTTTCTCCAGCCTCTTCCATTCTAACATGTACAAAACTTTGTGTTCGAAACTTTTAATTATTGCTCCAAATCCTTTTCCACTTAGAATTCAATAAAGTAACTTGGAATAAGGAAGGCCCCTGCCAGCTTCTCTGAAATTTCCTTCAGCTTTCAGTGTTTACTACCTCAGAGAACACAGAGCTATTCCTGTTAACATGTCAACCACATCAAACAAAGAGCTTCCTAAGTAGACACTTAGGGGAGATTTCCAGTGAAGGGAAAATTGCCATAATGCTGGTAAGTGGATGAGCTGCCATCGTTGGAAGGGAATTATGGGTGAGAGGATATGCCTGACTAAATGTAAAATCCATTAAGGCACATTGCAATTAAAGACGATTCCTTAAAGAGCTCCCTTCAAAAATGAGCTTCTAGGGAGATGGAACCAAGAGCCCTATGTTGTCGCTGGATGGCTATGAAGGACCACTGCCAGATGAGGATGAAAAGGGAGGAGAGGCTGCCTGACTTTGCAGATAGGAGATGAGTGAGGTTCTGGGCCCCGGCTTCTCTCTTTCTTTTCCTTTGGGGCCTCTTTGTCCCACTCTGCCTACTTCGGGCCACACAATCATTTCCAATACTCAACTCAACCACCTCATATGGAGAGTATATATATATATATATATATATATATATATATATATATATATATTCTGATTCTGTTCACTTCACCTGAAGTAGATTCATAACTTTAAAGCATGCTACTTGTGTGTGGTTGGTTTACGTTCTCTTCTAGTTTCTGGGTCCAAATCTGTGCTCTTAAAGGGAAATCGGGGTGGGGTAAAATGGTGTTTGTTGATCAGTTTTGCTATGTGACCAATTTTACGCTAAATGCCTAAATGCTTTACATGCTATTACATTTAATTCCAACAAAAAAGGAAAAAAAAAGAAAAAGAAAAAATAAATCTCCCTCCTTCAGAGGAAGTAAAGCTATTGATTTTAGGCTTTCTATTTTTCTACCATTTGTTCCCAAATACATTCCTTACTGGAATTTCCTATAAACTGGTTATTTTTTTTCTGCAGGATCTTTCTCATAGTCTCGCCTACTATTCATCTACTATTCAGTACCCTACAATATTTGCTGTACCTCCACCCACCTCCATTTTTAACAGGGTTTTCCTTCTCCATTGTTCTGTGTCTTTGACATCCAAGTTAGAGCATCTTCTCTATGCTCTCCCAAGCTTTCCTCTCTCTTTCTAGCTCCTTTTCTGTTCTTTGTTTGTTTGTTGTTTGTTTGTTTGTTCTTGAGACAGAGTCTCGCTCTGTCACCCAGGCTGAAGTGCAGTGGCGTGGTCTTGGCTCACTGAAACCTCTGCCTCCCAGGTTCAAGCGATTCTCTTGCCTCAGTCTCCTGAGTAGCTGGAATTACAGGCACCTGCCACCACGCCCAGCTAATTTTTGTATTTTTAGTAGAGATGAGGTTTCACCATGTTGGCCAGGCTGATCGCAAACTCCTGTCCTCGAGTGATCCCCCCTCTTCAGCCTCCCAAAGTGCTGGGATTACAAGTGTGAGCCACCGCGCCAGGCTTCTTTTCTGTTTTTATATAATGTTTCACATTCCTCTCCAATCCTGGCTTAATGCCTAATAATCTTTAATATTTGCTGGACCTGGTTATATATTTCAAGCCCTGAATAAAAAACTTTCATGGAATATGTTATTTTATTTTTGCGTATAACTCATTGATACCAGTACCATTTTCAACTGAAATTACATATAAGAAAACTGAGGCACCAAGGGTTCTGTAAGAGACAGAACCAAGGTTCGACTCTGTACCCCCTCAAGTACATCACTTTTCTAGATAGAGTGTATCTAAAATATGCTAATTATAATAAAAATACATACTTGTATATTCAGTCATCCTATTCTTATAACCAAAATCAACATATTCTTGTCAATGGAAATCAACATCTAACTGGGAGCAAACCTATAATAGCGTATACTAGTATACAGCTATGTCTAAGGAAGGGGCATTTTGCCACAGAGCAATTTTAAGGTATTTAGATTCATTGTTCTAGAGAGAAAAATGTCCCCTGGATTGTAAATTAGAGACATCATGTGTTAATCTTTTTTGTGTGTGGTTGTTCCCTCCCCCATTTCAAACTTGCTCCCATAAGAGTTACCATTTAACTATAACATTTCGCACAGAATACAAGATGCATATATATTAAAGGAGACAAGTATTAAGGGCATAATCCTTGCCCTCCAGAGGAGGCGTTACCTTGGGATGGTCTTTCATCACCTATCTCCACCAGATCCCCTGGTCACAGGTTTAAAAATGGCTTAGCAGGGCAGATTTAGTTCTTAGGTAAGGTTGCCAAACTTAGGAAATACAGAACACCCAGTTAAATTTCAATTTTAGATAATTTTTTTAGTATGAATATGTCCCATGAAATATAAGGGACACATTTACAATTAAAAATTGTTAATTGTTTATCTGAAATTCAAATTTAACTGGGGTCCTACCTAAGTAGAAAGATGGGATCTTTCGCCTATCCCATGTCTCTTACTCTAAGAATATAGAAGGAACTTAATTAGTACATCACACATGCCACGTATGAGCATCAGGCTTATATTGGCATTTATAATTGTACCTGGTAAGTACAGATTTCTCTGCTTACTGGAGAGGGCAGCCAGGGAATGGCTTGAGGGAGCTGTTTCTGATATCCTTTCATATCTTCCCACCTGAGTGGGAAGTGCTGCTCCTCTAAAAGTTGTCCTGGTTCAGGTATTCACATTGTGAGTCTCCAGCTCTCCCACTCTGCCTCCAGTGATGCTGAGAAGGATGCTGCTTATTATCTCTGAACACATAGTGCAAACCTCACTTAGGTGTTCTGGGAGGCATCAAATATGACCCAAACACAAACATTGGGCCAGATTCCCAAGGCTCGAAAACAGCTGGCAACTAGGAGGGTCCACACCTTCTCCAACCCAGTCCTCTACCTACAGGGAAACTTCTTTCTTGGGCATCTCTTTCCTGTGGAGGCACACGGATGTCCAGGTTTGCAGAGGCTCTGTGGTGGCCTTTTCCCCATTCATGACTGCCAAATATGCTTCTGTTCCTGCCTTTCAATATTGCAAAGTCGAAATGGGGTCTCAGAAGTGTCTGGGTCTTTGGGGAGGAAAAATACCACTTCAGGTCTTGATGTTGCCTTAGGGTTTCTATCTGAGGCATAGCATCACCAGTCTCCACTTTCTTTGCAATAGCCATCAATTAGACTTCAGTGAACAACAATATATTGAACAACTGCTAGCTTTTACTACGTTAGGTGCTGGGGATATTAGATAGAAATAATTAGATTTGCATCCTTGACACCCGGGAGGCAACAGAGATGTGTAATCAAGTAAAAGATGACACAATATATTAAGTGCAATGAAAGAAGCAAAGGCAGATGCAGGATTTGTAGAGCCAGAAGCTTAACAATTTGGAGTGCACTCTTGAAGAAAAAAGAATACATAATCCCTAAATATAAAATTAGTTGGAATGTTAATGGTAAAATTCCAAACACAATACAAATTACTAAAACACAAAACATTTCATAAACATTATAAAATCCAGAAAAAGAACATAGTATTTTGATTAATTAACAAACTGACATATCTCTATCATACCTTTTTTGTACATTTTTGGCTGCAAATTCTTTGTCCATTTGTATGGCATCAATTTTGTAGCACAATTATCTATAAAGAGAACAGAAAAACAATCCAATGTTGCTTATAGCAAGTCGATCCAAGTTATTTTTTCTTAGTTTTTCATCACATAAAAAAAGTTTATTTTAGCTGCACAAATTGTTATTGGTAATACCACAAACATTTGTGGGATTGCTTTCAAGTCTGGGGAAAAATATATCGAGCTTATTTGTTGTATGAACCATGAGACTTAGAAGAATTTCCCTAGACTAGCTTCCAGCTCCTCACGTATCAAACCTTGTTTCCCCTTGGCTACATACATATTTCTTTTCTGGCACTCAATGAACCCTTCATTTTGTGACATACTTCGGTCTCTGTGTCTTTCTGTCATGCCAGTTGATCTGGTGTGGTGAGTGGCGGGGCCATGTCTAGAAGCTTTTCCTACACTGTCTACTGAAGCGACAGCTAAACAACTACAAATACACCAAACTAATTGTGCTTCTGACTTAACCGTCCTTTCGTTGGATTCTAAAAATATCAATGCCCCTCTTGCACCACTAAATTAGTGGGTAAGAATGTCAGGAGAAGTTGAATAGGAAGAGATGTAAGATTGTGGTTAAAATGCCAATTTATGTTCATTTGAAAAAAGCATTCTTGATCACAGTAATCACTTTCACTAAGTATGTGTATATCAAAAATCACCTTGTACACATTACATACAATTTTTTAAGTTTAAAACAATAAATAAATAAATAAATAAGTAAATAAATAAATAAATAAATAAGCATTCTTTGTTGTATACAGTGCTGGGCTCCTGACTGTTTAGGGCCACTACTTCTCCGCTCCCAGCCGACTGTCCAAGGACAAGGGCGGCATCTAGCAGAGCAGGGGAGGGCGCCCTCCTCAGGCACGTGCGGCAACTGCATTGGCAGCCTGCGGCTGCAGGAGGAGGAAAATGCTGTCAGATGCAGGCTGGGGAGGGGTTAAAGCTCAGACCCAGTTCTAAGAGACCTTGCTGTTCATCTCAGCTCTCTCCTCGTCTTCCCAACCAATTGTTCTGCAGGCAGTAATTTCTTGTTTTGATCTCTTGGGAAGTTTTCAAAGAACACACCCCAGGCTTATGTGTCCAACAAAAAGGAAAACGCACGGTCCCCCGGCTCCCTCCTGCTGTCCCGCTATGTTTCTTTCTCATTTTTGCAGCATTTTCTAATATTGCTCTTTGATTTGTGGCTCCGATCTGGCTTCCCCCTGAGGATTACTGTTGCTTTTGCTAGTTTTCTCAGTTAGAGTTTTAATTCTTACTGTACTGGGAGGAATTTCTCTGAGGATAGTTTCTGCTGCCAGTTTAGAGAATTGGCCTCTTTTTCAGATGCTGTTCTTTCTTAACGTTAACAAGGAGTCCAGGAATCTCATTGTCTCCGTGTTCCTTGCCAGGCAGGCCTACTGGTTGTATTCTTAGACCACTCCCCTCCTGCCCTAGGCACCAGTTCCACTGTGGGCAAATAGCTGTTTCCCATTGGAAATTCTAATTCTAATTCAGTACAATAATGAAAAGAAGACCAGGAAAGTGGAAAAAAAAACCAAAAAGGAATAAAATGATCTTTTTGAAATCAATAAAAAGAAAAAGTCACAGACATAAAGATTCAGCTCATAGAATTCCTCTTTGTTGCTTTCCTGACCTCTCAACCTCAAAATGTTTTCCTCCCTTCTTGCCCCAGGCCTCTCCTGTGTAGCGTTCTCAAATTAGACAGGTGATGCTGTGAGGTATGTTAGAACATTGTCACTTTTTCAGCTAATACCGTCACTAAAATAAGGGCAAGAATTCTCACTTTCAGTTTTAACATATGTGGAAAAAGGAAGTCACTGCATCTGTTTAGATCTGTAGAACAGGACTAAGGCCAGCCAATAAACTAATAGAATATCCTCTGGGTTATCTCTTCTAGTGACAGGCTCCTGGTCACCAGAAGCCATCAAGCAGTGCCTGGATGCCACATTTCAAGAATAGTGTGGAGGAAATTTCTGTGGGTAGAAGTCTGGATTAGATGATAGATTACAGTTCATTTTAATGAAGAAATGTAATTATTTTTAAGTAACTTGCAATCCAATAGAACTATGAATTAAAACTTTAAATGAATTGTTCAAATTTGCTGAATTCCAACATATACATTTTATTCAACAATGAAAATCTCTCTCTTTTTTTTTTTTTTAAGACAGAGTCTCACTCTGTCGCCCAGGCTGGAGTGCAATGGTACGATTTCGGCTCACTGCAACCTCCGCCTCCCAGGCTCAAGCGATTCTCCTGCCTCAGCCTCCCAAGTAGCTGGGATTACAGGCACCCGCCATGCCTGGCTAATTTTTTATATTTTTAGTAGTGACGGGGTTTCGCCATGTTGGCCAGGCTGGTCTCGAACTCCTGACCTCAGGTGATCCACCTACCTCGGCCTCCCAAAGTGCTGAGATTACAGGTGTGAGCCACCACACCCAGCTCTAACTATGAGAATCTTTGATGTTAAAAGCACACACATAGATAAACTAAAACGTCATTTTGGATTGGAATAAAAACTTCATCATTTCTTAAATGATAAAATAAAATAAAAATATTGACAGTCACTAAATTAAATCTGAATTAAACCAATATCCTTCTTATTTTGATCGTTTTCTTGGTTGTAAGAAAATAACATTAAAACCTATGTAACACTGTTGTACTTATTAAATGGGATAAATTACTGACGATGCTGAGCATCTTTTCATGTGTTTGTTGGCCATTTGTGTATCTTCTTAGGAGAAACATCCATCCAAAAGTTTTGCTCATTTTTAAATTAGGTTATTTGTCTTTTTATTATTGAGTTGTATGAGTTTTTATATACTCTGAATATCAAACTCATTAGATATATGATTTGAAAAATTTAGATATGTTCAAATATCAATGTGGGGGGGGTGGTAAGAGAAGTAGTATTTGCCAATATCAAAATATTTCAAATATGACTTGAAAAAAAATGAAGAAAGATATGTGAAGAGTCTGACAAAGAAACAGGCCCAAGGAAAGGGCACAATAAAAATTATTTCCACCCCCCCTTTGCCTTCCTTGATTGTTTTCTTGGGGTATGAGGTCTTTTGGGTGACTTCAGTCAATGAGTAGAATATATCTGTAGCTCAATTTATTCATCTGGTTTACATTGAAATGGTATTTATTCTATATACAGATAATGTTTCTTCAGAGATATGAACTCTTTGGTATAAAAATTATCCTGAAAATGCTAAGTATTCTTTGAAAGAGATGCCTTCTACACTCATCCTACATATATTCAGAATGTGGGAGCATATTTGGCTGGCTTTCACGTAGCTCACATATGTGGAAGTCTGCCGAGATCATGTTGAGGGAGAGAGTTGTTTGGGCAGAAATGAGTGAGTTATAAAACATAAATGGTTGGACAAAGGGGGGAAATAAATCTCTGTACAGACAAGCCTAAAACAACCACAAACGAGTTTAGGCAACATTTTGCACATTACTGCCTTTTAAGTCACGTGGACTTAAAAGTCACTGCACTGACTTGGCTGCCTGGGTGTCCCCTACTGAGGGGAAAGTGGTGGCCTGGGCCCTCCTTCAGCACAGGCTTTGGAGGAGGCCCAGGATGACGGGCATTACAGAAGACAGAGGATGCTGTAGTTGGCACCTCATTCACTCAGCCTAGTTGCCAGGCCACTGCCGCAGCGTGGGGTGGTGGTATGAGGAGTAGTTAGTATGTGCCGGGCACAGTGCTCAGCTCCTCGCCCACATATTTCAGTCATGCTGGCCCCATTTTTGTCCCATTTACAGATGAGCTCCCTGAGTCTGACACCGCAGGAGATTTGCCTGAACACAGCCATAACTAGCAGCACCAGGAATCAAATTCGGGTCACTGTGACTCAAAACTTGTGCTCTATTCTGTTAGACCAAGTTCTCCATTGGAAAATTAAAAGGGTATAGAGGGTACAGTGATCCAGTCCCTAGCATTGAGGGTCCCTAACTGAAATTCTCTCACATTGATTTACTTCTGGTTATCTTTTCCCCACACTGGAACTCACGTTATTTGTGTATATCACAAACTATCCTTCAATTACATTTAAAAAGGCTACTATGTCACCCAGTTAATTCTCCCTTAGGAAGCTATCTCTCTTCTACAGAGCAACAGGACTTGGGCAATTTGCTTAGATACACATAACTACTAAAAACCTTTTTATTTTTTCTCATTCTTCTCTCAAATGTTCTATGTAAAATTATTGTATAAGAAAATTATTGGAACAGCAGCAGAGGTAATTTTGAAATGTTTCTTGGAATTAAATTTTAGTAAATAATCATAATAATCATAATAATACTATCAGCTAAGCCAACACAATGAATGCTTGCTAAATGGAAATTTATTACGGGATAAACATTAATTGCATTGGAATATGACAATGTCATTTTACTAAATACATTGTTTTTACGGTTTTGTTTTAGTAAGTGAAAATTAATATAAAGTTCAAGACTTTGATGACTTCATCTCCAGCTTCTTTCTCCTGTCCCTGTTTTGCCAACCACAAATTTATCCTACCACAAATATCCACAAGTACATGAGTAATCATATAACCCCAGATAGGGGGACAGGAAGCCTGGACTACATCTTGACTCTACTATTTACTTAGATTTTTGAACTGTTGAAATTACTTAACTTTTCTGTGCCATGGTTACTCTTTTGCACAATGATGAAGATACGTTTCCTGTCCTAACTCGACCAGGGTTATTTATGAGGATCAACTGGAATGAAAGTGATCTTACAATTTAAAAGAATTATATTGATAGGAGGTATTGTTCTTTTGTTCTTTTTTCTTTTCTTTTTTTTTTTTTTTTTTTTTTTTTTGAGACAAAGTCTTGCTCTGTCACCCAGGCTGGAGTGCAGTGGGGCAATCTCGGCTCACAGCAAGCTCCGCCTCCCAGGTTCACGCCATTCTCCTGCCTCAGCCTCCTGAGTAGCTGGGACTACGGGCGCCCGCTACCACGCCCGGCTAAGTTTTTGTATTTTTAGTAGAGACGGGGTTTCACCGTGTTAGCCAGGATGGTCTCGATCTCCTGACTTTGTGATCCACCCACCTCGGCCTCCCGAAGTGCTGGGATTACAGGCGTGAGCCGCCACGCCCGGCCGATATGAGGTGTTGCTCTTAAGCAAAGTGAATGAGCAAAGACAAAGGACATGGTCATATATTTCTAACCTCTGCTCTCCAGCTATACATAATGGTTATCAGTAATTCAACTGGGTCAGAATTGCTATATTCCTTACTTCAATTGTAATAGGGTGTTGAATAAAAATAAGGTCATCTTTCACTTGTTCTTGTAAATATATGAAGTTCGTGGTTCCAGTTGATTATTCCAGATGTGTGTTCCGTTAAATGTTTACAGGCCCACAAATCCATTCAGACATTAAAGCAGTAGGACAGATTTATAGCTTTAAAAACAATCTCATTTGCACAAGTAGAAACTATATGGAAGGTTAACATCAAGGCTTAAACATTTCTTTCCTAACAGTGAGACTGTCAGTTATTTAAAAGCCCTTTCATCATTCAACATAGATGGGAATCTACTATACGTCATGCCTTGGACACATAGTAGGGGCAACAATGTTGATTAAAAATCGGCCCTGACCTCAAGGGGCGTATGGTCTCCTGGACATTAGCCTAGACGTTAACCTAGACATTAACGATGTAGTCTTACAAGTTAAGGTAAATATTACAACAGAACATTTACTATAGAGGGAGGTACACAGTATCATGAGAAAGACCTTTTAATTAAAAGACTTAGGTTAGTTAGGAAGATACTGGAGTGGATCTCTGAAGAAATGACAACTGACTCAAGCTTTGAGGAGAGGGTCAGGGTTACCTGGGCATAGAAGGAGGAGGGATAGAGCATATGCAAAGCTCAGGTAACAGGTGAGGTTCTGAAAATTTCCAGAAACTAAAAATCAATGTTCCTTTTGAAGGTTGTGAGGGAAAAATCTGGAATAAGGAGATGGAGAGAGACAAATGCATAAAATGAGTCTGGAGACAAAGCAGGAGATCCAATGATGCAGGGCCTTGTGGTCCATGCTAGCAATATCTATCAAGTTTGGACTTGATTCTAAACACAATAGAAAGTTATTGAGATCAGTAAAGCGTTATCATCTGAGGGATGGCATGATCAGATTTGAATTTTCAAGACAACATACCTGGCAGTAGGATTACTGCATTGGAAGAGAGTAAGTGTGTTTGAGGAAGACCAATTTAGAGACTGTTGTAGCTCTCTGATCCGAAGATGATGGCACCTTGGAGTGGGGTGGGGTACCAATTAGGATAGGTTTACACTGAAGTAAAAAACAACCCTAAAATTCCAATGGAATAAAACAAACAAACAAACAAATGTGTATCTGCTGTTTATTCGGTGTCTGCTGTGAGCCCAGCTGACCATCCAGCATAGCTGTCCTCCAAGCACAGTCTCTCAGGTTGCTTTGACCTCATGGCCACTCTATTTCAAGTGCTTACACAAATCCCAAGCAGGAGAGAGAGACTGAAAAATAGTACACTGATTTTAAGTACTTCTTTTTTTTTTTTTTTTGAGACGGAGTCTCGCTCTGTCACCCAGGCTGGAGTGCAGTGGCACAATCTCGGCTCACTGCAGGCTCTGTCCCCCAGGTTCACTCCATTCTCCTGCCTCAGCCTCCCGAGTAGCTGGGACTACAGGCGCCCACCACCATGCCTGGCTAATTTTTTTTTTTGGTATTGTTTTAGTAGAGACGGGGTTTCACCGTGTTAGCCAGGATGGTCTCGATCTCCTGACATCATGATCTGCCCACTTCGGCCTCCCAAAGTGCTGGGATTACAGGTGTGAGCCACTGCACCTGGCCTTAAGTACTTTTTTAAGGAAGTGACCACATAACCTTTGCTCATATTTCATTGGAAAAAATAAAAAGTCACTTGTGCCATGCTTTCTTACTTCAAGGGGTGGGGAATGCACCTATGTTGGCAGAAACAAAGCTAATGGCTCATATGTAGCCTTTATTCTAACCCGGTAGTTCTCAGTTGGGTACAATTTTGCCCAAGGTGACATTTTACAATGTCTGGAAACAGTTTTGGTTGTTACAGCTGGAGTAGTTCCTCTTGGTATCTAATGGGCAGAGGCTAAAGATGATGTTAAACATCCTAAAATACACAGGACACTCCCCCCACAGCAAAGAACCACAACAAAACATTATCTGGGCTAAACGTCAATAGTGTTGAGGTTGAGAAACCCTGCTCTAGGCCCATGAACAACTGAAAACTTGATGGATGGTTGTATTTTCAATGCAGTTTGGACTCAAGGAATGTATAGCCATATATGGTATCTTGCTGAGCTGGCTAAGCACTAAGCCAAGCAGCTGTATCTAAGACGTTTACTGAGTAACCCATACTTGATCATCTGCAGCTGCACTGGGGCATGTGTACTAGTCACTTAGGCCTAACAGAGCTGTGTGCTTTGCAAGGAATAAAATGTAAAAGATGCCATAGTTGATGCTTCCCTGAACTGAAGGCATCCACACCCTCTCAGCATCATCTCTCATGCCAAGCGTACAGCAATGCTGGAAAGTTGGAAGCTATGCCTGGAGGTTATAATCCCCAATACTGTATTGTTACCTGTGTATATCCTTTCTTAATGCTACACACATTTTGTGCAAAATGAAGCCTATTGTATCTTGTAGGTGTGGTGATCAGTACCACTGCTTCTGCTTGGAGAGGACACATTGCAAGTGAACACAAACTGTTAGTAAGTAGCAGTAATGTCTATCACAAGTGTTTGAAATTGGGATAAAAAGAATGATCAGTTTTGGGAGATATTTAGAAAGTGATGCAAATACTATTGCTCTTTCCCAACTCTATTTTGCATTATCTTCTTTGCCAATAATGAGTGAATTTTGTTCAGGTGCTTTCCCTCCTCTGCGCTTCAGGGTAAACTGGTTCCAGTTCCCTTGCAAGTAATTGATTTAGGCATGGGCATGTAATACAATTCAGGCAAATGATATGTAAGGGAGAGGCCACTGGGAGCCTTCTGGAAAAATGTTTCTGCATTCCTAAAAGGAGATACTTAAGACGAGATGGCCTTTTTATCCGCTGGGCATTGTTGAAATTGTGTGTGAAACTGAAGTGTGCTGCAGTCAACTTGCTACTATAATAGAAATAGTCTCAGAACAAGGCAGACTTGTTAATGATAACAGAGAGAAAAGTAGAGAAGAATGCTGGTTCTGACTTAACCAACCCTGGATATCTCTTATACTAGGACTTCTTATTACTTGACATTAAAAAAAAAAAACTTAAATAAATTTAAATTGACAAATATTTATATTACACGTAGCTAAACCATCTTCAGTGATACAGAATTTAAAATCCACTGGACTGTGATGGAATACATATGGGGGAAGAATAGGAGACTTAGATTTCTGGGTTGGTAACAAAAGGGATTTGGTGGCCTTAATGAACACATGAACACTAGAAGAATACAAGGTTAAATTAGGAACAGCAAAATTTGCTTCTTGGATATTTTTGAGTTTTAGGTGCCTTGAATAATATAAAGAGAGATTTCAAGTGGGCAGTTGGATATACATGTCTCCAGTTCAGAGAAGGTGTCTGGAGTGGAGATATCTATTTGCAAGTTATGGGGGCAGAGGTGATGATTTGTGGCCATAGATTGGCTAGCCTAGTGGAAATGCACAGAGACGGTAGCCTAAGGCCAAGTCTGGAAAACTTCAATGTTTAATATTAATGTCTACATAGAGGAAAACGAGCCTATGAATGTGGCCAAGAACAGTAGTCAAAGATGCAGAAGGAAACCAGGAGCATACTGTGCCACAGAAATCCAGAGGAGAGAGAGCTACGAGAAGGAGAGAGAGATTGACAATGCAAGAGAGTTACAAAAACAAAAGAGAGGTTGACAATGTCAAATTTGATAAGTCAAAAAGATTAAGAATCAAGCATTTCTTTTCAGTTTAAAAACATTGAAAATGATAATTAAATATAGAAAAATTGTCATATTTATATTGCATATACTTTTTTGTGTGCATTGTCTCTTTTGAGTCGCTACACAATGTTAGAAATGGATTCAACAGCTATTGTTGATCAATTTTGCACAGGGACCATGAGGCTTAGATATGCTGAGTGACTTACCCATCCAGCAATGGAGTAGCCACACTAGAGTTCAGACTCACTGCTGATAACCTCCTGGTGCAGGGTTTTTTCCATGTTTCCCACAAACAATTTACATTTTACTCTCTTGCCAGCGACAGTGAATTAACTGTGAGTCTAGTGGGAAAAAAGGGAGTGAGAGTCAGATATACAGACAGACCAAGTAGACATAGATAATACAGTCCAGACCCTGTAGGACCTGCATTACATGAAGAATAGCGTAACAGTGTCCCTAAGGCTTCTTTCAACCAGACACCTGCCATATATTCAGCCAAGTATTGACAGTCAGCCTCCTGACAGGGTAAGACTTCCAGTCTTTGAGCAGCGAGAACACAGGCAGATGTAATGAGATGTGCCCACCATTTGGTGGCGGGAGGAGGCGCTTTAGTGATTTAGTGAGTGGAGCACATTGCCCCCTTTGAAAACATGAGTTCCATATGCTCAAAACAATGGTGTCAAATAGGTATTGATAAATGGGACTGCCATAGAAAGTTCCACAAGCTAGGTGGCTTAAACAACAGAAATGTATTTTCTCACAGTTCTCACATTTCCAGGGGCTAAGGTGGGTTCCTTTGGAAGGCTGTGAGGGAAGATCTGTTTCATGTGTCTCTACTGGGGATGGTTCTGGTGGTTTGCTGGCAATCTGTGGAATTACTTGGTTTGCAGGCATAGCACTCTGATGTCTGTCTCCATCTTCTTATGGTTTTCCTGCCTGTGTGTCTCCATGTCTAAATTTCCCCCTTTGTATAAGAACACCAGTCATGGTGGATTAGAGCACATCCTAATGACCTCATCTTAACTAATTACATTTGCAATAACTGTTTACGAACAGGGTCCCATTCTAAGAAACTGCAGGTTAAAACTTCAGCCTATGATTTCAGGGAAGACACAATTTAACTCATAACAATTAGCTTCTCTTAACAATGAGTAAAGCTGAAATATGATTGGCTGGTGATACAAATATAAACATCTATATACATATATAAACATATACTGACACGCACATGGGCACGTGTGTGAGACCTCAAGATTCCTGGGTCAGAGAAGCACAGAAGCCCATGTTTGTTTTCATACAAGAAACAGCAGCCAGAGTGGCATCTTGCCCAGGTTCCCCAGTCCTCATGCCCACAGGATGACACAATGAGGGCAGGATGTTAGCTGCACACAAAGGGGTGCATATAACCCAGGAGAAGAACCACCAAGTTAGGAGACTGAGTGATGTGGGTTCTGCTTGAATATCTGCCCATTCTACCCTCTGGAGAGAAAGATTTCAAAATATCCCAAAATGCCAGTAATTCTCCTCTAGAGAAGAAAAAGGCATCCCTTGACTCCTAACCCTGAACTGTAAGAAAATGTCTCTAGAGAGAGGGAGAAGAGGGCTTTATCTTTACTACCCTGGGACTTCTCCAGGGAGAAAAAGTTGCCACATCTCTCCAGAAGGATACATTATCTGTAGCTTCCAATGCTATTGACTATGAAAACATGCCTTTGGGTCAGAAACACAAGAAATCCAATGAGAATTTGTCTCCCAACAGTTTATCAGAAGGGCTAAATTATAAAGTTGGTCATATTGATAACTAGGATTATGTCCCTATTGAATTTTAGATACAATCTTTAAATATGTTTAAGAATTTTATTTATTGTACTTGAGTAGCTTATTTGTGTATCTGTCTCTTCACTAGATGATAAACTTCATGAGATTCTAGACTGGGAATTCTATTTTAACATTGTCAGTGCTTAGCAGAGCACTCGGTAGCTCATAAGCATTCAGTAAACTATTGTTTCATTAATATATAAAACAAAACTCCTCATATATTTTGCTCTATAGCTTATGTGCATTCATTGTCATCTTTTGACTTTTTCTAACTTGGGATGTTAAAATGTAATAATTTATCCATCATTTGTCTTCCTTCAATGGCTTTATCACTGCACTGATTCAAATATCCCTAAGACTTTTTAATCTTCAGGTTTCTTTATTTTTCTTCATACATCAGCTTTGTCTCTTTATCTTCTCTTTGTTCCTCTTTAATCTCCTAAACCATTCATGTTATTATTACAAATGTTCCATGTGTTTAAAATTAAGTGAATTATTTTTTATTGGAGAAATGCTATTTTTCAAAATCCAATTAACCTGCTCATTTAAATAGCTTCTGCATATGAAGAGGTTTTTTTCCACATTAGAAAAAAAAGAACTTTTATTTCAACTCTTTCACAAGTTTTAAATAACACCTTGAGATGAATTTTGAGATAATCTCATTTTTATTCATATTTTGGCCATTAAAGTATCCCTGAATTATAATCTCAAATAATATTTCATGTACATGGAAGTCTATGTGGAAGTGACTGTCACTTGTTGACAAAATAAATAGTTGTTAGACTCAGCTGCCTGGGCTGACCACTGACCCATTTTCCAGACGACAGCCTGCCCCTGCTGACTTTCTTCATACTGCCAAGGTGTACTGCATGGAGACACAAGGAATAGAGAGACCACACTCACCTCCTGCAGATACAACTCCAAAGTGCTAAGACTCTAATATCTTTAATAATGTTCTCTCTTTATTTCAGGTTTTGGACTTGGAGCCTTTAAAAGACCTAAACATTTTTCACTGTAATATAATGCCCTGTGTTTCTAACAAACCTAAAAACAAAACCGAAGCCACTGATGGCACATAGAGTGACTTATAAGCTAACCAAAAGATAAATAAAAGTAAAAGTGAAAGGCTTACAAGAGATAATATAGTTGCAGATTTTTGCCAATTGCCTCAAATTCAAGGCATATATATGAAGGAAGAAATAAATTAAAAGGATACATTTAATTGTTGTGGGTTCAATTTAATAAGCTTTTGTTTTACAGTTATTCACTTAGTTTTCTTGAAAACGTTGTATTAGTTTAAGCATGGAACAGATTTTTATCTCCGGCCTGTAGTCAGAGAAGGACAAAGTAGACTCTCTCCTGTACATGGTTGACAATCCTATGTTTTAATTTTTAATTGATATATAATAATTGTACATATTTATGGAGCACATGTGATATTTAGATATATGTATATGCTGTGTAATGATTAAATCAGGGTAATTGGGATATCCATCTCCTGAAACATTTATCATTTCTTTGTGTTAGGACATTAAAAATCCTCTCCTCTAGCTATTTTGAAATATATAATACATTATTGTTAACAATGGTCGTCCTATTGTGCTATAGAAGGAACCTATTCCTCCTATCTAACTGTAATTTTATACACATTAACCAACCCCTCCCTATTGTTACAGTCTCGCCAATGCTCCACAATGTAGCAGTCTCTCATTGCCTGAGTTAGACCCAGAGTTCTTTGTCTCATGACCAAGAAAGTTAAGGAGCACAAACACCAAGGGCGAGGTTGGAGTAAAAGTTTAACAAGGAAAAAAAGAAAGTTTTCTGCTGTTAAGAGGGGACCCAGAAGAGGGTTACCATTTTTACTGTTCAATGCAAAGGCTTTTATAAGAAACTGATGAGGCCTGGACATCTCATTTGCATAAGATGTGAACTTCTGATAGCTCCACCCTGTCCTCTTAATACACATGGGGGCCATTAGCTTGAGTTACTGCATATTGCTTTATTCCTTATACTCTTATACTGCATATGTGTCAGGGGATGGAATTTTCCATTGCGGGCATGTCTGGGCAAGCCACCTGTGTAACCTCTCTTATCTGTGCAACTGTGGCCATGTCTTAGGCAAGACCCCCTCTGCAAGCTCCCTTATCTGTGCCTGCAGGCTTTTCTTTTGTTTGAAAGAATTCAACCAAGGACCCACCTTACCTGCCTGCCTGACCTGTTTCTTCCTTTCTCCTCTCTCATATTCACCCCTCCTCACTATCTTTTCCAGCCTCTGGTTACCACTATTCTACTCTCTACTTCTATGGGAAAAGTTGATCATTTTAGCTCTGATTCTAAGACAAAGTTACAGAATAGACCTGGCTTCAACTCTGAAGTATTCCTTGGAGAGGGCCCATGGAATATTGCACTTAACATTAAGAGTCAAATATGCTTCAGTCAAATGGGGAGTTATGATTCCTACCTTTGAGATTCGTTATGGATTTATAGGTAATGTACGTGGCGTAGTACCTACCTACTGCAGTTGCATGTATTTGGTAGTTACTACTAGTTGACCTGCAGGGGGAGTGCACTCGAAGGTTGTACCAATCCCTTGCTCCTTTGTCTTCCAAATAAAATGAGCATGATCAACCTGGTCATTCTCATGCACAGGCAGATAAAGAAGAAAAAACTTCACATGCTGTAGAAATGTATGCCACATGCTACATGCAGGAATACCCTCTTCTGTCCAAAATTTATCCTCCTGATTAGTGAAGTCTCAGTTAAAGAAAAGACTAAGACTTTCATTTTATAGAGACAAGGCTTAGAATATGCCCTCCCTAAGAAAACAATAAGTCAAAGGAGAGTTTGAAATTGGGAGATAGAAGAAAAAAATGGTTATTAGGCAGAGAAAGCCTCAAGCCACCAGTTTACTGACCTTGATAGTTAGTAGGTCATGTGGAGATCATGTAAAATGCTTCTGCAATGAGCAATCAATAGAAAGGGAAACTGATTTTTTAAAGACCATTAAAGCTCTCCTAAAATGTTGTTTATTCTAAGCCAGAAATTTGAAAAAACTAGAATTTTTAAACAAATTAGAGTAAAATAGATTCAAAGTTATTAGATTTCAGTGCCTAGAATATATTTTATGTGGGTCTATATATATAAATACAAATCCATATATATGTGTGTATACATATATGTATACACACACAATCGCACACATCCCCACACAAACACACGCACACAAACATATAGCTGTATCATGATCTAAAGGGCTTATCTTAACCAAGAGGAGAAGTTTTGGAATAATTCGAAATTAGTTTTGGTTGCTGTTGTTTGTTTTGCTTTAAAATACATGAAACTTCAGGAACTGGAGCTACTTTGAAATATGATCTTAAAATGCTGTATACGTTTGTAAAGAGATGATTAACTCTTTCAAAAAAGTTTAAATCCCTCTATTGAGAACATTGGTCCCTTCTGCAAGAACTACTGGCTCCTTCTGAAGGCAGGTACCTTCTTTCCACATCGCCAATGACATGCAGCTAAGTTCACCCATAAGAAAGCGGCATTGATTGGCTGTGGAGTAACTGACTGCTTGACCGAAACCACACAGATGCATCAACCTGCAGCTGCAATGATTTACGTGAAGGAACCCTGGGCTACAGGAAATACACTTGGAAATACTTTTATCTTCTTTCTTAACATTTCTTCAGAGGTGGATTTTTCATGCGGTTAATCAGCTTAATCTTCATTGCACCTCACTTGATGAGCTCTTCTCAAGGCTTTGAATTTAATGTTGAGTTTATCATTTTGGTATTATTTTTGTTAAAAGGAGCTCCCAAATTTGAACAAGTTTCAGATCTCACAAAAACTGGGTCTACCCCTTCATTAATCATAGACTAATCAGTATTTAGTTTAATAGTTCCAAGTATTAAATTTAAAAGACCTTCTCTTACACTTATTTGAAAGTCCATCTATTTACAGTACTCAGCGTTATATGAGTGTACACAGAGGATGAGAGTTTTGGAAATAGATCACATTTGTTGATCTTGAGCAAGTCATTGATTTCTCTGAAAATCTGTCTTCTCAACAGCAAAACTGAAATATCATGGGATAATTTTGAGGATTAAATGTAACTTCCCACAAAGATGAAAGTGATTAATGTTAAAAATTTCCACCCAACTTCCAGTTGAAAATAAGTTCATTGTAGAACTGGATTGACTTACTCCTTCTCAACCTGCTTCTGGTGAAGTTCCCAAGAGAAAACTGAGGGGCAGCAGTGGGGGAGGGGTGCAGAAAAACATGAGAGCAAAAGAATATAAATCACACTAACCGCCACCCCCTCACTTCCAGGTCATGAGGTTCCTAATCCAGCGTTCTATTTCTCTGTTAATATGAAGGCATCAGTAAATTTTGATAACTCTGATTCACAGGTATGTAGGGCACTATTGTGCTTAAAATTAAAAATATATTCCACTGGCTTTGTCCACTCCACCAACACATCTGACATTTCAATCAGTCCAGAAGACAAAGCAGATGACGTACCATGCCATTATACAAAATGAATCCTTGGACCATAAGGCTCAAACCACCGGAGTGACTGAAGTTAACTCTTGTCACATGTTTGTTTTGCCATCAGGCTGATAATAACCTTAAAAGCCATCTTTATATTACCAAAATTAAAAAAGGTGTCTTCAGAAGCATTGGAGTATCTCTTCATGCAAAGTTGGATTCAGAATGCTAAGATAATGGAAAATGAAAAGAAAATGATTATTGTGGTAGATTCTGTGAGTCAGTCTTTGTTCTCTCCCGTAACTCCAAACTCATTTCAAAAAGCATGAAATGCTATCAGTTAATGGAGGCAAGTTAAAGATGGCCATATTATAACTGAAGAAGGGCTGCTAAATGTTTAGATAATAGTCATCAATTTGCCATCATTGGCAGACATCTCCCCTGAGAGTCCTTTCATAAATTCTCCAGCTCAATGCACCCAGAAGAAATCTACTCCTAGGCAGCATTACAGATTGCCAGCTGTGAAGAGCCTGCCCCACCCCTTGTCACAGCTCAGAGAGTTTGCATGACAAAAGAATAATTGAATTGGTAATGCAACAGTACATGACATAGATCACCATTTTGCAACAGGAATGTTCAAGTCATGAATAATGAAGTGATTTCCTCCAGAGTAATTTATGGAACAGGTACATTAGCAAAGCAAGCTCCTGTAGGTGTGAAAATGCACCCACCTCTGACCCAGGGGAGCTCAGTGAGGTCTCTCAGCTCATTTAAATCCCTTTCATTGTGACTTCCGCTTAGAGCAGGTAGCAGGGCAGCAGGTATGACGAAGGGGGGATATTTTTGTTTCATTATATTTTATTTTTTTTAATGCCTTGTGGTATCTTGCCACAAGAGTAAGAGAGAGGTTTTCTAAAGCAGTTTAATATTGAACATCAAGCAGTTGCCAAGGAATCATAACCTCTGATCATTTCTGGCCTCTATTGAGTTTGAGTCGTTACTTCTGGTCACATTACTGAATGCAAACCACTCAACAGTTAGTGCTTCCAACAGGTTAGCTGTCGGGAAACTGATATGTGGGAAAATAAGACTCCATGTTTAGACACTGAAAAAATTATCTTTTCTCATTTACAAAACTCTAAATTATTTATAACAAAGATTTGATTTGAAGAATAAAAGAGTTTGTACTTCTTAAGAAAAAGGTCCTGAGGAATTGCTATTTACTCTTACATCAATAGAGAAACCATCTTAGCAGAGCATTACAACACTGCAAGAAAAGGGGAGAGAATGAGGGAAATGGCATTGTTTTAGGAAGATTTGATTCAACTATTGGAATCAGCGGAGAAGGATACTTCAAAATATGGAAATTTGGCATGATAAGCACTTTAAATTAAAAGAAATTGGGAGGCCTTAGAAGCTGCCTCAGAACCAAAAATTTTCTAACCTTCTCTTGTTTCTCACCCACCGCCCAACCCCCAAGCACACGGAGGGACTGTCTCTGGAATTCCCTAATCTGATAAAGGAAAATTTGTCCCCAAAGAAATGCAATTGCCTTTGCCCCACTGCCTAGGAATCTCATCAAATAACAAGGGAAGATTTATCACCAGAGAAGAGAAGAGGCTAAAAATCATCACCATACCCAGACAGATTTTTTGTCTGTTTTTCTGAGGGCAGCTCTGAGAGATTACCTGAAAGACTTCATTTGCATAATAAGACAAGCTTTGTTCACAGTGAAGTTCTTACCTTCCACGAGATCCCCCAGAGCTCAGAGAAACTTTGTTCCAAGCCATCGTTCTTTGAGCTCAATCATTTGCCCCCCATATTATTTAAACCCCTCTAAATATGGCCTACAGACCTCACATTTAAGCCTCAACCATCTAGCCCCTCTTTGAGTCTCCTTTCTGTGGGACTCCCAAGTGTATATGCACATTAATAAATTTGTTGTGACGTTTTCCCCTATTAATCTGTCTATTGTTAGTCATTTTAGTGAAACTTCAATGGGCAGAGAGGAAGCATTCCCTCTACACTTACATAAGCAAGAAGGTCTAAGAGAAAGCCCACTGGATTCTCTTGCCAACTAGACTGTATTGTTAGCAATAATTAGAGAAAACAAAAGTGGATTAAATACAAGAATCATGATCATTACCACAATAATAGTAACAATAGCCACTATTTATTCAGTTTTTACTGTTTATCAGATACTGTGCCAAGCATTTTCCATACGTTTTCTTATTTCATTTTACCAGTACCTCCATAGCATTGGTAATATGTGTGTTCTCATTTTGTAGATAAGAAACCAGAATATCAGAAATTTTAAGTAACTTGATGAAAATCAACAAATGACTGAACTAGAAAGCAAGCCTAGCTTTATTTTTTCCCAAAGGATCAAATTATTGTTTTTACCCAGCCACATGAAAATCAAATCAAACAAACCAAGGAGAACATAAATTATTCTTACAAAAAGCCTGAATTCAGCCCTTTTTTGCACCAAGCACCATGTGAGGCACTAGCAATACAAAAATGAAGAAAAAGTCTCTGCCTTCAGGTTGCCCACAGTCTAGTAGGGAAGTAAAGTCATAAACAAATATTCCTATGTGTTTTAATTTTGGTACATAATGGATAGTATCTCAATCTAGGTGCTTTACGTACAAGGCAAATAAATGAACTCTGGGCAACTAAAGCAGGAAATGATCTGTACAGAAAAATAGAGAATAGTTGTATAAGGACAACACACTTAAGTAACAGTGGATGAACTCAGCAGAGGCTTGATTATTGTTGATGTGGTAATCTGAAACAGTGGGGTATCTGCCAAACAGTGACCCAGGGAGTGAGGCTGCTTCCACGTTGCAGTTCTGCCTCCAAGTGGTTTTGAAGGAAGAGAATGATCGAGGAGGCACATTGGTTTTTATCTCCTTGGGTCCAGAAGCTAACATGTCATACATTCTCACAGTCTATTGGCCAGAACCAGTCACATGCCCCAAATTAACTTCAGAGAAGGATGAGATGACTGGTGGGCAGGAGCACTCTGGTTTACAGAACTAACAGTAAGATGACAGCGGTGGATATGAGGCGAGAATGCAACCAGGACACCCTAGGGAACTTGGCCATCTCATCAGGACCCCTCCTGCTGGAGTGAACGAACACCATTTTTCTTTCTTTACGTCTCTTCACTTGAGAGATGTCACATGTTGCCCAGATGAAGACAGAAGCATCTTGATTTATAGCCCACCAATACCACATGCAAAGAGAAAGAGAAGCTAATCCCCAAAAGGGAAATAAGGAGAAATAGGCATTAAAAGGTGAATGAGAATTTTTAGGTAAAAAGAGGGAGGGGGAAAAACATTAAGGAAAACCCACAGAAAACAAAAATGGCATGCCGACCCAGGAAGCTTCTTGCTGTTTTTGATGACTGGTACTGAGTCCATGAGACAAAAGAGATGACACTGGAGATGCTGAGCAGTGGCCATCATACAGAGTGTTGTTTGATCATTTAATTCTTTTTTTTTAAATTTATTATTATACTTTAAGTTTTAGGGTACATGTACACAATGTGCAGCTTAGTTACATATGTATACATATGCCATGCTGGTGCGCTGCACCCACTAACTCGTCATCTAGCATTAGGTATATCTCCCAATGCTATCCTTCCCCCCGCTACCCCACAACAGTCCCCAGATTGTGATGTTCCCCTTCCTGTGTCCATGTGTTCTCATTGTTCAGTTCCCACCTATGAGTGAGAATATGTGGTGTTTGGTTTTTTGTTCTTGTGATAGTTTACTGAGAATGATGATTTCCAATTTCATCCATGTCCCTACAAAGGACATGAACTCATCATTTTTTATGGCTGCATAGTATTCCATGGTGTATATGTGCCACATTTTCTTAATCTAGTCTATCATTGTTAGACATTTGGGTTGGTTCCAAGTCTTCGCTATTGTGAATAGTGCCGCAATAAACATACGTGTGCATGTGTCATTTAATTCTATCAGCTGTAAGCAAATGGTGCAAACTGGGGTGCAACCCACCCCAGGTCAGTGGACTGCCCTCTGCACCCTGAAAGTCATTCTGTTGTTCCCAAAATCTGAACATTGAGAAGAAATCACAAGTAAAGTAACACCTCTGCTTCTTCTTCGCAAACAGACTTGCCCACACATTCACATACATGTGCCCCCACATACACACATACATGTGTCTATACACGTATGCACACGTATAAACTCACATATGCCTACACACATCCACATACACACTCATGTGTCCCCACATACAAAAAGGCTTTCATGGAAAGGTGAAAGCAAAAGAGACACAAAAATCTCCAAGCTATCCCTAGTTTCAAAATTTGACATTGTCAATTGTGGAGAGTCCTTGCAAAGATTTAAATGGAGATGCACATGATCAAGTAAACTCAAAATAAAATTACTCTGGATTTAATGACACACTAGAGATGAAGGAAAGTCCTAGACTAGAAACTACATTGGTTCTTCTATCACTGCCTAGTGATGTGACCTCTGATGACTTGCTGGAATTTACCTAGACTCAGTTTTTTCATTATTATCACTATGGGACAATATTGTTTTCTTACTGGGGGTTCCAAATAAGAGCACGTGAAAGTGATTTAAAATTAATATGCATTCTATAGAAGTTCACTTTTCAAGTGGAAGCCCTCATCCATTTGTTCTGAAACCTAAAATACTTTTGGGCATAGACTCTAATAGACATAGTTCTGAAAGACAAGACATGGGAGGGAAGGGAGAATCCAGGGTTTGAGAAGACATAAAGTTCTTGCCTCTCCTTCAGGCTGCTCTGGGTTACTACCTAACACTGCTGATCACATAAGGTGCCAGTAATTGGCATTATGTACTCAGACTGATCAGTAATAATCCACTGAAACTAGAGAAAATCCATTTGTAAGCATTTAATTTTTGAAATGAAATTTCAAAGTGCAATTTTGGTCCTCACTAATGGCAAAGGCATAGTTAATTCAAGCTAGTTTCAACCAGATATAGAGAAATATAAAAATAGATCAGTCTGTTTAGTCCAAGAAAAATAATACAAAGTGTCAGTTAAATAATTATCACTAGGTAAAAGACCTATCTCTGTTCTGAGGAAAGAACAAAAATAAATAAAAACAGAGATTTGCTTTACCTACAAAAAATTCAAGTTATACATAAGGAGGAAGCTTAAACAATAGCTAATCCAGACAAATCATTAAGCAGAAAGAAGGCATAAAGTGAAAAATACTGTGAACTAGGAGAAAGAAAGTTATATTCTTGTCTCACTGGTAAAAAATGTGCCTTGGGACGTCACTTAATTATTTTGGTCTCAAAGCCCTAAGTAATAAAGCATAAGTAATATACAAAAAAATGCCTCTCTTCTCAAAAACTATCCTTCATCCAGCACCTCTAGTTTTTATTAGTTGCACATTATCCTCCTGGTCAGCCAGAATCAGACTCCAGAGCTATCCTTAATTCCTATCTCCTCACTCTGGCCACCTATGGATGATCTATCTCTTGATTATTCTACATTCCTGATTCTCACCTCCACTCGAAGTCCTTACAACTCCTTGCCTGGGTTGTAGTCAAGGTCCTAGGTGGTCTCTCAGCCTTGTGTGGCTCCACAGTCCAGGCCACTGGCTCACTGCTAGCTGGCAGGTTAATCTTGTACTGAGCTGTGGCTGTGTTCGCTGACTTGAGAGAAGCTTTCCCTGACTCCATTAAGTGAAATGCTGTTGTTTTTTATGATAACTTTAGGGCTATTTGAAAGTTTGCTCCAAAATATCTTTCTGAAAGTATACCTCAATTCAACTTTTTTTCTTGAAATTCCCTATGATCCAACCAAATTCTCTGTAGATTTATTCTAAATACTCCTTTTAGATGTGCACTTCTAGAAAGATGGAGCAACAGGGATTAGAGTCACTCTCCTGCCAGAACAACTAAGACACTGGATGCAATGGTTTTAGAGGCAATGGACAGTAGGCAACAAAAAGCCGTCATGTCTGAAAAACAAATAAGGTAGGACAGCACATGTACCAATTTTCCCCTTGCAGACAATTTCTAGATCACAAAAACAGGACAGGGAACCCAGGTGACGCTTGGAAGTGTCCCTGAACTGAAGAGATGGAACTGGGAGGCTACAGAGGACCAGGCAGCTAGAATTTACAAGGCCAAATTCCAGAAAGGAGAGAGCTGTCCCCAGAGAGTGTTCCAGAAGTATGCAAATGGTCTCACTCAAATCTTGAGCTGTCTGCTAATCAGGACATGTGAGTAGAGAAACTACTGAGGCCAAGGAAATAGCCATGCCCCCCAAATTAGAAGAAATGATACCTGGAACTCACACAGGCATAGAAATAATTCCCCTTCTCACCACCCAGAGTAGAAAGCCTTATAACTAACTCAAAGAGCAGCGGGTAAAGTACTCAGAAACATTCTGCTTCATTCGTTGGTAAAACTCGTGCTAAACTAAACATTGTTCTGATTTTGCCCAATAAAACGTACAAGAAAAATGAGAAAGGGTAAAACTGTTTCCAAGTAACATAACTGCATGCCAGAACAGAACTGAAGAATGCTGTATTTATAGATACACAAAACATGCAGCACCAAACAAAGTAAATTTTACAGTGACAAGCATTCAATTAAAAAATCATGGCTGGGTGCCGTGGCTCATGCTTGTAATACCAGCACTTTGGGAGGTCGAAGCAGGCAGGTCATGAGGTTAAGAGATCGAGACCATCCTGGCCAATATGGTGAAACCCCATCTCAACTAAAAATGCAAAAATTAGCTGGGCATGGTGGCGCGCACCTGTAGTCCCAGCTACTCGGGATGCTGAGGCAGGAGAATCACTTGAACCCGGGATGCAGAGGTTGCAGTGAGCCAAGATCGTGCCCCTGCATTCCAGCTTGGGTGACAGAGTGAGACTCTGTCTCAAAAAAAAAAAAAAAAAAAAATTCACTAGGCATGCACAGAATCAGGAACCACTCAATGATGCAAAATTGTGAGAAAAATAAATCAATCCAAACTAATCTAGAAACGACATAGATGACAGGCTTAATAGACAAAGACAATAAAAATCATTATAACTATACTGCATATAATCAAGAAGCTAGAGAAAAGCTTAAATATGTTAAGAAAACACAGAAAGATTAAAAAGTAGATGAAAGTTTAACTTCTAGAGGTGCAAACTACAACATCTGTGGTTAAAAACACACTTAATAAGATCACCAGCAGATTAGACCTTGCAAAAGGAAAGATTAGTAAACTTGAAGACATGGCAATAGAAACTGTCCAAAATGAAACAGAAAGAAAAAAAGAGCAGGAGAACAAAACGGGATAGAGCATCAATGAACTGTGGGGTAATTTCAAGCAGCCCAATATAATTGGAGCACTCAGAAGAGAAGAGAGGGAAAGGGCAGAAAACAGTATTTGGAGAAACAATGACTGAAACGTCTCCAAATTTAATGAAAAATTTAAGTTCATAGATCTTAGACTCTCAGTGAATTCTAAGCAAAAATCAAACAAAACTACACTAAGGTATGTTAGAAGCAATTTGCTGAAAACTGATAGTAGAGGGAAAAATCTTAAAAGCAGCCAGAAAAAGTTATACATTATATATAAAGAACAAATATAAGAATGATTCTAAATGGCCCTTTCCTATTCCCCTTCAGACCCTAAAAGATGAAGAATAGAAACTACCATCTCTTTATGGAGTCTGAATAAAGTCCAGACTGCTTTTCAAATCGAGGTTCGTGACTAAAGGGATACAACTGATTCCAAGAATGGGATCTTACTTTGTAATGTCCTTCCTGCCAATCTGGGCATTTCTTTTTACTAGTGGTCTGTTTCTCATGGTGACATTTGAATCAATAGATGTTTTATGAGTGCCTGCTCTGTGCAAAAGATTCACTTATCTAGAGCCTATTGCAATTTGCAGCTTAACCTGAAGCAAAATCAAGACAAGAGCACAACAGCCTGGGTGCTAAGTCTCAGCTTGACACTTAGTTCTGCCAGTCACTTAGAACACACTTTCTGCCTACATGGTCAATGAGAAAAGTGGAGCTGGGTGGTATTTAAGGTGCCCCTGGCTATTATATAAATATTTTAAACATACTGACACTCCTAGTTGCTTTCCTGTTTGCTTTCCATGTATCAGAAGTTTATGAGTATAAGCTCAGTGTACATAAAAGAACAGTGGCAATAACTTTAAAACTTTGACCAAAAATTACTGAGCACTACATATATCAAATAGGATTCTGAACACTGGAATTAGGTCTTTCTCCTTAAGGAGCTCAGAGTTTGGAGAAAGTGATTTGTCAATGTAAAGAAAGAAAGAAAGAAAGCTGCTAGAACTTTGGGGAAATTTGGAAAGACTGAAATGGAAGGTAATTTTGGATTTAATCAAAAGAGACATGCTCATATTTGCAAACAAATAGGTTTACACTTAAATAGCATATCTTTGCACAGTGACCCTGAAGCAAAATAAAAGATTATCCAAACATGAGCCCCTGACTTAAAGTAGCGAATTTAAGAGACAGTAAAAGCAAAAGTTCAAAATACGATGTTTGTCAATCCAGATGATGTGATCATCTAGAAATACAGTAAATTACATAAGTCTATGAGAATTTTACATCCTTCAACACTGCTGCTAAGTAACATTACAAATCTCAAATTTGGCTGGAGTTTAACCTTCAAAGAAAAAAAAAAACATGTCCAAGCTAGTGATGAGCATGCCCTGAAATGTTACCACAGGAGGATCTCTGGGGATCCACAGGCTAAGAAATGGGGTCCCATGATTCATCTGCTTGTACCTGCTATTGACATTCCAGTGCCTAATTCTTCTGTCAGGTACAGCAGGCCACAGCAATCATTAATTGAACATCTGTTATGCACAAGGTACTGGGGAGACAAAGGTGTCTCCTTTCAAAAAGCTAAGAGTCTAGCAAAGGTGGCATACAAGCATTGCAATGTTCTTTGCCTAAGACAGCACTCAATAAGCAAATACATTAATATTTCTTCAGGGAGTTGATTAATAACCTCACATCTGTTCAGATCATATTTGCTCCCAAATGAGTTCAGGTTAGCTCTGGTCTCACCATCAAATCAGTTAGAAAATTCTGGAAATTTTAGAATACAGGATAAAATATGTAGACCTGAATAAGAAAGTAGAGTAGAAGGAACTGATTAACTTCACTTAGGAATATTAAAGATTTTGCCTTCTGGAAACTTCTCTTTCATTTGTACCTTTATCTGTTCATTTGCTTTGCAAATTCAGGACTCCATAGTTCTTGACTTCTGTTCTTCTTGTACCTTTCTCAGAATATAGATTGGTTTGGAATACACTGGACGCTTAATACTCTCTTTTTTGAGACAAGGTTTCACTCTCTTTGCCCAGGCTGGAGTGTAGTGGTGCGATCTCGGTTCACTGCAACCTCCACCTCCGAGGCTCAAGCAATCCCCCTGTCTCAGCCCCTCAAGTAGCTAGTACTACAGGCATGTGCCACCACGCCGGGCTAACTTTTCAATTCCTTCTTGGTAGAGATGGGGTTTCACCATGTTGCCCAGTCTGGTCTCAAACTCCTGAGCTCAAGCAATCCACATGCCTAAGCCCCCCACAGTGCTGGGATTATAGGCATGAACCCCCGTGCCCAGCCTTAATATCCTTTTAATTAAAACAAACTAACCGTATATATATATGTATAACAGCTCACAGTTCCATGAATAAATGCTTGTAACAAATGCTTATTATATTAAGTAAAAAAAGCTGGAAACAATTACATATTTTACGGTACATTTACTACAACTTAAAAGTGCATTAAAATATTCTGGAAAGAAGTACCCAAAAATGCAACTGTGATTGCATTTGAATGATGGAACTATAACAGTTTTTTCCAATTTCTACACTTTTGTAGCTTTCCTTCCAATTTCTTTAACAAACATACATTTAAAAATAAACCTGAAAAAATTCTGGAATCCTGAACTGAACTTTGAAAAGACTTTACTTTTGTATATTTCCACCATGATTTTCTTAAGACTTACTTGGTACTAGGAGTTTGTTTTCAAGCCTTTCATATTTTTAATAAAATGATTCACAGTTTCTAAATTCCCATGCAAAATTCCTAGCTTCATCATTAACTAGGTTTCTCATGTGGTATTTTTGGCAATGGGAAGCATGTTTCCCACGTATTATATGGGAGAATAACTCATGCTGCTTCTGATAAGGCTGAAATGTGTGTCAACATCCAAATTTCCTCATCCTATGTATTTCTTTAAGTGAAAGAGATAAAGGAATACCTGTTGATTGCTTATTATGCTTGCTACTCTAGCCTTCAATTTGGTACAAAATAAATGTACATCTTAACATGGTCAAAGGATTTAGTTCAGCCACCTGTTTTAAAATCTTCTGTTATCACCTAAAGGTTTTCTGTGATTATTTTTTGTATTACTTTTTATTGTGGTAAAAGACACATAATATAAAACCTACCATCCTAACCATGCTTAAGTGCACAGTTCAGTGGTATTAAGCCTATTCACATTGTTGTACAACGATCACTATCATTCATCTCCAGAGCAGTTTTCATATTGCAAAACTGAGATGCTGTACTCATTAAATAATAACTTCCAATATTTGTATTCTTTATTATGGCAAAATACACACGACATAAAATTTATCATCTTAACCATTTTTAAGCATAGAGCTTAGTGGCATTATGTACATTCATGTTGCTGTGCAGCCATGAAAACCACCCATCTCCGGAACTCTTCATCTTATAAAACTGAAACTCTGTACCCATTAACACGAACTCCCCATTCCTCCCTGTCTTCAGTCCATGGCAACCACCACTATACTTTCATTCTTTCTGAATTTGAATTTGACTACTCTAGCTGTCTCATATAAGTGCAATCATGCATCATCTGTCTTTATTATAATTGGCTTATTTCATTTTGCATAATGTTCTCAAGGTTCATTCAGGTTATAGCATGAATCAGAATATACTTACTTTAAAAGGCTAAATAGTATTTCATTGTATGTATATACTACATTTTCTTCTTTTTAACTTTTATTTTAGGTGCAGGTATACATGTGCAGGTTTGCTATATAGGCAAACTCATGTCACTGGGTTTTGTACAGATTATTTAATCACCCAGGTACTAAGCCTAGTACCCAATAGTTATTTTTTCTGCTCCTCCCCCTCCTCCCACCCTCCACCCTCAAGTAGGCCCCAGTGTCAGTTGTTCCCTTCTTTGTGTCCATAAGTTCTCATCATTAAGCTCCCACTTATAAGTGAGAACATGTCATGTTTGGTTTCCTGTTCCTGCATTAGTTTGCTAAGGATAATTTTCCCCAGCTCCATCCATGTTTCTCCAAAGGACATGTCTCAGCATACCAGTCATCAAAAACAGCGAGAAGCTCAGCATCTCCAGTGTCATCTCTTTTGTCTCAGCATACCAGTATGACATGATCTCATTTTTTTGTATGGCTGCATAGTATTCCATGTATATATGATGGTAAGTTTTTATATCTTGTCACAATCTTAAAGTTTTTTGAAAATTGAAATAAAATTGAAAATAAAGTTTTTTGAAATTAAAACAAGCAGGAAATGTAAACACATAAAGGCACTGTAGGCATAAATGGGATCGCGTTTATACAAACAAACAGATTTGTGTTGGCAACACAAATTAGAGGGCATTTAGTCCGTGGATGTGCTGATTCCTATTTACTAAGTGGCTTTGGATTTAGTCTGAAGTTGGTTTTTCCATGTGGTTTCGATGCATAAGGCAATCATTTGACCTCTATGATGAGCTGAATTCCTCCTCATCACAGTGAAGCAATGTTTATTAAGCACCCATCAAGTGAGGTACTAGGTATACTAGTTTCTTCTCACAATAAGGTCATAATATTTGAAGTAAGATAGTTTCGTTTTGCTTTTAACTAAACACGATTTTTCTGGTTCTGTTGCTTTTTTAATGGGTGCAGCCCCACACAGGCACTGTTCTAGGCACTGAATCACAGTCCTGAATCAACAGACATTATCTCTACCCTCATGATGTTTATAGTCTCCGAGAAAGCAACCTCTGAACATACAATTCCATGTGTAAGTAACAAATGTTATATAATAAAATGTATGTGATGTTAGATCACAATTTCTAAATTAATCTGAGTTACCCTATCTTTCCCTACTCACACCACTATTCTATCTTTTCTACTTTATTTTTGTCATCTGCGATTTTGTCTCAATATCTTATGCCTCAGTCTTCTCCAATTGATTGACTACTGATTTGACTTTGCATTTTTTAATCAAAGGGTACTCCTTCAAGCTTTTCTTGTCTATCTGCCTCTTACCACAACACTTGCCCCCCCAGCATAATCACTCAGACCACAGGCTCCCCACCATAAGGTATGAGAGCATGTTATGCATGTTATGCCAGTGATGAGCTTTAGAATGGCCATAAGAAATTTTGGGAACTGAAATAAGAATGATGTCACAATGAGTTAGAGTTAGAATGCTGTGGAAAAGTTTCTGAGAAGGGAGAGAAATGGAGGGAAGTGAGACATGACTAAGATGTAGGTAAAAAGGAATAAAGGTTTTCCCTGCTCAAAACTCTCATGAAGAAATTAATGGAGAAGGAAAGCACAAAGCATGCTTGAAAGAAAGCAAGTAAGTAAACTAATTTGATTGAGTAATCTTCATGGAAAGGATTAGAGGGGGTTAAACTGCAAATGAGAAATGAAAAAGAATAAAGTAATTTGTATGGCTTATTTTTACACTTCCTGATATACTATGCTAAATGTGTATGCATATGTGGATCAGGACAAAGAAGGAAAAAATGCACAAAACCTTGACAAAATTGCTGTCACCAAAATATCCTGCAAATCTTCATACTACTCCATTAACTAATGCAACTTACATCTTCAACCTAAAGTAAAACTTGAAAATCAAATAGAATTTCATTTGCTGAAACAAAAAGTCATAGAATTCATTTCTACATCGCATTTATTTTAATAGTTTACTGAAGGAACTGACTTTAAATATCAGCAACAAGGAGAATAAATTTTTAAAAGTAAATCAACAATGAGAATAGGAAATAGAAACACATTTTATGTTTGGTATAACATTCTCTAGTATTATATTACAAGCATATTAACTTTTTCTGGCTGCAAATTTAAGTTCACTCTTATGATCAAAGCTCTTTCTCATTGCCCTTGTTGGATGTTATTCAGGGGTCATAAGAAGATCCTCCAAATTTTATTTGTTTACTTTTAAAATGTCCAATATCGAGAAAAAGAAAAACAATTCTTTTCATTAGATGTCATTATATGTTATGGCCAGATGTTCTCACCAGCAAATGCTTTAGGTATTCTCCTACCTAAATGTGAGATTTAGAAGTCACAGTTATCCCATAATAGCATGTCTTGCATTTGTGCCTAAAATTTCGCATCATTATGTTTTTCCCTTTCTCTGAGTAAAGGAGTCTTCTTATAAGTATCACCTCCCATGGAGTGATAAGAAGTCAAACTCATCCATCATGTCAGTGGGAAGAGAAGGTATAAATGATAGAAGAGATCCAAGTTTATCAGGAAAGGATAAAGGGCAGCTTACAATTTGGATCAAAACGGCAAATTTTGATACATCTGCCTACGCTGTCCCTCACAGCAAGCCTGGAGACATTAGAAAATAAAAATATAAGGTGTCAGAATGGATGTAAACTAGAAGAAAACAGAAATACTTGGAAAACTGAAGATACGTGGGTCTCACTATACAGAAAAATGGTGGCTGGGAGAAGAACAGAGCTAGGGCCTAAGAGACCCGAATAGGGCCTGAGCCCAGCTGGGGTGGGAAAACTGTAGCAGTTTGGAGCTACACCCTTTGCCTTCTGACAGAGCACCCTGGGCATGAGCTGATTGATGCCCCACACGCTCACACCCCCATGGATGTTCTCACATGGTATGTGAGCACACTGGTTGTTGTTGCTGGCCAGGTAAACACTCAGAATAGTGAGTTATACAAATAAGTACAGGGATATGATATTACCTGAAGGTCCACCTTGTACATGTTCCTGGTGTGAGAGCAGTAGCGTTACCCAGATGCAGGAAGACAATGACAGAACAAGGCCATGAAAAGGATGGCTACACACAGAGCAGCTTTTGTATAGCTATACCATTTATCTTGGACCTGGCAATTGAGACTAAAGAAAGGTGTTATCAGACAAAAGTAGTGCTTTGGGAAGTAGGAAGAAGACACCTTGGGTGCAAAAAAATGCCATGAAGAATTGAAATGGTTGAAGCTCATATTAGAGTACTTGTTTCAGACATCTGTCTTGCTCTTCAGCCCCTACTTTTACCAAGAGAGAGGAGGAAAAGTCTAGAGAGCAAACAGACTCAAGAAAACAAACCTGAGCTTGGGACAAAAACAATCTTACAGTATTGATAAAGCTCAAGCATTGAGAAAGAAAAGCAAAAAGAGGCCTATCTGTAACACAAGAGGTGAGTATTGGAGGAGGGATTTTAAAACAAACATTATTAGTATTTAAGAAAGATATAGAGGCACCTGCAAACATCAAGTAGGACAAGTTGTTATGGATAAGAAACAGTTGGGAGATATTGGACACGAAAAATAACGTTTTTGAAAGAATTCATGAACACCAATTAGCTGCCTCTCTAGCACACAATGTCTCCCATGCCCAGTGGCCCATGATTCCTATTGGCTTATGTGTGGTTTTCAAAGAACATGGCCTTGGATAGCTAACAAATATGTGTTGTCTCCCTTGCTACAGTGACTGATTTGTGCATTGGCATGTAATCTAAAGTGGTCAAATCAATGTGACTGTCAGATTCCTCCAGGGACTTGTGGGACATAGATGCTTCTCACTTTCTCTGGGTGATGTGGTATGAAGCCTAAAACCATTTCTCTACCATGATTGAAGTCAGCCTGAGCATAAAGTCTACACATGAAGATCAGATCTGAGCCCTGCTGATACTACAGCTGAAGACTGTTACATTTTGGTTGCACAAGCCATTAAGTTCTCATCTTTAAGATAAAATTTGTTTATTTTATGCTTGAAAAAAAGTGCTCAAACTGATAATAATAAGTTGAATTATAGAACAGATGGGTTCAAAACGAAAATTAGTGAGCTTAAAAGTAGGATTAAGAATATCTTTCCAAAAGCAGCATGAGGAAATAAAGAATGAAAAGTATTAAAAAATAAAGCTAAGAAAAATGTAAAAGCAAAAGTGTCAAACTGTCTAAAGAGAAGAATTAGTGACAAATGAATAATAATATATTTTTTAAGTTAATATTTGTGTTTTTAAAAGATATTAGATTTCAATTTTCTTAAAATAAGCTTGGCACTCTCTAATTTTTTTTAGTGAGAGTTCGAAGAGTGCCAAGCTTTTTAGGAGACTTGAGACATCCCCTGCAAAGTCATGCAAGGTCCCAGAAAATGCATAATACAGAGACTTTCTCTGATAGAACTTTTGGGAGAAGAGTTACAGTAATGTAATAAATGATTCCATGAGAAGACAAGAAGAAGGAGAATCAAAAACAGGGAAAGAAATTACCATTTTAATTTAACAACAGATGATATTGAGTGATGCACCATTTTGTGCCACCAAGAAAAAAAAAAGATCAAACTATGACAACATGCTCTCTTCCCACATTTATATTCTGAGGGATACTTATTTAAAAGTTAAAGTGTTATTTTTAAATGTGTCTTAGAACCCACAAAGTACAAATGCAAGGTATATTTCTGACTACAGGAAAAATATAACCTCATCATGAATATCTGCAACAATTTGAGATTAAAACTTCAGGCAAAACTGTCATTTAAATTGATGGTTTGGGGAGGTAACGATAAGAGAGTGGCAAAGCATTATAAAACTATTGCTTTTCCCCTAGGAGAGTATATAGTATTAATAACCTTCAATAACTGGGCAAAATGTGTATACATACATGCCTTAATAAATTAGGCACAATTTATAGCTAGAAATAGAAATAGGTAGAAAAAGAAAAAGAAAGAAAATAAATCTACCTAACAATAGTCGGAAAAAGAAATAAAACAAAGCAAAGAGAAAGCATACTAATTATAAAATAAGAGAAAAAGTGGCAGAAATAAGTTCACTTTTATCTGTTTTTATGATATACACATATAGATAGATTAACCAAGTAAAAGACACATTTATTAGTTTTAATAAAATAGAACTAATAATATATATTTAAAAGATGAAGAAAATATGGCAAGATTGAAAACAAAGAGATGGGAAAAATATAATTAACAAATGTTAAAATAATACAAGCTAGTCAGTTTATTATGACAAAATAGTATTCAAATAAATATTAAAATATGACAAAAAATAGTGCATAGTGACTTAAGGAAAAAATGATACCAAGCAGATACAATATTCATAACCTTATATTACATAATTATGTAGCCTTAAACTATGTAATATATCAAACAACAAAATAAGGAAAACACATAAGCTACAAATGTAGTTGGAATTTTTACACACACATGTAAACATATTCACATACACACATCCCAAAACACGCTATTCTCAAAATTATGCTAGTTTATAGATTTGAGCAGCATGCTTATCAAGTATAATCTAGTGGATACATTTTACAGTTCTTGTGCTATTCATTAAGACTCTGTATTTCTCTCAAAAGCATGTAAAATAGTGAAATAATTCATACAGGAAATCTCAATACATTTTAATGCACAAACTTTTTTTTCTGACAACAATCCAATTAACCTGAAAATCAGTGTCAAATAGATAACAAAAACCATTTTCAAGTTTGGAAAATTTAAAATCATACTTTCATCTAACCAATGGGTTGAAGGTGAAATCTTGAGAGTATTAAGTTCTTCATGCAAGATAGTTAAATTTCAAAATATCAGAATGTTTATTTAGTGGGAAAAACAGTGATTCTAAATGTGTTTATTTAAAAAAAATAAATCCTGGGTGCAGTGACTAGCACTTGAAATCCCAACACTTTGGTAGGCAGAGGCAGAAGGATTGTTTTAGCCCAGGAGTTTGCTAACAGCCTGTGCAATATAGAGAGACCCTATCTCTACAAAAAATAAAAAATTAGCCAGTGTTGTGGCACATGCCTATAGTCTAAGTCATGTGGATTGCTTGAGCCCAGGAGGTGGAGGCTACAGTGAGCCATGATCTCACCATTTCACTCCAGTCTGGGCAACAGAGTGAGATCCTATCTCACAAAAAGAAAGGAAGGAAGGAAGGAAGGAAGGAAGGAAGGAAGGAAGGAAGGAAGGAAGGAAGGAAGGGAGGGAGTGAGGGAGGGAGGGAGGGAGGGAAGGAGGCAGGGAGAGAGGGACGGGAGGGAGGGAGAGAAAGATAGAGAGAAAGAAAAAAAGATACAAAATAAATGAGCTTGAGTGTTTGCATTAACGAAGTAAATAAACCATAAACATAAATTTAAAGAAATTAGAAAAGAGATCAAGAAATATATCACAAATCCACGAATTAGAAAACAACAAAACAATACAAATGATCAGTACATTTAATAAGATAAACCTCTGAAAGCACAGATCATTTAAAAACAAGTAAGCATAAAAAGCAGTAACAACAGAGAGAAGAGTTACTAAAAAGCAAAAAAGCAAAAGCCAGAAAGAGAGAGAGACAGAGAAAACTAAACACAAATATAGAAGCAATCTTAAAATAATAGAACATTTTGGAAAAAAAATAAGCCACAACCCAAAAATGCATTTAACAGGAATAAATATGGAATAAATTAGGAATAAGAGACTGCCAGAATTGTCACAAAAAGGAATAGAGAATGGATTTAAAAACTAAGTTAATAAAAGCCATAAAAACATGAAGTGATCATCAACAATCCTCCACAACCACGCTACCTCTAAAATTTCCGGGTCTAAATGGCTTACAAGTAGATTTTCCCATACTTCAAAAAACAAAGTCACACTCATAAATGAGTTGTTCCCAAACTAGAAAAACAATGAAAATTCTCAGCTTTTTAAATGATATTAATAATGCTTAACACTTAGATGAGATAATAAAATGCAAAGATAAAAAATACAGACTAATTTTTCTTTTGAGCATAGATGCAAAAATTTTAAATTATATTTTAGTTGATGCAAACCATGAGTATATGAAGCAAAATGTAATTTCATGTAGATTTTTCTCAGGAACGCAGAATCAAATAAATTGTTACATTCTTATCAATCATTTTATGTCATGAAATTAACAGGTTAAAGTAGAAAAACACAAAATCACATCACAGAGGTCAAAATGACATTTAATAACTTCAAGACATATTCCCAAATTTAAACTATCTAAAGATAAGTAGAAATAGAAGGGAATCTCCTTAACCTGATAAATGCTATTTACGAAAACCTTATAGCAAACATCACACGTAATGCAGAAACTGAAGAATCATTTCATTTAAAGTAAGTAGTAAAATAAGAATGTCTTTAACAAGAGAGAATAAAATTATAGAAATTGAAAGAAAAGAAATAAAATTACTGTATATGCAGATTATATAGTCATGTTGACAAGATATTAGAGCTAATTTAAAAATTCAGCAAGATTGCTAGGTAACAAAATAACCTATAAAATTCTGAAGTGTTTCTCAATAACCATAATGAAAAAGGAAAATTATAATAGAATACTATATTCAATATCAACAATAAGATAATCACTATAGTATAAAGGAATTAACCTACCAACAAGAGAAAGAGGATAAGGCCTCTATGAAGAAAAGTTTGATTCTTTGTTTGTTTTCATTTTTTGTTTTTTGTTGGTATTTTTTTTTGAGACAGAGTCTTGCTCTGTCACCCAGGCTGGACTGCAGTGGCCAATCTCGGCTGACTGCAGCCTCTGCCTCCTGGGTTCAAGTGATTCTCCTGCCTCAGCTACCCAAGTAGCTGGGATTACTGGGATGTGCCAGCACGCCTGGATAATTTTTGTATTTTTAGTAGAAACAGGGTTTTATCATGTTGGCCAGGCTGGTCTTGAACTTCTGGCCTCAAGTGATCCACCTGCCTTGGCCTCCCAGACTGCTGGGATTACAGGTGTGAATCACCATGCTTAGCCTAAAGAAACTTTTAAAATCTATGCACATATACAAAAACCTATAACCAGAGAGATTATACTGTGTTTGTGTGTAAGAGGGTTTAATGTTATAAAGACGTCAGTTCTATATCAACTTAATCTATAATTTAATGTCCTTCCAATAAAATCCCCAATGAATATATTGTAGATTTGAGAAATTCTTTTATGAAATATATATGGAATAATTAGACATAAATAGTGAGTGCAATCTCACTAAAGTTACCTTACCAACTACTCAGACATACTTCTAGGCCATGGTAATTTAAACAATACTTTTTTGGCACCAAAATGGAAAAAATAAAGATGAAAGTAACCAACCTAAAACAGACACACACATGCATGCGAACTTTTATTATAATAAATATTGCATCAAAAATTAGTGCAGAAGACAGCTGCTTTGATGTGCCATGCTCTAGGTAGTAGAACATTATTTTATTTTTACTACGACGAAAACAAAGTGTAAAATGGCAGATGTAAATCCATCTATATCAATAATAACATTAAAAGTAAATGGTTTAAAAATCTAACCAAAAGGTAGAATGGATATTTTTAAAAATTAGGATTCAGCTATATACTATCAATAATACATTGAAAATAAAATCTGAAATATTATAAATATACACATATATACCATAGAAACAACAAATACAAGAAAGCTGAAATTGTTATATTAATTTCAGGCAAAATAGACATTTAAATAAAAATATGTCATCAGAGATAAAAAGGACCATTTAATAGTAATAAAATGATCAATCTATCAGGACAATATAACAATTATCATCATATATGCACCTTACAAGAGTCCCAAAATTATGAATCAAAAACTTACATAAACAAAGTGAAAAATAGACATTCCAACAATAGGCACTTCAATATCACCCTCTCAATAAGGAATAGATCAACGAGGCAGCATATCAAAAATAAAATTGAGAAATGGGAAAACACTTTAAGCCAACTAGACTTAGTAAGTATCTAGGTAATTTTTTTAACCAATCACAGCAAAACATACCTTCTACTCAAAAGCACATGAAACACTCTCCAGGATAAGCCATGTGCTAGCTCATAAAATAAACCTCAATAAATATTTAAAATAATAAAATTATGCAAAATATATTTTCATACTACAGTGGAATGCAATAAGAAAATAACAGAAGGAAATTTGAAAAATTATTATATAAAAATTAAACACTTTAGAATTTCAAAGAAGAAATTAAGTGAAAAATTAGAAAGCACTAATGATATTAATAATTATTATTATACAGCATACCAAAATTTTTGTGATACAAGCAAAGCAATGTGTAGAGGATAACTTATAGCTCTAAAATGTCTACATTTAAAAAAAATCTCAAATCACTAATCTATGAGAAAAATAAAAGAAAAAATTAAACCTAAACCAAAAATAAGGATAGAATAAAAACTATGGCAGAAATTAATAAAATAGAGAATAGAAAAACAAGAGAAAATTAATGAAACCAAAAGCTAGTTCTTCGAAAAGATTAACAAAATCAGCAAACTATTAGCTAGTTTAACCAAGGAACACAGTGCAAAAGCTCAAATTACTAGAAACAGAAATGAGAGAGAAAACAATACCAACAACCTTGCACAAATAAGAGGAATTATAGATAAATACTGTGAAAAATTCATGGCTATAAATTAGATAACTTAGATAAAATAAACAAATTATTAAAAAGAGATAAACTACCAAAACTGATTTAAGGTTCACTGGTTATTTCTATCAAACACTTGAATAATTAAACATTAATTCTTCAAAAGCTCTTCCAAACAGTAGAACGGAACACTTCCCAACGCATGATATGAAGCCAGTGTTATCCTGATACCAAAACTACACAAAGATACCATGATAAAAAAAATCTACAAACCATTATCTCCTTTTTTTTTTTTTTTTTTTTTTTTGAGATGGAGTCTCTCTCTGTCACCCAGGCTGGAGTGCAGTGGCGCGATCTCAGCTCACTGCAAGCTCCGCCTCCAGGGTTCATGCCATTCGCCTGCCTCAACCTCCCGAGTAGCTGGGACTACAGGAGCCCGCCATCACGCCAGGCTAATTTTTTGCATTTTTAGTAGAGACAGGGTTTCACCGTGTTAGCCAGGATGGTCTCGATCTCCTGACCTCATGATCTGCCCACCTCGGCCTCCCAAAGTGCTGGGATTACAGGCGTGAGCCACCGTGCCTGACCACCATTATCTCTTATGTTTATAGAGAACAGAAATCTTCAACACAATACTAGCTAACCATATCTAGCAACATAGAAACAGAATAATACATTATAACCAAGTGAGATCTATCCCAAAGATGCAAGGGAAATTTAACATCTGAAAAATCATGTAAACGAAATAAGAAACCAAAAGCATGATATTGTCTAAACAGCTACAGAAAGCATATTGATGAAACATAACACACATTCATGATAAAACACTAAGCAAACTAGAAATAGAAGGAAATATTCTTACCTTGTGAAAGTCACCTGTGAAAATCCCGTAAGAGACCTCACACTTAATAGTGAAAATCTGGATGCTTTCCTCATAAGGTCAGAAACAAGTCAAAAATGTCTGCTCTTGGCTTTTCTATTCAACATTGTATGTGAGGTACTAGTCAGAGCAGTTGGGAAAGAAAGAGAATTAAAAAGCATCTAGATTGTGAAAAACGATGCAAAACTATCTCTACAGCACATGTTAATGTATATAGAAAATCCTAAGTGATCCACTAAAAAACGATCAGAACTAATAAGTGAGTTCGTCAAGGCTGCAGGACACATCAGTGCACACAAATCAGCAGGATTTCTATACACTTGCAATGAACAATCCAAAAATTAAGAAAGTAATTTCATTTCCAATAGCATCAAAAAATAATTAGGAATAAATTTAAGAAAAATATGCAAGACGTGTACACTGAAAACTACAAATGTTGTTAAAAATTTTTTTAAATGTCTAAATAAATGAAAAAACAGCTCACGTTCATGTATCAGAAGGCTTATGATTGTTAGGATAGCAATAGTCTCCAAATTTGTCTACAAACTTGATGCAATCCCTATCAGAATCCTAGCTGTCTTCTTTGTAGAAATTGATAATTTGGTTCTAAAATTTATATGGAATTGCAAGGGGCCCACGATAACTAAAACAACCTTATTACAATGCAACAATAATCAAGATGGTGTGGTACTTGCAACAGGGTGGGCACGTAGATCAATGGAATAAAATTAAGAGTCAAGAAAAGTTGTTTCTATTTGATTCTTCTCTCTTTTCTTCTTTATTAATCTGGCCAGCAGTCTATCTATTTTGTTAATCTTTTCAAAAACCCAGCTCCCAGATTCATTGATTTTTTGAAGGGTTTTTTTGTGTGTGTTTCTCTATCTCTTTCAGTTCTGCTCTAACAGAAATAACAAGAAATTAGTTATTTCTTGTCTTCTGCTAGCTTTTGAATTTGTTTGCTCTTGCTTCTCTAGTTCTTTTAATTGTGATGTTAGGGTGTTGATTTTAGATCTTTCCTGCTTTCTCCTGTGGGCATTTAGTGCTATAAATTTCCCTGTAAACACTGCTTTAGCTGTGTCCCAGAGATCCTGGTATGTTGTGTCTTTGTTCTCATTGGTTTCAAAGCACTTACTTATTTCTGTCTTACTTTCGTTATTTACCCAGTAGCCATTCAGGAGCAAAGTTTCTCTAAATATGGAAAAAAGTATTTTTATTCCAGGTTTGCAGTGACATTTCTGTATCCAGCTTCTAGATGCTGGATACACCCATGCCCCATGGATGCATAATTGTTAGTCAGTTCTTTTGATAATTACAAAAAGAGTTTCCAGTCCAAATCCAAATTGGTGTATCCTGATACATTCTTCACAAGACAAAATCTTCCATCTACCACATTTGAATCAGATTACAAAACCTTAGGAAATGAGTCAGTTCTTATTTAAGTTAACAACAAATTTTCTACAGATTAAAGTCCTAAAAGAAAATTTATTTTCAAGGAAACAAAGTGTATATCTAGACTACAGGACCAGAGGAATAGGAAGAGTGATGGCTGAGTATTTATGCTTTAAAGAAAATGCTCTCCTCTTCTCCAGCGTCTTAAATATTGCCTCCCTCAATCATTCCTTCATGTGATTAAACACTCTTGACTTTCCCAAGCTTTTTCTCATGCATCAAATTTGCTGCACAACCCTTGACCAGAGAATGGGACAACACTGTTACAAATAGTGTAGTACATCTGACAGGCTACACGAAATCAAAAAGATAGAGCCATCGATATGTGCCCAGAAGCCTAAATGACAACATCGTTTTCACTCTAAAACACCATGCGGGCCCTGGTTCTTTTGTCCTCAAACACAAATGACACAAACTCACGTTTTAGGAGCTTCACACTTGTAAATTGTTTTCATCTTGTGCTGTTCAAGTGAGGTTGAGTTTAAACGAGCATGAAGACATTGAAGAGATGTCAGGGAGGCAGTCAATGGAAAAGAGGTTTGGTGTATGAGGTCTGCGTTTTATGTATATGGCCAAATTTATAAGTGTTACTGACAGGGAAGAGGGGAGGATGGGAGGAGTCTTTAGGATGTATAATATTTAATGGCCAGTAAGAGAGGGAGAAGAGATGTCAGTGAAAAACAAGGCAGGGCAGAGTTGGGTCCAAGCGCAGAGGATTCATATGAAGGAATGGTCAACAAGACCAACTGCTTGTAAGATGTCAAGATTGATGAAGACTAAACATTGTCCGTAAGATTTAGTGATTTGGGAGTCAATGTTAACCTACCAATTAGGACTTCACAAGATAGATAAAAGTGAAGAGGGAATAGACAGTAAAAAAATAGAGATTACAAATATAGAAGATAGGTGGTAAAGAGGAAGAAAAAGTAATTTATTCTTATGTTTAGATAGAGAAGAGAGCTTTTTAAATTTTTTTATTTTCTTTTGATGCTTTTTGTTTTTTGAAATAATTTTTAAGTCAATGTGATGTGTTAACTTCAGAAGGAGATGTTTATTATATAAGAGTTGTGGACTTTTCAATAATTTATAATTCCTGGATAAAAGGACAGCTGTTGGAATCCATAGAAAAGGAAAATAATTAAATTTAGGTAAAAAGGTGATAAGTGGTTTGTGTCCAATGGTAACTTTTAAGAATTACTGCCAAGTTAATGCATATATTTTTACTGTTTTCAGTCATCACCATAGATTCACCAAAATATACTACTTATCTATTGTCCAGTTTACAGGTGATAAAACCAAAACCAAGGGAGTCTAGCTAATCCAGGTGATAGGGGAAAAGTAAAAGAATCAAAATGTATATCTGGCCGAAAGCTTAACATAATGTTTCCAGACAAGGAGTTGGAAATTTTTTCCTATAATAAATATTTTAGGTTTCACAGGTCCTATGGCCCCATTATAACTACTTAACACTGCACACATAGCATTTATAGATTATGCACACACAAATAAACAGGACTGTGTTCCAGGTTAAACTTTAGTTATGGACTCTGAAATTTGAAATGTATATTATTTTACATGTCATGAAATATTTTTCTTTTGATATTTCTTAGCCATTCTAAAAATGTAAAAAATATTTCTAGCTCCTGGACCATTCAAAAACAGGCAGTCAGGCAGAATGACCCATGACCATGTAGTTTGCTGACCCCTGCACTGAGCGACACTGTCACCCCAGGGCTATTCTGTATCTCATGGTGACTCTGTTCTACCACTCTATTTCAAATAGCTTACCACCTGCTTTAGCAAAATCTGTATGGTCTTCTAATGTCTAATCCTCTTCATATTTTTCAGTCACATTTGCATTCCTCCCCTAGACATATTTGTACTAATATTTTTTGTCATTCTAAATCAGCCACCCTCTTTCTCTCTCCCTCTGTCTCTCACTTTGTAAATCTCTTCTTCACTTCCTAGGCCATTCTTGCATCTTTGCTTCTCTGAGCACATTGCAAAATCCTCAGCAGTCCCATTTTACATCATGCCACAAAGACTTCCAGCTGGGCAAAGGTATAGTCCACTCATATGCTATTCACTTGTCTCTGTCCTGCTTGGCAAGCTACTTTTTTCACTTAAGATAACTTTCCTTTGTGCACTTCTAGTTCCAAAGTTCAAAGAAAGAGAAAATATGTAATTATACCATGCCTGTCCTATCTCAGCAAGTCTTCTGATATCAAGAGTTTATTTGTCATGTTGCTGACCAGAGGGGAAGGTGTACCCATTAGTGCCAAGGCTTTGATAGATCTCAGCACACGGAAATATTCCTGGGGGCTATGTTTCATCTCAAGCGTATGACTGAATTAATCCCCAGGTTATGCCACAACTTTCCTTTGACACTTAGGTAATAAATAAGACATACTTTTAAAATAACTTTCCCTTTAGGCTAGAATATTTCTGACAACTGACTTGACTCTGATTTGCTTTCATCCAGAAGGAACTTGTTGTCAAGGAGCCTCTTGTTCATGACTTAGGGGCTGAATACGAGCCCCCATCTCCTAGACTGCAGCCCTGAATTAGGTCTTTCTCTGAATAAATTCTTAATTATCTTTCTACTTAGCTGTAAGCTCATTAATAATCTACTAGACTGTGCAGCCACTTAAGTCCCTAAGGCTTTGATTCCTCAAAAATGCAAACTGAATACCTTAAGTATAATGTTTGCAAAAGTAGATCACGTCAGGATATTAAAAAGAGCCTTGGAATCAACTTTATTCCTTTGTGTAAAGAACGTATAAATGTATCATATTTCACATGAAAAAGTCCACTGTGATATTCTAAGTACTCAAATCTTTTCTAAACATAATGTTATTTCTATCTCATGTACAAGTTTTGAGGAACTGCTGCTGAGACTGAAAGAGGAAATCTAAAAAGAGAGAGCATGGACAAGTGGGGACTGGAGACTGAACAGCAAGAACTGTTTGGTTCATTTACCCCACGGAAAAATTGTGAAACCAGTGGGGTCTTTATGAGTTTTTAGGTTGACATCTGAAATTTGTAACATAATTCTAATAACTGCAAAAGATATGGTTTCCCATGTATTACATGTTTTATAATACTTTAAATATATTTTGATCGAAATCGGCAGAGTTTGTTCATTCAATTAGTGGGAAACTCCAGTTTTCAATCAAACCTATCAGCCAAAGAGGTTAAATTTCTGAGAGACAACATCTGACTTCATTTCTAGAGTCAATCAACTTGGTACTACATATGGCTTCTATGAGCTCCTTGCTGCTGAGTGAGAATTCTGAGATGTTAACCACCTTGCTCTGGCATGGTGCCTTGTCTGGACATGCTTCCTCACAGAAACAAAGCCTTTGTCCTCAGGAAGGAAACATGCTTGAGCTGTCCTTTTGTTGAGTGCCCAAGAGGTTTTACACACTGGGTCAGAGCAATTTCCAGATAGCTGAGAGCGGTGCTTGCCTTTTCCCACTGTTTCCTGTAGAGTAAAAAAAGAGCAATTGACAAAGGGGAATGGAGAAGAACTGACAGAGGGACTCTTGAGCAGAATAATCTTAGGGACGAATACAGATGGAAGTTAACAATCTAGAAATGTATTTTCTTATAGCTATCCAGGCTCTCTGGAAAATATTGCCATGTCCATAGGGATATATATGCCCAGTGATAAATCTCTAAAGAAGACACGAAGAAATAAGAGAAGGGCAAGATGAGAGACAAGACACCAACTCCCAAAGAAAATTGCCGAGTTTCTCAACCCTTCAAGGGCCATTTGAGAGCAACTTGGTGTTGTGCAAGTCACTGTATGCAGTATGCAGAGCAGACAGAATTTGCTGCGGGATATGAAGCTCACCAAGCGACCAAGGGATCTAACTGGAACCGGCAGAGAAGAGCCCTTTAGAAGTAGAAGTGAGAGAATGTTCCTAACTGATTCACAGACACAGCACTTCCCAGCACTCCCGGTGAGAGCCAGAAAACCCGGGGGTCCAAACCTAAAAGACAGGGGACATCAACAAGGCTGAGATGATCCATTTTGCCCAAAGATTTGTAATCTCTTTATGTGGGCTACCCATACAATGTCTGAAACGTGTTTTATGGCATTCTGTCAAATTCTTTGTTGTACGATTGCTGGGTTTTCAGATACCCTCAAGAGTCCTGAGAAAGGTGAACAGGCCACCTGGCAATGCTCTGCAAAACTAATTAGTGAGGGGAAGTATTGAAAAATCACTCAGATGGCAGTGTGGCAATTACAAACCATTGAAAGTGTGAGGCAGATGGTGAAGTTCTTATGTTGTCTTACTTATCGGTTCAACAAAATCATACCAATTGCCCACCATGTGCACAGCACAACTAATAATGAAATAATTATTTCATTATTAATGAAAATGAAATAATGAAATAATTCATTATTTGAATTATTGAAAAGGCAGGTATGCAATAATGAATAATGAAAAGGCAGGTATGCAAATTCATAAAATGCAATACAGGAAGTCTGATTTTACTGGACAAACACTATCAGCATGAGCAATTCACGAGTGTGACACTGCCATCTTAGCCATCTAATCTTCCACCACTGCTCAGCATTTTCTCACTTCTGGACATTCCTCAAACCCTTCCTCTACCCGAATATTCTACCAGGTCCTTGGCTTCCTCTCCCCATGGGGGTGAAATCATGTGCATGCTGCTTGACACATAAACACATCTGGCCACATTACTTCCATGCACATTGCTGTGGATTCATGCACCACACTGCATCATCTTTGTCTTCCTATATCCCCCAGCAGTTCATAGAGAAAAACGTGGCCAGGACCATGTCTTACTCTTCTTTATACATTGAATGTTTGACAATGTCTGACACATTGCAGGCATAATAGGATCAAATCCCACTATCAAAGCCAAATGAGGTGTGCCTGATTACCCCTTAATCTTGAGGATTCCTTTCCTCTTCTCCCACACCACTCTTGATATATCTAAGGA